>NC_000008.11:63427265-64052265 GCF_000001405.40 Homo sapiens
GTCTCTCTTCAACTGGGGCAGTTCCTTCTAGAAGGCTGACAGCTAGGAGCTGTTCATCAACAAGCATTCCCAAAGCTAGGGGAACAAGCCCTCTAGTCCTCAGTGCGGGATCTGATTGGCTCATAACACAGTACTCAAGGTTGTATACCCCAGTACTGTTGTATCTACTAGACTCATTTACATTCTCAAAGCAGCTCCTCTGGGAGTTTAATAGTCTCTTTTCTTGGGAGAAACTATAAAAAACTTGGAAGAAAAGGTAGTGGCCCTGTTGAGACATGTGGTCTTGAGTCCACAGCCGATACTTATTTCCTTCCTTTATGAACTGATCTAGATCTAGATTTTGCTAACCTTCCACTTTTATGATGGGTGGTTTATTGGTTGACCTCATGAAGGGCACAGACTCTTTCTCTTAGGGATGCTAGCACCTGGTTACTATGCCTGTGGAGTCAACTGCCTCTGCCAAGATGGCAAGTCTTCTTGCTTGCTGTCCCCTTGACTCAAGGGGACTGAAATGAGATGGCAGCAGCAGCTTAAAATTCTCTTCCTGTGTCCCTCATGGAGGTGTATCTCTTTGGGAACCAGAAGCTCTAAATGCATGGAGCTCAGGGTTAAGATGAAAGGAAGCACAAATTCCCTGAGTGGCCACTGGGAGTGATGGTAAGCATGATCACTCCTGCTTCTAACCCTTGCTTCCAAGACCCATATATTCTTAATAGAGATAGAGCACCACATAATGGTTATTGTTTTAGTGTCTATAATGTGTCCTGGAGGATGACACGGTCCTTACTGGATATCATATCTGTTGGTGCCTCAGCTGAGTCTTTAATGGGCTATTTCATTGCTCTACTAGTCCAGCAGCTAGTTTCTAGGAGGGGTAGCATGGGATAGGTACAGGGGATACCATGTCATGTGTCCTTTGATGACAAGTGGGTTCCTTGCTCTGATGTGATGTTATATGAGATGCTGTGTTGATGAAACAAACACTCTCAAAGCCCTCAGTTGAGGCTCTGCAGGAAAGAAAGACTGAGCCATATCCAGAATATATGGCAATTCCCGATAAAATACCTTCCAGGACAGAAGGGCTCCAATAGAGTCAACCTGATACCCTGTGACTAGTTGTTCTTTTCAGTGTGTGGTTGGGCCTCTGCCTCGGCATCTATTACTGGCAGGCTAGACATGCAGCAGCTGCAAAATCTAGATTAGCCTTGATAAGTGGGAGCCCATGATCTTGGGCCTATTAATAGCATCCATCTCTGCCTCTACAGCTGCTCCATTCATACACCCCTTGTGTCAGAGGCTGACTGATGTCAATTTGCTGAGTCTTTGTGTCCATTTGGCTTTTTGGTGGCTCTTTTATGGTGGATATTCTCTAGGGGATGTTAACGTGTAATATTTAGATCTTCCCACTTTATGTCTCCTGTTTGGTTCATCATATACCTCTACTATAGTTTTCCTAGTCCATGATATTCTGATAGACTTATTTCTAGGCACCTGACCAATCAGTTGAGGCATTTGCAACTGCCCATACATTCTTAGAAATGCTGAGCTAACTTCAGGCCACTTTTCCTTCCACTCAAAGTAGTTCACCAAATGCACCACCTGAAAATAGGCCTAGTTGGAGGATTCCTTCTCAGCACTGTCCTTCAGGGGCACTTTAAAGTTCAAGTAGGCATATAGGACAGCTGCTGTCCATTTTCAGCTTGAACCTGTTAAAGGAAAAACTTCAGTTGAATTAAATTTAAAGGAGTTTAATTGAGTAATGAACGATTCACGAATTTGGCAGCCCTCAGAATCACAGCAGATTCAGAGAGACTCCAGGGATACCTCATGGTCAGAGCAAATTTATAAACAGGAAAAGGGAAGTGGCACACAGAAAATTGGAAGTGAGGTACAGAAACAGCTGTATTGGTTACAGGTTGGTGTTTGCCTTATTTGAACACAGTTTGAACACTCAGCAATGTATGAGTGGTTGAGGTATGGCCGCTGGGATTGGCAAAGACTCTGTTTTTGTTAGAGGGGCTTGCTCCTAAGTCAGGTTTTTAAGCTTGTCTACCTATTAAGTTAGATTACAGTTCATCCACAAGGACTCAAATAAAGAAATATGGAGTCCTTCTCAGGCCATTTTTAGTTCACTTTAGCAATTCCTCCTTTTTGGTCACTTTCTCTAGCCACCAAGACAGCATGGTACTGGTATGAAAATAGGCATATAGACCAATGGAACAAGAATAGAGAACCCGGAAATAAAGCCAAATACTTATGGTCAACTGATCTTTGACAAACCAAACAAAAACGTAAAGTGGGGAAAGAATACCATATTCAATAAATGGTGCTGGGATAATTGGCAAGCCACATGTAGAAGAATGAAACTGGATTCTCATTTCTCACCTTATACAAAAATCAACAAGATGGATCAAAGGCTTAAATTTAAGAACTGAAACCATAAGAATTCTAGAAGACAACATTGGAAGAACCCTTTTAGACAATGGCTTAGGCAAAGACTTCATGACCAAGAACCCAAAAGCAAATGCAACTAAACAAAGGTAAATAGATGGGACTTAATTAAATTAAAAAGCTTCTGCACAGCAAAACAAATAATCGACAGACAGACAACAATCAGTAAACAGACAAACCATAAAGTGGGAGAAAACGTTTGCAATCTATACATCTGACAAAGGACAAATGTTCAGAATCTGCAAGGAATTCAAACAAATTAGCAAAAAAAAAAAATTCCATCAAAAAGTAGGCTAAGGACATGAATAGACAATTCTCAAAAGAAGATACATAAATGGCCAAGAAGCATATGGAAAAATGCTGAACATCACTAATTAGTAGGGAAATGCAAATCAAAACCACAATACAGTACCACCTTACTTCTCAAGAATGGCCATTATCAAAAAATAAAAAATATAATTGGTGTTGGCCTGGATGTGGTGAAAAGGGAACACTTTTACACTGTCGGTGGGAATGTAAACTAGTACAAGCTCTGTTGAAGACAGTATGGAAATTCCTTAAAGAACTAAAAGTAGCTCTACCATTTGATCCAGCAATCCCACTCCTGAGTATTTATCCAGAGGAAAAGAAGTCGTTATACGAAAAAGATACTTGCACATTCGTTATAGTAGCACAATTTGCAATTGCAAAAATATGAAACCAGCCCAAATGCCTATTAATCAACTTGTGGATAAAAAAATGTGTGTGTATATATATATATATATATATATGTATATACCATTGAATACTACTCAGCCATACAAAGGAACAAAATAATGACATTTGCAGCAACCTCAATGGAATTGGAGACCATTATTCTAAGTGAAGTAACTCAGGAATGGAAAACCAAACATCGTATGTTTTCACTCATAAGTGGGAGCTAAACTATGAGGATGCAAAGGCATAAGGATGATACAATGGACTTTGGGGACTCAAGGGAAAGGGTGGAATGGGGTGAGGGATAAAATACTATATATTGGGTACAGCGTACACTGCTCAGGTGATGGGTGCCCCTCAATCTCAGAAATTACACTAAAGAACTTATTCCTGTAGCCAAACACCACCTATTCAACAAAAGCCTATTGAAATAAAAAAAGATTATAAAAAATGTACTCATTTGTAAAGCCCTTTCATATAAATTATGTTTTCTATAAAGAGATGAAAAAAAGGAAAAGATAATTTGGAAGCTGAAATTGGATTTTGGGAAGCCTATCAAATATATTAAAAGTTTAAAACACTTGATATTATGAAGTAGAATTCCAGGTAACCATAAGTCATTCATTTAGCCAAAATGATGACTGAAAATTGTTGAAAAAGGAAAACATTTACTTAATGACAGAGGGAAGACTTAGCTTTCCAAACAATCTTCTGTTAAAAGAAAAACTTTAGCTGAATTAAATTTAAAGGAGTTTAATTGAGCAATGAATCATTTGTGAATCAGGGAGCCCTCAGAATCAGCAGATTCATAAAGATTCCAGGGATGCCTGGTGGTCAGAACAAATTTATAAACAAAATAAGAGGCATGGTGTGCAGAAATTGGAAGTGAGATAGAGAAACAACTGTCTTGGTTGCAGGTTGACATTTGCCTTATTTGAATACAGTTTGAACACTCAACGGTGTATGAGTAGTTGAAACATGGCTACTGGAATTGGCCAAGACTGACTATTATTACAGGCATATACTCCTAAGTTAGGTTTTCAATCTTGTCTACCTATTAAGTTAGGTTACAGTTCATCCACAAGGACTCAAATATAGAAGTATGGAGTCCTTCTCAGGCCATTTTTAGTTCACTTTAACAAACCCAAATACCTAGCTGACCTATTCATGAACGGAACTTTTTATTTTTTCTTCTTGATTTTTGTTTCTCTCCACAAATGTAACCATATGTATTAGTAAGGGAAGGGGCACAGGTGCAACAATGGGACACATGGGGGTCCAGGTTACCTGCTCGTTCAGCCTGCTTTGTCTCTTCACTTCTGCTTATGCTTAATCTCCGTTATACCACTTGCATTTTACAATGGATTGCTGTAATCCATCATTCTCTGCTGAAAATGGAATGTCCTTGCTCCAGATCCCTGGAGGTCTGGGTTGTAATTCTCCCGTTGAAGCTTGTCATAAACTCCACACAGTATCCTTCCCCAAAATGGATACCTCTAGCATCATAGGATATGGCTGCTATGGATGCATTGTATGGCTCACACATCAGGGCTGCTAGCACTTGAGCCTAAAACCTGCTCAAAATAGAATCCTCCCCTGCTCTAGGTCTCTCTCAAAGCTGGTAGCCTTCTGTGCTACCTGGTATTGGGAGCAGTATTCTCAGGTGCAATATGTTGCCTCTAAAACATAAATAGTTTTACCTTGCATAGTACTTTCTTCTTTGTGCTGGACAGCGTGGGATGTGATAATTTGTTATTTTCTTAATGGGCATTTTCCAAAATGTCATAGACCACTGTACTCCTACAAATTGTATTAAAGGATCCCTGAATATCACATTGCCTGAAGCTCATGCATCTAATCAAGAACTTGTCGTACTCTTGGGAGCTCTGAAACTAGAATGGTTGATTAGGGCTTTCTCCAGTTGGCATAACAGGGTCTGGCCTTTATTTCCCACAATGATTTATGTCCCCACAGTGAATACAGCTGTCTCAGGGTGAATTGGCTCTGTTCATGGGGACAATTACCTGAGAAGTCAGCAAAAAACCTTCACTGGAGGTGGGGGAGAAAGTCTTTAGTTTTTGAAGGGGGAATTTAGGTGATATAGCCCAGCATGACAAATTATTTCTGCAAATTTCTGTTTTCTCCTTTTAAATTTTTGATTTTTTTTTGAGTTTTAAATTTACTTTTTAGCCTCTATTGGTTTTTTATATGTGTGTAACTCTTGCACTTTAATTTTAATTTCAAAAATTTTAAATATTTTAAGTAGTCTCTCTCTTGATTTGCTTATGTAATAGTTGATAGGCAAAGTGGAAGCAGCAGAGATAAACATCCTTAAAAGGGGATCATAACAATCACCTTGAACTCTTTTTTTTACTGCCCTTTTGCTGCCCTCAGTGGAATTCTCCTTTTTTATAGTGTTATAAAAGCCATGATCCTCTCAGGAGATTTACTGGGCTGCAACTCTTTCCGGGGCCACAGACATCTTTTTGCAGACAGCTCTTGCGCACTCCTGGCATGGAGATGTTTCTCATTGTCTCACCTATTTTAATTAAGAGGAATAATATTTGAAGTACATTAATATCCCTTTCTCTTTTGCATTTTCATGGCTTAATCTTCTTATTCAGATGGAACTCTCCATCTTACTGGAGATGAGGATAAGGAGGAGATAGGGCCTGGGATGGAGTTTAGGACTGCTATCATGAGAATACAAAGAGAAGACATTAATAGTTACCAGCTAGTATCTAAAAGAGGATTTGCAGCAAGACTGCCTTAAAATCTAGGTTCTGTGTAGAGATTGCATTAGCATACTAAGAACTAAAGCTGGTAGTCAGTGAGCATTTATTTTCTACCCTGAGTGTAGAGAAAATATTTCCTTTAGCAATTCTAGGCTAAGGAACCTGCTCTCCTAGCAGATGGATGCTTTGGTGGAAGAATAAGCTGAGCCTAACCTGAGAAATGAAGAGAAGTAAAAGGGAGTCAGATAGGAGAGAGCAGAGCAGGCACTAGGGTTTTAATCAATTCCAACACTTGATATGAGAGTGACAGTTTAGAAACGTTCGGGTTGACACATGCATGTAGAAAACATCAGTGCTAGCGGCAAGTGACCTGATTCCCCAGGTGGGTGGGCCTGCGAGACTCTAGGCACTAGAGCCTAGAAGAAGCCCTGAGCAGAGCATTTCCAACGTGGTGCAGGGATATGCCAAACAGCAGTGTTGAAGGGAGGCAGGGCTCTGGTTTCTCTTTTCTGGGTTGAAGACCCTGAGGGAGGTATGTGCTGGATAAGACCAGGGAATATGGAGAGCAGAGGGGATGGCTTCAGTAGAGCATACTTGACATCCTGATTGGATAGCAGAGTTTCAGAGATTAGATCTTGGCCACTTTGGTTCTCATGCGTTTTGTTTGGGACCTACCTTCTCCACAAGGGAGTTAGCTGAAAGTCTGATTTGAGGTCTTTCTGGAAAGTGTAGCCCTGAAGTCAAGCATTGTAGAATATACTGCCTGGGTCAAAATTAATTGGAAGTCACATCCAGGAATTAAGGAACGTTCAGAGCTGGGGAGAGTTGAAGTGGACGAAATAATTAGGGATGATCATAGTACCTGAGAGAAAAAGAGAGAGATTTCAAATTAGACAGCTAGAGAAAAGAGCAGGAAGGGAGCAAAGGAGAGGAAAAAGGAGAGAGAGAGAGAGAGAGAGACAGAGAGAACTACAGTACACATCTGATTCAACAGCATCAAAGTAGAAATTGACAGTGAGGACCCACGTGACAGCAGAAAGACACCAAATGCAGTTTCAGACGCTGTAACTCTGCCCAGACCAGGTCATTTAAACCATGTCCCCCCATACACTCAAACACTGGTTTATAGGGGAGCAGAAGAGGGAAACAGAAATCTTTTAGCTTTACATGGGAAGAGTGAGCACTTACCCGAAGGAAGTTTTAAGTTATTGACTGTCCCCCTACCCCTGCATCACATACATTTCTCAACCGATAGGGCTTGTAAAAGAGATCCAGTAAATTTAAAGACATTTTAAAAAGCAGATCTGTGTCCACTTGAATTAAACATTTGGACTTGGGTTAAGTAGAATCCAAGTTGTATGAATGACAAGAGTGGAAGGGCAAAAGGAGATGATATGTGAGGAAAGACCCTCCTAATATTGTTTTGGCCAAATATGTCCTTAAGCAATGTTGAGCTTCCTGAGGCATTCTTGGGGGAAAATCTATAGGTGCTGCTGTAAGAGCCATCTTAAAAACAAGTTCTAGATTACGGGAAATAAAACCTAGTTGACTCCCATTGGTAGATAGTAATCTTTCTTATTCAGATGGAACCCTCTGTCTCACTGGAGATGAGGATTAGAAGGAGATAAGGCCTGGGATAGATGTTAGAACTGCTACCATGAGAATACAAAAAGAAGGCATTAATAGTTATTGATGGGAGAAGGGACGGTACTAACTGAAAAGAGACAATATCCTTTTGCCCTTTGAGCCAGTGCTCTGCTACTCACTGAGAAAGCTTTTGGGGCCAAGGGAGGCAGCTGAGACTGGGCTTCTTTAATACTTCGTACTGTTTTCCAAAGGAAAGATTAGGCAATGTAAAAGGTAATCTGATTCAGACTGAAGGCCGTGGTATAGCTTCTCCCAGCTTCATAAACGTTTCTACTAGACTCCCACATGATTCATTTAGAGGGTTCAAATGATCAAGAGGTTCTTTTCTCAATGAAACCTGTTCCCCTCTAAAATGGCTTTTCAGTGTTCACTAAAAATCCAGTCTTAGGAGACAGTCTTTGCATAGTGTGTGGGACAAAAATAATAATAATAATAAAAAGACCATGCAAACTGAATCTATGCAAAGCAATCTTAATAACTAATGAGAAAAATTACAATTGTCCTCAATTCTTAAAAATGTTAAAACACTAAAACTCTGTTACTGTAGGTTGGAAATATATAGCAAAATGAAAAAAAAGCTGGCTAAATTAATATTTACTTATAGCACCATAATTTAAAACATTAGAAACATTGATAATTGAATTCCATTATTTATTTGTAAAAAAAAAGTATCAAAAATAATTTGAACATGCTTGCCTTCTCATATAACTTAAAATGTAGAATGAATATCTTTTCTATTGCGTGGTGAATTGTCACACTCTTTCCAAAGTTTGGATTAGCTTCCAGCAGTTTATCTTTTGTGCTTTTAATGTGAAATATTTCTGAGATGTCCTTTAATGTGAAGATTTTTCCTGGCATCACTTCCTCTATGACATCTTCCTCTTTTCTTTTTTGTCACAAATGCTTTGCTTATTTATATTGGTAAGTTGTTCACCTTAGCTAAATTCCACTGGCTGCATATCTAGACTCTCTTGAATGGCTGCGGTGTCAATATTCCCAGTCAGCTATGTCTTCTGTGCTGTGCATGTTTGATTTAAATTTTACTTATATTGTTATCGCTTTTAGTTTCTTCATTGCACTTTCATCTTTGTTGGCCAATTCTTTCTTTTGAGTATCTATTTTCATGAAATGTGACATCGGTTTATTTCCAGCCGACCAGGAGGCAACACAACTACACACTGTGTGAACTGAACCTCAGATACCACTGGCCTGTCACCAACAGATTTTGAAGCAAATGATGTGATTGTTCACCGATTATCAGTGCATCTGTTATTTACATAGTGATTTGTGAACTGACAAGTTAGCAGCAGTTTCTGCTTTATGCAATTGTTCTGTTAATAGACTGTGATTGTGGTAAGTGAAATTTAAACTGTGTTGTTGGGAAACTGTTGTTATTTAACTAACCTGTGATAATTGAAATTCATGCATATTGGAACTGTGCAAAGTAAGAACAGCCTGCAAATAAAGCAATACTTTCTATACCTTCACCTTCTCAGAGGATTAGAACTTCAGGGTAACTCATTTTCTTTCTTTTTTTCTTAAATTGAGGTAAACTTTACATACAGTGAATGCACAGTTCTTTTTTTTATTTTTATTTTATTATTATTATACTTTAAGTTTTAGGGTACATGTGCACAACGTGCAGGTTTGTTACATATGTATACATAAATGCACAGTTCTTTAGAGTACAATTAGATACATATACTAATTATATTTATTGTGCGTAACTGTTACCTGAATTCCATTCATTTCTTGACTCCTTTTTTCCTGCATGAAGATTTTTCTTCTGGAGTCTGTACAAATCACCATGAGACACTCCAGTTTGGGTACTATGACATAAAAAGTCAATAGATTATCCCATGTGGGGTTTGATGAGTTTGGGGAGCCTTTTTATTTGGGCCAGATCACTCAACAACAGCTGCAGTGTTTGAGCCACCAAATCTTAAGAAGAAAAACTGTATTCTTATGATTAGATTTTTTGAAAATTGCCACTTCTTAAGATTCCTTTTAAAAATGTGGTTCATTGGGGTTTCAAAAATAAAGATCTAGATGAACTAGCTTTCCTGATAGGTTTTAATATTATCTCAATGTTAATAGCAATATTTTTATCCCCATGATTTCAAAACTTTTGTTTTAAGGGCAAAATAACAAAGGTAAACAAAGGTAAGCGAACCACCGCCATCCTGTTTATTCTCAGGACTTCTTGGTGTTTGGTCTCATAGGAAAATCCAAAAGCCTTTCCTGGAGAAGTTCCACTTGTTTTACATAGGCTACTGGATGTCTGGCTTGATACCAATAATCTGAACTGTTATTTATTGTGGGTTCTCCATGGTGGAGGTAATTATCTCTGGACATTGAAATGACCGGATTGGGGCGTGCTCCACGGACCACTCCTGGAACACATTGCAGAGGAGAGGATTGTGTCTCTGGAACTCTTCTCCTTTGTAAGTTGAATTAATCTGAATGAATAATTCTTCACTAGAAGAAACAGATCCTGCTGAATGAAAGCACATAATGGAGCCCTAGGGGTGATCTGAGAAACAACTATAATTATCTCTTCTCTGCTTACTGCCATACTTAGGAAGGAGTCTTTGGACTAGGCAGAAAGTGATCAATTTCCTCTCATATTACCCTCAACCTGCGGCCTATTTGTACTCCTGATTGGATAAAAGGGTTAAGAAGAACAAAATGGTTGGAGAGATTTTTGAATTTTTATGATAATTATTTGGTGTCCCAGGATCTACTGAATGTCTCAAGAGAGGAACTTTTTTCCACTTCACAAATTCTAATTTTTGACTTGATAAAGAATGATGGTAAGTGAAAAACTACATTGCTAAAATTACTGGTGCAACAAGAAAGAGGGAACTCAGGAGTTCCCACCTGAGTTCTTATCATATTTAAATTTTAAGAGTATTGTTTCTTCTAAAAATATCAAATAAAAGCTTGAGGTAAGACTTGTGTTGATGCTCAGAACTGGGAGTAAATGTACATCCTGGGGTTGTGTTTCTTATAGATGAATATGGTGAATGAGGTGCTAGAATAACTGTAGATTCTGGGGTTGTGTTTCTTATAGGTGAATATGGTGAGTGAGGTGCTGGAAACCCATATCCTGGTTAGCATTTCCCATAATTATCTTTATTATTGCTAATGTTGTTATAGTAATATATGCCCATGGAAAAATTTGAAACAGTGCAAAAAAGTATGAAATGAAAAATCTCCTATGATATTACTCAACTGTAGTCCCACTTTTTAGATATAACCACTTTTCACAGTTTCTGTTAATTCTTCTTGTTTAAATCTTATGTCTCTTTCTGTATTTAGCAACTTTAAACAACATCTGTTTACACCCCAGTATAAAAAGAAAACATTAACTTAATCCTGTCACCCTTATACCTTTCTCCCTACTCATAATTTTTAATAATTATACTACTCTTTATTCTTGTACATTTATAACTTTAAATATTATACTTAAATCCATTTCTTAATTAACTTCAGATAATTATCTTTTGATTTTGTCTATGTAAAGTGAGAAAAATTTCAATATTTTTATTTACAAATTTTCAAGTGCTTTAATGTTTTTATTCAATATTATAAATATAGTTAAGAATCCTATTTTGTCTTTAGGTTACTTTTAAACTCTGAGGACCTATTATTTAGTGAACAATCAAGCAGTAAGTTGTCACCCATAGAAAAGGAAATGTGTTCCTGTGGCTTCAACATTTTGTCATTTTCCTACTAGGTTCCCTTTTTTGTGTGTATGATACATTCAGCTGTCAGTGTTTTTGAGTCACTGACTTGAACACTGTTCAATTATCTCCTGTAGTGATTTTTTTTTTACATAAAATATATCTGTGAAAAAGTTTCAAAGTTTTTGCATGTCTAAAATGCATTTATTTTGTGGTCACATGTTATTAGTAGTTTAGTTACGTGAAGAGTTCTAGAGTCATATTGATTTCTCCCCCTTGGAACTTTGAAGACATTGCTCCATTGCTTTTCAACATGCACTATTTTGAATGAAATATGTAATAGCAATATGATTATTTGTTATTTTTGTTTTCTCTTTCTGGATGCTTCTAGAATTTTGTCTGTATCCTTGTTTTTATATTTTACTAGAATGTGTCTAGGTATAAGGCTTTTTCAATTATCTTTCTGATACCATTTATTCTAGTAATTTTCTTCAGCTCTAAAATATTTTCTTCGACTACATCTTTGATTATTACTTCCCTCCTATTTTTTTTCCTGTAGTTTCTTCTGTTTTAACTCATCTTATAAGACATTTCTCTATTTTTTTAAAATCTTTTTGTCTTTTTTGCTAAAAGGTTAGGAGAGTACCATAACTATTTATCCAACATTTCTATTGATTTTTTTCCAATCATATTTTTACTTTATAAAATCTTTTTTGTGTTCTTTTATTGATATAATTTTTGTTTTATAGATGGCAGTCTGGTTTTCTGGGTATCATAATTGTCATTAATCAATTTATCGAATTTAGATTTTTAAAAAAGTTGTCTTCCATTCCCCCAAATAATCTTGTTTTACTCAAAATTATTCATTCTTCTGATCTTTTCAGTTTTCTTTCACATTGTTGATACTTCTCAAATGCTGAGCAGCTTCTTATTAATTCATTTTAGAATTACTTATAAGGGTCTAGGTTGATTATTATAGGTAATTGATGTTGATTTCTTCTGCCATTATGCAGATCTTTTTCCTCAATGGGGGTCTGCTCCAAATGGAAAGTTGGTTTTGAGCTTTGTGAATCTGGTTAAGGCATGCCAATTGGCAAGCTTTGTTTCTGGCTTGGCAAGCACAGATGGCAGGCAGGTAATTCTGCTCTCTCCAGGTTTAAATGAGAGAGGCTTTACTGTGGTCTGTAATATTTATGCTAAGAAATGTTTTGTTCCTCTTATTTGGAGCACATTTATTTTTCTCTTTCATTTATTCTTTTTTTGGCCCTTCTATAGATATTTTCTCTTTTATTTCTCTTACTCACACCAAGTCCTGAGTTTTCCTGGGAATGATAGCTCTCACATCTCTGAGGAAAACACATGGATTAGGTAAACCTTCATTAAAGTACAACAAAGGAGGTTAATTTGATTTGAGGAGAACTGCTTGAACTTTGTAGTCTCCAAATGTTTTTCAGATTTTAATAATGTAAACAGTGGTTGTTTGCTTGGAATAGCTGATTGAAGAGCTCAAATTAAGTAAAATTCCTCTTGAAGACTTCTAGCTCTCTGGATTTTTAAATGGTTTGTTTGCAAACTACGGGCTCTGTATTTTTTCCATCTGGATGGGCTCATAGAATAATCAGTAGATTATTAATAGTTTTAAAAAAGTGATCTGCTTCATTCTATGTCATAGGCCCATTATTCAATCCTTAGCAAGGTATTCTCTATTTCACCAGATAAGTCCATTGATTAATCTGTTCAGTTTTTAAAAGTTTTTAAAAACTGTTCAGTTTTTAAAAGTTTTTAAAAACTGTTCAGTTTTTAAAATTATTCTACCTTGCCCTGCATTATAGGTCCATTGATTAACCAGGCATGTCTTCTGAACGCTATTAGTTTCCTTCCAAACTGATTTTAAATGTGTGCTTCTTGGGCCAATATTCTACATGATGAACATCTGGGCTTTAAGTTTTACTCATCTAATATTGACAATATTCACCCATGACTTTACATCATAACTTTGTGAATAAAAAAGTACTTAACATTTTTTGATATTTTATTGGCCTTTGATCCAGGGCAGTTCGCAGGTATTAACCAAGTCCAAAGTGGACAAAGTTTTTCTTAAAGGAGTATAGAATAAATATTTCAGTCTCACTGTCATAAAGTCTCTATTGCAGCCACTCAGATTGTACATTGGAACACAAAAGCAGCATGGATAACACATAAACAAATGGGTGTGGTTGTGTTTCAAAAAATCTTTATTTAGACATCTGGCCTGTGGACTGTAGTTTTTCAGCTTCTAGACTAAGCCATATAAAAGTGATATAAACTCCTCATTACTGAGATTCACAAAGAAACTGCATTCTAAAACCTCCCGACAAAATGAGATACTTGGTGCCTACCACTGGTTTGAGAATAGGCTCATTGAAAATATGCTAGTGCACAATAGGCATATATTTTCTTCTTTGTTCTCCTGATATCATAATGACTTGAAACTGCTTCTGAAGTAAATAGATTCATGCTATTCAGAATCGAAAGATAAATATTTTTCTTTACATCAATAACATGAGTTTTCTGTCTCAAGTTATAATTGATTTTGCTATCAAGCTGTCTTAAAAGATGAATGTACATCATTTCACTATTCTAGATCCCAAATGATCATTTTTGGTAAATACCTTCCAACATTTAATTGGCTTATATTCAATTATGTTTTCTCAAATTGTTCATTTTCATGAAGATGTATTTTCAGCCAATGTATTTTTAAGAGTTCTCTAAGAAATTACATTGTTCAAAGTTGGACACTGTGAAGGCTATGAGAGGTTCTATATTGTTTGAAATGTTTATAAGATATTGTGATTTAAGATAGGCTCTATGACACAGAATTCTTGGATCCTTATTGCCTACTTGTCTTTGCCTCAGGATAAAACCAGAACTGTTTCCTTAGGAAGCTGTGGCTTACCCTCTCAGGTACTACCTTTATGCATCTCTGTTCAGAGATAGATAGTCTGATATTCAGGAACATATCTTGATGGAATTCATTTATTTTCCTGGGGTATGAAAGGATTGAAGGATGAAATCCTATTGTTCACTTAGTTGATCACTAACGCATATAGGTCCTGCCCTTCCTCAATGTTAGATAATTTGAAATTGAGTTTTCTGCTTTGAAATTCGGATAGCTCAAATGTGGAAAAATACAATTTATGGACTATTTCTGAATTGACATTAATATATTCTTTTTATGTAAAATTTTTTTTCACCCTGTCTTATGGTGCAGAATATATTCTTTTCTTTAAAAAAACTGTCAGAGGCCTGGTGTTCCACAGGGACTGCCATGGTAGACAGAGGGTAAGTGGTGTGACAGGTCTGTTGATGAGTGGGTTCTCCGGACTCCCCAGTCAGGAGTCAAACAGATCAGCTCCACACACAGTTTCATACGGATAAAAATGTCTACTGCTAAAAAGTTTGAGAACCATTGACCTAAAGACAGTCTAATTCTGGGCTCTTAGCTGTCAGAGAGCTGTGTAATAAGACCACAGTCTTTCAGTCTTTCATGTAACTGCTCTTACAAAATTGTGTCTTGGTGTCATTACTTTGGCTTTTTGTTGAGCTTCATTACAAGAAACAGTTAAAAGAAGCTCACTATTCCATTCTTGGTAAGTCTATCACTGAGGACCTTGCCTTCCATGATGCATACAATATCCCTCTATGAAGATCTATTAAAGATTTTCCCTCTTGAACCAGGACACTGGGGCCCTTCTATTCAATTGATTTTATTTAATTTCATGGATATTATGCAATTCACAACTATTAATTAATTAGCCATTAGGAATGTCCTGAATTTGGACCTCTCCTTTGGAAACTAATTACATGCAGTTTTGCACAGTTGGTTTACACATAATTTTGTCTAAATTTCTTTCATTTATTAATTGTATGCCTCCATGCCTCTGTTTACTTTTATATGTATGGTTGTGTGTATTTCTTTGAATTTATTTAAATCCGTTTGTATGAAATGAGTCAGTCACACAGGATTCTCTGTTACAAGGGATAGAAAATTCAATCCAAGGTGGCTTAAAAAAAAGGAGAGCTTATTCTGTTATATAACAACAGCAGAAATTTAGGGATAGGCCTGGCCTCAAATATTGCCTGACGAACGGTTCATGCAAATGTCACAAGGATCAGATTTCTCTCAAGCTTTCAGTGCAGTCTTCTGCTGCATTGGTTTTATTCTCAGACAAATTATCCCCCTATATGACAATAATAAGATGTCTATAAGAGCTCCAGTTTGGATGGTCCACCTTCCTAAAAATGTCTGCTAATATCCTAGAATTAAGTCCGATTTGGTATGATTCAATGGATTTTGGTAATGTGTCCATTTCTGACCAATACTTGAGGTCCGCAAGTAGAACGTGGTGTTTCTAGTCCTAGGTCACATTGTAGACCCTGGCCATGGTGTCAGCAGCCTACGAGGAGGCACAGATGGGGGATTTTCCCAAATCCAAAGCAGAATATGTTTTACACAAGAAAAGAAGTAATTGTAGGAGCAAAACAAAGAAAAAGCTGTCCATTTGTTGGGATATAATTAAAAATGTAATGATAGTGAGTTATTTTTCAGCACTCTAAAAAACAAAAGCATTGAATTATTCTCCATGGTCTCTGGAATGGTAATTTGTATGGGATAACCATAAAATAATGGAAATGGCTTTTTAACAGACATGAAAGAATTTATATATTCAAGTGAGAATAGCATTTCAAGGTCATTACCTTGGGGATCTATACACATAATGATAATAACTACCACTAATTGAATGTCTGCTCTTCCAGGAATTTTAGGAATGTAGCTAAGAGAAAATAACGTTACTTTAAATGCTGACCACCAAATTCTTCTCAGAAACAGTCTCTATGGGCACAAGAATGTCCTTGTGAGTGAAAATAAGGGGTAATTAAACTGATTTTTGAAAAAAATACAACAAAAATTTTGGTGTTTGGGAGCAGAGGGGGAGATATGAGGAAAATGTTGGGTATGAGAGGAAGCCATTTTATTTATTTATTTATTTCTAGTATTATGATACTTTAAGTTCTAGGGTACATGTGCACAATGTGCAGGTTTGTTACATATGTATACATGTGCTATGTTGGTGTGCTGCACCCATTAACTCATCATTTACATTAGGTATATCTCCTAATGTTTTCCCTCCCCCCCCCCACCCCATGACAGGCCCCCGTGTGTGATGTTCCCCTTCCTTTGTCCAAGTGTTCTCTTTGTTCAATTCCCACCTATGAGTGAGAACATGCGGTGTTTGGTTTTTTGTTCTTGTGATAGTTTTCTGAGAATGATGGTTTCCAGCTTCATTCATGTCCCTACAAAGGACATGAACTCATCATTTTTTATGGCTGCATGGTGTTCCATAGTGTATATGTGCCACATTTTCTTAATCCAGTCTATGATTGATGGACATTTGGGTTGGTTCCAAGTCTTTGCTATTATGAATAGTGCTGCAATAAACATACGTGTGCATGTGCCTTTATAGCAGCATGATTTATAATCCTTTTGGTATATACCCAGTAATGGGATGGCTGGGTCAAATGGTATTTCTAGTTCTAGATCCTTGAGGAATTGTCACACTGTCTTCCACAATGGTTGAACTAGTTTGCAGACCCACCAACAGTGTAAAAGCACACCTATTTCTCCACATCCTCCCCAGCACCTGTTGTTTCCTGACTTTTTAATGATCACCATTCTAACTGGTGTGAGATGGTATCTCACTGTGGTTTTGATTTGCATTTCTCTGATGGCCAGTGATGATGAGCATTTTTTCATGTGTCTGTTGGCTGCATAAATGTCTACTTTTGAGAAGTGTCTGTTCATATCCTTTGCCCACTTTTTGATGGGGTTGTTTGTCTTTTTCTTGTTAATTTGTCTGAGTTCTTTGTAGATTCTGGATATTAGCCCTTTGTCAGATGAGTAGATTGCAAAAATTTTCTCCCATTCTGTAGGTTGCCTGTTCACTCTGATGGTAGTTTCTTTTGCTGTGCAGAAGCTCTTTAGTTTAATTAGATCCCATTTGTCAATTTTGGCTTTTGTTGCCATTGCTTTTGGTGTTTTAGACATGAAGTCCTTGCCCATGCCTATGTCCTGAATGGTATTGCCTAGGTTTTCTTCTAGGATTTTTATGGTTTTAGGTCTAACATTTAAGTCTTTAATCCATCTTGAATTAACTTTTGTACAAGGTGTAAGGAAGGGATCCAGTTTCAGCTTTCCACATATGGCTAGCCAGTTTTCCCAGCACCTTTTATTAAATAGGGAATCGTTTCCCCATTTCTTGTTTTTGTCAGGTTTGTCAAAGATCAGATGGTTGTAGATGTGTGGTATTATTTCTGAGGGCTCTGTTCTGTTCCATTGGTCTATATCTCTGTTTTGGTACCACTACCATGCTGTTTTTGTTACTATGTCCTTGTAGTATAATTTGAAGTCAGGTAGCATGATGCCTCCAGGTTTGTTCTTTTAGCTTAGGATTGACTTGGCGATGCGGGCTCTTTTTTGGTTCCATATGAACTTTAAAGTAGTTTTTTCCAATTCTGTGAAGAAAGTCATTGGTAGCTTGATGGGGATGACATTGAATCTATAAATTACCTTGGGCAGTATGGCCATTTTCACGATATTCATTCTTCCTATCCATGAGCATGGAATGTTCTTCCATTTGTTTGTATCCTCTTTTATTCCGTTGAGCAGTGGTTTGTAGTTCTCCTTGAAGAGGTCCTTCACATCCCTTGTAAGTTGGATTCCTAGGTATTTTATTCTCTTTGAAGCAATTGTGAATTGGAGTTCACTCATGATTTGGCTCTCTGTTTGTCTGTTATTGGTGTATAAGAATGCTTGTGATTTTTGCACATTGATTTTATATCCTGAGACTGCTGAGGCTGCTTATCAGCTTAAGGAGGTTTTGGGCTGAGATGATGGGGTTTTCTAAATATGCAATCATGTCCTCTGCAAAGAGAGACAATTTGACTTCCTCTTTTCTAATTGAATACCCTTTATTTCTTTCTCCTGCCTGATAGCCCTGGCCACAACTTCCAACACTATGTTGAATAGGAGTGGTGAGAAAGGGCATCCCTGTCTTGTGCCAGTTTTCAAAGGGAATGCTTCCAGTTTTTGCCCATTCAGTATGATATTGGCTGTGGGTTTGTCATAAATAGCTCTTATTATTTTGAGATAACGTCCTATCAATACCTAATTTATTGAGAGTTTTTAGCATGAAGGGCTGTTGAATTTTGTCAAAGGCCTTTTCTGCATCTATCGAGATAATCATGTGGTTTTTGTCTTTGTTTCTGTTTATATGCTGGATTACATTTATTGGTTTGCGTACGTTGAACCAGCCTTGCATCCCAGGGATGAAGCCCACTTAATCATGGTGGATATACTTTTTGATGTGCTGCTGGATTTGGTTTGCCAGTACTTTATTGAGGATTTTTGCATCGATGTTCATCAGGGATATTGTTCTAAAATTCTCTTTTTTTGTTGTGTCTCTGCCATGTTTTGGTATGAGAGGAAGCCATTTTAGCAGGAAAGTTGGTTGGGAGCAGACAACAGCCCTCAATATTTTGAATATTTACTTTAAAGTCTGTTAATATTCTGTTACTGTCTACTAGGCATAAAGGCTTGAGTGAGTGGTGGTGCTTTGGGGAAATCAGACAAAAAAGGGGCTGTGCTTCCTGTGGGGTGGCACAGTTAGAGAAAAGAGGAAGACACAAGAGGCAGGATGTGAAAGAGATCAAAGATTTAGTAGAAATAGTAATTTAGAAGAAGAGATGACCATGGAAGTGGGACTCAATAGAGCCTTTGGGACTGAACTTTCCAGAGGTTGCAGCATGAAAAGGAAAAGATGATCTCTGCTGACAATTAGATTAGAAATATGGCACTACAAATTTCCCCAGCAATCCTGTATTAGTATCCATATTTGCTGATGTACAAACTCAGATTCTGAGAGATCAAGTGACTTGCCCAAGGTCATACAGCTTATAAACTGGCACAGCTAGAAGTTAATTCCAGGTCTGATTCTAAAGCACATGCTCTTCCACTATATTTGCCCATATTTCATCTTTATTCAAAACTGTTTTGCGTGCTCATCATTTACATTTGAGTGGAGTTATTTGATGTTTATAATAAAATATATAACTGCCACTGAACTGAAACACTTATATTTGCATGCTCTTCCAAAAGGAAGGTCAACATGGAATGCCAATTAAAATCAAATAAATACTTGTTGAACATCAAATTGTTATAAGAGAAATTAGTTAAGGCAAATATTCATTCAGACCACATTAAGATAGCCTTAAGGTTGTTAAGAAAGATAATTTTCAGGAAAAAGTTGTAATCCTGACTCGTACAGATATAAATATTTAAAAATGAACATGTTACAGAATTTATTTTACTCATTCAATGAAGTAACATGGCCAATGTTATAACTGGTTGAAATGAAAAGTAAAAAAGCACAAATGTATTTGGAATAAAGGAATTGAACTGCAAGTGGAGGCAAAACTAGTTTTTCTACAGCAGAGAAAGGAAACCAATGAAAACTCTGCTGGACAAGACATAATTTATGCACTTATCAACTTAGAGAGAGTTGTAAAATAGCTTGAAGAAAATGAATGGCTAGACTCTGATATCCTAGAAGGACGTGCTATATATAGATCCACATAGTGTTCCATTTAAAAACAATTTTTTTAACTTGTTTTACTGAAATAGACCAGAAATACTTAAAGCTTTGGCTAAAGTGTCCTCTCTTTTAGGAGGAGCATGTTGAAATATGTTTGGGGCACAAGTTGGGGCAGGTCTACTCTTTGTCTGTCCCATATCTGTGCTTTTTCATGGCTGACAAATCCTCCTTTCATATGCACATTATTTATTAAAAATATGAATATATTAAGTCTGATTTTAATGAAGTCTTGAAGGCCTTGTGAGTCATTGTGTTCCATATGGCTCTATAATTTTGGCCCAGTAAATATCCTTCGACATCCCCTAATCTATTAATATTTGGTACTGGATTTGAATGGCAAGAGCTCAGACAGTGAGGTCAGATGACTTCATCTGAATCTTTTATACTGAATTTTTAGATAGTGAGTAATGAGAATTTGGAGAGATGGGGGATACCAATCCTAAATAAAAAATGTTTATCTAGATTTATTCATATAATGCAAGTTTGGAAACAAAGAGCTAACATGTTGACCTTACAGTTTAGTGTCAGAGAATGATGAGAACTATCATATGTACTTTATTTCCAAACTTTTGTACCTTTTAAGGAGTATCTATAGGAGTTTTGGTTGATGGTATGTAATGAATGGCATGAATAAGAATAGGAATGATTTCTGAGAGTCATTGCTGGAGGAAGTTATGGGGTTTGAGATAAAGAAAGGTGGAATGACTACAAAGGCTGATGCAATATTCAGCATACTTTCTGACATGGTCCCTATAAACAAGGTACTGAAAGGGCATCAACAGAAGCTGATAAGCCTGCCACACAAAAGAGAAGAATGTGTGAAAATAATATATGGAGGATACTGAGACCTGAGTTCTCAGGGACACTGGTGAAGTATAGGCATGAGCCCTGCATACCATGGTGTAAAAGCACTGGAGTAATAGTGGTAGGTCAAGATGTACCAGATAGATTAGATTAGGTGAGCCTTTGGAAATGAAGTCAAGAGAACTGAGTTGATCTCATGAATTTGGGGATTTAAGACCATGAGTTACATTACATCATAGGAACGCTCTTCAGTTTATGCATGGTGAAAGGTTGGATCCTTGGACTCTGAGAGTTCCAGAGTCCTCATTTGAAGGAATAAGGCCTTTGATGTGCAAGAGTCATGGCAAGGAATCTGGGTCCTGTGACCCATGTGACATTGGTATGGCCTGACTTGCAGGACACAGGGTATGAGGGAGACTTAAGTTCTCCTGGGCTTTGAGGAGAACAAGACTTTTGGCAAGGTGAGATTAATTTCATTAAATGTAACGCCAATTTTTAAAAACAAAATTCCATTCTTAAAGGTTGAGGATTTGCCACTGTCAAGGATGCATATGCAGAGTATATTAGAGCATATCACAATAAGGACATGACCTTACAAGTTGACTGCTTTGAAGTACCTAAAAATCTTATGTACAGATTTGTAAAATTCAGTCACATTAATATTTTATATCTCTTTGTGCATTATAATTTTTTCTGCATAGTATATTGTGGTCTATTGATGATCTGAAGTAAAAATTAAATTAATGCATCATTTCAAGATTTATTTGTTGTAAAATCCTCTTTTGTCAAAAGATACCTTTGTATAAAGAGCACTTATCTTAATGTAGTTTTAAAAGATATTATAACCAAAAGGAAACCCTTCCTCAAATTCCTTTTATCACTTTAAAATAAAGCTTTAATCAAAAGACATTGACCTGCTCTTGTAAAAACTGCCTTGGAGAATCAGGGTATCTGATTCATAGAATTGACTATAATAGCTTCTCCAATGCCATTGTACCCTGTCAGGCATGTACTTCTCCAGGGACTTCTGAGAATACACATGACAGATTACGATTGTTCAAATATGTGCTTAGTAAATTTCTCCGATGTCTTTGTCAGATTGGAAATAGTGTGTACCCTGACATTACGTCCTGTGTAATATGTTATCAATTTCCTATGGTAATTTATCATGACATAGTCTTGGGTATATTCATGGTCTTCTGTGCCAGTGAGTTTCCAAACCTGGTATGGTGAACAACAATACTTTACGTAGTCTTTTTGCAGATTCATTTTGTACAGTAAAATAATTTTTTGATCTTTTTCAATTAAATTCAGTATATTAACTTTACATTTCTTATTCTTCTTTAATAAAAAGCCTTGAAGCATTAGTTCAGCAGCTTGGTGTCATGAAGGACTCAAAGTTGTTTGATCTTTTGTCTTTTTGATCTATTCTTATCATTGGCATAGCACTAGCCATCACATTCTTATACCAGTATTCCAAGCTGTGAGAAAAGTGTAGGAGTATGATCTTTTCTCCTTATGAGATGCTATCATTTTATTCAGGGATGGAAGTCCCACACTGACTTTCCTGTAAAGTTCATTGGCCAGAACTGGGTCAAGTGCCTACTCCTAAGCCATTGACTGGTGTAGACCATCATAGAATGGAGGAGTGGCCATTTTTTTGGGGTAAGATTATAATCTCTTCTAGATTCTATAATACACTAGAATACAAAATTCAGAACTCTCCTAGCAGGAAATAGATGGGAAAGGTGACAAGGTTTGTCGGATGTGTAATGGATAATGTTTGCTATCACGCTGATGTAGATGTGTGATGAGGGGGTCCAGGGGAAAATAAGGCTGTAGGAAGATGTGTTGTACAGGTAGTGCACATTGTAGAAGGATAACTTAGAGGCAATGAGTCAAATTAGAGGGAGAACTTAGGTATAAGGGCAAAGTTATGAGTGTCCATATTAGGTCATGGTGGTGGGAATCAAGAAAAAGGAAGCAATACAATATTTTAGGGAGAGATTCTCTGCATAGGAGAAAAAGAGTAAATATATATGGAAAAGACAAGCCAACCAATACATGATGTTTAGGAAAAATTTGAACACCTAATTGTCTACCAAGAAAAGTTGACTTTAGGTGGGAGAAATCTGGGAATATGTGGTCCCTTAATATAGTGGGATTTCAGTGGGTCTGAGAAGGGGTTTAGAGAAAAGCAAAACAAAGTAATTCCAGCATTAAGGTTATGTTCCTTGGAATATATATATATATATATATATATGTATATATATATATATATATATACATATATATATAACCTTTTATGCCTATTTTAAAATAAAAACACTTTTTAAAGGGGAGAATACTGGAAGAATGAACAACTTGTGATGACTGGAAATCAGAAAAGTCAAGGAGGAATTGGAAGGAGCCCAAGCAGGAGGTAGGGAGAGCTTTCCAGCTTAGCTGAGGGAACCCCATGTTCAGACCTATTCTTTCCTTCTGATATCCCATTTATGTGGCTCAACTGCCTGTATTCAGCAAATTCACCAAATAATTTGCAGCTCTCCACTTACATAATAGAAATACAACTCAAGGAGAAGATGCTTGGACAGTTTAATAATAATAATAAAATCTTGATGAGAACAGGTATTTTTTAAAGATAGAAAAAAGAACCCCAAACCTCTGACTTTGTAATTGGGTTTAGCTAAATGAGACTGGAACCTCAGGAGAAAATTAGAGACAAGCCGGGGATAAAATCAAAAACAGCATTTGTGATAAATCTGGTAAACAGCCTCTCTGCATCATTGGGAGGAAAATACACACTAAAAAACCTGTTATGGTTTTAGACATTTTTTAGAAGGTTATTTTAATTTAATTAATGAAAAATCATAGGTTAATTGCCTCCAGCTTTAATGTGAGGGTATTATGCATGCAGGCATATTTTATTTATATCTCGACTGTTTGATGTACACAATCAATTCAAAAAGGGATAATGAAGAGGTGTTCTGTCCTGTGTAGAATAATAATTAGGGACTCTAGTACAGAATATTTTTTATTAATTGTGCAGCTCAGTAAACATGTTTGACATAATGCTGAGAAATACATTTGTCAAATTTCACCAATATTTTTTCCTGCTCTTTCCTTTTGCTGTTTCTAGCTTTTTTCAGAATTGTTTTCATACTGACCCCTTTTTGCCTAGCTAGGAGACCTCCAAAGCCCTAACAATTTGATTTAGAGACTTAGGGTCACCTGCTAAGTTAGTTGCATTATGAAATTCAGGAAATCATATTGGACATCTGGCTGCTCTTCTCAACAAGATTCACCTACATTGTTAGGGAAATGGGAATCTGATTTTTTTTTTCATAGATGGGTAGAGACCACATCAGTCTATAATGCAGAATAAATTATGTTAGTGAAATCTCTATGGGCTTTTGATTATTATATAATTTATTGATGTTTTCCACACATCATCCCTGGCTTTTAGAAATGTTATTTTCTTTTCTAAGGATTTGGATATGATATATCAAGTCTTTTCCTCCCTGTGAAATACAATCATGGATTCCTCGTCATCCAAAGTACAAACTATGTATCAAGAATTGCTGAATAAGTTTTACTTTATAACTATTCTGTATTGCTTTGGGCATCAACCACTTTAACAGAACATTTTGTTCAATCTTGGGAAGAGATTGCATATTGATTGAAAAAGTACACCATTGTTTTTGCGGGCAATAAGCATGTCTAAAAATTTCTAGAATGTTCTTTCTTATCAATCTGTATAGCCAGGATCAAATTTCAAGGACTTGGGATATAGTGCCAAAAATATGCATATCTTGGCTCCTTTCCTGCTTTGACACTTGCCTCTTCTGGAAAACATTTTTTACTTTTCTATTTACCCCCAAATCCATCACCTCACTCAAGTCTTTCCCTGTAGTTAATTTTTCTACATTTTTTTCTCTCTAAGCTTTCCATACGGGTATCTCAGCAGGTATAGTATATCTTGTTAAAGCCAATTGTTTGTAATTGCCACATGATGTAGAACTTCTGTTGGGCCACCAATGCCCAGCAATGATTCTTTGGCTTCAAGTAAGTCATACATGTGAGATTTATAGAGAACCATATTGTTCCAAAAATCAAATGTGAATTTCACAGCTCTTTCTCTTAATGTCCAGTTCAAATGGAGCCGAGATGAAAGTGACTGTAGTAATCACATTCAAATGTTGTCACCATCTGGTGCCTGTTTGGTGGCCTATGTTATACGAGCAGGTGGTCCTTGTGTATCCTTGAGTGGCCAGCTGTCCACATCACAAAAGCCACTGTCACATTCAGTGTTAATTGGCATCTTGGTTGTAACGATCTGTGAGAAGCCAAGGCTGAATAGATCTCAGTATGTTATTCTTCTTTGTCCTGAGAACTCTGGGTCAAGGCTGACAAACATTTTCCCTCTGTCTTCTTGGCCTTATTTCCTATATGAAAATCTAAAAGGGTCTAGTATAAGCACTATCTATTAAATCAATCTACAGAAAAGCAAATACACATTTTATTAAGCTAGTGATTCTCAATCAATGCAAGAGATCCACAAAGGAATCTTCCTCAAGGAGATTTCATCTTCAGGATGTTTCTTCTTCAAGAAACTTCATAGAATTTAGAAAAGTTTGGTTGCCCATTTTGATTGCTTTAAAGATGATGTATCTATTGTTAACCTTAAATTTAGTAAAAGTAGCCTTTATAGGTTTATTTATTTATTTTGCCAAGACTGATCTATAGTTAATGGCTACCAGGAAAATCATGTTGGAAAACAGTCTTATCCTCTATTGCACCATAGAAAATTGCTGATACTTTGACCTACAGAACTAGCAGTTCAATATGGTTCAACTTAATACTTTTGCTTTTCATAGTTTTTAGGTTTTTCAGGAAATATTTATTTTTAAGTGAAATATTTCTACATCATAAATTCTTGGCTACGGGTCTGGTGTTGAAAGTCAGCTTATCCAGAGAGTCATGGGGGATGACTGCTCCATTGCATTTAGGCTGGTCGTCAGGTACTTTCCATGCATGTTCTAAAGTGTTCATGTCTTCTGAGTTCAAGTTACTTGCAAAGAATAAAGATTTTTTTCTCGTATGATTTTTAGTTATAATAATAGGCACTACTCAATATCATACACATACACAAAAATGTTGACATTTAGAGCCAACTTTCAAAAGCAAGCATTAATCTTTTTATCTTATGCCCATCACATAGGGAGAAAGAAAACATACCCAAGAAGTTAAATAATGCTCCAGATGACGTGGAAAAATCTTGTCTTTCATAGTCAATAAATTGGTTTGAAATGTTTGCATCAAAATCACCTGCAGGTTAACTCTATCATCACATATCTCTTCATGAAGGCTTCTATGGGCATTCCAGCCCTTGTTTCTCTTTTTTCTTTCTTCATCTTTCTCTAAGTGCCATACAAGGTACTTCTGACAATGAACTGTTCTAAATATTTTTTTTTGTTTCATCTGTACATTTCTTATATCTCTATTTATACTACTAGATACTTGGAGTGAGGTGTATATTTCAATTATTTTGATTTGTCTGAGAATCTAGCACTGTGCTTGGTAAGTTGGAGGAAGCCATAAACACTACACACTCAGTAAACATTCACTAAGCAGAAGCAAAAGATGGGACGGTGAGCTCTGAAAACAAATTAAGTTTTCTAGGTCTGGTTTTAAAATGGAAATGAACAAAATAAGCCATTTGTACATTAAATGTCTTCAAGATACTGATCTCTTCATAAAAAGGTTAGGGTTTGGTGTAAATTGAACCATTACCAAGAAAGTAAAACTTAGATTGTCCATCTTTATGCATTCCATTAATTCTAAAAATTTCATAGTTCTGAATCAGAACTAACTGCATTAACAAATTATGTATGCTGAATTAGTCACATTACTCAAGTCCTGTTTTTTTTTTTCTCTGCAGAATATTTGTCACACAGATATTTAAATGGAATCAGGGCTGTATATAACCATGACATAATACTTTGTCAAAAAGTGAAAAGTTAATCTGGTTGGTGAGTAATCATATACCTTCTTCCCTACCTCATCTAACAGCGTCTCAAGAAGTAGACTCTAAAATAATAGATCATTATAAAGGAAATAGAATCAGAGTACATTAGTAAAATATTGTAAAACCTTAATCATTAGTCTATGCATGATATTTTAACTTCTTTGACAATGAAGCATTCTTTATTATAAAAAAGTGGTTCTATTTCATGTCTGCCAAATAATACCAGAAATAAAAATAAAGTATAAGATTTCAATATGAAACAGAATGAATCACAACTGGCATGAGTTAAATAACTAAATTAAGATCAAGTTCCAAATTGCCTTATTTGAATCATCATTATAGAGAACTCCTCAAAAAGACAGATTGCTACTCTAGTGGCATGCAAAGAAGAGCACAGAATATGGTATTTTGGCTTTTTATATTCTTTTCTTCAAGAAGCTCAACCCCTTGTTAGACTGAGCAATGTCTTCTTGCAGTAGCCAGAGGGATGCATTGGCCAAGAGCTTTCCCTCTAGTCAAAAGACCCACCAGGTGGCAGGGATACAACCCAGGACAGCAGCAAAGAAAAGCTGAAGAAAATAATTATGTTAGCAGGCAGTGGTACAGATTGCAGCAGAAAATAGAAGAGTCTGGGAAGGGAGAGACTGGAAAAATATGATGATATATTAGAAGAAAAATAAGAGTATTGGGGAAATTCTGAGTTCTTAAAATTACTAAATGGTTAATGGAAGAAAGACAAGAAATTAATTAGGAACTTCAGGAAAAACAAAAAGCTGCATAAGAAATAAAATTTAATCATATACTATTTGGCTATAGTCAACAATAATTTTATGGTCATAGTTATGTAACACTGCCTTAAATGTTTGTATTAGTCAGTTTTCACACTGCTGATAAAGATATACCTGAGGCTGGGTAATTTATAAAGAAAAAAAGGTTTAATGGACTCAGTTCCATGTGGCTGAAGAGGCCTCACAATCATGGTGGAAGGTGAAAGGCATATCTTACATGGTGGTAGGCAAAAAGGGAAGGAGAGCCAAGCAAAAGGGGTTTCCTTTTAAAAGCCATCATGAGATTTATGCACTACCAGGAGAACAGTATGGAGGAATTTCCCCCATGATTCAATTATCTCTCACTGGGCCCCTCCCACAACATGTGAGAATTATGGGAGCTACAATTCAAGATGAGATTTGGGTGGGGACACAGTCAAATCATATCAACGTTCAACTTTTAAGATAAACCTTTTAGGGTGAAATGTGGGCTGCATATTTATGATTGAGAACAGAATGTAAATGTCATACGCTTGTCAATGTAAAATACAGATGACAATATTTGGAGGACCAAAGGTGGAGAGTGAGCTACAAGGAAGGGCAAGAGCAAGAACATTCTCATCATACAGAGTGGGGAGTCAAGAGATAATGCGTCAATTGATGGGATTAAAAAATAACAATGAAAACATATTGTTCACCATTATAAGTGTAACAAATGGAAAACCTAAAATGAATACTGATATAACTATTTTAAGTGGATGGTGGGAGGAGGTGAGGAATGGTGTGAGCTAAATCTTCATCCATCACAGCAGAGAGTATATGATTAATGTATAAATTCCCGAATCTATAACTAGGTGCATAAGCCTAGTTATAGACTTGTCAGCATAGACATAATCATGGGAAGAAAATATTAAAAATGGCTTCCTCTGTGGATCTATCCTAAATAGAGGTTGGTAGATAGGCTACTGTTTCTTTTCAGTGTAAGTTCTTCCATATGAGGTGATTTAAAAATCCTGTTTACGTATAGTTTTAGTAAATATTTTTCACAACATTGTTGAAAAAATAAAAAATTCTCATTTAATAAGTATATGGCCATTGTATGCTTATTAGCTTCTGTGTGTAGATATAAATTATTGCAAACTGGCCAGGGTCAGTTCAGCACCATGTTTTTCCTGGCAAAGCTTTCTGTAGATTCAGACCTGCATTAATCCTTCTTCCCTTTTGTCCTACTTCAACAGGTCATCAGTTTCAGAAGGGAGGATTTTAAATGGCTTAAAAATAATGTAGTCACATGACTTAAATTCAAAAGGTACAAAAGGAAATACAGTGAAATATGCCTACTATTCATGGTTCCCATCTATTCAATATTAAATTTCTTGTTATTTTTACAAAGCTTTCCAGAGTTATTTTATGTATACAGAAGTTAATACACACACACACACACACACACACACACACACACATTTCTGAAAACCTGTTGGATTGCAAGTTTTTGGATAGTTGGAGCTTATATTATTTTTCAAGTAAAAATAATATATTCCCAGGCAATCAAAAACTACAGCTCGTTTGTCCAATTGTTGTATATCAAGGATAGCTGCATGAACAACCTAAATATTCAACACTTAGTGAACTCATCATGAGTTCATTACGTTCATTACGTGCAGTACACAGTGACAACAAAGTTTGTGCTTCAAAATGTGTTCTGCATATCAGAAGCATTGAAATCACCCGAGAGCTTGTCAGAAAATGCAGAATCTCAGACCCAAATTCAAACCTACTCAATCAGAATCTGCATTTTGCTGAGATCCCCTGCTGCTTTGTAGGCACATTAAAGTTAGAGAAGCACTACTCTACAGGGGCAGTTATAAATTATACTTTCTTTTTATGAACTCACCTCTCTCAATATGCTTTATCACTTCAAACTTTTCTTCATATGTATAAACATTTCTATATCTTTTAGGCTTACATATTTTCTTTTCTGCTTTTAGAAGGTATTTTTACCTGGCATATGGAGAAGATGATGACAATAATGTGGAACTTGATTAGACATCAACAGAGACTCAATGCCTCCTGGAAAACACCTGAGAAATGATTGAAGCTCGCTCTGGTCTTGCCTGGAATCATGCATAACATTTGTTGCTGCCTGCATGTGGATTCATTTTAGCAGTTTATCAATTTGGACAGGGAATTTTGAATAAAAAATTTTGGCAGTCATTATAGTGACTCTTCTGAGACTGAAAATTCAGGTAACAAGGAAAATCAGTGACTCTTTCTCTCTGCTTTCTTCAAAACACAAATAATCCAATGATGTATAGGCTGCATTGCCCTTTGATTTGTTACCTTAGAGATCATTACATGTTAGTACATAAAGAAACTTCCCAATCTTCTTTTATAGCATCCAGGTACTCCAATGTGTAATTCAGCCATAACTTAATAAAATGGACTCTGTTTGATAAACATTTGGATTATTTCAAATATTTTACTATTATAAAGAATGTTGAATGAATACCTTTGTACATTTATATTTTCATATGTGTGAAAGTTTGTCTAAGAAGAGAAGCTATCAGGTTGAATGACATTCCATTTGTAATTTTGACAGCAACTGCTAAATTGTCTACCACAGATATTTAATTTGCCCTCCACATGAAAGGGACCTGGTTCCCCCATACCTTTTTCAACAAAAGTGTGTTGCCAAACTTTGGAATTTGTACCATCTGAACTGTGAAAAGATATTTCAGTGTTATTTTAATTTACTTTTTTGTTATGAAAAATGTATCCTTTCATATGTTTACAAACCATTTGCTATTCTTGTCCTGTGAACTGTCTATTCTAATTCTTTGCTCATTTTTTATTGGGTTATTGGCTTTTTTTATTATTAATTTTTCTTTTTATAGATTTGGACTTAAAATCCATTTTATCTAGTATAAGTATAGCTATCCCTGTTCTCTTTTGGTCTTCATCTGCATGAAATATTTTTTTCTATTCATTCATGTTCAGTCCATGTGTGTCCTTATGAGTGAATTGAGTATCTTTTAGACAGTATATAGTTGGGATTTAAAAAAAAATTCACTTAGCAACTCTATCTAATTTAATTACAGAATTTAATGCATTTACAGTCAAGGTAATTATGGATAGGAGATGACTTACTATTGCCATTTTCTTACTTGTTTTCTATTTGTTTTAGAGATCATTGTTTTTCCTTTCTTCTTCTCTTACTCTTTTTCTTTTGTGGTTCAGTGATTTTTTTTCTAGTAGTATATTTGGATTCTCTGCTTTTTATTTTTACTGTGTACATTACAGGTTTTTGCTTTGTGCTTACCATGAGGCTTACAAAAACATCCTATAGTTATAATAGGCTGTTTTTAAGCTGATAACAACTGCTATGGTTTGGATATGGTTTGAGTTTTTTTCCCACCCAAACTCCTGTTGAAGTTTAATGCCCAATGTGGCCATGTTGACAGGTGGGCCCACTGGGTCTAGCAGGAGGTGTTTTAGTCATTGGGATAGATCCCTCATGAACGGCACAGTGCCATTCTCACCATAGTGAATTATTGCTCTGGCAAGACTGGATTAGTTCCAGTGGAAATGGATTAGTTATTGCGAGAGTTGGTTGTTAAAAAGCCAGGATGCTTCTCATTGCACATGTCCACATCCCCTTTGACTTTCTCCACCATGTTATGATGCAGCACAAAAGCCCTCACCAGAAGCCAAGGCCATAACCTTGAGCTCCACAGCCTGCTGAACTATGAGCTAAATAAAACTTTTTTCTTTATAAAAGACCCATCACAGTTATTCTGTTATAGCAACATGAAACTAAGATAACAACTTAACTTTGTTTCCAAAAGGATTCTACACTTCAACTCCACTTTTCCTCACATTTTGTATTTTTAATATCACAATTTACATCTTTTTATATTCCATATCCCTTAGCAAATTATCAATAATTATTGTTTTTAATAGTTTTGTCTTTTAATTTTTGTACTAAAGATACAAATGATTTACATAACACCATTACATTATTAAAGTATTCTGAATTTGACTGCATACAGTCAACCTTTAGTATCTGCGGTAAATTGGTTCCATAAGCCCCCCGTGGATACCAAAATCCAGGGATGCTCAAGTCCTGGAGTCACGTGGGATGCAGAACCCACGGATGCAAAACATTGTCCCTCTGTATTGGTGGATTCTGTATTACATGAACACTATATTTTGATCAACAGTTGGTTGAATTTGTGAAGGGGGAATCCACAAATACAAAAGACTGACTGCATTTACTTTCATCAGTGAGTTTTCTACTTTCAGATGCTTTCATGTTACTCACTGGTGCCCTTTCTTCAGCTTGAAGTACTTCCTGTATCATTTCTTGTAAGACATGTCTAGTGGTAATGAACTTCTTCAGTTTTTGTCTGGCTGGGAAAGTCTTTATCTCTGAAGAACAGCTCTGCTAGATACAGTATTTTTGGTTGGCAATTTGTTCCTTCGGCACTCTAAAATATCCCACTTTCTCTTGCCCTGTAAGGTCTCTGCTGAGAAATCCTCTGTAGCCTTATAAGAACTTCCTTATATGTGTTTTTTTTCTCTTGCTACTTTCAGGATCATCTTTTTGTCTTTGATCTTTGATAGTTTGATGAATAATATGTCATAGGGTAATGTTATTTGGATTGAATCTGATTGGTGACCTTTGACCTTCCTGTACATTGATATCAATGTCTTTCTCTGGATCTGGAAAGTTTTCTGCTATTATTTCTTCAATTAAGCTTCCTACCATTTTATCTTTCTCTCCTCCTTCTCAAACACCAATGACTTTTGATGCTGCCCCATAAATCCTGTAAGCTTTCTTCATTTCTTTTCACTCTTTTCTCTTTTGACCATATATTTTCACATAGCCCTTCTGAGTTTACATATTCTTTTGCTTGATCAACTCTGCAGTTGATGCTATTTCATTTTTAATTTTATTCATTATATTATTTTAGCTCGATAATTTGATTTTTAAAATTGTTTCAGTATCTGATGAATTTCTGAATTGTTTCTCTATATTACTGAAGTTCTTTGAGCTTCCTTAAAACAGCTATTTTGAATTCTTTGTTAGAGAGTTCATATATCTCCACCTCTTTATGATGACATCTTATTTTGCCCAATTGATGATGTCATGCTTCCTTGAATGTTCTTGATCCTTGTTGTAGGTTAATGAATGCACATTGAAGAAGTAGGCACTTACTCCAGCCTTCGCAGTCTGGCTTTGCCTGGGAATATCCTTCAACAGTAAACCTGTCCAGAAATTCTAGGCAGGTCATTTGTTGCGGTGACTGAGCCTGTGCCTGCTGGAGCAATTTCAGCTTTAGAGGGTATCCTAAGTCCAGGACCATTATGGCTGGTTGCATTGCTCGACTGGAATTCTCTGGCCACTGAAGCTGGCATAGCACTGGTCTGGAAGCCAAGCCCCCAGCTGCCGAGTTCTGCCTGTCACCGTGGGTTAGTTATTTGGAGCCCAAGGTCACTAAAGTTGGCTGGCATTGATGCGAGCTGGAACTTAAGTTTATTTTGTAGGTACTATGGGTTCCCCTCTGGTGCCAGAGCAAGTCTAGAGACTCAGTCCATGTGTACCAGCTTGGAGTCAGGGGCTGTGGGGATCTCGTAGTACTGAGTTTTACTATGGTGAGACAGTATTTGAGGCTGGTGCAAAGTCCTACACTTTACTTTCCTCTCTCTTCCGTAAGTGGATGGTACCTCTCTCCATGCTGTGCTGCCTGGAGTTGGGTAAGGAGTGACATGGGTAATGTTAAATTGTCCTGCCTACCCTCTCCAACATGTCTTTCTCTTTCTCTCCAAGAATTCTCCATATTGATTTGTTGGAATCCTTTACATTAAGAAAATCAGTTTTTTGTTTTTGTTTTTGTTTTTGTTTTTGTTTGAGACAGAGTCTCGCTTTGTCGCCCAGGCTGGAGTGTAGTGGCATGATCTTGGCTCACTGGAACTTCCACCTCCAGGGTTCAAGTGATTCTCCTGCTCAGCCTCCCGAGTACCTGGGACTACAGGTGCCTGCCACCATGCCTGGCTAATTTTTGTATTTTTAGTAGAAATGAGGTTTCGCCATATTGGCCAGGCTGGTCTCGAACTCCTGATCTTGTGATCTGCCTGCCTTGGCCTCCCAAAGTGCTGGGCTTACAGGCGTGAGCCACCATGCCCAGCCAGAAAATCAACATTTTAAGTGTCATATAAGTTATGCTTTTTTCCAGTTTGGTGTTTAACTTTTGACTTTACTTATTTTTTATATATATATATATATATATATATATATATACACACACACACACACACACACAAATACACACAAGATATACATTTATGTATTTGTAACATATATAAATATATAGTTATTATTTTTAATATATAGTTTTTACATTGCTGAATTTATCTTTTCTGTCATGTGTTCTAGCTGTTTTTATTCAGAGGTGACAAAAAATTTTTTATGATAGTTTCTTTCTTGTTCATTTATCGTTTTACTTATTTATTTTTAGTTTGTGATCCATTTAAACTTTATCCTGTTTTAATGTGTGAGGGACAGATCCAACTTATTTTTTTGGATCAGAACTTCTAGTTATCCCAACCCTATTTATTGAATAATCCATCTTTATACAAGAAATTTTTCAATAATATGAATTCCCAGGAGCCACCCTTAAATATTATTTAGTAAATATTGTTAACATACCAAAAGGAAGTCCCAGTCTATTTAGAGGTACAGCCATGTTTATGAATCACAGCAAGAAGGTTCATCTGGAAGTGAAGGTGAGAGTATGCTTTTTAATGAATGTTATCCAAATGACTGGCTGGAAGCTTACTCTTAATTTGGGGAGAAGACAGCTGCTTTCCAGAAATGGTTTGGTAATATATTTGCCTGGATTGATTTTTATTGATAAGATATGATATCAGCAAACTTACATGCTTCCTGATCTCCCCTCAAACAGTTCTTTGGGCTTTACATAGGAGATATGAGTAGGTTTACCTTTTTATTTAAGCATATTGTTTTGCATGTTGGGTTATATTTTTCTCCTCTGAAAAACAAAAATGTCCTTCTTTCAGGGAAAAATACAGTTTACCAGACTCTGTTTCCTAGGAAATTGGAAAAGGTCTACACTTATGAGATCATGCTTGAGTTCAACCATGAATACAATTAAATGAATGAACCCTGTGGCATTTTGATTATCTCGTGCTGTCCCTTAGTATCCCTTACTGGCAGCAAAAGGAAGAACAAGTATTGTCTGAGTTAGGACCAGTTTCTGGGTAGGCAGAGTTGGAGATTTGAGAAGACTCACTGACACACAAGATTGCTTTCTCACTAGCTTGCCAGAGAGCCCAAACATTCATCCTTAGACAATTCTTTTTTATATTGGGTATCGCAATAAATTTATATTAATGAAAAACAGGAGTTTATCCACTTGCTTACTAGGAGGCGTTCTAGTTGAGTATTAATATCATCAGTTAACAGCAAGTTACTTCTCAATTCTAACTTCACATCAGAATGCTTGGGAAGTTTTTAAAAATACTGATGCTTAGACTCCTTCCATGAATTCAAACCACTCAAAGTCAGGACCTCTGATCTCAAGTCCAGGGATTTCTCCTCTTTATTATGAACTCATTTGAAATAGCAAACTGGACAAAAGAAAGTGTGGACGGGAAGGAGGTGAGGGAAAAGGTCTGATTTTAAGGCATGAAAATAGTACTAGAGACTCAGGGGGTTCCAAGAGATGGCCGAAGGTGCTAAACAGGGCAGGGAAAGGTTACTGAAGATAGATCTCACATTGAAATACATTTATTTTCTGTATCTAGAAGGGCAAGTAGAACATTGCTACATCTTGTGTGGCTCAGATAATTGCTCCTTTTCCAGGGGAAAAGTGTAGACTTTTCAGAGGAAAATGCTGATGTTCTCTCTGCTTTTTTCTTTTAAATGATGTGCTTCTTTAAGGCCTTGACCTTTCCCCACATATAGGCCTGTAAATACTGAGAGGCTTTTTAATGCCATAGTTCTAAGGACTTGTTTGGGTTTTCGGCAGGGCCAGTGCCTCCCATTTCCTTCAGGAAAAATAATGAAATCTTGCTAATTCATAATTCGCAGGCTAGAATATTTTCTAAGATTTCAGATGCTATAAACAAAGGCTTAGCTTGGCTTTCCAGCTTACATTTATAAGGAAGTCTCTAAAGCGTTTGCAAACACTACTTGGGCCTAAGAAACAGTTTAAATCGTGTCATTCCTGGCAGGTCATTGCCTTGCTCTGAGGATAAATTCGATGCTGTGTGCTGAGTAAACATTTATATCACACAATCATAAGCATTTAACGAAGCTGTTTTTGATTTTAAATGCTGGCTACTTATTAGATATGTACCTCATTAGATATGTAACTCATGCTGAGACGCATATTCAGAGTTGAGCTTGAGCTGAACTTCTGGACTAAGCCCTTAGCTTCCCTTTGTGCAGAGCTGGGGGAAGCTGTAGTGGAAGCCCAGGCAGGCTTCTGCAGGCATGGAGGTAGTGACTTACCTTGGCCTGGGATAAGGCTGGAGCAGTTTCTCTCTCCCAATCCTCTCCTACATTTTCCTAAAGCTACACCACCTCCAATTTTTGTTTTTTCTACTTCTGTTTTCACAGGTACCTGAGTCAGTACTGTGAGGCTTCAGCAGTGACTGTCTTCAAAAGCTAGTGTTGGCAGGGTTCGGTGGCAACGGGGGTGGGGGGAATGTTTTTCTTCTTGTTGTTGCCCTATTAACAGTTCCATATCCTTAGCCTACCATAAAAATTGAGGGACCTTATCAAACTTATGAAATGCTGGAAATGATGCATCACAGCATCTAGGACTGATTGATACTGCTTGGGTCTGTCATTTTTCACTTTGTTCCAATGTAAACACCATTTGTAGAGGTGGCAAAATGCAGCCCCTTAACAGAATTATGTGTTAAAGAATAGAATAGTAAACATGGGAGTAAATTCATTTAAAAACAAAAACATTCACATTTGAGAAAATTTTTATAAGGTTCATCTTTAATAATCTTTTCTCTATTCATGATTGCTTTTTGCAGTTAGTGTTTAAAGTTAGTATACATATGTCTCTCATTCAATTGTGAAATATGAAGGTAATTTTGTTAAGTTTTTGTATCTCCAGTCTCAAATGTGCAGCTTGACAGATAAAAAGTGCTCAACAATTGTCTAGTCAAAGAGTAAGTGTAAGGCGGAACTGGCAGGCATTTTAATGTTTTGGATTCTGAAGGCTGAATTTTGGACACAACTACAAGCCCCTCGATGCTCCCTGTACGATGGTTGAAAAAGTTGACACAGTGCCTGGCAGGGATAAGCTACTCAATTACTTCTAACTATTCACACGATAATTTCTCGGTTGCATACCATGTGCAGGCATTTGGCCCAGGCACCTTCTGTGCTTTATTTCATTGAGTCATATCAACAGCTATGAGTCTGTAAAGTGGGTCTTTTCCTTGTTTCCTTGGACGTTAAACTGAGACCTAAAGAAACACAATCTAATGGACACACAGTTGTTAAGGGGCAAAACCAGAATTCAGTGTGTGAACATAGGAGTTGAGGAGAACTCCTGCTTGGTTCTTTTGCATTCTCCAGTTTCTAAAAGCCTCCAAAGCCTTTTGTCCCTGAAGGCCAGAGAAAGGAAAGAGAAGGATGGGGCGGGATGGGTGAGGGGTTCTCAATGGCCTCTGATTAATTTTAGTCCCTGTGCTTACCAGTTGCACTTCTCATTGTCTTTCCCTAGCTGGTTGTCAGTGACTTTCAAAATATAACTTAACGGGAACATTTGAGAAATTACTTGGAGAGAGATAATCTATAGAATGTGATGTAATTATTGCTCACTGCAGGGCTGCCCCGAGGAGTGACAAGGGTGTGTATTGAGGCAGCTTGTGAAGAGGACTTGAACGCTGTACCAGCTGCATATCCCTGGCTTCCTCCCAAGAGCTCCTGATGGGATATTCTCCATGATTTCTAAGACCACCTGGAGTTATTAGTCCCTTGAGGACCCCCATAAGATGCTTTATTATCCTTTCGTTTGCTCCCCAGGTGCTTTAACTCAGATCCTCATTCATTGTGAGATTGGAAAAACATGCACGTGCAGGTCTTGTCTTAGGTAGCAATAAAATGCTATTACTAGGTCCCCAAATGTAAATGACACAGGCAACTATTTCATAACATCAATAAATCTAATGTCTGTGTAATCCGAAACCAGAGATCCGAACTTTACCTTTGGGCTAACTCAAAATCTGTATCATTGCAGTCATTAGAAACCAGTTTTTATTCCTTGTCTTATTGAAGAGACTGCTGTTGATAGTTTCTAATTTTTAAATAATGAGTTTTTCTTTTTAGATATAAGCCATGAGACAACTTTAAAAGTTTGTTTCTGAGGAGGTAAGAGTTGAATTTAAAACAACAAATGAAGCCTTTGCATCACTAGCATTCTTTTCCATGTGTATTATCCAACACTGCAATGTTAGAAATATTTTTGAAAGTGTTTTTGTAAAAAAATGTATTTCTAAAAAAAGAGCATCAGTGAGAAAGAAATGAATTTATGTAAAAAGCTTTTCAAATAAAAGTGTAAAAATTTTCACTTAGGGCACACAAATAAAATAATTGTCTGAGAATATGGTCATTTTCAGTAATATGACACTAACAATTTCTAACTGTATCTCTATGTAGGGTTTAAATTTTTTTATGAACACGAATTCATTATAGAACAAATTACTGCATTTAAGAGAAACATCAAAAGCTGACTATTTATTTACTTTTACCAGTTATTCTTCCTCCGTGGAAATTATGCTTCTGAATATAGTGAATAAAACCAGAGGTGATTACATTGATTTTGACTTAGTGCTATTTTCAACATAATAATATTTCTTATGGGATAGAGAGCATAAAAGGGAAGGCAAAGGGAAGAAAATCACCTTTGCATTTCCACTGTGTCAGCAGGTCATGCATTTGATGTGTTACGTCATAATGCAAAAATTAGCTGGGCATGGTGGCGGGTGCCTGTAATCCCAGCTATTCATGAGACTGAGGCAGAGAATTGCTTGAACTCTGGAGGTGGAGGTTGCAGTGAGCTGAGATCATGCCACTGCACTCCAGCCTGGGTGACAGAGTGAGACTATGTCTCAAAAAAAGAAAGAAAGAAAGAAAGAAAAATTTGAAGTATAGAGGGGAATCACAAAAATTCTAAATGGTAGTAAGTATTAAGTCCAAAATAGTATAAATAAAATTGAAATTTAGGATAGGGTTTGATAATAGTTTGTATGTTTTAACTAAAAGTTAAAATTTAAGATGTATAAATATAATAATTTCCATACAACATAAAGTATTGGCAACCACATAAAGACTAGGGGTAAGTTTCAGGAAAAAAAAATTAGAAAATACCCAAATTAAGCTCCATTTGAATTGTAAGATCAATGATATTTTGGTTAAAATGCAGATGCTTTTAGTCATCTTTTGGGTCCCTTCCCAAATCTGTTGAAAGCAATGGAAATTTCCTACCAAAAATATCACATTTTTGCATTAAACATTTTTGGAGTTTTACAGGTTCCCTAAATTCATTAATTCCAGACTTCTTTCATCCTTCTTTTGGGGTTCATGAGGTCAACGTGGAAAATGTCTTTAAGTGTTAACACAGATCTCATTCTTTAAAATATTGCTTGGATGGTTGGACTTTGTTCTTTAGAATTTTGCAAGGCCTGCAAATGTAAACAAATCTTTCATTAGTAGCCTAACTAGAGCAACGTCCATTTTTGAGGAAATATACAACTAGGGGAAAAGAAAGCTATGGAGTTGCAGATTGGAACAGGGCTATAATAAAAGGTCATACTTATATAGTGCTTAAGGATGGTTTCAGTGTATTACAGAATTTTACTTGTTAACCATCACAACCTCACCTTAGGGGAAGTTTTGAGAGGGGTGATAAACTGTCTATCCTTGGCTTTACATCTTGAGGTGGGTTGGAATGGGGCCCTTAGCTGTGGAGCCAAGAAAATGTTATAAGAAAGCTAAAAATTTCATTGCCTGAAATTTTAACGTATTTGGATGTTTAGCTATACACCTGACTAACTAATCAAATTTATTAGATTTCTATGAGGTGTAAGGCATTGAGTGACATAAAGGTAAACCAACTTGTGGACCAGGTGGTGACTGTTTTTTATTTTTGCTTTTTGGCAGCATCCATATGCTCCTCTATTTTTGAGTAATAAGCACTGGAATTGCATTATTAAAATTTAAAATTACAGAAAATTTCAATAGGACATTAACAGTTTTTTTAAGGTGAATTTCTGGATTATGTCCCTCAGTGGAAAAAAATATGTTTTCAACATATATATTTGTAGACTCATGTCAGGAACCTGAAAGTCAAGTCTTCACTTCAGCATTGGGAAGTATATGAAACTGTTTTCGGACCACACAACTCTGTGAGCTCATCGCTAAGAATTGGTATGCAAGGTCTTCAGAAGGGTAGGCAATTTGTAAACTCCTTTTGACTTAGCTGGTAAGACAGAAAGTTCTTTTTTCATGGCTAAATGATACTTGAGAAAAGAAAAAATGTGGTGAAGCTGAATGTATCTAGTTGAAATAAAAATGCCTACCTTTCTCCTGCATAGGCAAAATATACTACTTACAAGAAAAAAAGGAATTTATGAATAGAAATAGAATCAGGTCACAGTGCATTTCCTAATTCTCCACTGGATTTTATTACTCAAGCACTGTATTTTTACCTTTTATCATAGCTGTCATTCGTCCTTGTACTTTAGATAGCAGCTTATCAACCCTTGTTATATCCTTACCTTCTTTAGGGTGATGATCTTATCTTTATTTTTGACCACACTTCCTGTGCCTGCCCCTTTTCTTACATCAATTTCTGTTCCACTTGGGATTTTGTACTCACAGATGTGACATGAATATTTATGAGATTAAAGTGAATGGTCCAACATCAATTCAGAAAAATTTTGATCCATTCGTCCAAATTATTTAAAATATTCCCTTTCTAATTGAGGCAGCAAGGCCTCTAGCTTAGTGCTCATTTTCCCTCTCTAAGCATATTCATGCCATTAGGGTATTAATTTCTTCTAAACTAAAGCTCTTATCTCCTCATAATTCATTATGTCTGTTTTTGATTCGCACTATCATTGTGGTCTCTCAACTTACTCCCGTTAACACAGTCATTTTGGTGGCTTTTATAATACCTCCTCTGTTGTTCTTCAAATTTTGCCTAAATAGGCAATAACTTAAATGAAAAAGTGTTCATGAGTGAGCCAGTGAGCTCAGAAATTTGGAACCTTTTTGCCATGGAGGGTGATGGTGAGCTTAGTGATAACAAGAATTTCCCAATTATGGCATCTACCTTTCTAATCATCTCTCCTTCCATGTGATACTGTTTTTATATAGTTTGTTTTGCCTGCCTCCCTCCCTTCCCATCTCTCTTCTTTCCTCCCTTCCTTCTCTCCTTTCCTTCCACTCTTCTTTCCTTTATGGGAAAAACCATTCTAAATCCTTCAAATTGTGGTTTGAGTTTACAGTCTTTTATTGAAATTACATGTTGGTATGCTAGGAGTATATGAAAGCTTTTTTTCCAATTTGCAAAGAATGTTTATATGATTTTATTATTTTTATATGATTTTTGTATTAAAATCATCCCAGATATCCCCAAAATAGAATGCAAAGTTTACATTTTAAATTTACTTTGAAATTTTAAATAAATTTTCTTCTAAGTTGTCTTTGGATTACATATCCAGACAGATTGGAGGCATCAAAATACTTCCCACTCCTTTTTCAATGTTGTTAGGGATATTGCTATGACATTTTTGAGAAGTATTCGAAACAACTCTATTAAGATAAGCTCCTTTTCTTTATTGTCTTCATCTTATATCTCTGGCTGTCAATGAAATTCTATCATTTCCCACTCAAAGCCCAATTGATCTCTGGAAGGAGGTGGGGTGTGCCCTTGTATGAGCTCTTAAGAATTTATTTAGCATTTTTTTCTAGCTCTTCCATCAGTGAAATCAAGATGGTAGCTGAAATTTACCACGGTGGAGGATATTTACATCACAGAAATTGGCAAAGGCTACAAATAAGTTTAATTTTTTTTTTTTTAGAACTCGTTAAGTATGTACCAGCACACCCTGTAAGGTTGATTGATGCTTGATCTAGGTGTCTTCCGTATGCTTTGTGTGTTACTCCTGTGGCTTTACCAGCTATTATGCATTAGTCTCTGGGGATAAGGGAAGTAATAAACCTTTGTCCCAGGTCTCATAAATAGCTTGGTTATTAATCAAATGATCATTTGGTCTGGCTTCCTTTGTTCGGTCCTATGCTTGTAAGTATGGATGTGTTAGCTCTAGACAGAACCATAGATAAGGGAGCTAAAGCCCAGAGTGATTAATGACTTACAAGGTCACAATTCTAGTTAGAGGGAAAGATGCTGGGACAAGAATCTGGGTTTTCTGAGTCCCAGGTAGGTTTTGTTGCTGTTATACAACTCTCTAATAATTTTCAAAAAATCCTAAATCATAAATATTCCATTGTAATAAGCTTCAGAAAGCATTGCAAGCCACAGATTTAGCTCTAATACTATTAATCTTTGCTTTTTTTCTAATCTAAAAACTAGGATACATTAAGAAAAGTAGAAAATGTAAAAATATTGGTAAAAAACCAAAACTCCTAACAAATTAATATATATATGTTAAGAGAGACATACGTTTAAACAATTTACTATCATCTGTCAACTTTTAAAGGAATGCCTGGATGTAGCTCTTATGACTTTCAATCGAAGTGACACAATTTTTCCAGTAATTTTAACTGTTTCTCCCAGCTTGCTTGTTAAAGAAATCTGTAACATCTTTAGCAAGAAACAGAAAGACAGAGGGCAGCATGGGACCAGAGTGCAGCTGTCCTTCAGAAGAACCTGACTGTACAACTTGCACATCTGAAGAGGTAGCCAAGAAAATAGAGAAAAGAATGGGAAGTGGATCTACCCACATCCTCTCCCATCCCCTCCAGAAAGAAATGCAGCATCTCTTTCTCATTGTTTAAGAAGAAAAGGGGGATCTCGGAGACAAAGCCAATGAAGAATAAATGAGTGCTCTGCCAGTTCAAAGTCAATGTGAAGATTGGATGGGGAAGCGTGCGGAGCTCAGAAGGTATTATTTTTAGAGGGTGCAAACAAGAGAACTTGCCTGGCAGAAGGGTTTGTGCAGGCTCTTCCAGCCCCAGTAATTGGATAGGTTTGGCAGACTGAAAGAGGGGCTCGTGGTTCCTGATGAATGCTCCACTTGTGCCCGGGTGTGATTTAGCGTGCTGCTGAATAAACACAACACAGGGAAGGGAAGGTGAAAACTACCAGTCTCAGCAGAAAGAGAGAGGCTATAAATATGCCAGGGGGTCAATAGGAGTGATTTCATTCTGCCTGCACAGGACTGCTGATGAGGTCTGACGGGGCAGCGCCACTTCATTAATGCATCACAATGGTGAAGAGCACCTGAAGCAGCAGCAGCAGCAGCAGCAGCAGTCACCTACCTAGGCTGCAGCTATCAGCAAGGCCAGCCCAGAGAAAGAAAGGCAACAATAGACCAACAAAGATGCCATAGGCCACGCCTTCCTGCTTTATCCTCCTCCTGTATCCCTTCATTCTTCTTCTCCTCTTTCCTCCCCTCCCAAACTCCTTCCTTCCCTCATTCCTCCACTTTCATCTCTTTGCTATTTCTAGAAAGAATCTTTTGTCTTGCTAGGCAGAGCATTTATAACAAAGGAAAGACAGGAGGTGTAGATGATGAAGCAGAGTAGAGCACTTTTAACTGCAAGAGTGTTAGGATATGAACACTGCTGTTAGGATAGAAAAGAGAAAATCCTCAGAGTATGTATGCTGGATTGTTTAGAGGGGAAAAGTCTTTCTATGGAAATCACCTATAAAACAGTTCAGAAATGGAAATAAAGCTATTTTGCTGCAAGTAGCTTTTTATTTTTTCTTCCAGAAATAACACACAAATGTCCCCAGGCACTTTTCACTTAGCCCACTGTTCATGGCTCCTTTCCCAGACTCAGGTGCTTCTCTTTTCCCATTGCTCCCAGACATCCATTTGCCCATTGACATTCTACCTCCATTGCCAAGGCCAGAGAACATAACGCGTGCTCACTCTTCCACTTAGCTCCTTTAGGCTCTGTCCTTGTCTGGCTGAGTCTGACAAATGGACGGGCAGCCCTGCCACCCTGATTGCTCGGTCATCTGAACCACAGTTTCTGATTTCTGCATGATGGATCTGGCTGTGGCTGGTCCAGAGAATTGGAAAGAAAAAATAATTATAAAATAAATTTAATAGTTCTCCTTGGCATCTTTCTCTTTTTCTATATTCAGTTAGTGCAGCACTATAGCTATTTACTTCCCCTTTGCAATTTTTGGGAAAGTGAGGAGGTCAAGAAAGAGTTGTAAGGCAAACTGTTGTATATTTCACTGCATGGTCTGCCTTTCATAGTTACAATTATGTCAAGACTATACATCACTATGAATAATGTATTATGAACAAGTATAATAATATTTGTTAGACACAACCATTTCTAGCAATTATTTTGTAAGTAGAAGAAGATAAGCAGATATACAAGTAGTGCCCGTATTGCTTAAAGCAAGGTTTGTTTCCGGATGTCAAAACTTCTAGGCTATAAGATGCTCATTTTTTTTGGCCCACTGACTTGTAGCATGTTTCTAAGTTTCATAAGCTTAATATAGCCCTAATAATTTTTATGTATTTTTGGTGTATGTTTACATACAATAATACTAGTTAAGACTAAAACTTTAAGAGCACTATTTAAAATCATACATTCATGTTGGATTTCATGAGTCCAGGCCTGAATACTGCCTCAACTAATGTTGAATTGATTTTGAACAAAGAACAAGAATTTTGTAACTTGAAGTGTTTTTGTTTTGTTTTGTTTTGGTATCTGAACAAACTATTCAGAAAAATACCCATTAATAAGGAAGTACTTAGAATGGTTTGGCTTGAATTTTGTTTAGTTTTGTCTTGCCTAAATCTGCTTCTAGATTGTGGACTCTCCATGGGAAGTGTCAATGTTACTTGTTTTTATATCCTCCGGTAGGTCTTGCTTGATGTTTGTGTATAATAGGGTATAGAATAATTTTTAGTTAGGTAAAATCTTGATTATATTTTAAGAATTTCAACTTCAGTGAAAACAATATTTAGGTGTATGTGGAGTGGAGAGGGAGGGCAGGCAGGGAAACTCCTAAAAGTATACTTAACTTGATAATAAATATCATTCTAGATTTCTACCAATAGTTCTTTTTATTTTTATTTAAGATGGAAATGTAAGAAATCACAGATGCAAAATCAAGCTAAGAAATGAAAAGATTCCTTAAGAAAAAACAAATGAACAAGGATACTCATCATGTAAATAATGAATAAATGAGCATTTTCCAGTGTATGAGTGATAAGTGATGAAACAGTAGCTGGAATTTCTACTTTACAAATACAAAATGAGCAAAAGGAAATATAATTGATAATTGTCTTTGTCTTATAAGCTTTGGAAATGACACATATCCCACCCTCCCCCACAGCATTTTTTTTTTCCAGAGCAAGAGAAAATCCAGTGACTGAAAAAGAATAAGAAGAAAAACACTGACCAAGGCAATAATTCCAAGAAGTCAAAAATTAAGGCCTGAGAGGAAGAAGGCAGACTAAAGAAAGTAGGTAAGACAGTGACCTGAACGAAAGTGCTGGCTCCATGCTCTGTGACGTTGGGCGTCCTCACTGACCTCGGAAGCATGGTCTTGGTGACACTGGTCAGGTGCATGAAGTGTTAGAAAATTTTATTAAAGATTCCATGGTTGCATCTCTGCCTTCATGCCTGGATAGTTTTTTCTCCTCCTTCTTTCACTCCCAGTCCATAACTTGCCAATCCATTTCTATAACCTCTTTAAATATAAATAAAGTCTGACCATTGTGAATAGACCCACTTTTTATATAATGAAGAGGAAGTTAGGGATATGCTGAGTTTTTGTTTCATTGTTGTTAGTAATTTAAGATATCCCTTGGTGTTTTCTCCATGTTTCTTGCTGGTTTCATTGCAACTAAGTATTTCCTCTGTCCCCTACTCTCTTTCCTCTCCTTTGAGAACTCCAATTTCATTAGGCCTATCCCACCCCTCCAGTGGGCCATCTGAAGGTGTTTCAGACCTCACTGGTGCTCTACTCATATTCGTTCAAATCTGCTCTTAATCTCATCAAGTATATTTTTCATCTCAGACATCGTAGTTTTCACCTCCAGGTGTTGGATATGGGGTTTTTTTTGTACCTCTTCCATGCCTTTATTCCTCTAGCTTTTGGAACATATGGAATAGAGTTATAATAACTGATTTCATGTCCTTGTCTACTAATTCTCTAACATATGTCAGTTCTTGGTCTCTTTGATTTGTTGATTTTTCTCCTCATTATCAATTGTATTTTCTAGCTTTTTTTCATGCCTGATAATTTTTGACAGGGTGTGAATTTTATCTTATTGGGTCCTGAGTAGGTTTTTCGTCCCACAGATCTTCTTGAGCTTTGTTCTGGGATGCCTTTAAGTTATTTAAAACTGGGTGGGATCCTTTCAAGTATTGCTTTTAAGCTTTGTTAGGTGAGTCTAGAACTGCAATTAATCTAGCATTAATTTCGCCCTGTTTGTGAGGCAAGACCCTTCAGGGTGCTTTATCTAATGCTCTGTGAATCATGAGGATTTCCAGTCTGACTGGGGGAAGTGGGGGTAGGGTGGGTGGGAAGGCACCATTCTTGACCCTGTGTAAGCTCTGGGTAATTTTCCCTCTAATCCTCTCAGATGGTTCTATCTCTGGCCTAGCATACTTTCCTCACATACATGAGCTGATCAGTGCTTTGCTGAATACTCAGGGGAGCCCCTCTGCAGATCACTGGAGTTCTCTCTCTGTATAACTCTCTCCTCTCCAGTACTCTGTTCTTCAAACTTCAAACTTATTCCCTTGACTCTCACCTTCAACTGTTTACCTCAGAGAGACACTGGGTTCTGCCTGACTCCCCTTCTCTTCTCCATACCTGGAAGCCTCTCTTGAGGAAGAATCTTGAACAGTGATGGGTTTTTTATTTGCTTTCTGCCCTTCAGGGATTCCTAGCCTTTATGACTCGATATCCAGTGTCTTCAAAACTGTTGTTTCATACATTTCCTCCAGTATTTTTGTTGTTCTGGCCAGGAAGCCTTTCAGGTAAAACCAGTCTTTGCTACTCCTTCTTGGCCAGAATGACAAGTCCTTAATTTTCTTATTTTTAAAATGGCTCTTTAGTATTGTTTTTTACTTACCAATGGAGTCGTGAAGATAAAGCAAGATGTATTTTAAAAATGCACTTACCTAACTTATTTATAATCCACTTTCCTTCAAAGATTTTTAGAGATAAAAACACTAACATCAGATAAAAACATAATGCTGAAAAAGTAGATGAAACCAGGGCCAATATCCCAAATGTTTATCTTAAAATTTCATTCAGCTGAAATTTGTTGAATGCTTGCTTTGTTCTAAGACATAGCTGAATAGAGCATACCAATACCGCTCCGCACTGTTGACCAAGGAGGGTGTGCAGGCTTGGTCATGTTCCCAGAATGGCCCAGGAGAGGCCTATGATTACCTGACATCAAGACTGACCTTCTGTAAAGGCTCCTGATAAAGGGGAACCCTGTGATGCAGGCACTGCAGCCCTTACTTCTGTCTAACACTTCTTCCCCCTTGACACCTGTATCAACAATGTGTCACCCTTGAAGTGCTTTAGGTTTTCTTAGGACTCTGTACCTTCACTGTCCTGATACTTCCTCTCTGGATTTCCCTTAGTGCTGCTCACACCTCTTCCAGGAATCCTTTCCTGTTCCCCTCATCAAACTCTGTGCTTGTCTTGAGAGATCCCAGTCTTCAACACTTAACTCTGGCACAGCTTATGTGACCCTGGATTATGAGGGTTTGCTTGTCTGTCTTCACTCCAAACTATGAGCTCCTAACAGGGAGGGATGATCGATTTTTATTCTGTATCCTCAAAGCCTAGGATACAATGGCTGGCACATGATGTATATTAACAATGTTGAATAAACGCACGAAATGAATGAGTTAATCCTAAAATAAATAGAAGAGGCAAAATAAAGGCCTAGTACTGATAAGTTCCCTCAATATTTCTATCATGCCAAAAGCACAGTTCTGGTAAGGCCTATAGCCGTTCAGGCACTCATTTAGCTGATGGCCTGGCAGAAAATGACACATGTGAAAATGTAAGACATTATAATTCTACTGCTTTGAAGTTTTATTTAGGCTGACCCTCTTACTTTATATGGTTCTTTTATAATTTCTTATGCTTATTTAATAATTCTTGCTGTGGACCAACTGTTTGTGTCCCACCGAAATTCATTTGTTGAAGCCTAAAACTCCAATTGGTGGTATTAAGAGGTGGGGCCTTTAGTAGGTAATTAGATTATGAGGATGGAGCTCTCATGAATGGGATTAGTACCCTTATCAGAAGAGGCATGAACAATTATCTCTCTCCACCAGGAAAGATGCAAGGAGAAAGACAGCCATCTGCATACCAGGAAGAGGGCCCTCACCAGACACTGGATCTGCTGCATCCTTGATCTTGGGCTTCCAACCTCTAGAACCATGTGAAATACATTTCTGTTGTTTAAACCACCCCATCTACAGTATTTTGTTAGGGCAGCCCAAGCTGACTCAGATAGCCTTATTACACCTTATTTTAGTAATAATAATCATTTCATTAATAATAAGATCCCTCAAAGTAGCTCCTCCCCTACCAGCACCACCCATTCTTTCTCGTATCTGATGGCCATGCTGATTATCTGGAAGCCATTATGTTGAAGGAGCAACAATTTTAAACCTTGTAGAGTCCTGTGATCTTGGCATCTTCTCTCAATCTGTATGCTTATTCAATCTGCTCTGATGATAACAATTCTCCTGAGGGGAAAATTTAGGAATTGTTTTATTCAAATTACTAAGTTTTTTTTTTTTTTTTTTTTTTGCATAACTGTTAAAGAAAATATTTGTGGGTGATAGAAAATGACTGATTTTACCTTAAAAAAAGATTAAAATGAAGATTAAAAAAAAGTTCCCTTGCCATGAAGGGAACTGGATGTTTTTTCCCATATATAATTAAAAACAGTGGGATAAAGGGGTAAACACTAAGGATGTATATTTATCTCCTCTCCATTTTAGAGAAATGCACTGGGTGATGTAGACAAACAATTTGCCTAATACTGTTATTGAACCTGGTGGGCTGGGCCTGGCCAAAGTCAGCTTTTCCTCCTCTCTCTGGATCAAATTATGGTGATGTAGCTGACATTCAATAAACCCCAAACACAGGCCACGTGCCAGGAGCACTCAGGTTACAAGACATGACCTCCACCTTCAAGACGAGGAGGTAGAATTGCTGGGTCCCTGAGACTGGGGCTTAGTCTGTCTCATTCACTCTTTCATCTCCAGTGCCTACCACAGCACCTTGTCCAGGGTACAAATTTTAATAACAATTTATCAAATGAATAAGTGGATTCTGTCACAGTATAGCAGTGATATTCTGGAAGCTTAACCAAATTAATAAATTATGTGGCCTGACATGCTGGTGTGTGCCTGTAGTCTCAGCTATGTGGGAGGCTAGGTGGGAGGATGGCTTGAATTCAGAAATTTGAGTGTTCAGCCTGGGCAATATATTGAGATGACCTCACTTCTGAAACAAAACAAAATAAAATAAAACACTAAAAACAATAAAGCGAAACACAAATAAATTATGAAGTGAGTATAATTAGTTTTACCAGTGTTGGAATGTGAGGCGAGGAGGTTTCTGAGCGTGACTCCATGGAGCAGGTGAATTGGGGTTTTGAAGGTTGAGTACAAGTTTTTCAGATGAAGTAGAAAGGGGCATTTCAGTGGTTGTTGAGACCAGTGGCAGGTAGACCAGTTAAGGAGCTAGTCTAGTAACCAAAGCAAGTGAGGGTGAAGACCTGGCTGACGGTAGTGTCAGTGGGATTGGAGGAGGAAGAGATTGGGAATTTATATGAGAAAATCAAATAAATGCCACTTTGATGCTGACTGATATGTACAACTGGGTCACTGAGGAGTCAGGGAAGGCTCTGAGGCATCCTGGGAGGGAGGGCACTGCATCAGTTCTGTACTTTCTTCAACTCCACCTAATTTTTCTCTCCCAACTAGGACAAAAGCTTGTTAAGAGGAACTTGACTCTTTGTTCACTGCTGAGTCTTCGGTGCCCAGAACAGATCTTGGCACATGGGCATTCAACTTCTGCAGACTGGATGATTTAGATGTTGCAAATGCCATCTTCAAGGATGCCCATACTTCCTGGATTCTAACTACCTTGATAAAGTTTCATTGCTTTGTTTTTCTTCTGTATTTCAGTATGGAGACCTTCTATGTCCAGACTTAATCAATTTTCTGTACTTGTCCATTCTGCTTCTGCTGGTGTTTTGCAGTAAGCCAGAGGTAAGCAGGATATTGTGGACTATAGGAAGAGGTTAAACAGGTAACTCTGATTAGACTTTCACAATGGGGTCCCTATATTGCATTTACATCGCCATGGAAAGGGCCTTTTATCATAATAATTCTAATAATAACTGGTATTTATTTAGCACCTAGTACGTAGTAGGAACTCTGCTTAGCACTTTATATAAATTATTTCATTTAATCTTTCTAACAACGCTGTATTATTTAATCTTTACAACAACTAACTATGGTTTTTATTTCCAATTTGTAGATGAGAAAATTGATGCTCAGAGGTGTTGTGCAACTTAGAAATGTACTGCAGCTAGGAAGCCACCTGCTGGTTTCTCATTACAGCTAAGGTGCCAGAGCTAAGGAATAACACATGCCTGTAACATGAGCACTTTGGGAGGCCAAGGCGGATGGATCACCTGAGGTCAGGAGTTCGAGACTAGCCTGGCCAACATGGTGAAATCCCGTCTCTACTAAACATACAAAAATTAGCTGGGCGTGGTGGCAGATGCCTGTAATCTCAGCTACTAGGAAGGCTGAGGCAGGAGAATTGCTTGCACCTGGGAGGCAGAGGTTGCAGTGAGCCGAGATGGTACCATTGCACTCCAGCTGGGCGACAGAGCGAGACACCATCTCAAAACAACAACAACAAAAAAAAACAAAAAGGGATGGTCAGACCAGGAGATGAAGACCCAAAGAGGTCCCTTTTCCTATGATGCTGTCATAATTTTCATGCTCCTGATTATACCTGCCCAATTATTAGCAGACATATAGACAATAGCAAATCTCAATTCACAGTCACATGGTGGAATTCCTTTGCTTAATGCCGTAAATTCATCAAGAGAAAGGGAATGGTTTTTGTTACAACTGTGAATTAAAGGTAGGTGGTGACTAATCAGTTAGCCAATGCATGTCCCTTGAGATAAGAAAGTCAACTTCTTGTGATATTCAGGGTTCTCAGATGTGATCCCAAAACATTAATGCCAGATACCTGCGCTCCTACCTGAGACAAACTCATGGTTTCAGAGAGCAGAAGGTCAAAGCACTAAAATGAATGCATTAGAATTAAGCTGGCTTCCATCACAAAGCTTCATATAAATATTACACCGGCTCTATAAGACACTCAATGTTTGGTTTCTGAACCTATTAATATATAATGAGGATACGATGTAATTAATATCGTTTGTTTTGATTTTCTGTTAAATCCGCTTTAGTAATAAAGAATGCAAGGTAATTATTCAAAAAGGCTTTTCAACAAATGTCAGTTTCATTGATTAAAAATCAAGTCAGTGCTTCATTTGAAATGATATTTACAAGCATGCTTTAAGCTGAAATGAATAATTATCAGATTATTGAACAGCAAGTTATCTGCAAAGAATTGTCTACTTTTTTGCTTTTTGCACTGAGGCTTGATCTCAAATAATAATAAAAGACAAACCAGAGGGTACTGAGAAAAAGTGTCATGATTTTGCTTTGAGGGATTTAATTTTCTTTATATAGTACCCTCCTCTGCTGGTTATAGAATCTTCAAAAACTGAAGTTTTGCGGGGCCGGAGCTGGGTGTTGTCACTGGGGTGGGACTGGCAGCTGTTCATCACACCGCAGTCTGAAATTCCTCCCCTTTCCTGTGGTCCTGCTGCCGTGGATGGTGGCTATGCCAAGCCAGCTCAGGAATTTCTTTTCACTCTAAGATGGCTTTTGTTTCTATGTATTTCTTTTTCTTTCTTTCACATAAAACAACAGGAAAGTAGTCTGTCATCTGTTACTCACAGAGTGGTGCTGAAGGCAATGTGAATTCAGAGCCATTTGTTTTTTCTGGGACTAAGGAATGTGCACAACAACCACTCCAACAAATTTAGACCGCAGTGTGTTCATATTTACAAATAGGCATGTACATATAAATCAAATCACCCAAACTATGTACTTCATGGACTTTAAAATGTTCTTTGTGTGGCTAACTCTTATTTGAATTACTTCAACGAAATGCTAAAACCTCATTAATATATGCTGTCTTCATTCACTTAATCATTACCCTGCACACTTTAGAGGGTGCTTGAGACATGACAGCAAAAGTGCTGCTCAAAGTCCCTATTTCGGAAACCTCACATTCAAGCCAGAGAGACTGACAGTAACAAACAAACAAGTGAAGTACGGAGCTTGTCAGATGACGAATGGTATCATCCAGGAAGAGAAGCAGGGAAATGGATGGGGAGGACTGCGCAGGGAGTTTTAGTTTCCATTTGGGTCACGGGAAAAGCTTACTGAAAAGGTCATCATTGAGCAACAGCTTGAAGAGTGTGAGGGAGTAAGCCCTGTGGGAATCTGGAGGAAGAGCATTCCAACCTTGGGGAACAGAATGTGCAAAGACCCTGCTGGGGTGGGTAGCTGACTGCAGAAGCTGAACAAGAAGGCCAATGTGGGTGGCACAAGGAGGAGAGAAAGAGAAGAGATGGCAGATCTAACCAGGGAGTCAGAAAATGGAATCACTGGTTCCTTCTCTTTTATAACAGCCAACATCTGTTATAAAAGAGAAATGTTACAGTAACTGGAGGCTAGGGGGCTGTTGACCTCACAGGCAGCTCATGTTCTTTCCGAGTTTTTCCCTGTGTGATCACTACTAAATAAACCACTTGATTAATGGTCCACCACACTGTCAATAGGAGTGCTCCTGCCTCTGTGATTCCAGGATTTGTTTGGAATTTGGCCTTGCCATGTCAACTGGATTGGCAATTATTTTTGAAAGAGAAATTAACCAGGAGGAAAAATACCACAGATGAGAAGACTGACCATTTAGCTGTAATTGAGAGCAGCGTTGGATAGAGGTATATAAGTTAAATGTGGCAAGTTTTTCAGATGCAATTCTGAGTTTTCTTCTAAATTGAGATATTTTGGTAATTGTCTTCATTTGAAAAATAGACTAATGTTATTACATACCAGGTTTCTGATTCCTAGCACTCAGAATGGCCTGTCTCTCCTTTTGGCTTTTCTTGGTCTCTACTGAAATGGCAGAAAAAAGTAAAGTACCATGTTGGGTTAAATGACTAGATTAAGGCAGTGGGGAGGGAAGAAAGGGAGGGAATGAAGATTTATTTGATACTACTTTGGCCAGACATGTTACTTTCTTTGATCCTCACAACTGTCTGTGAGGTAGGCAGAGAAATCTAAGCAATCTTCTCTGTGTTTCTGACTTCCTCACAGATCTATGGAAGGGAATTCCATTAAGTGATAGAGAGTGTGAAGATGTCAAAGTCAAGATCCACATATATATTAATGGTGGCTAAGGGAAATGCCAATTCAAAATATTTCCTCATCTTATTAAAGAACTCCGTCTCCAAGCTCCTTTAGAGATTAAAATCATCTCCAGCATCAGGGAGTACTTCTTTCTTAGGTTACACATTGTAGTCTGCCAGAAATATAAAGCCAAGACCAGAAAATATCAAAGAACCCAACCAGTAAATGATCAAAAAGTTTGCAATTAGGGTGGATGAAAACCTAGGAAATGTGAAGACCCTTTGTAATTCTATGGCATCAGAAAATTAAATTTCTATAATAACAAATTACGATATAATGAGGTCACATTAGTGGAATAAGAGGCCCAGATGCCTCAATGATTTAATCTCTCTCTTCATGTAAGCTTGCATCGAATATTAATGAGTATTTTGATTGATAACATATTTAGTTCAAAATAGGTCTTTGAAGACAGCTGTAAGAGTATTAACATTTTAAAGATGATGTGATAGAAATTCATTTTATTAAGTAGCTGATAAGAAAAAAAAATCACTGTATAAACCTGCTAATGTCAGACATACTATTATGACCCATCTACTGCTATTGAGTAAAGAGACAGTAATGGATCTTTATGGGGCTATTCTTTGAACACTATAGAAGCTCATTTTCCTTATTGAAGAAAAAACCAAGCGACACCAATGAAACAGGTACAGTAAAAGCATTAAAATTAAGAGAAGAGAATTTCAAGTAAAAGCTGCCTAAATATAAAATAGCTTTGCTGCCTCAGCTTTTGGTAAAATTGCAATGGCTTTGAGGACTTAGGAGTTATCTTAGTGAGGCTGAAACCTTACACTAGTGCTGTCCAATAGCAATGTAATGCAAGCCATAAATGCAAACTATATATGTATTTTTAAAATTTCTAGAAGCCAAATTAAAACCGTAAAAAACCATGAAATTCATATGCTATTTAACCCAAACTATGCAAAATATGACCATTTCAACATATAATCAAATACACATTATTAATGATATAATATATATATATTTTGTATTAAGCTTTCAAACCACATCCTGCTTCTTCTCCTGCCCCAATGAATCCAGAACAAATCTAATTTTTCATTTGCATGGCAGTCTCTTTCACATTTTGCAAAAGGTCTTATTTGCTCACTAAGTCCTCTCTTTGACATGTTAAATATCCAAGTTCTAATAACTATTCTTGTTTTGCCTCTTCACACCTTCCTAGTTACTGTGCCCTGGACATCCTCCTGTTTTAACAAATGGCTTTCTAAAGTTTGATTCTCAGAATTGGTCTTAAGAATATAATGGGACTATGAGTCCTCCTTGTTTTACATTTACACTTCTATTAGTGTGACAAGCTATTAGATAAAGCTGATAGTTTACTAGACGGGGCAGTAGACTCCAAAAGTTCAGGATGAAACTGCCAATTTCCTCTGCCTGGAGATGCCATGATGCCAGGGTATATTTACTGTGAAGCTAATGAAGCTCTAGCTTCAAGGTCCTCTCTGGCATGGGCCCCTTTAAGGCCCTGGGTGGGCTTTAATAATGTGTTTACATGGTTATATGATTGTTTTAAAAAAATGAGATTTTGTAAAACAATTTTACAAAAACAAGATACTTTATTGTACTTTACTACTCTGTCTTAACCTTTGCTTTCTTCCCCATGTTGGGAATAGCTGTAGACATTTTTGGAATTGAGCTAAGGATGGAGCTGAGTTGGGAATATATTTAGTTTGAATTCAGTGGGATAATTATGTGGTTTGTAGTCATTTATGTATAGTTATTTCAAGCTCGCTCAGTGCAGGAATAAGTTCCAGAAATCTTTCTGCTTTTCTCTGGGCCTACTTACCAGCATTAAAACATAATGGCAGGGTCTGAGGCTGTACTTTGATATAACAATATCCTATGGATCCCAGAGCCAGAAGTTGGTCTGTGGAAAGTTCTTTCAATCGTTCCTATTCAGTTGTAGTAAATGATTTTGTTTTTAATGACACTTGGTTAAAACAGAAGCTCTCTGTTATCAGATATATACTTCATAATATGGTATGTAAAATTGTTACAACATATACGGTTTTCCTTTTTTGATGGACTTACACAACATAGAATTTATAAGATTTTCTGTGTTTTTAGGACAAACATAGCACTGCCAGTGCTACAGGCAGTGAATAGATCTTTTATGAGAAAGTAACTTGGACAGGTATTTCTCCAATTTTACAACTGTCCTAAAAATTTATGTGATATTAAGTGTAATGAGTTGTGAAATCAAAGGAAACGTTTTATACTAAAAATAATGAAAAACATGTTTTGATCAACCATATGTCAAGATTAAAATATCTTTCTATTCTCTCTAGAAAAATATTACAAAATCAATTATATAAATAAGTAATTAAAGAGTTTATAGCCGGAAAACTGTATTTTACAGGTATGTCAGATAATAAATTAATATAAATATTATGTTATTTTTCTGGATTTTGTGGTATTTGTGGTACTTCTCAGCTTTGTAAAGTGCATTTGTGACTTTTTCATTCTCATTAAGTAATCATATTTAATATTTAATAATTATTTCATAAATAATCATTACTTGATGAATAGTGAATATTTTTCTGTTTGTAAGTTTCTATTCCATAATAGTGTTGCTTTTCCACATTTCTATGTCTATCAAACTTCTAATGTCATTTTTCACAGAATTAAAAATACTGTCCAATTTAATGATATTGGTTCTTCTAATCCATGAGCATGGAATGTTTTTCCATTTATTTGTGTTGCCTATGATTTCTTTGAGAAGTGTTTTGTAGCTCTCCTTATAGAGATCTTTTATCCCCTTGGTTAGTTGTAGTCCTAGGTACTTCTTTTTTTGTGGCTATTGTAGATGGGATTGATGTTCTTGATTTGGCTCTCAGCTAGCATATTATTGGTGTATAGAAATGTGACTCATTTTTGTATTTGATATTGTATCCTGAAACTTTACTGAAGTTGCTTATCAGTTCTAGGAGACTTTTGGCAGAGCCGTTAGGGTTTTTTATGTATAGAATCCTATCATCCACAAAGAGAGTTTGACTTCTTTTTCTATTTGGATGCCTTTTATATCTTTCTCTTGCCTGATTGCTCTGGCAAGCACTTCCAATACTATGTTGAATAGAAGTGGTGAAAGTGGGCATCCTTGCCTTGATCCAGTTCTCAAGGGGAATGGTTCCAGCTTTTGCTCGTTTAGTATGATGTTGGCTGTGGGTTTGTCATAGATTGCTCTTATTATTTTGAGATATGTTCCTTTGATGCCTAGAGTGTTGATGGTATTTTTTTTTTTTTATTCATGACAGGATGTTGGATTTATTGAAAACTTTTTCTGCATCTATTGAGATGATCATATGGTTTTTGTTTTTAACTCTGTTTATGGAGTGAATCATGCTTATTGATTTGTGTGTGTTGAACCAACCTTGAATCTCAAGAATAAAGCCTACTTAATTGTGGCAAATTAACTTTTTGATGTGCTGCTAGATTCGGTTCACTTGTATTTTGTTGATATTTTTGTCTGTGTTCATCAGGCATATTGGCCTGAATTTTTCTTCTTTTCTGTGTGTCCCTGGCAGATTTTGGTATCAGGCTAATGCTAGCTCTGTAGGACGAGTCAGGGAGGAGGAGCCCCTTCCTTGATATTTTGAAATAGTTTCCAAAAAGAATTATATGTCTGGCAGAATTCAGCTGTGAATTCATCTGGTACAGGGCTCCTTTTTTTGGTTGCTAGGTTTCTTTCTTTTTTTTTTTTATTATACTTTAAGTTTTAGGGTACATGTGCACATTGTGCAGGTTAGTTACATATGTATACATGTGCCATGCTGGTGCACTGCACTCACTAACTCGTCATCTAGCATGAGGTATATCTCCCAATGCTATCCCTACCCTCTCCCCCCACCACATAACAGTCCCCAGAGTGTGATATTTCCCTTCCTGTGTCCATGTGATCTCATTGTTCAATTCCCACCTATGAGTGAGAATATGCGGTGTTTGGTTTTTTGTTCTTGCGATAGTTTACTGAGAATGATGTTTTCCAATTTCATCCATGTCCCTACAAAGGACATGAACTCATCATTTTTTATGGCTGCATAGTATTCCATGGTGTATATGTGCCACATTTTCTTAATCCAGTCTATCATTGTTGGACATTTGGGTTGGTTCCAAGTCTTTGCTATTGTGAATAATGCCGCAATAAACATACATGTGCATGTGTCTTTATAGCAGCATGATTTATAGTCCTTTGGGTATATACCCAGTAATGGGATGGCTGGGTCAAATGGTATTTCCAGTTCTAGATCCCTGAGGAATCGCCACACTGACTTCCACAATGGTTGAACTAGTTTACAGTCCCACCAACAGTGTAAAAGTGTTCCTATTTCTCCACATCCTCTCCAGCACCTGTTGTTTCCTGACTTTTTAATGATTGCCATTCTAACTGGTGTGAGATGGTATCTCATTGTGGTTTTGATTTGCATTTCTCTGATGGCCAGTGATGGTGAGCATTTTTTCATGTGTTTTTTGGTTGCATAAATGACTTCTTTTGAGAAGTGTCTGTTCATATCCTTCGCCCACTTTTTGATGGGGTTGTTTGTTTTTTTCTTGTAAATTTGTTGGAGTTCATTGTAGATTCTGGATATTAGCCCTTTGTCAGATGAGTAGGTTGCAAATATTTTCTCCCATTTTGTAGGTTGCCTGTTCACCCTGATGGTAGTTTCTTTTGCTGTGCAGAAGCTCTTTCGTTTAATTAGATCCCATTTGTCAATTTTGTCTTTTGTTGCCATTGCTTTTGGTGTTTTAGACATGAAGTCCTTGCCCATGCCTATGTCCTGAATGGTAATGCCTAGGTTTTCTTCTAGGGTTTTTATGGTTTTAGGTCTAACGTTTAAGTCTTTAATCCATCTTGAATTGATTTTTGTATAAGGTGTAAGGAAGGGATCCAGTTTCGGCTTTCTACATATGGCTAGCCAGTTTTCCCAGCACCCTTTATTAAATAGGGAATCCTTTCCCCATTGCTTGTTTTTCTCAGGTTTGTCAAAGATCAGATAGTTGTAGATATGAGGCGTTATTTCTGAGGGCTCTGTTCTGTTCCATTGATCTATATCTCTGTTTTGGTACCAGTACCATGCTGTTTTGGTTACTGTAGCTTTGTAGTATAGTTTGAAGTCAGGTAGGGTGATGCCTCCAGCTTTGTTCTTTTGGCTTAGGATTGACTTGGCGATGTGGGCTCTTTTTTGGTTGCATATGAACTTTAAAGTAGTTTTTTCCAATTCTGTGAAGAAAGGCATTGGTAGCTTGATGGGGATGGCATTGAATCTATAAATTACCTTGGGCAGTATGGCCATTTTCACGATATTGATTCTTCCTACCCATGAGCATGGAATGTTCTTCCATTTGTTTGTATCCTCTTTTATTTCCTTGAGCAGTGGTTTGTAGTTCTCCTTGAAGAGGTCCTTCACATCCCTTGTAAGTTGGATTCCTAGGTATTTTATTCTCTTTGAAGCAATTGTGAATGGGAGTTCACTCATGATTTGGCTCTCTGTTTGTTTGTTGTTGGTGTATAAGAATGCTTGTGATTTTTGTACATTGACTTTGTATCCTGAGACTTTGCTGAAGTTGCTTATCACCTTAAGGAGATTTTGGGCTGAGACAATGGGGTTTTCTAGATATACAATCATGTCATCTGCAAACAGGGACAATTTGACTTCCTCTTTTCCTAATTGAATACCCTTTATTTCCTTCTCCTGCCTAATTGCCCTGGCCAGAACTTCCAACACTATGTTGAATAGGAGTGGTGAGAGAGGGCATCCCTGTCTTGTGCCAGCTTTCAAAGGGAATGCTTCCAGTTTTTGCCCATTCAGTATGATATTGGCTGTGGGTTTGTCATAGATAGCTCTTATTATTTTGAGACACGTCCCATCAATACCTAATTTATTGAGAGTTTTTAGCATGAAGGGTTGTTGAATTTTGTCAAAGGCTTTTTCTGCATCTATTGAGATAATCATGTGGTTTTCGTCTTTGGCTCTGTTTATATGCTGTATTACATTTATTGATTTGCATATATTGAACCAGCCTTGCATCCCAGGGATGAAGCCCACTTGATCATGGTGGATAAGCTTTTTGATGTGCTGCTGGATTCGTTTTGCCAGTATTTTATTGAGGATTTGTGCATCAATGTTCATCAAGGATATTGGTCTAAAATTCTCTTTTTTGGTTGTGTCTCTGCCTGGCTTTGGTATCAGAATGATGCTGGCCTCATAAAATGAGTTAGGGAGGATTCCCTCTTTTTCTATTGATTGGAATAGTTTCAGAAGGAAAGGTACCAGTTCCTCCTTGTACCTCTGGCAGAATTCAGCTGTGAATCCATCTGGTCCTGGACTCTTTTTGGTTGGTAAGCTATTGATTATTGCCACAATTTCAGATCCTGTTATTGGTCTATTCAGAGATTCAACTTCTTCCTGGTTTAGTGTTGGGAGAGTGTATGTGTCGAGGAATTTATCCATTTCTTCTAGATTTTCTAGTTTATTTGCAAAGAGGTGTTTGTAGTATTCTCTGATGGTAGTTTGTATTTCTGTGGGATCGGTGGTGATATCCCCTTTATCATTTTTTATTGCGTCTATTAGATTCTTCTCTCTTTTTTTCTTTATTAGTCTTGCTAGCGGTCTATCAATTTTGTTGATCCTTTCAAAAAACCAGCTCCTGGATACATTAATTTTTTGAAGGGTTTTTTGTGTCTCTATTTCCTTCGGTTCTGCTCTGATCTTAGTTATTTCTTGCCTTCTGCTAGCTTTTGAATGTGTTTGCTCTTGCTTTTCTAGTTCTTTTAATTGTGATGTTAGGGTGTCAATTTTGGATCTTTCCTTCTTTCTCTTGTGGGCATTTAGTGCTATAAATTTCCCTCTACACGCTGCTTTGAATGCGTCCCAGAGATTCTGGTATGTTGTGTCTTTGTTCTCATTGGTTTCAAAGAACATCTTTATTTCTGCCTTCATTTTGTTATGTACCCAGTAGTCATTCAGGAGCAGGTTGTTCAGTTTCCATGTAGTTGAGCGGTTTTGAGTGAGATTCTTAATCCTGAGTTCTAGTTTGATTGCACTGTGGTCTGAGAGATAGTTTGTTATAATTTCTGTTCTTTTACATTTGCTGAGGAGAGCTTTACTTCCAAGTATGTGGTCAATTTTGGAATAGGTGTGGTGTGGTGCTGAAAAAAATGTATATTCTGTTGATTTGGGGTGGAGAGTTCTGTAGATGTCTATTAGGTCCACTTGGTGCAGAGCTGAGTTCAATTCCTGAGTATCCTTGTTGACTTTCTATCTCGTTGATCTATCTAATGTTGACAGTGGGGTATTAAAGTCTCCCATTATTAATGTGTGGGAGTCTAAGTCTGTTTGTAGATCACTCAGGACTTGCTTTATGAATCTTGGTGCTCCTGTATTGGGTGCATATATATTTAGGATAGTTAGCTCTTCTTGTTGAATTGATCCCTTTAGCATTATGTAATGGCCTTCTTTGTCTCTTTTGATCTTTGTTGGTTTAAAGTCTGTTTTATCAGAGACTAGGATTGCAACCCCTTCCTTTTTTTGTTTTCCATTTGCTTGGTAGATCTTCCTCCATCCTTTTATTTTGAGCCTATGTGTGTCTCTGCACGTGAGATGGGTTTCCTGAATACAGCACACTGATGGGTCTTGACTCTTTATCCAATTTGCCAGTCTGTGTCTTTTAATTAGAGCATTTAGTCCATTTACATTTAAAGTTAATATTGTTATGTGTGAATTTGATCCTGTCATTATGATGTTAGCTGGTTATTTTGCTCGTTAGTTGATGCAGTTTCTTCCTAGTCTCGATGGTCTTTACATTTTGGCATGATTTTGCAGCGGCTGGTACCGGTTGTTCCTTTCCATGTTTAGCGCTTCCTTCAGGAGCTCTTTTAGGGCAGGCCTGGTGGTGACAAAATCTCTCAGCATTTGCTTGTCTGTAAAGTATTTTATTTCTCCTTCACTTATGAAGCTTAGTTTGGCTGCATATGAAATTCTGGGTTGAAAATTCTTGTCTTTAAGAATGTTGAATATTGGCCCCCACTCTCTTCTGGCTTGTAGGGTTTCTGCCGAGAGATCCGCAGTTAGTCTGATGGGCTTCCCTTTGAGGGTAACCCGACCTTTCTCTCTGGCTGACCTTAACATTTTTTCCTTCATTTCAACTTTGGTGAATCTGACAATTATATGTCTTGGAGTTGCTCTTCTCGAGGAGTATCTTTGTGGCGTTCTCTGTATTTCCTGAATCTGAACGTTGGCCTGCCTTGCTAGATTGGGGAAGTTCTCCTGGATAATATCCTGCAGAGTGCTTTCCAACTTGGTTCCATTCTCCCTATCACTTTCAGGTACACCAATCGGACATAGATTTGGTCTTTTCACATAGTCCCATATTTCTTGGAGGCTTTGCTCATTTCTTTTTATTCTTTTTTCTCTAAACTTCCCTTCTCACTTCATTTCATTCATTTAATCTTCCATCACTGATACCCTTTCTTCCAGTTGATCGCATCGGCTCCTGAGGCTTCTGCATTCTTCACGTAGTTCTCGAGCCTTGGTTTTCAGCTCCATCAGCTCCTTTAAGCACTTCTCTGTATTGGTTATTCTAGTTATACATTCTTCTAAATTTTTTTCAAAGTTTTCAACTTCTTTGCCTTTGGTTTGAATGTCCTCCCGTAGCTCAGAGTAATTTGATCGTCTGAAGCCTTCTTCTCTCAGCTCGTCAAAGTCATTCTCCATCCAGCTTTGTTCCGTTGCTGGTGAGGAACTGCGTTCCTTTGGAGGAGGAGAGGCGCTCTGCGTTTTAGAGTTTCCAGTTTTTCTGTTCTGTTTTTTCCCCATCTTTGTGGTTTTATCTACTTTTGGTCTTTGATGATGGTGATGTATAGATGGGTTTTTGGTGTGGATGTCCTTTCTGTTTGTTAGTTTTCCTTCTAACAGACAGGACCCTCAGCTGCAGGTCTGTTGGGTACCCTGCCGTGTGAGGTGTCAGTGTTCCCCTGCTGGGGGGTGCCTCCCAGTTAGGCTGCTCAGGGGTCAGGAGTCAGGGACCCCCTTGAGGAGGCAGTCTGCCCGTTCTCAGATCTCCATCTGCGTGCTGGGAGAACCACTGCTCTCTTCAAAGCTGTCAGACAGGGTCATTTAAGTCTGCAGAGGTTTCTGCTGTCTTTTTGTTTGTCTGTGCCCTGCCCCCAGAGGTGGAGCCTACAGAGGCAGGCAGGCCTCCTTGAGCTGTGGTGGGCTCCGCCCAGTTCGAGCTTCCCCGCTGCTTTGTTTACCTAAGCAAGCCTGGGCAATGGCGGGCGCCCCTCCCCCAGCCTCACTGCCGCCTTGCAGTTTGATCTCAGACTGCTGTGTTAGCAATCAGCGAGACTCCGTGGGCGTAGGACCCTCCAAGCCAGGTGCGGGGTATAATCTCGTGGTGCGCCGTTTTTTAAGCCCGTCGGAAAAGCGCAGTATTCGGGTGGGAGTGACCTGATTTTCCAGGTGCCGTCAGTCACCCCTTTCTTTGACTCGGAAAGGGAACTCCCTGACCCCTTGCGCTTCCCGAGTGAGGCAATGCCTCGCCCTGCTTCGGCTCGTGCACGGTGTGCGCACCCACTGACCTGCGCCCACTGTCTGGCACTCCCTAGTGAGATGAACCCGGTACCTCAGATGGAAATGCAGAAATCACCGTCTTCTGCGTCGCTCACGCTGGGAGCTGTAGACTGGAGCTGTTCCTATTCGGCCATCTTGGCTCCTCCCCCGTTGGTAGGTTTTTTATTACTGCTTAAATTTTGGAACTTATTATTGGTCTGTTCAGGTTTTCACTTTCTTCTTGGTTCAATACTGGGAGGGTGTGTGTTGACAGGAATTTATCCATTTCCTCTATATATCCTAATTTTTATGCATAGAGGTGTTCATAACAGTCTCTGAGGATCTTCTGTATTTCTGTGGGATCAGTTGCAATGTCATCTTTGTCATTTCTGATTGTGTTCATTTGGATCTTTTTTTTTTTTGTTAATCTAGCTAGCAGTCTATCAATCTCGTTTATTCTTTCAAGAAACCAACTCTTGGCTCTTGGTTTCATGAATATTTTTTCTTTTCTTTCTTTTTTTTTTTGAGATGGGGTCTCACTCTCTTGCCCAGGCTAAACTGCAGTGGTGTAATCTCGGCTCACTGCAACCTCTGCCTCCCAGGTTCAAGCAATTCTCCTGCCTCAGCCTTCTGAGTAGCTGAGATTACAGGCACACACTACTGTGCCTAGCTAATTTTATTTGTCTTTTTAGTAGAGACAGGGTTTTGCCATGTTGGCAAGGCTGGTCTTGAACCCCTGACCTCAACTGATCCACCCACCTTGGCCTCCCAAAGTGATGGGATTATAGGTGTGAGCCACTGTGCTTGGCTTATGGATCTTGTGAATGGATTTTTGCATCTCAGTTTCATTCAGTCTTTCCTAATTTTAGTTATTCCTTTTGTTCTGTTAGCTTTGGAGTTGATTTGTTCTTTTTCTCTAGTTCCTCTAGGTATGATGTGAGATTGTTGATTTGAGATCTTTCTAATTTCTTGATGAATGTGTTTAGTACTATAAACTTTCCTCTTAACACTGTTTTAGCTGCATCCCAAAGATTTTGGTAAGTTGTGTCTCTATTTTTATTAATTGCAAAGTTTTTTTTTTAATTTCTGCCTCAATTTCATTGTTCATCAAAGAGTTCCTCAGAAGCAAGTTGTTTAATTTCCAAGTATTTGTGTAGTTTTGAGAGATCTTCTTGGCATTGACTTCTACTTTTATTCATTGTGGTCCAAGAATGTGCTTTGGGTGATTTCAGTTGTTTTGAATTTATTGAGACTTGCTTTATAATTGAGAATGTGGTCAACCTTAGGATATATTCTGTGTGCAGATGAGAAGAATGTATATCCTGTGGTTGTTGGGTGTAGATGTCTATTAGGTCCAGTTGGTCTAGTGTTGAATTTTAGTCCAGAATTTCTTTGTTAATTTTCTGCCTCAATAATCTGTCTAACACTGTCAGTGGGGTGTTGAAGTCTCTCATTATTATTGTGTGACTGTCTAAGTGTTTTCATAGGTCAAGACAAACTTGTTTTTATGAATCAGGGTGCTCCAGTGTTCGATATGTATATATTTAGGATAGTTAAGTCTTCATGTTGAATTGAAATCTTTATCATTATGTAATGTCTTTCTGTGTCCTACTTAATTGTTATTGGTTTAAAGTCTGTTTTATCTATTATAAGAATTGTGACTCCTGCTCTCTTTTGTTGCCTGCTTGCATGGTAGATCTTTCTTCATCTTTCTACTTTGAGCCTGTGAGTATCATTACATGTGGGATAGGTCTCTTAATGATAGCAGACAGTTGGATCTTGTCTTTTTATTCAGCTTTCCCCTCTATTTCTTTTAAGTAAAGGATTTACATTCAGGTTTAGTATTGATATGTGAGTTTTTGATCCTGTCATCATGTTGTTAGCTGGTTGTTTTGTAGACTCAATTGTGTAGTCACTTTATTGTGTTTGTGGGCTATGGAAAACCAAGATCAAGTATCACTTCCTTTTAAAATGACTTTTTGAATCCTTAATCAGTTGAAAGCCACTTTAGAATTGTGCAGTACTTAGTTTTTACCCCTTAGAACCATTATCAAAATTTGCCGTTTCTCCTTCTCTCTTAGTGTCCTGCAATTATTAGTATAATGATGCATTTTTTTTTAAATCAAAGAAAAGATCTGATACAGAAGGCACTGAGACTTAGAGGCTTATACATGTAACTGGGCTTCCAGGGACAAACTCAAAAGTGTAGTTTTAGGTAGGCAATGGTCTAGAGAAACTGCCAGTGCCAAGGAAGTCTAAGAGGTATCCTGATAGGTAGGTGGATTTCCAGGACACTAAATCTGTGCTGGTAATAACAGTGAGCCAAGCAGATGGTCATTATCAAGGGGATTTGTAACAACAGCCCAGTGGCAGAGTTAGAATTTAGGAATAGCAATCATTCTCTCAAAATACAGAAATATTCACAGCCAGACATAAGCCTTAGAGAAATTGCATACAGGCAAGAACTCTAGGGCCTTAATCACTGTACCTAGAGGTAGCCTAATTCCTGGGGAGTAGTTATAGCCACAGCACCAGGTGGGTTGACTTGATCCTCATCTAGACTCTTTGAGCTTTGCCTAAGTAGAAAGAGGGTAAGAGCAGAACCTGGAGTGAGATGGAGCCTGCTGTTAGGAGTTGAGGGGGCAGAGCCTGAACGAGGGCACTGTGGTTGAGGAGTATGCCAGAAAACTGCAGTATTCCTTGAAGGCATGGGCTACGGGTTCACCTCACTGTAAATATTCTTAGACAATGCACATTGTAGATGTTTGATAATTGCAAAAAAAAAAAAAAAAAAAAAAAGAAAAAAAAGAAAAAAAGAAAAAGGTTGCTCTAGATCCTAGACCTTTAATTCTGTACTTACTCCAGAGCTTGTCATTATCTTTTCTAATATGTGGCTCCCCTAAATCAACAACTCTGGTGTATGACAGTGGAAATTTTTACTTTTCTTGATCTAGTGGCTACACTTTATAAATGCCACCTAAGACTTTCTCATAGCATTTTGTGACAGATATGTTCGTTTAATAAACATTAGTACCTAATAAGCTTGTAGCCAACTTGACTTTTAAGATTTTTTATAAGGCCTAATTTCAAATTTGGTTCCCCTATCCTAAACATGAAACTGGTTATTCAACCAAAATATAGGATTTTATGTATATATAAGTTAAATTGTATCTTAAAGGCTTTAGTTTGAGCATTATAGAATATCAGGATAATTATAAAATGAGTTATACATCCCTTCTAGAATTATGCCATGAAAAAGTCACTAAATTTTATTTGTTTTTAACTACTTATTACTTGAATAAACTTATATAAGTTTTTCTATACATGCAAGCCCTTGTGTGTGTGAGTATGTGTTTTTGGTACATTTTTTATGCAAAGAATTTTGATCAGTGTTCTTTATATTTACTTAAACAAGAGATTTAATATATTTTTTTTTGTGAGATGGAGTCTTGCTCTGTCCAGGCTCGAGTGCAGTGGCATGGCTCACTGCAACTTCCGCCTCCCAGGTTCACGTGATTCTCCTACCTCAGTACCCTGAGTAGCTGGGATTACAGGTGCACGCTACCACACCCAGCTAGTTTTTCTATTTTTAGTAGAGACGGGGTTTTGCCATGTTGGCCAGACTGGTCTCAAACTCCTGACCTCAGGTGATCTGCCCGCCTCAGCCTCCCAAAGTGCTGGGATTACAGGCATGAACCACTGCACCAGGCCGATTTAATAAAATTTTTAGAAAAATAGAACCAAGAACAGATTTTCCTAAGCCTACTCAGTTATTTGGAAAATGCCATTCTTAGGATTAAAGAAAAGAATATTTAACAAATTTTTGGAATATGGAGGCCCTTCATTAATTTTAATTAAGTTGTAAGGACAACTGTTACAGATTTAATTTTGATTTTTAATTTTCAAAACATTTTATTTGGAAAAAAATTACAACAATAGAAATAAATAGTGTATATATAATGCCAATATATCCCTTAACCAGATTTACCTGTTAATGTGTTATGCCATTTGCTTCAATATTTATCATCATCCTCTCTCTTTGATACTGTTATCAGTTTTAATAAAATTAACATTGACACAATAATTTTATCTAATCTAATGCCCATATTTCAATTTTGTTACATGCTTCAATAATGTTTTTTACTCATTTTTTCTGTTTAAGGATCTCATTTAGGATTAGGTATTGCATCTAATTGTTATTTCTTTAACCTACTTCAATTGGGAAGAATTTTCACAGCTTTTATTATATTTTTATAACATTGGCATTTTTCAAGAATTCAGTATCACTTCCTTCCTTTTAATACAATGTTCCTCATTTCAGGATGGTTGACGCTTCCTGATGATTAAAATCAATATACACATTCCAGGTTGGAACAGAAGAAATGCAGTATTCCTCTGAGGACATCACTTCTGGAGGTACATGTTGGATGCCCATCTGCTCCTCAATGGTGATATTAATTTGGATCAAAACAAGCATCATTGATTATCTTGTCCAGTTTATTATTGTATGGTTGTGATTATTTTCTCTTGCAACTGCAGAGTCTGAGGGAGAAACTTTAAGATTATGCAGATATTTCGGTTGGCCCTCATCAAATTTCCTCCCTACATTTTGCCCTCATTGGTAATGCTTGTTTGAAATATTTATCCTGATGGCACTAAATGGTGATTTTCTGCCTCCACCTTTCCCATTATATTTTCCTATAGGCTCTAGGGATTCTACTGTAGGTGAGAGCCCTCCCTTCTCCACTATTTATGTATTTATTCGAACAGTTGGTTAGTTATCTATTTGTTATTAGTACAGACTCATGGATTCCTGTGTTTTCAGCGATCTGTGATTAACTGCCGTCCGTATTTATTTTGGTGTTTAAATTGGCCTAGATTTAGCCAGTGGGAGCTCCTTTCCACTTGTAACAGACATCCATTGGTTTTGTAGTTGTTGGTTGTTTTAGTATTTACTTATCTGAGGAATAACAGCAAGTTCTAGGTTCATTTTGCTCCTACTTGTGTTGTTATGATATACATTGGTTTTTGTCCATGGTTCCTGGCTCATAACTCCCATAGTCCTTGTTACAGTCTTTTGTTACCATCATGTTGGGTGTGTTAAGCCTCAGAGGCAGGCCTCCACCTTTCTCCTGCCCTCCTTTTATCTGCTCCAAGGTAGGACTCGAGGTCTTAAGAACCTCCCATGAGAGAGTCCCACCCTATACCCTAGCGGGAGGAACGTTGATGTCATGAGGTCTCCACGGGGTGGCAGGGAACAAGAAAACTGGGTTGAGAGAGCTTCTGGATAGCTCAACACATGGGGATTCCTGGAAGGTGGCTCACTCAGGGAAGTCATGGAAGCTCCCTGCCACTTCCCCCATACCTCGCCCTATGCATCTCTTCATCTGTACCGTTTGCAATAGCCTCCATAATGAACCAGTAAATGTAAGTGTTTCCCTGAGTTTTATGAGCCCCTCCTGCAAATTAATCGAACCCAAAGAGGGGGTCATGGGAACCCCAACTTGAAGCCAGGTGGTCAGAAGTTCTGGAGGCCTACACTTGTGACTGGCATGTGTGGGGATCAGTCTTGGGGACTAGCCCTCAACCTGTGGGATCTGAAGCTATCTCTTGGTAGACAGTATTGGAACTGAATTTGAGGATACCTAGCTGGTGTCCACTGCTTGGTGTTTGTGAAAAACAATCTCACACATATGGTAACAGAAATCTTCTTCCTGTTGATGACAGTTATGGTGTGAGAGCAGAGGAGAAACACAGTTAGAGTTTTCCCTACATACTACCCTACCACAGACCTGGAGTCAGCCATATGTCTGAAGAGCTGTCTTTCTATTTGGTGGGGAATGGTAGTAGAGACCAAGATGTTATCAATTTTTGATATAGATCAATTTCACCTTTCTAAATGAATTATTTCTGTAACCTTTTTTTTTTCCTTATGAGAACCAGAATATCTCCCTAATATAAGTCTGTGGCAATTTCAGAATTACTGTCAGTAGCTTTGAGATTATATTAACAGGACCCTTTATTATTTTAGTGTGTGTTTTACTTAGACCCAGTGATTTGAATTTATTTTCTATTGTTGGATACTCTTTATTAGATTATATATTTTAAATTTCAATATCTTCATTATAGTATACTTGTCTTTTTTGTCTTAAATGCATTATGTTTCATAATGGGAATGCAAACAAAATACCATATGTATTAGGGTTCTTGAAAGGGATAGAACTGATAGGATACATGTATATATTAGTATGAAGGGGAGTTTATTAGGAGAATTGACTCACACGATCACAAGGTAAAGTCCCACAATAGGCTGTCTACAACCTGAGAAGCAAGGAAGCCAGTCCAAGTGCCAAAACCTCAAAAGTAAGGATGCCAACAGTGCAGCCTTCAGTCTGTGACTGAAGGCCCAAGAGTGCCTGGCAAATCACTGGTGTAAGTTCGAGTCCAAAAGCTGAAGAACTTGGAGTCTGATGTTTGAGATCAGGAAGCATACAGCACGGGAAAAAGATGAAGGCGAGGACTCAGCAAGTCTCCTCATTCCACTTTCTTCTACCTGTTTTATTCTAGCCACGCTGGCAGCTGGTTAGATGATATCCACTCAGATTGAGGGTGGGTTTGCCTCTCCTAGTCTACTGACTCAATGTTAATCTCCTTTGGCAACACCTTCACAGACACACCCAGCAACAATACTTTGTATCTTTCAATCCAATCAAGTTGACACTCAATATTAACAATCATGCCACATGATTCGATTAGTTTTTTATTTTGGGCATCCTTTTAATATTGAAACATAACACACATACAGTAAAATGCCCAAAGTATATAACTGAATGAAATTTTACAAATTATATATACCTGTGCAACAACAATTTATATCAACATATAAATATCAGGCCTCTGAGCCCAAGCTAAGCCATCATATCCCCTGTGGCCTGCATGTACACATCTAGATGGCCGGTTCCTGCCTTAACTGATGACATTCCACCACAAAAGAAGTGAAAATGGCCTGTTCCTGCCTTAACTGATGACATTGTCTTGTGAAATTCCTTCTCCTGGCTCATCCTGGCTCAAAAGCTCCCCCACTGAGTACCTTGTGATCCCCACTCCTGCCTGCCAGAGAACAACCCCCCTTTTTCCTTTACCTACCCAAATCCTATAAAACGGCCCCACCCCATCTCTCTTCGCTGACTCTCTTTTCGGACTCAGCCCACCTGCATCCAGGTGAAATAAACAGCTTTATTGCTCACACAAAGCCTGTTTGGTGGTCTCTTCACATGGATGCGCATGAAAATAAACATTTACACACAACCTCAAAGCTGCCCTTATGTACTCTGTTATTACTTTACTCAAAATGTTCAGGATTTCTGTTGACAATGTTTTTTACTTTTCATCGTACAAATTTGTACTTCTCTGCTAAATTTATTTCTATGTCATTTTTTGATACTATTGTAAATAGAACTGTTTTCTAAATATTATTTTCAATTATTTAGTGCTCGTGTATAGAAGTACAATACGTTTTTGTGTATTAATCTTGTATCCTGAAACCTCAATAGACTCATTTATTACTTCTAGTCTTTGTTTTTATTGGTAGATTTCTTAGATTTTCTATATACAGTATAATTTCATACTTATACTAGATAGTTTTACTTTTTCCTTTCTGATCTGGATGCTTTATTTATTTATTTATTTTACTTGTATATTTGCTTTGGCTAGCATTTCTAGTACAATGATATGTGGAAGTGGCAAACTAGCCACGTCTTGTTCCTTATCTTAGTCGGAAAGATTTCAGTCTTCAACCATTAATTGTGGCATTAGTTGTAGGTTTTCTGTAGATGCCTGTATTAGTCTGTTCTCATGCTGCTAATAAAGACATACCTGAGACTGGGTAATTTATAAAGGAAACAGGTTTAATGGAATCACAGTTTCACATGGCTGGAGAGGCCTCACAATCATGGCTGAAGGAGGAACAAAGTCACAGCTTACATGGCAGCAGGAAAGAGGGCATGTGCAGACCTCCCCTTTATAAAACCATCAGATCTCATGAGACTTATTCACTATCACAAAAACAGCATGGAAAAAGTCTGCCCCCATGATTCAATTACCTCCCACCTGGTTCCTCCCATGACACATGGGGCTTATTACAATTCGAGGTGAGATTTGCTTGGGGACACAGAGCCAAACCACATCAATGCCTTTTAACAAATTAAGGAAGTTTTGTTCCATTCCTAACTTGTTTAGGGTTTTTTATCATGAAAATGTGTTGGATTTTGTAAAATGCTTTGTCTGTGTCTATTGAGATGATCATGCGGTTTTTGTTCTTTATTCTATTAATACTATGTATTACATTGATTTATTTTCATATGTTTAACCAATCTCACATTTCTGGGATAAATCTCACTCGATTGTGGTATATACTTCTATTTATATATTGCAAGATTTACATGTTATTGGGGATTTTTTTACATCTAAATTCATAGGGATGTTGTTCTGTAGTTTTCTTTTCTTGTAGTGTGTTAGTCTGCTTTAGGTGTCAGGGACATACTAACCTCATGAAATGAGTTATGAAGTATTTTCTCCCTTCTATATTTTGGAAGAGTTTGTTATGAGATAGTATTAATTATTCTTTAAATATTTGGTAGAATTCATCAGTAAATTCAACTTTCCTTTGTGGTAGACTTTTGATTTATTTTTTACATTATTGCTTTAATCTCTTTACCTGTTTTAGATCTATTCAGGCTTTCTATTTCTGTTTTGAATTTCAGTATGTGTAATTGGATTACAGCATTATTAAAGTTCTATATTTCATTATTGACCTTCTGTCTAGTTATTTTATCCATTATTGAAAATGTGGTGTTAAAGTCTTCTGCTACTGTTGCTGAAATGTTTATTTCTCCCCCTTCAATTATGTTATTTGTTACTTCATGTATTTTGTGATCTGCTGTAAGGTGCATATACATTTATAATTGTTGTGTTTTCTTGATTGATTGACCCTTTTATCATTATGTAATACCCTTTTTCTTTTTCTTTTTTCTTTTTTTTTTTTTTTTGAGATGGAGTCTCGCTCTGTCACCCAGGCTGGAGTGCAGTGGCACGATCTCAGCTCACTGCAACCTCTGCCTCCTGGGTTCAAGCAATTCTCTTGCCTCAGCCTCCTGAGTAGCTGGGATTACAGGCATGCGCCACTAGGCCAGGCTAATTTTTGTATTTTTAGTAGAGACAGGGATTCGCCATGTTGGCCAGGATGGTCTTGATCTCTTGACCTCGTGATCCGCCTGTCTTGGCCTCCCAAAGTGCTGGGATTACAGGCGTGAGCCACCGCACCCGGCCCATAGAATATCCTTTTTCTATCTCTTGCAACAATTTTTGCCTTAAAATCTATTTTATCTGATTATAATATAGCTACTCCAACTCTGTTTTGATTTACTGTTCACAGGGAATGTTTTTTTCTATCCTTTCACTTTCAATCTATTTGGTTCTTTAAATCTAAAGTGAGGTACAGACATCATATTTACATCATTTTTAGAATCCATTCTGCTTTTTGAATGGAGACTTTAACCTAATTTCATTACAGTAATTGCTGATGAGAAAGAACCCAACTTGTACCACTTTGCTGTTTATATTCTATACATATTATGTCTTTTTCTGTGTGTGTTTAATTCCTCCATTACTACCTTCTTTCGTGTTAATAGATATTTTCCAGTCTATTATTGTAATAACATTTTAATTCTTTTGTCATTTCTTTTACTATATAGTTTTGAGTTATTTTCCTAGGGATTACAATTAACATCTTAATTTATATCAACCCAGGTCAGATTCATGTCAGCCTAGTTTTTTTTTTCTCTCTCTCTTATTTATTTATTTATTTTTTAAGAGTTGGAGTCTTCTTCTCTCACCCGGGCTGGAGTGCAGTGGCACAATTATAGCTCACTGCAGCGGCACAATTATAGCTCACTGCAGCCTCAAACTCCTGGGCTCAAGCAATCCTCCCACCTCAGCTTCTTGAGTAGCTGGGACTACACACATGTACCACTGCACCCAGCTAATTTTTATTTTTTGTAGAGACAGGGTTTTGTTATGTTGCCTAGGCTTGTCTTGGACTCCCAGACTCAACTGATCCTCTGCCTTGCCCTCCCAAAGTGCTGGGGTTACAGGTTTGATTTACTGTGTCTGGCCTAGTTTCAGTAGTATACAAAAATTTGCTCTTATATAGTTCTGTTCCTCTATCTTTGTATTATTATTGTAATAAGTTTCATCTTTACACACTATATGCCTATAGACACAGATTTATGATTTTTGGTATATGCAGTTGTCTTCTAAATCAGATAGGAGAAAAATATTACAAACAGTAAATTTATACTAACTCATATTTACCTATTAAAAAACATTTATTGGTACTCTCTATTTCTTCATGTGGATTTCTGTTACTCTTTAGTCTCTTTTCATAGCAGCCTAAGAAACTGCCTTTAGTATTTATTATAGGGTAGGTCAGCTAGCAATTGCTTCTTTCAGTTTTTGTTTATCTAGGAATGTCTAAATTTCTTTTTCATTTTTGAAAGATAGTTTTGCTATCCTGTTAACTAAGTTTTGCTTGGTTGACAGTCTTTTTCACACTTTTAACATACAGTTCCCACTGTGCTATGGCCTCCATGGTTTCTGGTTAGATAACAGCTATTGACCTTATTAAGAATTCCTTGTATGTAATCAATCACTTCTTTTTTTTTTTTTTTTTTGCCACTTTCAAGATGATTTTTTTTGCCTTCCAATAGTTTGATTATGATGTGTCTAGTTGTAAATTTGCTTGTGTTTATTCTACTTGGAGTTTATTGAGGTTCTTAGATATGTAGGGAATATCTTCAATCTTAGAAATTTGGGAAGCTTGTGTGGTCATTATTTCTTTAAATATATATATATATATATATATATATATATATATATATTTTTTTTTTTTTTTTACCCTTTCTCTCGTTTGTCTCCTTCTGTGACTCCCATTATGGATATGTTGTTATGCTTGGTAATGGCCAACAGGTATCTGAGACTCTGTTTATTTTTATTTCTTCTTTTTTTTTTCTGTTTCTCAGATTGGACCATCTTAATTGACCTATCTTCAAGTTCACTGATTCCTTCTTCTCCCTGCTCAAATCTGCTGTTGAGATCCTCTACTGATTTATAAATTTTATTTATTATACCCCTTCAGAACTTCTATTTGGTTCTTTCTTCTCTTATTTCTATCTATTAATACTCCACATTTGGTCATATATTATTCTCATACTTTCCTTTAGTTGTTTAGTTCTTTGTTAATATTTAAAATAGCTGACTTAAAGTCTTTTCTAGTAAATCCAATATATGGTATTCTCTGGGAAGGTTTCTATTGACCTTTTCCCCCCCTGCATATGGGCCATATTTTCTTCTTTCTTTGCATGTCTTGTAACTATTTGTTAATACTAGACATTTAAAACTGTAGTGTGGTAACTCTGGAAATAGATTCTTCCCCCTCTTCAGAACTTGTTGCTGTGGTTGTTTGCTGTTCTTGTTGTTGTTACTGTTTGTTGTTTAGTGACTTATCTGAACTAATTCTGTAAAGTTTATATTCCTTGTGTATGGACACTGAATTCTCTGCTCTGCTTACCTTAGTAGTCAGCTAGCAGCTGGATAGAGATTTCATTAATTGCCTGGAACCAATACATCTTCCAGTCTTTGCTGAGGGGTTCTTTTCTTGGGTTGAAGAGTTTCTTGAACACTCAGCCAGATAGTTTAAAACTCTTTCTTAGCCCTCACTTTTTGCTTACAGAGAAACTTGTGCTTAGACAGCAGTGACAGCCTAGGACCTTCTGAGGTCTTTCCCAAGTATATATACGGTTCTGAGCCTGTTCACAACTCTATATTTTCACATAGCCTTCTAGATTCCCAAGTATGTGTTAAAGTTTATCAAAGTCCCTTTTGGACATCTCATTTCCAAGATTTTTCTTTTAACCTTTTTGTTAGTCTATGGTTTGTGCCATCTTATTCACCACCTAAGATGCCACAACATTCAATTGTCTAATTGTTTTTAGAAAATTCTCCTGGCAAGAAGGCTGTTCAAGTCAGGTCAAATTAAGACAACTTCGTGAGTGGGTTCTTTTACGGAACCACCAGAGATGACAAATTATAACCGTTCTTTGGGAATGCAACCTTGTACTACCTCCAATCTTTTTCTTCTTCCTCCATGGACTGTCAGACTACTGGTTTTTACCATGATTGTGATCTATTGATGTTCAAAGTTACAGCAGGACTGAAAAAAGGTATGAAGATAGATAAGTTAAACTACAACAAAACTCACTTTCCTTATCAAGATATTGTTTTTTTCCTTGCATAAATATTCCCTGTTTTTGCTGCAAGTCTTTGATTAATTTCCAGAGTGCTGAAAAGTTGATTTCAACCATTTTTTTCTATAGTTCTTATTGCTTTTATACAGAAGAGGAATTTTACGTGTTCTTACTGTCATTTTTTTTTTGCTGGCATCTCATTTTTTAAAAATAATAAATTTTATTTTTTAGAATAGTTTTAGGTTCATAGTGCCATTGAGCTGCAAGCATAGAGTTCCCATGTAACTCCTGCTTCCACATGTATACAACCTGCTCTACTATCAACATCTTACATCATAGTTTTACATTTATTGCAAGAGATGAACTTACATTGACACATTATTACAAAGTACATTAGGATTCACTTGTTGTTGGAAATTTTATGAATTTTTTGAAATTTATAATAACATGTATTCATCATTGCAGTATAATACAGAATAATTTTACTCCCTAAAAATCAACTGTGCACCGTCCATTCATCTGTCAACTCCTCTTAACCTCTGGCAACCACTGATTTTTTAAGTGTCTCCATGGTTTTCCCTTTTCCAGAATGATGTATAGCTGGAATCATACAGTATGTAGTCTTTCAAAACTGGCTTTTTAAACCTAGAAATATGCATTTAAGTTTCCCCTGAGTCTTTTTATAGCTTGATAGCTCATTTCTTTTTAGTGCTGAATAATATTCCATTGTCCAGCTGTACCACAGTTCATTTCATTCATCTACTAAAGGACATCTTGGTTACTTCAATATTTTGGCAATTATGAATAAAGCTGCTATAAACAGCTATGCTCAATTTTTGGTGTGAACATATATTTTGGATTCATTTGCATAAATACCATGGAGCGTGATTTCTGGATCATATGGTAATGAATGCTATGTTTAGTTTTGTAAAAAACTGGGAAACTGTTTTCCAAAGTGGCTATAGCATTTTGCATTTCCACCAGCAATGAAAGAGAGTTCCTGTTCCACATCCTTGCCAGCATTTGGTGTTGTCCATATTTTGGATTTTAACCATCCGAGTAGGTATGCAGTTGTAGCTCGTCGTTTTAATCTGCAATTACCTAGTGACATATGTTGAACATCTTTTTATATGCTTACGTTCCATCTTTATATCTTCTTTGGTAAAGTGTCAATTCAGGTTTTTTACCCCTGTTTTAATTGGGTTGTAACATTTCTTATTGTTGAGTTTTAAGAGTACTTTGTATATTTTGGTTAAAAATCTTCTATTAGATGTTTCTTTTGTAAATATTTTCTCCCAGTCTGTTTCTTGCCTTCTCATTCTCTTGACATTTCTTTAACAGAGTCAAAGTTTTCAATCTGAATGAAGTTCAATATATCAATTTTTTTTCATGTATTGTGTCTTTGATGTTTTACCTAAAAAGTCATCACCATACCGAAGGTCATCTAAGTTTTTTTCTGTTATTTTCTAGAAATTTAATAGTTTTAAAATTTTATATCTGGGTCTATAATGTATTTTGAGTTAATTTTTGTAAAGGATGCAAGATCTGGGTCTAGATTCTTTTTTTTTTTTTTTTTTTTTTTTTTTTTGCATGTGGATGTCAGCATCATTGTTTTGAAAAGACTATCTTCTCTCCATTGTATTGCCTTTGCTCCTTTGTCAAACATTGGTTGATAATATTTATGTGGTTCTAATTCTGGGCCCTCTGTTCTATTCCATTAATTTATTTGTCTATCCCTTTGCCATAGCACACTGTTGATTATTGTAGCTTTGGGGTAAGTCTTGAATTCAAGTAACATCCAGCATTTTTCTTCTCATTCATTATTAGTTGGCTATTCTGGGTCTTTTACTTCTTCATATAAACTTTAAAGTCAGTTTGCTTATATGTACAAAATAACCTGCTGAGATTTTGATTGGAATTTCATTACATCTATAGTTTGAGTTAGAAAGAACCAACATTTTGATAATATTGAGTCTTCCTATTCATGAACATAGAACATCCATTTATTTCATTCTTTTTATATATCTTTTATCAGAGTTTTGTAGTTTTCCATATATAGATCTCATACATATTTTGTTAGATTTAAAGCTAAGTATTTCATTTTTGGGGGGTGGTAATATAAATGGTAAATGTGTTTTTAATTTCAAATCCCACGTGTTTTTTGCTAATATTTAGGAAAGCAATTGACTTTGTATACCAACCTTGTACCCTGCAACACTGCTATCATTGTTCATTAGTTCCAGGAGGCATTATTTATTTATTTATTTATTTATTTTTATTTTATTTTATTTATTTTTTATACTTTAAGTTCTAGGGTACATGTGCACAATGTGCAGGTTTGTTACATAGGTATACATGTACCACATTGGTTTGCTGCACCCATCAACTCGTCATTTACATTAGATATGTCTCCTGATGCTATCTCTCCCCCAGTCTCCCACCCCCCGACAGGCCTTGGTGTGTGATGTTCCTTGCCCTGTGTCCATGTGTTCTCATTGTTCAACTCCCACCTATGAGTGAGAACGTGCGGTGTTTGGTTTTCTGTCCTTGTGATAGCTTGCTTAGAATGATGGTTTCCAGCTTCATCCACGTCCTTGCAAAGGACATGAACTCATCCTTTTTTATGGCTGCATATTATTCCATGGTGTATATGTGCCACACTTTCTTAATCCAGTCTATCACTGATGGACATTTGCATTGGTTCCAAGTCTTTGCTATTCTGAATAGTGTCACAATAAACATACATGTGCATGTGTCTTTATAGTAGCATGATTTATAATCCTTTGGGTATATACCCAGTAATGGGATAGCTGGGTCAAATGGTATTTCTAGTTCTAGATCCTTGAGGAATCACCACACTGTCTTCCACAATGATTGAACTAATTTACACTCCCAACAGCAATGTAAAATCATGCCTATTTCACCACATCCTCACTAGCATCTGTTGTTTCCTGACTTTTTAATGATCGCCATTCTAACTGGCCTGAGATGGTATCTCATTGTGGTTTTGATTTGCATTACTCTGATGACCAGTGATGATGACTATTTTTTCATGTGTCTGTTGGCTGCATAAATGTCTTCTTTTGAGAAGTGTCTGTTCATATTTTTTGCCCACTTTTTGATGGGGTTGTTTGTTTTTTCTTGTAAATTTGTTTAAGTTGTTTGTAGATTTTTGATATTAGCCCTTTGTCAAATGGGTAGATTGCAAAGATTTTCTCTCATTCTGTAGGTTGACTGTTCACTTTGATGATGATAGTTTCTTTTGCTGTGCAGAAGCTCTTTAGTTTAATTAGATCCCATTTATCAATTTTGTTTTTTGTTGCCACTGCTTTTGGTGTTTTTGTCATGAAGTCTTTGCCCATGCCTATGTCCTGAATGGTATTACCCAGGTTTTCTTCTAGGGTTTTTATGGCGTTAGGTCTGACATTTAAGTATTTAATCCATTTTGAGTTAATTTTTGTATATGGTGTAAGGAAGGGATCCAGTTTCAGCTTTCTACATATGGCTTGCCAGTTTTCCCAGCACCATTTATTAAATAGGGAATAATTTCCCCATTGCTTGTTTTTGTCAGGTTGGTCAAAGATCAGATGTTTGTAGATGTGTGGCGTTATTTCTGAGGTCTCTGTTCTCTTCTGTTGGTCTATATATCTGTTTTGGTACCAGTACCATGCTTTTTTCATTACTGTAGCCTCGTAGTATAGTTTGAAGTCAGGTAGCGTGATGCCTCCAGCTTTGTTCTTTTGGCTTAGGATTGTCGTGGCAATGTGGGCTCTTTTTTGGTTCCATATGAACTTTAAAGTAGTTTTTTCCAATTCTGTGAAGAAAGTTATTGGTAGCTTGATGGGGATCGCATTTAATCTATAAGTTACCTTGGGCAGTATGGCCATTTTCACAATATTGATTCTCCCTATCCATGAGCATGGAATGTTCTTCCATTTGTTTGTGTCATCTTTTATTTCGTTGAGCAGTGGTTTGTAGTTCTCCTTAAAGAGTCCTTCACATCGTTCGTAAGTTGGATTCCTAAGTATTTTATTCTCTTTGTAGTAACTGCGAATGGGAGTTCACTCATGATTTGGCTCTTTATTTGTCTATTATTGGTGTATAGGAATGCTTGTGATTTTTGCACATTGACTTTGTATCCTGAGACTTTGCTGAATTTGCTTATCAGCGTAAGGAGATTTTGGACTGAGGTGATGGGGTTTTCCAAATATACAATCATGTCATCTGAAAACAGAGACAATTTGACTTCCTCTTTTCCTAATTGAATATCCTGTATTTCTTTTTCTTGCCTGATTGCCCTAGCCAGAACTTCCAACACTATGTTGAATAGGAGTGGCGAGAGAAGGCATCCTTGTCTTGTGTCAGTTTTCAAAGGGATGCTTCCAGTTTTTGCCCATTCAGTATGATACTGGCTGTGGGTTTGTCATAAATAGCTCTTATTATTTTGAGATACATTCCATCAATACCTAGTTTATTGAGATTTTTTAGCATGAAGTGCTGTTGAATTTTGTCAAAGGCCTTTTCTGCATCTATTGACATCATCTGGTTTTTGTCATTGGTTTTGTTTATGTCATGGATTATATTTATTGATTTGCATATGTTGAACCAGCCTTGCATCCCAGGGATGAAGCTGACTTGATTGTGATGGATAAGCTTTTTGATATGCTGCTGAATTCGGTTTGCCAGTATTTTATTGAGGATTTTCACATCTATGTTCATCAGGGATATTGGCCTAAAATTCTTTTTTTGTTGTGTCTCTACCAGGCTTTGGTATCAGGATGATGCTGGCCTCATAAAATGAGTTAGGGAGGATTCCCTCTTTTTTGATTGATTGAAATAGTTTCAGAAGGAATGGTACCAGCTCCTCTTTGTACCTCTGGTAGAATTCGGCTGTGAATCCTTCTGGTCCTGGGCTTTTTTTGGTTGGTAGGCTATTAATTATTGCCTGAATTTCAGAACCTGTTATTGGTCTATTCAGAGATTCAACTTTTTCCTGGTTTAGTCTTGGAGGGTGTATGTGTCCAGGAATTTGTCCATTTCTTCTAGATTTTCTAATTTATTTGTGTAGAAGTGTTTATAGTATTCTCTCATGGTAGTTTGTATTTCTGTGGGATCGGTGGTGATATCCCCTTTATCATTTTTTATTGCATCTATTTGATTCTTCTCTCTTTTCTTCTTTATTAGTCTTGCTAGCAGTCTATCAATTTTGTTGATCTTTTCAAAAAACTAGCTCTTGGATTCATTGATTTTTTGAAGCGTTTTTTTATGTCTCTATCTCCTTCAGTTCTGCTCTGATCTTCGTTATTTCTTGTCTTCTGCTAGCTTTTGAATGTGTTTGCTCTTGCTTCTCTATTTCTTTTAATTGTGATGTTAAAGTGTCGATTTGAGATCTTTCCTGCTTTCTCTTGCAGACATTTTTTAGTGCTATAAATTTCCCTCTATACACTGCTATAAATGTGTCCCAGAAATTCTGGTACCTTGTGTCTTTGTTCTCATTGGTTTCAAAGAACATCTATATTTCTGCTTTCATTTTGTTACTTACCCAGTAGTCATTCAGAACCAGGTTGTTCAGTTTTCATGGAGTTGTGTGGTTTTGAGTGAGTTTCTTAATCCTGAGTTCTAATTTGATTGCACTGTGGTCTGAGAGACAGTTTGTTTTGATTTCTGTTCTTTTACATTTGCTGAGGAGTGTTTTACTTTCAATTATGTGATCAATTTTAGAATAAGTGCAATGTGGTGCTGAGAAGAATGTATATTCTTTTGATTTGGAGTGGAGAGTTCTGCAGATGTCTATTAGGTCTGCTTGGCACAGAGCTGAGTTTGAGTCCTCAATATCCTTGTTAACCTTCTGTCTCATTGATCTGTCCATACTGATACTGATGTGTGAAAGTCTCCCATTATTATTGTGTGGGAGTCTAAGTCTCTTTGTAGGTCTCTAAGGACTTGCGTTATGAATCTGGGTGCTCCCGTATTGGGTGCACATATGTTTAGGATAGTTAGCCTTTCTTGTTGAATCGGTCCATTTACCATTATGTAGTGGCCTTCTTTGTCTCTTTTGATCTTTGTTGGTTTAAAATCTGTTTTATCAGAGACTAGGATTGCAACCCCTGCTTTTTTTTTTGCTTTCCATATGCTTGGTAGATCTTCCTCCATCCCTTTATTTTGAGCCTGTGTGCATCTTTGAACGTGAGATGGGTCTCCTGAATACAGCACACTGGGTCTTGACTCTTTATCCAATTTGCCAGTCTTTTAATTGGGACATTTAGCCCATTTACTTTTAAGGTTAATATGGTTATGTTTGAATTTGACCCTGTCATTATGACGTTAGCTGGTTATTTTGCCTGTTAATTGATGCAGTTTCCTCATAGCATCAATGGTCTTTACAATTTGGCATGTTTTTGCAGTGGCTGGTACCGGTTGTTCCTTTCCATGTTTAGTGCTTTTTTCAGGAGCTCTTGTAAGGCATTCCTGGTGGTGACAAAATCTCTCAGCATTTGCTTGTCTATAAAGGATTTTATTTCTCCTTCATTTATGAAGCTTAATTTGGCTGGATATGAAATTCTGAGTTGAAAATTCTTGTCTTTAAGACTGTTAAATAATGGCCTCCACTCTCTTCTGGCTTGTAGGTTTCTGCAAAGAGATCCACTGTTAGTCTGATGGGCTTCCCTTTGTGGGTAACCCAACCTTTCTCTCTGGCTGCCCTTAATATTTTTTCCTTCATTTCAACTTTGGTGAATCTGATAATTATGTATCTTGGGGTTGCTCTTCTCAAGGAGTATCTTTGTGGTGTTCTCTGTATTTCTTGAATTTGAATGTTGGCCTGACTTGCTAGGTTAGGGAAGTTCCCCTGGATAATATCCTGAAGAGTGTTTTCTAATTTGGTTCTATTCTCCCCATCACTTTCTGGTACACCAATCAAACATAGATTTGTTTTTCTCACATAGTCCCATATTTCTTGGAGGCTTTGTTCATTTCTTTTCACTCTTTTTTCTCTAATCTTGTCTTCTCGCTTTATTTCATTAATTTGATCTTCAATCACTGATATCCTTTCTTCCACTTGATCGAATTGGCTATTGAAGCTTGTGCATGCGTCACGAAGTTCTCCTGCCATGTTTTTCAGCTCCGTCAGGTCATTTAAAGTCTTCTCTACACTGCTTATTCTAGTTAGCCATTCATCTAATCTTTTTTCAAGGTTTTTAGCTTCCTTGCGATGGGTTGGAACCTGCTCCTTTAGCTCGGAAAAGTTTGTTATTACCGACCTTCTGAAGCCTACTTCTGTCAACCTATCAAACTTGTTCTCCAACCAGTTTTGTTCCCTTGCTGGCAAGGAGCTGCTATCCTTTGGAGGAGAAGAGGCACTCTGTTTTTTGGAATTTTCAGTTTTTCTGTTCTGGCTTCTCCCCATCTTTGTGGTTTTATCTACCTTTGGTCTTTGATGTTGGTGACCTACAGGTGGGGTTTTGGTGTGGATGTTCCTTTTGTTGATGTTGATGCTATTCCTTTCTGTTTGTTAGTTTTCCTTCTAACAGTCAGACCCCTCAGCTGCAGGTCTGTTGGAGTTTGCTGGAAGTCCACTCTAGACCCTGTTTACCTGGGTATCACCAGTGGAGGCTGCAGAACAGCAAATATTGCTGCCTGATTCTTCCTCTGGAAGCTTTGTCCCAGAGGGGCACCCACCTGTTTGAGATATCTGCCGGCCCCTACTGGGAGATGTTTCCTAGTCAGGCTACACAGGGATCAGGGACCCGCTTGAGGAGGCAGTTTGTCCATTCTTGGAGCTCCAATACTGTGCTGAGAGAACCACTTTCTTCAGAGCTGTCAGACAGGGACGTTTAAGTCTGCAGAAGCTGTCTGCTGCCTTTTGTTCAGATATTCCCTGTCCCCAGAAGTGGAATCTACAGAGGCAGTAGGCCTTGCTGAGTGGCAGTGGGCTCCCCATAGTTCATGCTTCCTGGCCACTTTGTTTACACTGTGAGCTACTCAAGCCTCAGCAATGGCGGATGCCCCTCCCCCGTCAAGCTGCAGCTTTGCAGGTTGATCTCAGACTGCTGTACTAGCAGTGAGCAAGGCTCTGTAGGCGTGGGATCCACCGAGCCAGGCACAGGAGAGTAACTCCTGGTCTGCCGGATGCTAAGACCATGGGAAAAGTGCAGCATTTGGTCAGGATTGTACTGTTTCTCCAGGTACAGTCTGTCAGGTCTTCCCTTGGCTAGGAAAGGGAAATCCCCTGACCCCTTGCTCTTCCCGAGTGAGGCAACACCTCACCATGCTTCAGCTCGCCCTCTGTGGGCTGCACCCACTGTCCAACCAGTCCCATTGAGATGAAGCAGATACCTCAGTTGGAAATGCAGACGTCACCCGTCTTCTTCATTGATCTCGCTGGGAGCTGCAGACTGGAGCTGTTCCTATTCAGCCATCTTGGAAGCACTCCCATCATGTGGTTTTAATTAACATTTTTCCTATGGCAGGGCCGCATGTGGTGGCTCATGCCTGTAATCCCAGCAATTGAGAAGCTGAGGTGAGTGGATCACTTGAGGCCAGGTGTTTGAGACCAGCCTGGCCAACATGACAAAACCCCATCTCTACTAAAAATATAAAAACTAGCCAGGCATCGTGGAGCACACCATGGTAATCCCAGCTACTTGAGAAGCTGAAACATGAGAATTGCTTGAACCTAGGAGGCAGAGTTTGCAGTGAGCCAAGATTGCACTGCTACACTCTAGCCTGAGCAACAGAGTGAAACTCTGTCTCAAAAAAAAAATTAATATTTTTCTTATTGCTAATAATGTGTCAGGCCTCTGAGCCCAAGCTAAGCTATCGTATCCCCGTGACCTGCTTGTATACACCCAGATGGCCTGAAGCAACTGAAGATCCACAAAAGAAGTGAAAATAGCCAGGTCCTGCCTTAACTGATGACATTCCACCATTTTGATTTGTTCCTGCCCCACCCTAATTGATCAATTGACTTTCTGACAATACACCCTCCCCACCCTTAAAAGGTACTTTGTAATATTCTCCCCCACCCTTAAGAAGATACTTTGTAATATTCTCCCCACCCTTGAGAATGTACTTTGTAAGAAGATCTACCCCTGCCCACAAAAAATTGCTCCTAACTCCACCACCTATCCCAAACCTATAGGAACTAATGATAATTCCACCATCCTTTGCTGACTCCTTTTTTGGACTCAGCCCACCTACACCCAGGTGAAATAGCCTTGCTGCTCACACAAAGCCTGTTGGTGGTCTCTTCACATGGACGTGCATGACATTATGAACCATTTGTATCTCCTTTTTAAATAAAATGGCTGTTGTAGTTTTTTGCATTAAAGAAATTGCATTACCTCTTTTTTTTTCTTAGTTATTGATTTGTAGGAGTACTTAATATATTCTGGTTATGAGTCCCTTGTTTGGTATTTGTATTGCAAATATGTTCTCTCACAATGTACTTCATCTTTTTACACTCTTTGTGGTATCTTTGATGCATAAAGATTTTAAATAAAAAAGAAATTTATAAATATGGGTCTTAGTATTTTTTTGGATCCTCTTTCAGAAATCTTTGCTTACCTTAATGTTATCAAGATAATATCTTGTGTTTTTATCTAGAATATTTTTCTTATTACCTTTCTCATTTAGAATTACTAATCTGGAATTGATTTTTTTATTTGGTAAAATATGAGATAGGGCCAATCTTAATTTCTTCCCATATAGATATAAAATTGACACAGCATCATTTATTGAAAAGACTATTCTTTCCTCATTGCATTGTTGAGATATTTTATCATAAATTGTCTTCCTATTTATGAACATAGAACATCTCTGTTTATTTAGTTATTTTTGTATGTAGTATATTGGTAGATGTAATTATATATTCTCTATTTTTTTCTGTTGTTCTATTTGTCTATCTTTGTGCCATTACCACAAATGGTTTAGTTACTGTAGCTTTATAATGAGTCTAGCTTTATGGTAATATAAAAGTCTTCCAACTTTTTTCTGATTCAAGAATATTTTTGCTATAGTTAGGCTTTTGCATTTCCATGAAGATTTTGAAGCAGCTTGTCAATTTCCAAATAAAGATTCCTCTGGGTTTTTCACTGGGGTTTCATGAGATCTATGAATTAATTTGAGGAAATTGACATTTCTGTTATAGCAGTCTTCCAATCTGTGTCTATCCCATGACTAATGAGGTCTTATTTAATTTATCTCAGTGAAGTTTTATAGTTTTCTATGTAGATGTTTTACTTACATTTCATTAAATTTATTGTTAGGCCGGGCATGGTGGCTCACGCCTGTAATCCCAGCACTTTGGGAGGCCGAGGCGGGTGGATCATGAGGTCGAGATCGAGACCATCCTGGCTAACAAGGTGAAACCCCGTCTCTACTAAAAATACAAAAAATTAGCCGGGCGCGGTGGCGGGCGCCTGTAGTCCCAGCTACTCGGGAGGCTGAGGCAGGAGAATGGCGTGAACCCGGGAAGCGGAGCTTGCAGTGAGCCGAGATTGCGCCACTGCAGTCCGCAGTCCGGCCTGGGCGACAGAGCGAGACTCCGTCTCAAAAAAAAAAAAAAAAAAAAAAAAAAAATTTATTGTTAGATGTTTGATCATTTTGATGCTGATGTAAGTAATGATCACTTTTAAAATTTCATTTTTATTACTAATATTCAGAAATACAGTTGATTTTTATTTATTGAACTATTATACAGTGACTTTTTAAATTAAATTTACTTATTCTTATAGTTTATCTGTATATTATTTTGGGTTTTCTACATATACAGTAATTTGTCATTGAATAGAGTTTTATTATTCTCTTTTTACTTGTTATGTTTTTGTTTCTTTTGCTTGCTATATTTTATGAATTAATTCCTCCAGACAATTATTAAACTGCAGTGATAGAAGATTTTATTGTCTCATTTTTGATTGCATAGAGAAAGTTTTCAAATTTTGTCATTGTTATGATCTTTGGGTTTTTGCAAATGCATTTTTCACATTATATTTTCAGTTTCTAAAACTTTTTTTTTTAATTTAAGTTTAAAATTCGATGTAATTATTTTGCATTTAATTTTGTCAAATGTTTTTAATGTATACTTTGAGGTTACCATATAGATTTTTGTTTATTCTATTGAAATGGTGTTTTTTACTGACTTATTTTATGATGTTAACCAACCTTGCATTTTTGGTATAAACCTCATTTTTTCATGATACATTATGTTTCTCTTATATTGGTCTAATTTATTTGGTAACATAAATGTTTTGTATACATGTCTTTATAAGGAAGTTTGGCTTATGCTATTCCTGTTTTTTCATGTTTTTGACAGATTATGGTATCAAAGTTATGCTGTCCTCATAAAACATAGTAAATAGTATGGGGAACAAGGCTCTTGACCCCTGTAATTGTTCACAGAAAAATCAGTGGCATGCAGAAGATTGATTAATAGGAGAAAAGGCATACAAATTTAGTTAATATATATACATGGGAGCTTTCAGAATGAAAATCCAAGCCTCCAATCAAGTATAAAACCTTATATATCATTTTAAGACTACAGAAAAAGTGGGGGCTTGGAACTTGGTAAAGTAGGTTATGAGAGGGGGCAGAAAGGGAATTCTGTTGAGGGGCAATAAATGATTACTAGAGAGAAAAATTGGAAGGGGAACAGAAATTAACTTATAAATAGTTCTCTTTGGAATTTAAATGGCCCTTGGAGAAAGTCTTTATCTTAAAAAAGGGTCTGTTCAGCTCTGATTACATTTTTGGTCTTCTTTTCTGTAATGGATAATGAGATAACAAGGAGGGGAACAGGAACAATTGTTCTCCTTGGTGGGTCAGTACTATCTTTATGTAGATAGAATAAAAATTTCTTCTAGGGCTTGTGGATCTCTAAGGTTTTAATTCAGAATACTTATTATACAAGACAACCATATTTTGGGGTGAAATTGTTTGATTCCTTTCAATAGTGTTTCCTCATTTTTAATTTTCTGAATTATTGGAAAATTGGTATTTTTTTTCCTTTCTTAGATTTTGGAAAATGTACCAATTAAGCCATTGAAGCCTGATTTTTTTTGGTAAAAAGTTTTCAAATTCTATATATATATATGTGTGTTTATATATATATATATATATATTTTTTTTTTTTTTTAAAGTAAGGACAGTACTATTCAGATTTGCAAACCCCTGTTTTAGTTGACAATTTTAGTAAATTGTGTTTTCAAGGAATTTGTCTCTATTTTTTTTGACTCATGGCTATTTAAAAGTGTTTTAATTTTTTCAAATTTTAAAGTTATATATTATTATTGGTTTTTAGCTTAATTCTTCTGTTATTAGAGAACATACACTATTTAACTTCAGTTCTTTACATTGATGCGTCTTAAATTTATTTCTCAAACTCTCCATTTTCACTTAGTTTCAGACATTAACACACACATACACTCTTTTAGATAGTATTATAGAGAGATAAATCATAGAGAGGCCTACTTATCCATCATTGCAATCTTAGGAACATTAATGTTTATGAGGAGAAAGAGGACACAACTAACTGTAACAGCCTGATGGGTTCTTCTTGCTCACTGCCCAGAAAAGTCAGTGCACTGAGACCAGCAGGTTTTGCAGCAAAAAAGGGTTTAACTATTGCAAGGCCAGCCAAGCAGAAGGATGGGAGTCAATTCTAAAATCCACCTCCCCAGAACCTTGTAGACTAGTGTTTTTAAGGATAATTTGATGAGCAGGGGGCAAGGGAATGGGTGCTGATGACTGATTGGGGATAAAATCATAGGAGTGTCCAAAATGGTCTTTGAGCATGTGCTGAGTCCATTTCTGGGTGGGAGTTATGGGACTGGTTGAGCCAGTTTCCTGCTATGTGTCACAAGTCTGAGCGGCATCAGGTGGTCTGCCCAAATGCAAATGTCTGGAAAATGCCTCAAAAACCAATCTTAGGTTGTGACAATAGTGATGTTATTTATGGGAGCCACTGGAGAGGTTAAAAATCTTGTGACTTCCAGAACAATGTCTGGTTATTGTTGAATGATACCTACATCTTAGCAGAATTCAGGCCCTGCCCATCATCCTAAACTGTGGTCTTTCATTAGTCTTCCAAAGGCAAATTCAGTCCTTGGAGCGTAGTCAGTTTGGGGAGGGATTCTTATCATGCTTGGTTCAAAGTTAAATTATTAACTAAATCCCTTCCATGGTTAGCTTGGCCTCACCCAGGAATGAGCAAGGACGGTTAGCTTGTGAGGTTAGAAGCAAGATGGAGTCAGCTATGCTAGATTTCATTCACTGTCATAATTTTTGCAAAAGTGGTTTTATAAGGAGAAAATTAAACATCAGTTGGGAGAAAGCACTTGTCACTTCCAAAAAAGCTAAGAGATGAGAGCTTCAGAAAAGAGCACAGCCCTTTGCCCCAATAGATATGTATTAAGTGGTTAAAATATCACTCTTTCCCATAATAATAAGATATTTTAAAAAATTCTGTGGCTGAGGCAGCCTTCCTACCCTGATGGAAGCCTTTTTGAAATCATATCTTACATCATAGTTCTCCAAACCATTAAAATCTGAATTGGCAGTGTGTTAAAAGTGTAGGGAATGAACAAACAGTGACTATAGAGATCACCTCTCTCTCTTTCAAAGGACAAAAGCAAAAATCAAAGAAACTAGCAAGGAAACAAACAAACAAAATATGTAGGAGGAAAACTATTATAAATCTTGGCTTAAAGGAGAAAATAAGACCAAACTACAGGGAAAATTCCTGGAGCATATAAAAACAGGAAATGGGCAAGGATAAGGAAAGCTCTAGTTTACAGGACAGACCAAGTGAATTTTTTTCTTAGGTTAAAGTCTTTAATGAGCTTTTCCCAAGCTTTTCCCAAAACTCACACATTTTCCGGTTTGAAGTCATTAGCATATCACAGGCATGCCCCTTTTCTAGTATGTTAAATTGTGATAACATTTCAATAGAAGAAGTGGGAACCTGACCTGCTGTTTTTCACTTCTTTCCTCATTTACATACTTGAAGGTTCAGGAAATAAATTTAAGAAGCACATGGCCTTTTAATTTCCCTTTCCAAATTTCCAACATTTTCTGGTAGCTTAGGTACACTTTTTTAAAGAAACTGCAGTAGACTATTTATATAAGATACGCTTGGAGAATATGCCTAATGCTTTTTCTCAAGACTACTGGTTTGCTAGATTTTCACTTTGGGGGTTTGTTACATCTTAGAGGACACAATTTGACCAGAGTGAGCTGTGTAGCCACAGAACTCTGATGGATTATAATAGTGAAGGCAGCATGTGATACCTCCTTGTCTCCTTTCTGGAGAGAATGGTCATGTTAGTGCTCAGGCTTTGGTTCTGCTAAGGGCCTTGGTGAGTTTGGTAGAAGATGAGTACCATCCCTTAGTTAGTGTTAATATTTCAGAAGAAAGGAGAAGCTAGTCTGCCTGGAGGAACTTGGAGGATGAGAGTCGGGTTGGAGTATATGCTCTGGAGAGAGGAGACAAGAAACAGGAATGGAAGGAAAAAAATTATGGCAGGAGACTGATGTTTCTCATCCAGCAAGCATATATATCTTGAGTAAATTCTTTTAAAACTGGTGAAGTATTTGAAATGAGTAGGTTTTTGTGGAAACTGAGAGAAGGGTTGAGCTGCATGCCCAGAGAGATGCATGGAAGAAAACAAGACAGACTATAAGAATGATACAAGTGAAATTTCCATCAACCCCCAGAGTTTTGCAAGGAATCTTGAGGCAATTATCAGACATCCAGCGGCTGAGGAGTGGGCTGGGGCTCATGCCAAGTAAGCACTGGTCTCCAAGGGGCAAGGGGCTCCATCTGACATGTCTCACATTTATGTGACGTTTCCTATTTTCCTCCCATTTCTTTTCTCTCTTCACTCTTTTAAGCTGATGATTTCTACATCTTTATCTTCAGCTGCATTTTTTCCTCCATGAACTTGATTCATATTTTCAACTGTATAGGAGATCCATAATCAGACAAACTGCAGGCATATCAAGCTCACAAATTCACTAGTGTTTCCATTGTTTTCCTTAACTCTCAAATTTCAACTTTTTCCATATATAGTGCTTTATATTTTGTTTAATAGTAACATAGCCAACCCATGATACATTGGGTGCAGTGCACCCGTGGCTTCTAGTTAGGTTTGACCAATGAAAGGCAGGTAGGAGGTGAGAGGGCAGGGGGAGAGAGACAGTTGTGTTGCCCTGCCACTTCTGTGTTTTGGAATTGCTCTTCTGGCAGTGGCTACCTCCACAACTGTATCTCTTGCTAAGGGTGACCTTTCCCACAGCTTCAGCTCTCATCCAGCTTTGGTAAAAATATTTCTTCTGTTTGTTGTTTCAGGCCTAAGTAATGACTTCCTGCTGTTGCTTATTTCTGGGTATCTAAGTATCTCCTCTTATTTTCTTCAATTTTGCCCCTAATGCTACATATAATCTCTTCATTAAATTCTCCTCAAATTCCCTGCCTAGCATGCTTTCTGTTTCCTGCAAACCTTGACTCTTACAGTTGTCTTGGTGTCTCCCATATTCAAAACTGAGCCAACCCCTCTGGTTCCTGTAGCTCATGTTGCCTTCAACAGAAAATCTCTGCTTCAGCCCCAACTCCTTGGGATTCAACTCTGACTTTAGTCCCTTTAGAGTATCCTGGTTTAGGTTCTTTAACCCCAATAAGTAATTAAGGCATTTTAAAATATGCAAACTTTTAACTAAAAAAGTTGTCTAGAATTTAAAGCCTTATCTCTGCAAGTTCCAACCAACTGCCTATCACTTTTCTTTCACTCACTCATTTATTTATTCTTTATAAATTGCATGAGGTCAAGAATTCACTCTCCCTCTTGTTGACTTTATTTCCAGAGCCTGACAAAGTACTCATTACATTGTATGAACTTGATGAGTGTTTGTTAAAAGAGTGAATGAATAAATGGATGAATGAATGAGATTTCCAGAAATGACTTTTGCCTGCCATATAGTTGCATTTTAGCTCTGGGTTAGTGTGGTCAATTGTTTGCAAGGATGACTACAACACTTCTTGCTATCTCTGTGTGCGTGCCCCCTTGCCGGGTGACTTTGCCAGTCCTCCCATGGTACAGTGGCATCTGTCTTCCCTTCATCTGTGCCTGGGCTAGGCCTCTGACTTTCTTTGACTATCAAAACTTGGTGGAAATGATGTAGTGTGAGGGAAGGCTGTCAGAGGACTTGCAATTTCACCCTAGGATAGCTGTAGGAAGGTTGTCTAGCTGACTGGAGGAAGAGAGGCCACGTGGAAGAGGACCAAGCAAACTCAGCTGACAGCCAGCACCTGAGTGAAGCTAGAATCTTGTAGCCTGCCAACCATTCTAGATGAATGGAGCCACAAGATGATCCCAAGTGAAGGCTCGAGAGAGGCCACCCAACCAACCCATGGAATCAAGTGACATAATAAATTGTTGTTTCTTTAGGCACATGACTTAAAAGATGACGTGACTTTAAAGATTAATAAATCAATATCTTTCCCTTTAAGGAACATATAATCTATTGGGAAAGACATATCACATACACTAATAATTCCCGGGTTTTGTTTGAGTAGATTATGGATACATTTGTAAAATCTTTTTCCTGGAGTTGTGAATAATTCTTGGCAGCTAGGAAAAGGACATCTAACAAAATAAAATGAAGACAGAAAGACCTTGAAAAAAATTGCATTTGGACTAATACACATGAAATATTGGAAACAGGGGGAGATATACATACATAAAGCCAAGAAATTTGAGCCATTTATTTCATGCATTATTTAGGAAGGAAGTATGAATTTAGTACTGTCCTGACCATCTCAGTTTTCCTCCATGGATGCATGCAAGAAGAATATATTTACACTGGGTTCTATACAGATATTATATATATTTCATATACAGGCTCTGACAGACTCAATTCAGAGTGAAGAGTAAGCTTTCAGATACTTTTCATTGCATTTATATTATAAACTCCATTTGGTGGGTGAATATCACTGTAAGCCTCAGCATTCATATGCTAATGTTATAAGTTGGAGTTGTCAAGAGAATTATGCACAGGCTTGAGTACATGTGTGTGTGAGTGAGTGATATTTGTGTTTGCCAAAGCAGCATGTGCTCCTAAAGGGAGAGTGTGTCTTATCTTACTAGCTGTCTGGTCTCAGTTTCTCTCTCTAATGTGCCAGGAAGAAAATGTCTTCATCACTGAATATTTTGGTGATGCACAGATTCCAGGATGCCTTCCAGTGGTATGAGACATCTGTGTGTGTGTGTGTGTGAGTGTGCGTGCGTGTGTGTGTGTGCTGTGTATGTCTATGAATGCTTTTGTGCGTGTGTGGGCATACACGTGTGTGTACATATATTTATTAGGAATAGGGTATTAGGATGATTTTTGCTTTTGCATTCTCATCATTTCATGCTATATTTGTAAACATTCTCTCAGATTTGAACTCTTTTGGCTGAATGATATTTATGAAACAATTCAACATTCCACAGACAGAAGGAAAATGCTCTGGGACTTCACAGTTAATACTTAAATTGATCCTATGTTTCTATAAGAACAATAACCTTATTTAATAAAGCCTTTTCTGTATATCTTAAATTTTCATATCCTTATAACAACAATAAGAAGAAGCAGAAGGATGGATTTTAACATAATTAGAAGGTAGAGTTTGAGCAGTGAGACCATAGGAGAGGGTGGGGGGAAGGTCAGTTCATGTGAAGCCAGGAATGCTTTACTAAAGTCTTGGATGTTATTCTCTGGGCAGTAGGCTGGTCATTGATGGATTATTAGCTAAGAGATAAGATGACTGAATTCAATATTTTGGAAGGTTTACTCAGGCAAGACTGTGGAGGAAAGAACTGTCTGAATGAAAGTAGCTGCTCTTTCTCACCAAGCCAAATGAGACATTTTATCCACAATCAAATATTTCTGAGCAAGTCCTTTAAAAACTAGAATGTGGAGCAGTGTTTCTGAAAGTGTGATTCTGGGTCTACCTGCATCAGAATTACCCAGGGGATGCTTGCTGAAGAGGCTAATTTCTGGTTTCTATCTTAGACCTACTGAATTAGTATCTTGGCAGATTGTTAATATTTCATTCTGACTTTGTTCAAACTGCTCTCTTGTCCAGAACATTCTCTCATCCTTCTTCTCCATCCATTAGGTTGAATACACACCCATTTTTTTTTGTTTTAAACCTAGCTACAGTCTTGCTTTCTTCAGGGAGTCAGTCTTGAATCTGGGTAGAATTGACCACTTTCTCCATTGTGCTCCTACTGCCCCTTTTAATTAATCTGTAGTGCCACATTAATGCATCTGTTTGTTCATGTTGTATTCTTCCCACTAGATATTTTAGGGAACAGTGTTGATGACATATGTCTTTGTTTCTCCTAAGCTTAGATGCTTCATAAACACAGTTGAATGAATATATGAATAAATGAAGCCTTCTTGGTCTTACCTACACCTCTAATCTTCCTCTGGCTAATTGTGTTTAATTTGACAAGTGTTTATGGAATGTTTATTCTGTGCCTAATTCTGTGCTTACTGCTAATGGAAGATGGTTTTCACTTGGTTCAATGTAGCACATCCAGTTGAAACTAATATGCTGTTGTTGTATGCCATCATGCTGTGGACAATTTCCAGGTGAAGAGATCAACATGAGCTCATGATAGCTCAGATGGTTAGGTGCAGGATTTGGGATTTATAAATGGACCTTGAGGGTCCAGTAAGATTTGAAAAGGTGAGGAGAGACCATGACATTCACAGTCAATGTTCAAGTAGGAATGTATATGGAAAGAGTACAAATTCACAATAAAAATGGAGGGTGAAAAAAGATTAGTAAATTGAAAACAGTGATAATACGTAAGTATGAAGAATAAACAGACAATTCTTAAAGGAAAATAATTGGAATTCCTGACAACATCTAAGAAAATCATTCTATTTTACAAAATGGAACAAATGGGATGTAAACAGTGGGAAGCAAAAAAAAAGCAAATGAAAATATTTAAAGCCATGGATTTGTCTAAATGGCTTCAGGGCATCTTCTCTAAAGAATGAAGCTGTACATGACATGACATGACATGGGCACAATGGATGAGGTCACTGTGCCTATTTTCGATTTTTCTTGTGATAAATTGTGACTTCAAAATGAATCTGAAACCCTCAGCCCTGGCCCACTGGAACAAGTGAGGCCTGTCCTTCAGGTTACATCAGAGCTTGTAGTCCTGGGATTCCTCAGCAGGGCAGCTCTGTGGGGAGCTGGCACAGTCTATCTTGTAATGCAGAGTCACTCACTGGCCACCTCAGGAGCTGTTTAAAAGGTAGAGTGATGCCTAGTCTAGGTCCCAGTCACAGATCTTCAGACATGGCCAAACTCCTATTCTCCTTATGAGTTTTTGGAAAGTATGGTACTTTTATTAAGTGCATTTAAATTTCTTTATCTGTGAACAGCGTTTGGTGATAGCCTTCTGTTGGCCTTTGCCAGTGAGAACTTTGACCCCAAGAGTGAGTCAACAATGAGGTCTATTATTTTTTCCTGGGTAGCCTCATCTGTGACTTTGGTCTCTCCAGGCTTGTAATGGTAGTACCATCTGGTACGTGAAGCAGTCTGGGACCTTCTGCTTATGTGTTTCCGAAGAGGAGACACGAAGTCAATGGATACCAAAGGGCAGAAGAGTTGTGCAGAGAAGCAAATGCTAAGGCAGGTGCACTTGGCTGGCCAATGCCTAAAACCCAAAGAAAGTTGAACTGTGTATCACTAAGATATCAAACAAAAATGACACACATAAATTTAGAGAAAGAAGTATTGAGCAAACATGGTTTAAGGTTTGTGAATTATAGGACTAGATAAATGAGAACTAAATCGCCAGGACAACTTACAAGATTTCTGTCTCATGAAAGTTCTCAGAGATTCATTAGATTTTATTTCTCTGTGATGGCTGGCTCCATAAATTTTGGGCAAAAGCAGGATTGGGGATAAAGACCCACACCTATAGTCTATGAGTTTTGTGCCTACCTTGAAGACTGTTGATTCTGCCAGTTATACCTTGGAAGCTGTCATGAGTGTGTTTTTTTTTTTGGATTCGGAAGGGGATTCTTTCAGAATGGCCATGTACAGATTTGAGAGTTGGAGGGGGTGTGGTTCAACCTCACGCTGCACCATTTGCAGAGGGAACTCCCTCTAATGACCTTCCCTAACATTTATTCTTCTCTAAAACTGGGATTTGGCTGACAAACTACATGAATTACTACATCTTTTTATTTGTGTGAAGCAGAGACAGGAAATTTATGGAATAGGAAGTGATAAATCAAAGACATGGGGCTGAATAAGAAATGGCTCTCTCAAATTTTTTTATTTGTTGATGCACTGGCAAAAAATGAACAGCCTAGAAAAGCGAAGACAGTAAAATACTGCTGAGTTCTTTCTCGAAACACACAACATAAATGTAATGCATTATATTCATTTATGCTCCTAGAAGGCACAATTTTTTTGAGTGCTTGAAAGAAAAGATGATTTGATACATAGGAAAAGAGTGCTAGAAGAAACTTAAAACATTTGCCACTGGAACATCATTTCAAACCTGTCAGAAATGAGCGCAGGAAACAGGAAACTTCTGCCTTGACAATGTTTTTGGAAAAATGGGCCAACTAAACAAATATCATTTGAAGGCAGTAAGGAGCAAAATGCTCAGAAACACAATTTTATTTCCTTTTACAAATTCTTCCCCCAGAGTTTTTAGTCACTCACAAAACAGATGTCGTTTTTGAAAATGCAGAATTGCAAAACACAAAAAAATCAGCATCCTTCAAGAATACTGTTGTGCTTTCTTCTTATTTGCTGGTAGAAAACATGTGTGTCTTGAATACCAATTATCTTTTCAGTTCAGTATTTTCTTGGGAGAACAAAAACTTTCTGGTACAGCTGCAGAGCAAAAACAAAATGGTATCAGAGAAGAGCAACTAGCACCTTGGAACCAGCTGTTTATGCTATTTTGTCATCATCTCTTTAACCCTCTGTGTCCTGAATAAGAGTGGGGAACAATCTGGAATATAATTGTGTTTGTGTGTGTGTGTGTGTGGGAGGGGGGGTGTGGGTGTGTGTGTGTGTGGGTATGTGCATGCATGCATGTGTGTTTAAAGCTTTCTCAGCTTCCATTGTATGCAGTGCTGTAGGAAGACAGACAAACCTGTGCTCCAGTTCCAGGTCTGCCACTTGTTAGTTGTGTGACATTGGGAGTTCTATTTAACATTTCTAAGCTTCACTTTTCTCACCTGTAAAATGACTGTAATGATGTTGACCTCACAGGGTTGTTATGAGAATTAAGACAATGCATGTTAAAGTACTTAGTGTACTACATGCTACATAATAGGTGCTCAATGGAGGCTAGCTATTATGAGATTGCAATCTATTTGAGGTCAAGGTCTTATTTTTGTGTCCTGCTCGAGGTTCTTTTTACAGTGATAGGCACAAAAAATATTTGATATTCAGATAATTGTTCCTCTGAAGCGTCCCATAAATATCCAAGCACCTACTGCATGTCAGCACTTTACTGTCCTATGGTAATTTTCCAATAAACCTGTATAATTGTGTCATTATTGCAGTTTCACCAGATAGGAAACTGACACGCAGAGAAATTGCTCAAGTTCAAGTCAATTAGTGGTAGAACGGGGGTTCAAACCCAGTCTTCACATTTTAAGTCTAGTATTCTTTCCAGAGAAACTTCCTAAAATGAAACAAAATAAAACAACCGTAACAACAAGATAAAACTAAACCAATAGGGTTGAGGATATATTAGTGTATCATTGTATCATATTATGCACTCAGTGGAAAAGTCAGTCTGCAAAACCAGTGGAAGGCAGGTAGCCTCTGGGGCTCTGATTTAATCAAGAAGCCTCAGAGGTACAAATATTCAAACGGGAGATTTACTAGGATCTGGAGGTATGGAGCCAGAGAATGCTTCCAATTGAAATTATAATTTCATCTTTCCAATCCACAGAAAGTGCATTAGCTCTAATTTATGTTATTCTTAGCCAGGCTCATTGACACCTTTGATGTTTTGCAGGGTTCCATTAGCTTTCAGAAAAGAAAATTTACAGGAAGCTACATCACATGTGGAACACATTTATTAACATATTGCTAAGAACTATAAACTTTTTAAGAAAAGCAATTTTTTATATAAAAGACTTTATTCCATGTCTTTTAGCTCCATGCAGACTAAGAGAGTCTTCAAAAAAGCGAAGGAATAAAGTACAAAGTAATAAAGTAAGGTATTGTTATTTCTCTAGTGTGAATGAAATTGGTGAAAAAAATGGTTTTTTCACAAGTTCCTTCAAAATAAAATCAATGGGGAAAAAACAGCAAAGAATAAACAAACTATTTACTTCCCAGAAAGAGGAATATTTTTATATGAAATGTTGAGTCCCGGAACAAGAACAACATGATATTTGTCTCATTGCCTCTCTTCTCAGAAGGCATTTAAAAGTTTTTTTTGAAACAAGACCAGGGCAGCTTACTTTGGAATTGAGTTCCCTGATACCATCCACATGATGTTTGGAAGCTGAGGCTCAGACACCTCTGGGCTGCCTGGAATATGGCTGCCAGGGCTGCATGATGAAGACAGTAACTGTGAGGAAGAGGAGGCTGGGCTGTCAGGGACAGTGTCTAGCAGCCAGGCCAAAGCTGAGCTGGAGGAAGGCCCCAAAAGAACCCCCTCCACACCCCAGATTGGAATCATAGTCCTTTGCACAAGGGCCTCTTGCTGCTGGGTACTATGGGCCTTTTGTCTCCTAGATGTTTTCTCAGCCTACCCCCACCTCTCCAAGGAAAGCAAAATGAATTTGTATTCATTTTCTTTTCTGTTTTGTTCCAACTAAGATGCTCAAAAGGGCTTACTTCTCTCTCTCTCAATTTTTTTTTTTTTTCTAGGCAGGGTCTCACTCAGTCAGTCAGGCTGGAGTACAGTGGTAAAATAATAACTCACTGCAGCCTCAAACTCCTGGGCTCATCTCAGCCTCCCAAAATGCTGGCATTACAGGTGTGAACCACTATGCCTTGCCAGAAGAGCTTCCTTTTTGCTTTCTGATGATTTTTTGGAGGGAAGCAGATATTTTAATTTTTCTAAAATTTGTATATTTGTTATCTTGGTATGCTCTAGGCCAAGCCACACTCTTTTTGTGTGTGGGGGTAATGGTGGGAAGCTAAATTGGCTGGAGTTAAACCCCACTCCGACTTTCTCTTTTGGAACATTTTTCCAGATTATAATTGGTCTTGGGAAATGGAGACCCATTGTAGATTTTGCCACTGATCTGGCTGCCCTAATATTGTGGTGGTGGGGTAGGCAGGGGCTGATCACATAATGTGGGACCTATGTCAGGTATAATAGTCACAGGTGAGGTTGGAAAATGAAGAGGTTCTTACTCTTCTCTCTTACTACAATGCCAGAAAGACACCACTTCTTAATGTTAAGGCTGCTCTTTATTCCAAAGTTCTTTTGGCCAGCCTATTGCCTGGTGAATTTTTGCCATGGTGAGCCATGAAAACTGCTGTTTCAAAAGTTGTAGGGATATAAATAGAAACGCATTTATCTTTTAAGGTGACTAACCACCCTGGTCTGGCCAAAACTGAAGGGTTTCCTGAGACATGGGATGTTCAATTTTATAACCAGGGTAGTCCCAGACAAACAGGGGCAATTGGTCACTCTATCTTAGGATGGCAGGGCATAGAGCATTGAACTGAGCATGAGAAGCCCTGGAATTAAGTATTGGCTGTTTATCCAGCCAGCTGTGTGGCCTTGGGTAACCTTTCAGAACTTCAATTTCCTCAGCTGCAAAATGAAAGTTCTGCCCTGTGGTCCATGGGGTTCCTTCCTGCTTCAATAGTCCATGATTTCAAGACTATTTACAGTGACTGCAAAGAGAGCAAAATTATAAATAGTTCATATAATGTCTTAAAAAGGGTGTTTCCAGCTTGGATAGAGACTCTGCCCACACTAGCAAACTGGCAATGCCTCTATCTCTGTTCCAAGCAGCCCTGTGCTACTGCATCATCCTGCAGTCACCTCTGAGAGTTCAGAGCAAGGGACCTCAGCCTCCTGTGCCCCTCTGTGCCCTGCTCTATGGAAATTTCCTGTGAGCTGGGCCTGCCATACCCTGAGTCACCTGAGTTTAGCCTGTCGTCACCTCCCATTTGGACTGACTTCACTTCTGTTTTCATGTTTTTAATAGTAATGCGCTACCTTAATTATATATTCTACAGTTAAAACTTTTCATTCATTAGATTAGTTTTTCTCTACAATTCCCAATTAATCTGACCTACTGAGGCTTTACTATGTCTAACTATAATAAGACATGTGGCTACACATTAAATTAGCACAAATCTTCTCATTGTGATAGAAAAATTACTGCACTTCTTAGCCACAGTCTTATTTATACTTCTGTTATCAGCTGTAATTTGTAAGTTTAAAACAAACTCATCGCCATCATTCGTATCACAAATACCATGTTGGATTCTTACTTGATTTAAAATATTTAATTTCAACTGATACTTTGCATATTTTGAGGTAGCTTATACAATTAAATAATGTAAAACAGGATAATCAAGTATAAAATTAGAACAGAGGCTGTCTATAGCAATAGATGAAGAAAAATCACTTGACTCTTCAAATATGATTATAATGTTTAATAACAGCTAATAAAAGGAACCAACAGCAGATGAGTGCTTACTGTGCCCAGCACTGCTACTTCACATGAACTATATCATTGTTTCATAACAGCGCGCAAAGGAAACACTCTCATGTCTGATCAATGAAAACATATACATTATTAGATTATTAGAGAACAACTTTTTCCAGAATTAAATTAAAGAGACACTTTCATTACGCATATACTTTGTTAAAGCACATTAGATAACATGTGAAAACCTGTTTTTTCAATTATGAGTTTGCAAAAGCTGACAACAGTATTGAAAAGAGTTTTTGACCTATAAAAGCTTAGGCCGTACCATAAAATTGTAATTTAGCAGAATATTGAATTTATCGTCAAAGGCTGAATAATTTTCTTTTAGATAATCTGCATTAAAATAAGGAAGGAATTGAGTGAATGTCGAGTAGAGAGTTAGCATGCCCATTTAGATACTCTCTTCAACACCAGGACTTAAGTCAACCATTGTGAGGTTCCAGGTCACAGTTACATCAAGATCAATTTCTTCAGGCAGGTGTTCTTGCTTCTGTGGTTAACCTAGTACCATATATTTGATGTTACAAATGTGTAGAAAGCAAAGAGATATTTTTGTTTGGTTGCTTAAGAAGCCAGTTCTTATTTTCTCCTAGGCAGAGGTCCTATGTGCAACAAGGGCAGGGACAGTGGGAATACATGTAGGAACAGTAGTGGTTTTCCCAAAGAAAAGCTTCCCACACACTTGCACAAGTACTTGGCACAGATCCTAGAATACTGTACCATACAGCCTGAAGGAATTCATCTTAGCGTGAAACAATCTTAAAGGCATTTGTTACCAACAGACCATTTTGTCCAAGAAAGAAGTATATCCTGACTAGCTGGACAGAATAAAATTAACTATAAAAAGCATTTCCTTATCTATTCGAAAGAACTGATGCATTGTGTGTGGAGTAACTTAAAATTGATGATGTTAATTGAAATATAATTAATTTGGGAAATGCCTTTCAGTTCAATGAATTTGCTTTTAGACTTAATGTTTGATACCTATTTGCATTTCCTGAAAGTAACTACGAAGTGGGTTGATTTTATATGATAATTAATGCACGTCACCAGAATTTTTTTAAAAAAGAAGTATATTCTCCTGTAACGTATGTGCATGGGGGAGAGGGCTAAGTCAGGTATTCACTGTATTTATTAGATATACCAAGTTGCTTGACGTAAAATTAATAAGACAGCGAATTAAGACACAACCATGGTTAACATTATTTATATGGGCATTTAGATGTATATGAGAATACTCTTGTTGATTGTGATTTTAACTTTAATATCAAGGTACAATAGCCTCTAATATCATGACTATCCAAGGTTTTGTATCCATTGGCATTATTGTACACAGTAACAATAAAATCTCCAAATAATACTTACTATTTGCTGGGCATTGCATTAAAGCACATAAACTCATTTGATCTTATGTTCCCTAAATGGGGAAGGTACATCTTTTTATTATTATCCTCGCTTTATGGGAGGAGAAACTGAAGAGCAGAGAAATTAACACAGCTAGTACACAGAGAATACTGGATTCAAACCAGGGCAGCCTGACTCTGGAGTCTCTCTGTTCATAACCGATATAAAGTATTGCTGCAGTGATAGATTGGTGAATTTCATAAATGGTCTTAAATTGCTTTGATTTGCTATTTCATGGAGATAAAGTACTCCATAAAACTGATCACAGTGAGAAAATTATGCCTAAAATGCTCTTACTCCTAATAAAATTATTGCTTTTGGGAAAAATTGTGGTCCTAAAATTTGTTTAAAATTAGTCTGCTATGTTATTTAGAAAAGAAAGTCTAGTAGTCTAGTGGGCCTATTGTTTTACATAAATAAAATATTTTTCTTTTGGAAGACAGGACAACTTTTATACTTTTCCCAAGAGAATTAGGCCTCTACAGCTAATTAGAATCCATAATTTTGAAAAATTAGAGTTCCCTTAAAATAAACTCTTAAGAGATTTCACAATAAGAGACCTTCTCCTGGGGCCATATTTTCTAATTTTTTTTTTTTTTCTTGAGACGGGGTCTCACTTCTGTCACCCTGGCTGGAGTGCAGTGGTGCAATCTTGTTTCACTCTGCAACCTCGACTTCCCATGCTCAAGCAATCCTTCCACCTCAGCCTCTTGAGTAGCTGGGACCCAGGTGCACACTACCACGCCTGGCCAATTTTTTGTATTATTATTATTTTTTAAAATTTTAGTAGAGATGGGGTTTCGCCATGTTGCCCAGGCTGGTCTTGAACTCCTGGGCTCAAGCGATCCATTGGCCTCAGCCTCCCAAAATGCTGGGTTAGAGGCATGAGCCACCATGCCCGGCCCATATTTTCCAATATTAGAGATTAATCAGACATTTTAGGGTAGATGGAGTTCCAGGCTCCCAGGTGGGCCAATTTCTGGAACTTACAAAATGCAGAGACCATGATGGCTGAGGAAAGTGACTTGTCCAGTCATTGATAAGAAGATAGAGACAAACACTTCCAGATTCCTTTCACAAAAGTCATGCAATATCTCAGAACCTGCACTTAGTTTCTCCTCACAGCTGAGCCTCCAAACTCCCAATGGGGTCAATTATAATTATTTGCACTCTAGGAAATTTTTACTAAAATAAATTGTTGGTAAAAGGCTATTGTGGCAATATCAAATAAAATATACATTTCCTAGGCTTTAGACAGTTAGTATTATACCAAAATATACACTGGCAAATTCTTTTATTCCCCTCTCTCAAGTAATGATGTAATAAAGTTGATCTAAGTCAATCTATGATATAAAGAAAAAAATGATCCCAAAAGACAGATGAGTTAAGTACTATCAAATCAAGTAGAGTAGATTAATTTAAGAGTTGGAAAATTCTCACTTGATTCAAACTTCATATTTTTGTAATAAACAAGATAATTTAAAATAAAAATTATTAGAAATGTTTTATGCCATCAAAAATTTCATTACCAGAGGCACTTTCTGTCTTGTCTATGCTCAACTCCCAGATGATTATATATGGATGTAAGTTTTGAGAGTCAGGTTAAGGCATTCTGATAGTCTAAGAGTCCAGAGTGATATTTATGAAGCAGAAAGAAAGGCTGTTTCACATGCTGGGAATCAGAGACTGTGCTGTGGTACTGCAAGGAAGCTGCATATTTCCTTCCATTATTTTATTGGAACAAGATTTATTAATTAATTCATTCAACAATATATAGTGAGTTCCTACGATGTGCTGGGCACTTGACCTAAGATTTTGTGTTTCGAAATGTCACAGATGTAGAAGAAATTAGTAGATAATAATAAGATAATTAAAAATGTAAATTATTAGATAGTTCTTCTGACATAAAGCAATTTCTTCTCTGTGTTCAATTGCAAAAAGAATAAAACATATTTGGCTATTTAGTTTTTTTTTTTCTTTTCATCATCCCCAGCATATTTGCTAGTAGGAAAAAATTCCAAGTATTAATAACTTAGTTTTTAAAATTCATAACTGAAGACAATAAAGTAGCATACCTGAAAAGTTCATAGATGTCATTCTAGTCTCTCTTGTGGAAGGACCCAGATAAAAGTGCAAATCTGGCTTTTTTTTTCCTACTTTAGTTTTTCATGTCATGGTGATCTTTTGACATGTGTCAAAAAGCCTCTCAGACCTTTACAAAATAGGTAGTATTTAAAAGTGCCTCACAGAAAGATTATTGTATGTAAAAGAACTTACTGTTTTTGCATTTATTTAACAAAAATATATTGTGCTTCATTTTATGTCAGTGTTATCTTAGGCAAAAAGTGTAAAGCAATGAAAAGGTCTATTTTGGTTTTCAGTGGGCTCACAATTCATTTGTTTATTAACTATGTGCCAGATACCTTTCTAGGTACAATCGAGTTGAAAGTCAGACATGAAAATGAAGTCTCTTGGTATGTAATGATGAAGTGCTGTAATAACAGAAATAAGTAATGTTGATGTATTGCAAAATCATAGAGAAAGAAAGCGTCTACATTTGAAATTATCAATGTGACAAAGAAGAAAATGCTCACATTTCCAATTAAGTAGCCCAAACATTGGGGATAAATTGTTTGTGTCATAGCTCAATTCAGTTTTATTTTGATTAATTTTGGACTTTTGAATCTATATCATAAAGTTCTACTTAGAGTAAGAAAAAAAGCAATGAAAGCGTCAGCTATTGGCTACTCTATTTTGGTCTCTGACATCAAGAACTTTGTGAGGGTGTGTGTGAATGTATAATGCAATGTCCATGTACTATGCTTTACAATTTTTGAAATCAAAGTACTCAATCAGCATTAATTACGAGATATTGTGTTGTAATTTCGGAGTGAATGTACAATGGGCAGTCTTCTAAATTGTGTGCAATTTTCCTTTTCTTTTGAATTTCCACATGGAGCTTTCCCTATTATACATTAAATTGAGAGGCAGTTAGTTTCACATTCTAGGGATCCAAACATTAGATTTTTATATTTTCATGTGTTATGTGCAAAGTATGCCTATTTATGGAAAACTTGATCCTTGTCATTCTCTTCATAGCACACATTTTCTTGGTCTCCAGTAGAAAAAAAAACAAAACTTGAAACTGTTCCTTTTGGTTTTGTAAGTCATATCTAAGGGATTCTAAACCACATTTAATTACACATGACAGAAAAGCTTCATGTGCTAATGTTCTTCTGGTTGAACCACCATGAATTCCTGCTAAAATTTTCATAAGCCTTGGAGGCAATTCTCTAGAGTATCCCCCAGAGCATTTCCTGGACACCAATGATGCAAGAATTTACCATCCCACTGATGGTTGTCCCAGAGCACCCTGGGATGAATACGCCTGTTCCCCGAAAGCTGCTCATGGACCATGATGCTACTATAAATGGCTGAAATGTGATGCAGCTTCCCCTACAACTTCCTCCAACTCAGCCTAATGGAGATTAAGATCCATTAAGGGCTCTTTGCTGCATGTGCAATTTCTATCGATCAGATTGACTCACTTCATTTGAGCCAATGATCCTGTTACAAAAGCTGCCCCCTTCCAGTGTTTTACCGGCACAGGGAAACCTGCAGATGCTCTGTACTGTAACAGGCAGTCCAGAGAAGGGCATCAGATTGTGTTTTCCAGACCCTGCTAAACATAATCTGCAGGATGTAATTCTTAAAAGTGTTCATGAGTTATTATCATTTATGCTCTTGCTTCAGGTTGAGATAAAGGTTAAGTCTATTTAATTCATTTTAAAAATAAACATTTGATTGTGAATGTCTATGTTAACCGCAAAACAAATGTAGTATGAGCAATACTGTGGCTTAGAAATGAGGTTTCCCTGAACTGGAAACCTGTGAGGAAAGCAGCTGCAGAAAGGAAATATTTGCTTATAATGACAGATTGTTATTAAATTAATAGTTACCTTTGTCTGTAAAAGGAGGTGTTAAATAAGTGCCAGACATTATTGCTTTAGTGGTCAATACTAAGTGGAATCATGGATTTAGAAAAGATGTAAGAAGTGAACCTTCTAGAAAGAGTTTATGGGAAAGGATAAGAATAGAGAAGTAGTCTGGTCAGAGTCCATGTAACAGTGCCTTTATCCTGAGTGAAGTTCTTTGCCTAATTCCATGAATATATTACATGGTGTTAATGGCTCGCATTTGTGAAACAGTTCATATTCTCAAATCATTTTTACATAGATGATTAACAAATTCAACTGCCATTTATGGAACACCTATAATGTACTAAAATTTGACACACATTATGGCATTTAATCTCTTTAACAACGCTGTAAACTTTGCCTTACCACCATCTCCACTTTTTAGGTAAAACAGTAAAGACACAGAGAAGACACATGACTTGGCCGAAGTCTTGACCTGGAATTGGTACATCCTGTTTTCAAACTCAAGTCTGATTGCATCTAAAGGCCTCTTCTCTTCCTCCCTCCTTCCCTCCCTTCCTCCCTTCTGTCTCCCTCCTTTTTTCCTTCCCTCCTTTCCACCTTCCTTCCTTTTCTCCTCCCCCTCCTCCTTCCCTCTTTTCCCTCCCTCCCCTCTTCCCTCCCTCCCTTCCTTTCTCCCTTCCCTCTCTCTCTCCTACCTACCTACCTACCTAGTTCCTTCCTTCCTTCCTTCCTTCCTTCCTTCCTTCCTTCCTTTCTTCCTTCCTTCCTTCCTCCCTCCACAATGTCTTAACTGGCTGGATTCTCTCAATAGCTTTGATCAATGGGTAAGGTGTTACTATTAACACTAAAGCTCGGTTGAGATAAACAATCAATCCTAGGTATCACAGTGGATAATGCCAGAATTAGGATTAGAACCCAAGTTGCCTGCCGTACTATCACCTTTTAATGCAATGTCACAATCAAAACTTAAATAGAGCTGTGGCATGTTTATATATCTTTGTATGTTATTCAGCACTGATGACAGTAAATTTTTAGGTAAAATTCATTACCAGTAACCTGAATTCTGCTTTTAATTCTATTATTTTTATTGCTATAGCCCTTACCATAATTCTTTGTAATGTAAGAGGCTGTGATATTTATTGAGCTACAACAACGAGTAGAGATAGAACATTGCATTAGGCCCAAGTTACATGGAGAAAGTATGGAAAGCCCTTTTACAGATATACTTTTTACTTATTTTGTGGCAGTAAGAATTCCTTGAATTGTTTTTCATGACCAGAAAACTCTTGATGTAAAGTTGAGGTGAGCTCTACAAGGTGATAGAGTTTGCATTTATTAAATCTATACCAAAATCACACATTCAGCTTAGGAATCCCTGTTTTTTGTTTTGTTTTATTTTGTTTGGTTGGATGTGTGTGAATTTTGTTGGACTGCTTTAGAAGTCCAGTAAACTGACTTTGGAAGTCCACTGAATGGTTCTTTGCTGGAAAAGCAATGATTTCAATTACGTAAAGCTAGACAAGCATATGTTATGTTTTGCACAAATGTGTCTTAGTTTGAAGGTGAACTAGAACTACAACAAATGCTTTTTGTTAAAATCAACAAATAGCATTTGATTTTTTTAATCAAAATTGTCTGAAAAACAAAAGAAAAAATGCAGTAAGACCTAAAACCATAAAAACCCTAAAAGAAAACCTAGGCAATACCATTCAGGACATAGACATGGGCAAAGACTTCATGACTAAAGCACCAAAAGCAATGGCAAGAAAAGCCAAAATAGACAAATGGGATCTAATTAAACTAAAGAGCTTCTGCACAGCAAAAGAAACTATCATCAGAGTGAACAGGCAACCTACAGAATGGGAGAAAATCTTTGCAATCTACCCATCTGACAAAGGGCTAAGACCCAGAATCTGCAAAGAACTTAAACAAATTTACAAGAAAAAATCAAACCCCATCAAAAAGTGGGCAAAGGATATGAACAGACACTTCTCAAAAGAAGACATTTATGCAGCCAACAGACATAGGAAAAAATGCTCATCATCACTGGTCATCAGAGAAATGCAAATCAAAACCACAATGAGATACCATCTCATGCCGGTTAGAATGGCAATCACTAAAAAGTCAGGAAACAACAAATGCTGGAGAGGATGTAGAGAAATATGAATGCTTTTACACTGTTGGTGGGACTGTAAATTAGTTCAACCATTGTGGAAGGCAGTTTGGCGATTCCTCAAGGATCTAGAACTAGAAATACCATTTGACCCAGCGATCCCATTACTGGCTATATACCCAAAGGATTATAAATCATGCTACTATAAAGACACATGCACACGTATGTTTATTGCAGCACTATTCACAATAGCAAAGTCTTGGAACCAACCCAAATGTCCATCAATGATAGACTGGATTAAGAAATTGTGGCACATATACACCATGGAATACTATGCAGCTATAAAAAAGGATGAGTTCATGTCCTTTGCAGGGACATGGATGAAGCTGGAAATCATCATTCTCAGCAAACTATCACAAGGACAGAAAACCAAACACTGCATGTTCTCACTCATAGGTGGGAGTTGAACAATGAGAACACATGGACACAGGGCAGGGAACATCACACACTGGGCCCTTTTGGGGGGGTGGGAGGCTGGGGGAGGGATAGCATTAGGAGAAATACCTAACATAAATGACCAGTTGATGATTGCAGCAAACCAACATGGCACATGTGTACCTATGTAACAAACCTGCACGTTCTGCACATGTACCCTAGAACTTAAAGTGTAATTAAAAAAAAAAAAGCAAAAAAATGCAGTTCAGAATATTCTCAAGCAAAAAGTAATGTAGTGATGATCAGGTTCCAAGAGCATCCTTCTGTAAAATATTCAGAGTGTGCCCAGATTCTAGCTTTTCATAGCTTCTTCATGGTGTTACCTACACTATTGCACACATGGCAAAAAAGTGGTTTAAAAGATGAAGAGGAATGTAAATCTTGCCTCGTATATTTGAAAAGTTTAGATGCTTTCTTGCAGATGCACGTCTCTTAGTAACAACTGATGGCTAATCGAAACAAGTAATGCTGTGGCTTGCGAGATAGGCCAATATCAGCAAAGCATTTTTCTGAACAACTGTAGTTGACTGATCTAGACTATGCTAACTTTCTTAGAGCTTTAAAAAATGTGCCATTTATATTTACCGACTATCAGCAGAACATATTTTGCTTATTTCCTGTCTGCATAATATTCCAAGATAGTTTCTGGAAGAATATGCATTTTTAAGACACTGTATTTAAGCTGCTTAGAACTGCTTCAACTGACCATGTCTCTTTTGTTTGAGAGTGACATCGGGTGATATATACTTTTTTACCTGGTATATGTTGAGAGAAAAGAAAACCTCAGAATAAAGAAATATCCTTCAGCAATGTCGGATTTATAGGCTTATGCATGTAAATTGTATATGCGTAAATACCACTTCTTTTAGAAGACCAATACATTAAGGGTAAAAACCTTTTGTCTTCATTGTTCAATTGAACTAGCAAGTTTGTTTTTTTCTTGTCCTTGGATGAAATCCTGTTAGCTTTTCTGGATTCTTTAGGGTAATAACAAATCTTCTGGTAATTCTAATTTCAAAAGAAGTCTTATTTTAGTAGCAAAATTACCTAGTCTATTGTTATAGTGACAACTCAGAACTTTACTGGAGGTTAAAGCTATTTTCCTCCTCCAGATTGAGGTGCTGCAGACTCGGGAAGCTGCAGTGGGGAATGGGCTTGGGCTCGTATATTAGTCTGTTTTCATGCTGCTGATAAAGAAATACCCAAGACTGGGCAATTTACAAAGGAAAGAGGTTAAATGGAGAATTCACAGTTCCACTTGGCTGAGGAAGCCTCACAATCATGGCAGAAGGCTAGGAGGAGCAAGTCACATCTTACGTGGACAGCAGCAGGCAAAGAGAGCTTGTACAGGGCAACTCCTGTTTTTAAAACCATCAGATCTCCTGAGACCCATTCACTATCACGAGAACAGCACGGGAAACACCCCATTCACTATCACGAGAACAGCACGGGAAACACCGCCCCCATAATTCAATAATCTCCCACCAGGTCCCTCCCGCGACACAGAATTATGGGAGCTACAAGATGAGACTTGCGTGGGGACACAGAGCCAAACCATATCATTCCATCCCTGGCCCCTCTGAAATCTCATATCTTCACATTTCAAAACTGATCATGCATTCCCAACAGTCCCCTAAAATCTCAACTGATTTCAGCATTAACTCAAAAATCCAGAGTCCAAAGTCTCGTCAGAGACAAGGCAAGTCCCTTCCACCTATGAGCCTGTAAAATCAGAAGCAAGTTAGTTATTTCCTAGATAAAATGGGGGTACAGGCATTGGGTAAATGCAGCCACTCCAAATGGGAGAAATTGGCCAAAACAAAGGGGCTAGAGGCCCCATGCGAGTCTGAAATTCATCAGGTCAGTCAAATCTTAAAGCTTCAAAATGATCTCCCCTGACTCTGTGTCTCATACCCAGGTCATGCTGATGCAAGAGGTGGGTTCCCATGTTCTTGGGCAGCTGGGGTCTTCTCAGATTCTCTGCCTGGCACTCCTTTTCACCCTACTATGAACTCCTTTCAGGATTGATTCTGTTTCTTCTAGGGTTGGAGCCAGAGGAGAGAGTCAAGACAGACCCTGGGAGGCCTTACTTGGCCTGCACTGTTGTGATCTAGAGTTTATGTTTTCTCATCTTGGTGAATGCTTAAATGGGCAAAGTATGGGGACACACACTTTCTCATACAGATCGCTTTGTGGGATCCTCAGAAATACTCCAACTGCACAGGTACTTCTTGGTCTTTTAATTCAAGACTTTAAAACCCTTAAGGGGATTATGTGCAGAATCACTCCAGAAGGCATGCCTTTACCAGTTCAGAATAGTTATTCTAGATCCCACTTTGTCATGAAGGGGGTCCTTAGCATCTACCATTCTGTGCCCAATCTTTTGAGCCAAAACTGAGAGAAAAAGTATTATTTTAATATTCTGCTATATACAAAAAAAAATAATAAGCTAAGCAGCCTGGTGCACTGGAGAGAACACTGACATGAGCATCATAGCAGGGCTCTGCCTGCCTCTGTGCTCTTTAATCCTCCCAGGTACACTGTTAAGTACTTCCTTCCTTCATCTCTACCATACAGACAAGGAAACAAGGCTGAAAGAAGGGACATAAACTTCTCATGGTCCAACAGCTAGTTAATAGGGGTGGATTAGGAACCACTGTAGCAGTGTTGAGTGGGAAAATATAAAATATTTGAGAAATAAAAGGTGGGAAAATATAAAATATTTGAGAAATAAAAGATCTTGGGTCCCACCCCAGGCCTATTGACCCAGAAACTCTGGGGAGAGGCCTGAAATCTTTAACAAGCCCTGATGCACAATGCTCAAGTTTGATAACCAAAGGAGTACAGGATAGCCAGGGAAAACAATTCTAATTTTTGCTTTGGCATTGATTATACAGCAGACCTCCTTTATCTGCAAGGGATACATCCCAAGACCCCCAAGTGGATGCCTGAAACCTTGGATAGTACTGAACTCAACTGCTCTCGGTTGAAACATGCTCTTGTTCATGTCTTCTACCCTCAAATTTAATTCCTTTTCCATCTTAATTAAGTACTTATAATGTACTGTGGCTGTAATTTTTGCAGTATGGGATGCAGCAGGGAAACTAGCATAAATTTCTTTTTCCTTCACAATTTCATAAATAGATTTGCTCTTACCACAGATCTCAACAACTTCACTATACATTTTTTAAAAATAAGTTGAGAACTTTCAACTTTCCACTTGAGGGAGACACTTCATGCCTTCTCTTTGGCATATCTGAATTGCTAGCTTCACTACTTTTGCACTCTAGCTAGGGCCATTAAGGATAAAATAAAGGAGATTTAAACACAAGCACTGTTATATGATGATAGTCAATCTGATAACTGAGATGCTACTAAGTGACTAATGGGTGGGTAGCTTACAGAGCATGCAGAAGCTGGAGAAAGTAATGATTTGCATCTTGGGTGTGACTAAAGAAGATGGTGCAACATTTCATCATGCTACTCAGAGTGGCACTGAATTTAAAATTTATGAATTGTTTATTTCTGGAATTTTCCATTTAGTATTTTCAGACTGTTGTTTACCATGGGTAGCTGAAACTATGGAAAGTGAAACCATGGATAAGGGAGAACTACTGTATACTGATAAATACATAAGTTGTCTCAAGCCTGTTTTTTGGGCAGCTGTCTATTATTGAGAGCAGATCAGGTGAAGAGCACCTTCTCTTACCATGAAGCAAAGCTAAGTTAGAAGGATACATCAACCCAGCTCTAATGACCAGACTGTACTTGGCTCTACTCTGAAATGGTAACATAAACTAATTGGGCTTTGGGTTCTTTCTTGGAAGTAAAACTTCAAACCTATTCTCTCTCAAGACTTCTGAAATGTTGGATGAGAAAAATATTTATGGAGGTTTTTTCTCGAGAAAACCATTTGTTTATTTTTTTAGATACTCGAAAATTTATTCTGGGATGAAATTAAATAATCATGTAAGTGGACATGCTTGTATTAAACTGTATCTTGGCATTATGCCATTGGTATGGTTTGAATGTGTTTCACAAAATTCACGTGTTGGAAACTTGATCCCCAGTACAGTGGTGTTGGGAGGTGAGGCCTCATGGGAAGATGTTTGTGTTATGGGGATACCAGCCTCATGAATAAATTCATGCTGTTATCATGGGAGTGGGTTCCTTAGAAAAGAATGAGTTTGGCACCTCTTGTCTTCTTTTGCCTTTTTGCCTTCCATGAGATGAGATGACTTGACAGGAAGGCCCTCACCAGGTGCTAGAGATTTAATCTTGGACTTCCTAGCATCTAGAACTGTGAGGAAATAAATTTCTGTTCTTTTTAAATTGCCTAATCTGTAATATTCTGTTATAGCAGCACACAGAAGACTAAGACAGCCATCCACTTACATTTAAGAGTATTGTAAGAAACAGTGCTATGAAATACATTGCGCTTGCTGTAAGAATATTGTTAAAGAAATTTCTCATCTTGCTACTCAGTAACCTCCTTCAGATAATCTAAGTGGGGTATTTTTTTAGTACTTCATAGCACAAATAAGCTTGTTTTTCCTGGGCATCTATTTATTTGAGAATTTCGGACATAGAGAACCATATAATTAATCACGCTTCTGCTTTTATGTTAGGCCTGAATTGTGTCTCCTCACATTTTTATGTTGAAGTCTTAACTCCAGGTACCTCAGAATGTGGCTGTATTTGGAGATAAGATTTTTAGATATTTAATTAAGTTAAAATTTGGTCATTAAGGTGGGCCCTAATCCAAAATAATAATCTTTATAAGAAGAGGAAATTAGGACACAGACATACACAGAGGGAAGAACACATGAAGACATAGGGAGAAGAGAGCCATTTACAAGCTAATGAGAGAAACCTCAGAAGAAACCAACCTGGCCAACACATTGATCTTGGACTTCTGGCCTCCAGGATTATGAGAAAATTAAATTTCTGTTGTTTAAGTTACTCAGTCGGTGGTACTTTTTTGTGGTAGCTATATTAGAGTTCTCCAGAGAAACAAAGCCAACAGGCTATATATGGACATATAAGAAGAGATTGTGAGAGTTTGCTTATGCCATTATGGAGCTCTAGAAGCCCCATGTTATGCCGTATGCATGCTGGAGAACCAGAAAACTGATGGTATAATTCATTCTGAGTTGGAAGGCCAGAGAACCAGGAGGTCAGATGTTTGAGGGGAGGAGAAGATAGATGCCCCAGTTCAAGAAGAGAGAGCAAATTCACCTTTCCTCTGCCTTTTTGTTCTGTTAAGACCCTCAATTTATATATTTTATATATATATATAAATTGCATCATGTTCACCCACATTGGTGAGGGTGGATCTTCTTTACTTAGTCTGCTCAACCAAATGCTAACCTCTTCTGGAAACACCCTCACAGATAAGCCTCCATCCTCCAAAATAATGCTTTGCCAGCTATCTGGGCATTCCATAACACAGTCAAGTTGACACATAAAATTAACCACCAGGGTAGCCCTAGCAACTAACACATTTTATATTGGTTGTTGCAAAGTTACATGAAGCACATCTAACAAAAGTAGAGAAACTCTTATCATGACTTTTATATGTTAATCTTATTTCTGACTTCATCAATCTTTTCCTTTTCTTCTTTGCTCTTTACCTATTTTTAAAAATTTATTCTTTAAAATTTCTCATGCTGACATCCTTGTTGGGTACCATATGGTACTTGGCATTTTTCCTTGGGCTGCCTACTACCTCTGTGGTACATTTGGCTTATGAGGATGAGCTGGATCTCTTGTACTCTTCTGGGAGCCTGGTAAGTGGCAGGGGCTGTGCTTCCAGGCCTGTGAGGATCTTCTAGCAATGTCTTCCCTTTGTTCCTCCCATGTGTGGCCAGGCCACTCAGACTCTGTCCTGCCTCTTGACCGCAACCTATGACACTCACAGTTTCTGCTTGGAGGCAGCTATGCCTGTTGCTGACAACTGTTCTGAAGTTGACTCACATGACTGATTTCTCTAGAATAATCCAACTCTTCGCCCATCATGTACCCTTCTTGCTTTGAGCTTCAACCTCTTCTGAGTACAGAACACCCTCAGGGTTGCTCCTGTATTTTTGCAGCAGAATTGTTTTTTGGCATGTCTTGGGAGGCAGCTTTCCTATGTGGCCATGTCTTTTCTTTGAAGCTTTCTATCTTCTTTCTATTTTTCAGTTTCTGAGTCATTATGAGCTTCCATTCTTGTTTCACACACACTTAGTTTATATGTAATTTAAATATATAAAAGACTATACAGTTAGAATTTATTTTACATAATTAAAATTATATATGAATATAAATATAATATATTTCTATATTTAAATATGTTTTGAAATATATTTTCCACCAGTTTTAAAGTTTTGTGGGAAATTGTGGAGTGTACTTAATCCAGCAAGATTTAATGGAAATTTACTTTTTTGTATATTGGGACTTGTATATTATTTTGTGAGTTATGTACCTTACTTTCCTTTAGAAACAAGGTTCTTTATGCACATTCACATCTAAGTAATAGAGCAGACCATATGTGTGACTTGGACTAGTATTTTCCACCTATCAGTACTTGCATCTCTAAATAAAAATATGAGAGAGAGATTCCTAAGGTTCCTGCCAGAAACAAGTGAAACCCAGGGAAAAAGTGGACTCTTGCACCTGTCTTAAGTCCCATCTTGATATGGTGACTCATACAAAGGACATATTCCACCCCCAAAATTTTGAAGAATGTGATAAATTTATCCTTGTGGAAGCTGTGAAAGGGTCACACTTCTCAATGCAATACCAAAGCTTCTTCAATATCCTCTTCAGACAATTCCTCCACCAAAATCTCACCCAATGAGCTAGTCTTTCTCCCCAAATCTCTCTTCTCCATCTCTCTCTCAGAACCTTTGCTCACTTTCTACACACCCCTTCCTCCTGCCTTCCTCTTCTGTCTCATTTTGTCCTCCCTTGTTTAGGCAATCAGCTCAGTTTTTTTTCCCCCTTCTCCCAGCCTATTACATTTATTAGCACAGGAGTACAAACACAGAATCCTTTTTATGGGTGGGTGAAGACAAAGGCTTTGGAAGTTTATATTTTAATATCTTTGTTCCTGTTACATAAGAAGCTATGGTTCCATATGGATACATAATGCAACCTACGGGCTTTGTCAGAGGTGCCATATTCAATGGGAAATGTGCAAGGAGGCAGGAACAAATTGATCTTCCTTTGCTGCCCTGGGACCAATTTGTATGAAGAGATATTTAGAGTCCATCTAATGATCTTGCTCTCAGACTTCAATTGGAAACAAGTATGCAACTAAGACTTACCGATTTATAACTGGAGACATTAATTCTGATACTTGGTGAGATCTACATAGACGATATCCCCATTGACACGTAGTGATAGTTAATTCACTTTGCTTGCCATCATCATGACGTGAATTAAAATTTTTGAAGTTGAAATATAAAGTAATGGTTAAAGGCATGGATTTGACGTCTCACAGAGCTGCATTCCAGTCCTGACTCTCCATTTACTTGATGAGAAACCTTGGGCAAGTTATTTAATTTTTATGAGGCTCAGATTCTTCCTCTGTACCCAGGAGATAATACTGATACTTCCTTTAAAGCATTACTGAAACATCAAATGAGGTAATATATGTAAAGAACAGTTGAGATCACTTTTCTTGGGTCCAGAAGTGCCTCAGCAGGGACTGTGGGGTCTTCCATGGGATTCCTGATGGAGTCCAGTCTCCTACCCACCTGTGCCATTGCCAATATATTTAATAACATGTGCTGTGCAGCGGCTCTGTGTCTGGCCCTGTGCTATTCTCTGGGGATAAAGAAATGAAGAGACAAGGTTCCTGGCCTGCAGGCACTCACATTTTATTAGGGACTAAGAGGCTCATAAACAAATTGGCAATCATGGTTATTAAGCAGTGGTTAAACTGTTAAGAAAAGGGAAGGGAGATAGCTATTTATTTTGCTGGTATAGAAGGTGTGGGGGCAGGGAAAAAGCACGGCCAACCAGGACAATTTGCTGTTTGCCACAAGGTCATTAACACAATTCCAAAAATCTCTGCAAATGGGATATGTTCTACAGAAAAGGATGTAGGAAGACAAAAGAGAACAAGAATCATGGCCAACTTGGGGACCTCTCAGAGCGGCTCCTCTTCTTTCCCAGGGAATCAATTTCCCTAAGTGTTCCAAGTTGAGATTTTGTAACCGAATGAAGTTTCAGTTGAAGGCAAGTTTAATCCTGCACTACTTGCAGAGCTCAATTAACAGAGTGACATCTGGCAGAAAGAAAGTGACTTTATTAACCAAAACTAGTAAAGGAGAAGTGGCCAGATTCTCATCCAAAGCAACCACTTTGATTTTTTGGGGGGGAGAAAAAGGAGTTTAAAAAATGAAAACTTGACAAGGAAGACATACAAGAATTGTGCTGAGTACAATGTCTGTGTGTCTTATTCTGGTGACTATCGTGGGTCCCTGTCCACCTGGATCTTGGGCTGGCATCATCTCAACAAAGCTGGATTGTTAATGAGCCACCTTGAAGTAACTGCTGGTACTTTGCAGCTGGGACTCAAGGGTTGGTCTGTATACCTCAAGATTAGTCTGTGGAACTTCTAAGAAGGCACATAATTGGATACTTGCATACAGTTAGATAAATGTGAAGAGAGTATATACAGTGACAAAGAGAGGGATGTGGAGTCTATTTTAAGGCTAAGGGAAAAGGCTTCTGCAGTTTGCTTCAAGGTTATATCTTGAAACTCAAGAGAAAAGAAGTTTTGAAATGCATTTTGAAGTTAAACTGCCTGGTTACAGTTTCACAGGGCAGGTGGCGGGCGTTTCCCACATGCCAGCAGCTGTGCCATCCCAACTGTATTTTACTAAATAGCCAGTATTACACATTATGGCAAGTGGTTCCAAGCAGTTAGATAACTGTGCCTCAGCCCTGACCTGTTGCTCTGGGTTTGTTTAATGCGCTGTCTTCTTGTCACTGTGTAGCTGTGCACCAGCACGGTGACATTGCTCAGTGCTCTCAGGTGGGAGCAAGGTTCCTCTGCTGCCAGTAGGCTGCTGGAGGCCTTTGACTACATTGTTTACAAATGTGGCCTATCTTTCCTGCCTTAATACTTTAGCTCACTTTGTTTTTCACCTGGAATTCTCTTTTCACCTCCTTTGTCTTCAAAATCCAGTTAGAAAAATATGAGCACATTCCTCCTTCCCCTCTGGTCTATGATCAGCATGAAGCAATGACTGTGTCTTAGAATCTTTGCATCCCTAAGCTCCCTCCCATTCATTAAGGATTCAACAAGTGCTACCAGAATAAATGATCTACAGCATGGACACCAGAGGTCTGAGACCCAGGCGAGGACACCAGCCAGGTAGGATGCTTTGGAGCACCTGAACACTGCATAATAAAGGCTTGGACCAGAGTGTTCACAATGAGAAGGAAGAAACTGTGTCACTTTTGCTTAATGAAAATTTCTTCTATCTATCATGGTCACGAGACCAAATGTGAATTTTGGTTCAGATTTGACTCAGAACGTGAGAAGGAATAACCCATTTGTCTACAAAGGCAGACTGCCAATTCCCTAGTTACCCAGACTCAACACCATTGTTCAAGAAGCTGTCACAAATTAGATATGGGGCTAAGTTTCCAGGTAACCTAAGGGACAATTAAAAAAGTTATTTTGGAATCACTGGGCTATACATCTTTGAACAAGGATATCACTGGAGTTAATCACAGAGATAATATAACACTTAAATCTGAGTTTGAAAGTAAAAATGACCATATCCCTAGCCAGATGTCTGTCTTAAAAACAAACAAATAAAGTAAGTGTATGTTCTGATTTGGCAGAGTTGACACAGACAGTTCCTGCCATTGGTACCATGGGGTATTTCAAAAGCAGCAATACCTCAAGTAAGATTCTAAAGATTCTGTGGCTAAGCTGTGTTGTCTCTTTTGGATGTTCATAAAGAATCCTGATCCTTCCAGAGCAGTGAAGATACTACATTAATACTAACTTGATGAGAGCCCTGAAGTTTCTAAAGGAACAGGTGGTGACACAGAGATGGGAGAGGTGAGGCTGATCTTTTTTTCCTATAGTTTGTTTCCTCAGTTTGTAGTTTCAGGAAACAGTACAGAGAAAACAAAAATTGTCATGGAGATAGAAAAGTGTGCTGAGTAAACAGTGTACTTGTTAAAATCATTTCAGTGAATCTCCCATAATGAAGATTTTGTTTTTCTCTAGTCTACAGTTTCAGTATTAAAACAAAAGATAAAATACCATAAAACAAGCTAGTAACAGGGATTTATTCTGAAAAGCAAGTTTAGTGTACATTCTATGATCCAAACAAAATCAACCCAAACTCTTGTTTATTTGGCTATACAATAAAAGGCAATATTCAGGATAACAACATTCAAGCATTGTAAGATTTTCAAACACAAAAGACTTCATTATATTTATGGCACAAGTTCCATAAAGAGATGGGAAAAATAAACTCAAATTCAAATGAGGAAGATCTCAATAAAGCTTGAAATTAACAGTTCTTCCTATTTAATAGTTGTTAAGAAGATTTTCCAGTTATTGTGACATTCTGTTATGAACAATTCATAGAGGCTTTCTTATTCCTAAGGACCATTAAGTATCAAATCATAATGTACAGATACATACATATATGAAAATATAAAAATAGGTATGTTATATGACATTTATCAAATGGATTAGTGGCTGGTGTGCTTGTTTAGGAACCCCCAAGTTTCAGCAAGCTTGAGATGGTACACAGCCAGCAGCCTTGAGATGAGCCTTATAAATGTGCTTGCAAAACATATTTGACCTTTCTAGTTGGATGTACCAATGGCATTAGTTAAAAGAGTGTTAATATGATTCAGAAAAATGTAGCCTTCTCTGTGCTAGTTACTATTCTAGATGCTGGAGACATAGTTGCAAATAAAACACGGGATCTGCAGTCTAGTGGTTATGCATTTGGTTGCTTGACTAGCCCAGGATGAATACTTCTCCATCCAAGGGAGCCCAATCAGGACAGCATTCCATCTCCCAAGTCTACACTACTGTTTCACATTTATAGCAGAAAGTTTTTCTTGCAAAACATGCAAAGAAACATTGAGAAACAATGTTCATACAGAGTGTGAAGAATGGAGACGTGGGTAAATTATCACATCTAGAGACTTGCAGACAAAAAGCACTTCTTAATGTGCCTTTTAAAAAGCAACAAAACAGCAACAATTACAAATAGATACCAACAGGCACCCAAACACCTTTTACCATGATCTTCCTTTAATAAGGACATGTTACTTGTGGATAGATAGGTTTCTACAGTTTATGATGGGCTTTCAGACATATTCTTCATTCTCTGAAGCAGTTAGGAAAGATGTTATCTCCATTTTACAAATATGGAGACTGGATTTTCAAAGGTCACACAGTGAATTGTGCAACTAAGACAAGGACTCAATCAAATCCTACAGAAATTAATGTGTCTTGATTCCATGTGTGCCTCAATATCACTCTTTTTCTAGGGTTTGCTGGTTTAGCACTAGACTGTGATCCCTGGAAATTTTATTTTCTAAAATTATCATAGTCAAAGTAATGTGTGCTAATATGATTGATATTCTCATGTCCTGATGCTGAGAATTCTAGAAGCAAGGTCCTGAGTGAGGATATAAAGAATATGCTGAATTACTGGAAGTCCTGACATGTGGATTTGAACTAATGCCTGGATTTTGACCTATTTTATTCATTAACAAAATAGATGGCAGATTTCATAAGAGCAGGACGATGAATTGTGACAGCTGTCATTCTGGACAAATTCCAAAGTGGGCAATCATATAATGGCAATTTTCAAATGGACAAAATTAATTCCTTAGAAAATAAAATCAATACTTGGACAGTTATTTCTTTGGATCTCAAAACACTTGGATGGATAACTTCATTCACTTGGATGGTCCCTATATAGGACAGTACATATGGAGCAATGCTATTAATACACAAAAGTCCACCAGAAAGTTTGGCAGAAGAAATTAGGGATGGACAATAGCATGTTACTTAAAACTAGTAGAAGAAGTTCAGTGGTCCTAAAATTTCTCTCTCTCTCTCTCTCTTTCTCTCTCTCTCTCACACACACATACACACACATACACACACACACCTTTGAATTTCTGAGAACACTTCAAAGTAAGGATCTAAACTGAATTTTCTCAACAATTACTTCCCTCATTCTAATATGATCATCCAGAATCCTGTGTGTGAATTTAGTACATGTTTGAAGAAGTGTCTATAGAGTACATGTGCAATATGGTTATTTGTGAAGTTATTCTACCTATCACATTATTTTACAGTATGAGGTTTTGAAAAATTATCCTCAGGAAATAAGGTTCAGCCACCCTTGATGGTTCTTTTTTTTTTTTTTAAATGCAGAGATCCTTTTAAAGCAAATGCCAATAGAGTTGGTCTAGTTACCCGTCAGAAGTCTGAAAATGCGTGCAGAGGTGCCATTGCTTTTGGGGAAGTACTTTCTATGCCATCTCTTGCTTTTACAAAGCCTTTACTATTTTCAAAATGCTTTCATAATTTTTAACTTGTTTTTCACAAAAATTCTGTGTGTATGGTGGGAGGACATAATAATTCTTATTTATAAGAAGCGACTTAAACACAGAAAAGATAAATATAAAACTCAAAGTCAAAAATCTGGTCAAATTCAGGTCTTTTTGTTGCAAATTTAGCTTGTATGCCCCTAGGCCTTATTTCCTATGGATACAGAAATCTTCCCCTTCTTCCAAATTAGGTGCTACCACTTCAAGCTGATGTAGTGGTTTAAATTGCTACCAGGAAAGCCAATAGCTGCAAAGAAGTAAGTAAGAGAATGTGACAACTCTGACCTCAACATTAATTATGCATCAAATAGTAAAAAATGGGTCAATGAGAGAGCCAAAGGCATTCATACATGATGCACCACTCACTGCAATAGCTCACTTTTGGTCTTGGAGAGACATCCTCACACATTATTTTCATGGGAATTTGAATCTCAGTTGGACTCTCCTCCAGGAAGATGGGAGTCTGTGGTTTCCAGAAGACTGACCTAGGATCTTTTGTGTTTCATGAGTCTTGCTTAAACCTGGTGGAAGATTCAGGTGTTATCGAGTAATAGAAATGCAAACTATCTGGGGATAAGTTTGCTGATGATCCCTAGGTAATAGCCTTGGGGCAGCTATAGTTCAAGTAAACTTATCTGATGCACAGTTAGATAAGCAGCCCTGGTTGTAATTCAATATGCTTTTGCCTTTGAATATAAATCAGGGCAAAGATATTTCAAATGGGACTGTGTAAGCAAATGTTTATAAAATCTACTGAATGTTATTAACTCTAACTTTTCCCTTACTGTGATATTTGTTTAAACAGAACCAAAGAAGATATTAAAAAGAGGCAAAGACCAATGAGTCAGGGAAATTTGCTTTAGTTTAGAAGATCCTCCTCAATATGGCAGAAACAAATATTTTGAACTAGAGGTAAATTCCAAGGTAAAGAAAATGTTTTTTTTGCTACTGGTCATGAAAACACATGTGTAGTCCTTTGGATTAAATTTAAAGGAGGATATTTTATTTATTTTTTTTTCAACTTGCCAAGGGATGTTAAATGCACTAAACAAACCTAGTCCTTCTGCTCAAAATGTATGAAATTTCTATTCCGTTTTTAGGGTATCTGCACACAAATGACATTTCTGTTTGAACTGAAAAATTAATTCCTGTAACTTTTTTCTCTTCATGTATTTTATTCTGAGCCAACATGTCAATTTTGTATTGTAAATGTATAATGCACATGCCACATGTGGTACATGGTACAAATAAAAAAATTAATAGATTTAATTATGTTTATCATTTGATAAAACAAAACAAAAACCTTTGAGACTTTTTAAAAGAATTTTCTAATTTGATTGGAACTTTATCTCAATAGTATTTTTTCCCAAATATGAGAATTATGTGATTTGTGTAATTTTGCTATTTTGAGATGTGTATTTCAATATCCAATATTTAGGTCATTGCTATCAATAGGTTGATTCTGGAATCTAGACACCCTATATCTAATTATATCCTGGACCCTATCAATTTTCTCTAGGGACAACTTTTAAATCTGTTCTTCCTCTTCTCACTGCCATGGTTCAAGCTTTCCTTCCTCTCCCTTGGCATGTTTCTAATAACTCCTTCTCTCCAGCTTCGGCATCCCTAGGATTAGTCCACCCCAGTCCCTCCTTTACATTGTTGCTGTCATAAAAGTCACTTGTGGTCTATATTGCATCTTTCTAAAAAGTCACTTGTGGTCATATTGCACCTCAGCCAAAATCTCTATTGGATTCTTCTTATTGTCTTCTTAGAAGCCCAAACTTCTAGAATAATATAAATAATAACAAGAGCTAAGTGATCCACCTATCATTTAACAAATCTGTAAAATAGTTATTTGCCATTCTAGTGGGTAAATAGTGGTATCTCATTTTGCGTTAATTTGTATCTCCTGGATGATTTGTGATGCTGATTATCTTTTCATGTGCCTATTTGTCATTCATATATTTTCACTGGAGAGATATTTATTCTGATTATCTGATAAATTATTTTGTTAGCAAATATCATTTTGATAGACTTATATTAAAAGCATTTCCTTTTAAAAATCAGGGACAAGGCAAGGATGCTTACTGTCACCAATTCTGTTCAACACTGTATTGGAAGAACTGGCCTGTGTTAGTTACATATATGGATCTTGGACATGTGACATACATAAACAGGGAAAAGTTAGAACATTTAATAAGTGGTGTGAGATTATCAGTTATCCATTTGAGGAAAAAAGAACTTGGATTCCTACCTCATACTGTACATTAAAATCAACCCTTGATGGATTAAAACATTTAATCTGAAAGTTGAAATTTTAAAACTTTTAAGAAAAACTATCAGTGGCTATCTTTATGGCTTTGTAGTAAAGAAATATTTAAGAAGCAAACACAAATAGTACTAATCTCAAAAAAAAGATACATTAATTACATTAAAATATAAGACTAGATTCATTAAAACACACTGTAAAGAAAGATCTAACTTGACAAAAAGATCTAGAATAAATCGAGAAATAAAAGAAAATACACCAATGTCACTTTTAAATATTGATTGAAAAATCTGATGTAAAATATTAGAAAATAGAATCCAGCAGCCTATTAAAAGACAAATGTCCTCTACTGATGCTTTTAAGATTTTTTAAGTATCAGCCAACACAATATGAAGAGGTAAAAGAATCAGAGGGACAAAAATTGCAAATGAAGAGTAGAAATTATAATTACTTATAGATGATGTTATTGTAGTTCTGGACAGCTTGAGTTAATAATCTCAATTCAATTAGAAACAATGAAGGAAATTATTAATGTGGATAGATACCTCTTTAACATAAAAATCAATAGCTTTCCAGAACCCAGACACCAAGTGAGACAATATAAAGAAAATATTCCTCTTGTACTACCATGCACAAAGATAAAATACATAGTCATAAACTTAACAGGAAATATGCAGCCCTATATAATTAAAAAAACCCTCTATTTAGGCATATAAATTAAAACTTGAATAAATGGTAAGTTATAATTTGCTCTTGAATAAGAAAACTCAATATGGTAAAGATGTATATGTTTCCTAAATTAACTTATAAATTTAGTAGAATCACGATAATAAGACATTAATTTTGGATTATTTTTGGAACTAGTCAAGTTAGGTCTAAAATCCATTAAGGAATAACAGAAGTGAGTAGGGCATGGTGGCTCACGCCTGTAATCCCAACACTTTGGGCGGCCGAGGCGGCAGATCATGAGGTCAGGAGTTTGAGACCAGGGTGGTCAATATGGTGAAACCCCACCTCTATTTAAAATACAAAAAATTTGCTGGACGTGGTGGCGTGGGCCTGAAGTCTCAGCTACTCAGGAGTCTGAGGCAGGAGAATCGTTTGAACCCAGGAGGCGGAGGTTGCAGTGAGCCGAGATCGCACCACTGTACTCCAGTCTGGGTGACAGAGTGAGACTCTGTCTCAAAAAAAAAAAAAAAAAAAAAGTGGAAATAAGGTATTCTTAATGATTTTTAATGTTCACTTTCAATCCCAAATAAGCCTTCTCCTAAAACAAATTCTAAAGTTATTAAAATTGAGTACCTAATATTTTGCTGCTTTAAACAAATAGGCATTATTTTTTAGGGCAGTTGCAGGTTTACAACAAAATTGAAGGGAAGGTACAGAGGTTTCCCCTGTACTCCCTACCCTCACACATGCACAGCCTCCCCAGTTATCAACATCTCCCACCAGAGTGGTACATTTGTTACCATTGGTAAACCTGGACAGACATATAATTATCATTCAGAGTCTATAATTTATATTAGGGTTCACTCTTGGTGTGCATGTTCTATGGGTTTGGACAAATGTATAATGACATGTATTCGCCATTATAGCATCATACAGAACAGTTTAACAGCCCTAAAAATCTTCTGCTGTCTGCCTGTTCACCCTTACCTTCCCCCATAGGGAAACAGGATTTTTTAAGTGGAAAGTTGAAAGTTATAAGGTTATGCTAAATCTGTCAAATATAAGACTATGTTAATACAATAGTTTTTATACTGTCATGTAAAATAGTCAGACTCATGGAACCACACTGAGATCCAGAATAGATGCACAAGATAATTTAGAATCTAATGCAACTGAGATTTCAATCAGTTGCCATTGAGGCAGAAAAAAAATCTGGATTTTTACTTCATTCATTTTCTTAAAACGAATTCCAGACTTGTCAACAATTTAAATGTTAAAATTAAAACTGTTTTTCACCCTGCTTTCCTGAATACAATTCTGTAAAAATATTAGAAGAAAATGGGGCTGTGTGCAGTGGTTTACACCTGTAATCGCAGCACTTTGGGATGCTGAGGTGGGAGGATTGTTTGAGGGCAGGAGTTCAAGACCAGCCTGGGCAACATAGCAAGACTCTGTCTCTACATTAAAAAAAATTAGCTGGACATGGTGGCTTATGATTCTAGTTCCAGCTATTGGGAAGATGAGGTGGTAGGATCACTTGAGCTGAGGAGTTTGAGGCTGCAGTGAGCTTTGATTGCACCAGTGCACTCCAGCCTGGGTGATAGAGCTAGATACTGTCTCTAAAGATATAAATAATAAATAAAAGAAGAAAATAGAGGAATCTATTTGTTATAGTAATGGAATGAAAGAGATTTTTCTTTCTAAAATTGATATTAAAAACACAAAAGCCATGAGTTTAAATAATAGAATAATGATTTCCTAAGTTAAAAACAAAGTTCTTGAACAGACTGTAACAAATCAGACTGGGAAGTATACTTGTGATATCTGTGACACAGTACTTTTAAGCCTAACTTTAAAAATAATGTAAACAACTCCTTCAAATTGATAATAAGGAACCTAATTTTAAAATGTGCAAAAAACAGTTAATGGAGAGTAGTATGAATATTTGATAAATACATTGGCTCTGTCTCACTTAGAATAAAAATAAATCTGGGAGATGCCTTTTACATCAGATCTGTGAGGATCACAAATGTACACTGTGTTGACAAAGGGTGGGGCAATATTCACACTCATACACTGGGTAGAACTGCAAATTAATAAATTGGTATGATAGTTTTCAAGGGCAATTTAGTATTATCCGAATTTTAAATGCATCTATTTTTGACAAGAACATTTTATTTTTAATAATTTACCCTACAGACATATTTTCATGTGTTCCTAAGAAAGTGTGTCTGAAGTTAGCAATAGCCTCACAATAACAAAGAAGTGAAAATACTGCAAATGTTGATCAGTATGTGTCTGGTTAACCAAATCAGATAGTCACAATGGAATACTGTGGAGCTGTGTATTAGTCCATTTTTATACTGCTTTGAAGAAATACCTGAGACTGGGTAATTTATAAAGGAAAGAGGTTTAATGAATTCACAGTTCCACATGACAGGGGAGGCCTCACAATCATGGTAGAAGGTAAAAGAAGAATAAAGGCACACCTTACATGGCAAAAGCCAAGAGAATGTGTGCAGGGAAACTGCCCTTTATGAAACCATGAGACCTCTTGAGAATTATTCACTATCATGAGAACAGCAAGAGAAAAACTTGCCCCCATGATTCAATTACCTCCCACCAGGTCTCTCCCATGACACATGGGTATTATGGGAGCTACAATTCAAGATGAGATTTGGGTGGGAACACTGCCAAATCATATAATTCCATCCCTGGCCCCTCCCAAATCTCATGTCCTCACATTTCAAAACCCATCATGCCTTCTCAACAGTCCCCCAAAATCTTAATTCATTTTAGCATTAACTCAAAAGTCCACAGTACAAAGTCTCATCCGAGACAAGGCAAATCCTTTCTGCCTATGAGCCTGTACAATTAAAAAAAAAAAAAAAAAACTTAGTTGCTTCGCAGATACAATGGGAGTACAAACACTGGGTAAATACATCCATTCCAAATGGGAAAAATTGGCCAAAATGAAGGAGCTAAGGGACCCATGCAAGTCTGAAATCCAGCAGGGCAGTCAAGTCTTAAAGCTCCAAAATTATCTCTTTTGACTCCATGTCTCATATCCAGGTCATGCTGATACAAGAGGTGGGTTCCTATGGTCTTGGGCAGCTCCGCCCCTGTGGCTCTGCATGGTACAGTCCCCCTTTCAGCTGCTTTCATGGGCAGGTATTGAGTGTCTGCAGTTTTTCCATGAATACAGTGCAAGCTGTATGGGGGTCTACCATTCTGGGGCCTTGAGGACAGTGGCCCTCTTCTCACAGCTCCACTAGGCAGTGCCCCAGTGGGGACTCTGTGTGGAGCTCCCACCCCACATTTCCCTTCTACCCTATCTTAGTAGAGGTTCTCCATAAGGACTCTGCCTCTGCAGTGCACTTCTTCCTGGGCATCTAGGCATTTCTACATATCCTCTGAAATCTAGGTGGAGGTTCCCAAACTTCAATTCTTGACTTCTGTGCACCACAGGCCTAAAACCACATGTAAGTTACCAAGACTTGGGGCTTGCACCCTCTGAAGCAATGGCCCAAGCTGTACATTGGCCCTTTCTAGTCATGGCTGGGATGCAGGGCACCAAGTCCTGAGACTGCACAAAGCAGCAAGGCCCTGGGCCTGGCCCATTATACCTTTTTGCCTCCTAGGCCTCCTAATTTGTGATGGGAGGGGCTGCCATGAAGACCTCTCACATGCCCTGGAGATATTTTCCCATTGTCTTGGTGATTAACATTTGGCTCCTCATTACTTATGCAAGTTTCTGCAGCCAGCTTGAATTTCTCCTCATAAAATGGGTTTTTGTTTTGTATTGCATCATCAGACTGCAAATTTTCCAAACTTTTATGCTCTGCTTCCCTTTTACATAGAAGTTCCAATCCATACCATATATTTGTGAATACATAAAACTGAATGCTTTTAAGAGCACCCTATTCACATCTTGAACACTTTGCTGCTTAGAAATTTCTTCTATGAGATATCCTAAATCATCTCTCTCAAGTTCAAAGTTCCACAGATCTCTAGGGCAGGGGCAAAATGCTGTTAGTCTCTTTTCTAAAACATAGCATGACTCACCTTTATTCCACTTTCCAAAATGTTCCTTGTCTCCATCTGAGACCACCTCAGACTGGACTTCGTTATTCACATCACTATTAGTATTTTGGTCAAAGCCATTCAACAAGTATCTAGGAAGTTTCAATTTTCAAACTTTTCCACACTTTCCTGTCTTTTTCTGAGCCCTCCAAGCTGTTCCAACTTCTCCCTGTTACCCTTCCAAAGTTGCTTCCACATTTTCAGGTATCCTTATAGCATTACCCCACTCTACTGCTACCAATTTACGGTATTAGTCCATTTTCACACTGCTATGAAGAAATACCCAAGGCTGGGTAATTTATAAAAGAAAGAGGTTTAATGGACTCACAGTTCCACATGGCTGGGGAAGCCTCACAATCATGGTGGAAAGTGAAGGAAAAGCAAAGGCTGTTAACAGAATGAGGTAGATTCAAATGTGCTGATGAAGAAAAAAACTCCAAGAAATATTATTAAGTGAGCAAAATAAGATGCAAAATAATACATAGCATATGCCTCATCTAAATACTGATATGTGCATTCAAGCTTTTCTGAAAAGATGCCTACAAATCCAGTACCACTAACTGCATCTACAGAAGGAGAAAGTAGATTAGAGATGGGGACATAATTTACTTTCTATAGCATTTTCAGCACTTCTTAGCTTTTCAGAAAAGTCATATTTATGTATTATTATAATTTTTAGATAAAAATTAAATATTTTGATCAGTATTATATAAAACTTGTTTTAGTTTTTTTTTTTTTTTTTTTTTTTTTGAGACAGAGTCTCGCTCTGTAGCCCTGGCTGGATGGAGTGCAGTGGTGCGATCTTGGCTCACTGCAAGCTACGCCTCCCGGGTTTGTGCCATTTTCCTGCCTTGGCCTCCTGAGTAGCTGGGACTACAGGTGCCTGCCACCATGCCTGGCTAATATTTTTTTTTTTTTTGTATTTTTAGTAGAGACGGGGTTTTCACTGTGTTAGCCAGGATGGTCTCGATCTCCTGACCTCATGATCCGCCTGCCTCGGCCTCCCAAAGTGCTGGGATTACAGACATGAACCACCATGCCCAGCCTAAAACTGTTCTTAGTTTTATAGGTTCTTAGATTCTTGCATCTGTTTGACAGTGGGGTTCCCTAACAACTTAATGGCTGAAATACTTCCCTGAGCTGCTTTGGGTCTCTGCTTCAAACATGAACTGGCCATGATTTGGCACCCTCTGTTTTGGTTTACTCATTTTGTTCTTGCCTGTAGGCAATGCCCTGCATCATCTGTTTTGCTTTCCAATTTCTGTGACCTCCTGGCTTTCTGCCTGCACTTTGCCTCTCCCATGACTTCCTGTTTTCAGGTGCTCCATGGCTTCCTAGTGTGCGTAGTACTTTTCTGATTTGTTGATAAGCCTTATAAATCCTGTGCTCTCTTAGATTCCTATTTGCCTGGTTCTTGAGCACATGTTTTCTTTCTCCTGAGTGGATTTTTAATGGAATGTTTGTTCATCCTTCTTTCTAGCTCTCTTTGGCTATCTCATTCTCACACCTCCCTCATCACCTTTTTCTTGGGCACGTGCATTTCTTTTTCTCCTAGGGTTGAGCACAGATCTAACTTGAATAATTAAAGGAAGCTTTGTGTAATGAAAGCCAAAGCAGAAAGGAACAAAAGACTTTTAGCATGTAATAGAAGGGAATAGTGAACATGGAGGCAGAGGGAGTCATTTTTGGGGTGTAAGAGTCGATTATCTTTCTTGTCCCCTGGGCCGTTCGTTAGGGTGGCTTTACTTTGTTAATCCTGCACTTTGTAGAAAGGACAGAAAGTACCCCATAGCTCCATGCATGTGGGTAGGACAGGGGCATGTGGAAGGGAATAATTGCAAGCCTAGGAAGTAGGAGAGAAGAGGGTGGGGTCTGGGGGTGGGAGGTGGGGAGCAGAGGGCAAGACAAAGACTCTTGGGAAGCACAGGCTTCCTTAAGAAGGATTTAGCTATGATTCACCCATGGACAGTACAGATTTGAGAAAGAAAGGCCGCTTCCCCTCAGGAGGACCCAGCAGGGAGAAGATCCAGCCCTATTAGTTCATTTCCTCCTTCCCCTCCCAGAGGCCATCCTCTGCCTGGATTGCAGTAGGGACTTGTCCTGGATAACAGGAGAGCCATTCTAAATGCTCACCTGGATTCTTCACATTGGACTGCAGTGGACCATGTCACCCTACTCTTTGAATATTAGGATTATGGTAAGGGGTTGCAGATATTCTGATACATCTTTTTTCATAATAATTGATAATAGCAGTTAAGAATGCACATTCTTCTTGACATTGCTGAACTTTGCTTGAGCCGTGTGCTCCTGGAAAACAGTGACAGCTAAAAAATCCCCCTATCCCTTATGATACTAAAAGCATAAGCAGCAAAAGTAGAAATAGATAAATATGACTATATGAAAATTAAAAACATCAAAGGACACAATCAACAGAGTAAAGAGGCAAGCTATGGAATGAAAGAAAATATTTGCAAATAATATATCTAATAAGGGATTGATAACTGGAATGTGTAAAGAACTCCTACAACCCAACAATAAAAAAACAAACACCCTTATTAAAAAGTGACAAAAGACTTGAGTAGACATTTCTCCTAAGAATATATACAAATGGGAACAAGCCCCTGAAAAACGACTCAACATCATTAATCACCTGGGAAATAAAAATCAAAATGACAGTGAGATGCCACCTCACATCTGTTAGTATGGTTGCTATCAAAAATCCAGAAAGTAATACAGTGTTGGTGAGCATGCCGACAATGTGAAACTGATAAAGAAACTTTCCTTGACCAGACTTTAAGCAGGTTCCCCTGAATCTTCTTCTCAAATAGGTCTAGACTTTGGATTTCTGTGTTCATCTTTGTATCATCCAGTTTTAGCAAGAATCTTGCTGTCGGTTGAGCAAGAATCCCTTCCTTGGTACCTGATCACCCTCAATATGTGATCGCCTTTGATACATGATTAAATTCTTCATTTCCCACCATCCCTCACATTATATCTAAACATACCCTGCCCTACTTTTAGCAAGAATCCTGACAAATTGGTTTATCTGGAATCTCCTTTACCCTTGATGTTTCCTCTTAGTAATTTTCCATCCACTTAGCCTCATGCTGCTCCTTGGCTGGAAACTCCTACTTGTCCATGCCATATTCTGAATCAAGCCTATCTCTATACTGAGATCTCTTTTTCCCTATTGTAATAGTTCCTTAAAAGGTTTTAACTACCTTCAGGCTCTGGTTTCCTTTAACAGAATCATTGTGCACTGCTGGTGGTCTAGCCACTGTGGAAAAGATTTTGGAGGTTCCTCAAAAAATTAAACATAGAATTACCATATGATCCAGCAATTCCGAAAGAATTGAGTATATACCCAGAAGAATTGAAGGCAGGGTTTCCAAGAAATATTTGTGCATCCATGTTCATAGCAGCATTATTCACAATAGGCAAAATGTGGAAGCAACTGATGTGTTCATTGATGTGTTCATGGATGCGATAAATAAAATGTGGTATATACATACAATGAAACACTATGTAGCCTTAAAAAGAAATTCTGACACATGCTACTGATGGCATCAACAGCCTATCTGTAGAGGCCACTGTCAAGACACTGGCTGCAGTGGGGGAGGTGCGGCCAGGGCTGCGTGCTCCATGGAGCCAGTGGGAGCTGGGAACAGGTGGGATCCCCACCCCCTTCCAAGTTGGCAGGGCGGGAACCCCACCTTCTCAGCCACAGATGCAGCCGTCCAGCCATGTCTGTGGACCCAGGCATCCTTGCAGTCTCAGAGGACTAGAAAGCCCTTCTGCCCCCATGGACTTGGAAGTGCCTGCTCCCACTGCCTGGCTTCTCCCTGCTCCCAGCACCCACTCTGACTTCGGAGGAAAGTTGAGGCAGAGCCTGGGTACTGTCACAACCCAGCCAGGTGTGCGCACACTTGGGGCAGTGCTGACATGCTAGCCCCCTGCTGCCTCAGCCCCCTCTGGACTTCGGACACTGATAAGCACAGGAGATAGGGTAAGGGTGAGTTAAGGGTGGCTCAGCACAGGCCTATTCCTCAGCAGGAACAGCCTGGGTGCCATGGATGACATGATAGATGGTGGCAGGAGGCAGACAGGCTACTGGGCAGAAAGGGGCAGGTCCCCGGTGAAGCCCCACCTTCAAATCAGGTGACATGGGATCCTTGAGGTGTTGCTTCACCAGCTAGAAACTCTGTGGCTGGTGGTGCCTTCTCCCTGAGTATTGCTCACTCCCTCTGGGCTCGTTCCACACACTCTACCCACAGGCTGTGCTCAGCTTGTGCTACTGGCCCAGATCACACATCTCTGCCAAGGGCAAGCCAGGCATGGAGTGGTAAGGAGTGTGTGGGTGAGCTAGCATGGAGTCTGGGCACTATGCACAGGCAGGCATGCTGTCTACTGTGGCAGGGTGGGTGGCTCCAGGTGCTGGCTCCGTGCAAGACTGCAACTGGACCAGATGTACTGCATGTGGCTTCTGCTGTGGGCACCCACATCTGGATGAGGGGAATGTGGTAGCAGCAGAAGTTTGGAGATCCCAGGAACTGCAGAGCCCCTAAAGAGGGTGTCATAGCCTACAGCCCTGGCTCAGAGAGCCCCCAGGTATGGACTCCCCAAAGGGCCGCAGCTCTTCTCTCCTTCTTGTTGCTGCAATGTGGTGAGCAGGGAGGGGTGGTGGCATGTTTCAGCTCTGTTTGTGTTATAGCTGTTTCAGTCCCATCATTTGGCAGGTCCCAAGTTCTTGTCCCACATCCAGGAAGAATGAGGTACATAGACAACTGGAGGGTGAGCAAGGCAAAGAGGGGCTTCACTGAGTGACAGAACAGCTCTCAGGAGACCCAATATGAGTAACTCATTTCTACAGGCAGGTCATCCCATGTCTGTGTAGCTCTCAGCAGCAAAGAGATCTGGAGTGGATAATTCCTATCCACAGGCAGGTTGCCTGTCATCTGCTGGAATGTGGCTGAGTCCAGGGTTTTTATGGGCTTCAGAGGGGAGGAAGTGCCTGCTGATTGGTCCATGGGTGGCCATGGGCAGGCACAGAAAAAGCACCATAAGTTCTCACTCCTGTCCATGGAACTGACAGCACAGCCTCCAGGCTTCAGGCTGTCTCTGGCTTGAAGATGGGGCTTCGCTGAGGACCTGTCTGTTCTCACCCAGGAGCCTGTCTGCCTCCTGCCATCATCAGCCTGCAGTCCATGGTGCCCATAATGCCCAGGATGTTTGTGCCAAGGGGTCCTTGCAGGCCCCTGCTGAGCTGCCGTCAGCACCCCCTTGGCCTCCCATTCATGCTCTTGGTGCCCAAGGTCCTGAGAGAGCCAAGGTGGTGTGAGGCTGGCACGTCAGTGTGGCCCTGAGTGTGTGCACACCTGGCCGGGTAACAATAGCACCCAGGCTTAGCTTCAACTTTGCTCCGAAATCGGAGCAGATTCCAGGAGTGGGGAGAGGCCAGGCAGAGGGAGCAGGCATTTCTGAGCCTGTGGGGGCAGGGGTATTCCTGGGCCCTCAAGAGCACAGGGATGCCTGGGTTTGCAGCTGCGGCTGGGCAGCTGCAGCTGCATCCAGGAGGGTGGGGTTCCCATCCAACCAGCTCAGAAGGGGACAGGGCTCCTGACTGTTCCCAGCTCCGGCTGGCTGCATGTTCCATAGATGGCAGTGGTGGTCTGTCTTGGCAGTGGCCACTCTAGACAGGCCACCACTGCCATCAATCCCCGCTCTAAAGAGGTATATCTAACTACCATTAGTACAGGGACGATGACCACTCTTAACCTCTTCATGCACACAGGGTACATTGTTTTGGGGAAAATGACTGTTAGCTCTCTCTCTCAGAGGCTTATCTAAGGGTCCCTTGTACAAAGGGAACCATCATCCGAGGCTCCAGTTGCATGACTGCTTGGAGTTTGATGGCCTCTTGGTGACAAGAAACATATTTTACAAGAAGGTTAAGTATGTGAAGGAAAAAAATCTAGTTCCAAATACAACAGAGATAAGAATTAAAATAAACTAATCATTCTGAAAACAATGTTGTGACTAAATTATTTCACAATGGTGAAATAAATTAAATCTTGTATGAGGGTAGTTAAATTTTAAAAAAGAAATAACTGTTCAGGGGGGCACATAATTCCTTGGCCTTATTCTCCCAAAGAAAGGAACCTCCGGGTTATGGCCACCCTATTTACCCTCATTGCCTGGCAGGATTTGCAGGATAATTTTCCAAATTTTTATATTACCTATCCCTTTTGTTTCTTCTGAGCTGAAGTCAGAGGTCACTGGTTGGTTCACAGGAATAAGCAGAGTTTGTCTAAAATGCAGACAAATCCTTAAAAACAACTAATGAGCACCTGTCAAAGTCTTATAGCTGATTGTACACTATCTTTTGAATAGGATCAAAACAAGACAATGATTGTCTGTTAATGACAAAATGTCATAGGGTAGTCACAGTCAAAAACATGACTGACAGGGAAATTTGGTTATTTCTGTGGTTTACAATAACTTAACATAATAATCCTAATTATGATTGATAGTATGTATTTAGACATTTGAATTTTAGAAATCCCATACAATTTTGGAACATATGTTGATATTATTCACTAAAATATAACCTGAAGAAGATTAAATCTTATTTTTATTTTGACAATTCCATGTAACTGAACATGTCAAATAATCCTGTTTATCTCTCTTTTGGATGCTCCAAGGGCCTTCTGTCTCATCTCAAAGTTATGGGTCAGAAAAGATAATTTTGAAGCTGCAACTTGATTTTGGGAAGCCTATCAAATATGTTAAAGGTTTAACACATTTGATATAAAATAGAATTCCAGGTTACCATAAGTCATTTTTGCTCACCCTCCAGTCATCCATTTACCTCATTCTTCCTGGATGGGGGACAAGAACTTGGGACCTTCAGAATGGCGGGACTAAAAGAGCTGTAACACAAACAGGGCTAAAACATGCTCCCTCACTTGCCACATTGTGGGTGATGAGAAGGAAAGAAGAGCTGTGGCCCTTTGGGGAGCCCAGACCTAGGGGCCCCTCAAGCCAGGGCTGTGATACCCTCCTTGATGCTCTGCAGTTCCAGATGCCACTGCGTTCTTCTTGTCCAGATGTGGGTGCCTGCAGCAGGAACCACATTCAGTACATCTGGTTCAGCTGCAACCTTGCACAGAGCTGGCACCTGTTCCAGCGCCTGGAGCTGCCTGCCCCACCACAGCAACCAGTATGCTTGGATGTGTGCAGTGGCTGGACCCTGCACTCACTCACCCACACACCTCTTGCTGCTCTGCACCTGGCTCACCTTTGGCAGGTGTGGGATCCAGGCTGGTAGCATGAGCTGAGCTCATCCTGCCGGGCTGAGTGGGTGAAACAAGCCCAGTGGGTGCAAGCAATACTCACACAGAAGGTGCCACTGGCCACAGAGGTTTCCAGCTGTTGAAGTGATGCCCCAAGGATTCTGTGACACTACAAGATGCATGAACCTTGAAGATATTATGTGAAGTGAAATAAGTTATTTATGAAATGCCAAAACTGTATGATTTCACTTAATTGAGGTACCTAAAGTAGTCAAATTCATAAAGAAAGAAAATAGAATAGAATAGTGCTTACCAAGGTCTGTGGGGAGGGAGAATGGGGAGTTATTGGCTAATCGGTACAGAGTTTCAGATTTGCAAAGGGAAAAGAGTTCTAGGGATTGGTTGCATAATAATCTCCCACCAAATATACTTAATATTACTGAACTGTGCACATACAAGGGGTTAAAGTGATAAATTTTGTGTGTATTTTACCACAGATAAAAATGAAAAAGAAAAAAGAAAATCGCTCCATCCTTTTGTGTTCCTAGGGTTACTGCAGAGGCCCACCCTTCTCCATATGACTTGGATAAGATAAAAAAAACACCCTTGTTTACCTATGACAAGGCTAGACACAGCCTGTCCAAATTCCCATTCTTTGTCTTAAAAGTAATTAGCTGAAGTGTTTATCTCCATTGACCAATCTGGACAAGATAAACAACAACTTTATTTGACCAAACTTTAGTCAGGTTTCTCTCTGCACAGGCCCCTGGCCCTTGACCTACCCTTGAATCTAAATGAACATTGGAATGTGGAATGGCCCCTCTTTCAGGACCCTCCTGACAATTGACCACAGAGAAGGATGTTTCATGGTCAACACTCTAATCATTCTACCTGTTCACCCACTTCCCTACACTCAATTCTTGCTACCCTTGTTTGTTCCTCTCTTACTGATTGACTTTGGAGAAACTTACAGATACTGTGGTTGAAGCATTCTCCCTATCGCAACAGACTTTGGAATAAATTCTTTCCTTACCTAAGTCCAGATTTGTTTTTATTTGACACTTGCAAAGTATGAGAATAACGTTTGTCCCATTTAACATATGGAATATAGTGAAGATATATTTAATGCATGAATTGTTTATATACAGTAGGCAACACATATAATTGGAATATGTGAGTCTAATTGTGTAGTATATATGTATACATATTTAAGTGTACTAGCTAAACTTCATTATAATATTGTCCTAAGGTATAATTTTTCTTTATAAATATTTTACATAGAAAACTGTTACTCTGTTTTATGGGCTGTCGGGTAATAATTTTAAATTGGCAGTTTAGTTCAGGAAAACATTAAATTGAAGACTCTTAAACACCTGTATAGGAGATTAAAAGTTAGGCTCAGCTGGATTGGTTTTCTAGATGAGATTTTATCCTAGCCCATTCTAAACCTGCCACTTTTTTGTTTTGACTGTACGGAATTACTAATTGAGAGTGAAAGCAATTGTTCTCTGTAGTAAAAATTAACACTTTTAACTGTAACCAGTACATCTTAGATTTTAAATCGTGTTCTGATTTTAAATTCATAGTGTTTTAAAATGATTGCCTTTTGATTTTTAAATTGCAGTTGTGTGCAAGCCTTCTGTCACAATTCCACAAAAGGAAATTATGATAAATCAGTAACCATAATAATTAACTGAGCTAAAGTTCTTACCAGGAATGCAGCCACCAATTTAGCTGAAGGAGGTATTAGCATAGCAACAAACTTTCAAGGTCAAATCTGAGTATTTTCTTCCCTTGATGTAGACAGGCTTATTATGGATTTTTCCCTTTTCTTGCCTTTTTTCACAAACATTTTTCTACTTTTAACTGGTAATTTTTGATGAAGATATGATGCTCTGCTGTTACTAACTTTGGTATATAGAAAAACAGAAAGTTTGGGTTTTCTAAGATCTTTGTATTTTTTTATATTAAAATTTCCATACATTCACTAGCGGGTTTATTGGGCCCTACACAGCAGATAAGAGGAGTATGACATTACTCTACACAGAAATGCCCTCTACAGTGATTTCCTCTTCTGGCCTCTGCCCCAGGCCTATCGCTGCCAGAATGTTCCACTTCTGCAACTGCCCACTCCCACTCTCCATTTGTTTGACTGACTCCACCTGCTTATTAACTCCCTGGTTCATGTATCTTCTTATGTGAGAGGCACATGAATCTCAGGGGTGTGGGGCACCCTTACTTTTTGGCTTCCCCATTTTCTTTTGTTCCTAGGTCCCAGATCATCTATACTCATTTATATGCTGAGCTAATTATATTCAGAAAGAGGTGATGGTACCTTCTGGAAAATCAGCAAAACCCTTTTCTCTGCTGTGAACTTGGAAGTCATTGGCCAAAACCAAGCTCGTGACCTTTGGCAGTATTAGCTCCAATCCTATCACTCCAGTTGAGGAAACCAAGAGAAATTTGGCATTCATCTCATGCCATCTGAGTGACAGAACAAGGCTCTAGACCCCCAGTCACAGCTACAGACCCAATTGCATTGCCTCAGGTGTGAGCCAGATAAAAGGCACCTTGCATAAAAACTAAGTCATCAATCTTTCTACTTTGAACATATGACAGAAGCGAGAGATCAAACTCTAGATCAAAATGACTAGATATCTGGACTCTCTTGATAATGAAAGACTCTGATATTGTGACACTGTCATAGCCTGGTGTTATTTAGACAGGTGGTACCCAAGTACAAATCAGTGTGGGCTGCAAGAGCTTTTACCCAAAACAGATCTTTTTATTTTCTACTAAAGTGTTTTCTTCTTAATGGCTTGGGCCATCTTGATTACAGTGTCTTCATGTAAAACAAAGCATCTTGATTGGCTGTCATCATTTTTTGTTGCTCTATGATGTCAGATAGGCAGAATGTACTGAGGACAAACACTTTGAGTGGCCAGATTATGCAAAACCAGCTTTCAAAATTAGGAAGCAAAACTACCATGAACAATAGCATTACAGACTACACTTGTATAGGCATATTTTTCAGAGGAGCGCCAGATTTAAATGATTAGATGGGAAATAAAAGACCATTTTCTTTTGATACAAAAGTTGCATGATCAGAGGAAGCTGGGAGAACACAGGGTTATGGGACATTAAACAGTCCTGAGGGCCGTCGGCCATCACCTATGTAGCTCTATGGGCTGGTGGGTGTGCGAGTGTCTGACCCTCTCGTGATGTGGATGTCCCTTCTGTAAAATAAAGTGAAAGCACGAGATGCTCTTTAGGATCTTTCTAATAATTTGATACACAAAATTAGATTCCAAAACTAAAGGTTTCATTGTCAAAACTATTAACTTTTTCTTCCCTAGGTTTGCCCAGGGCCTGAAAAAGTCATAGTAACTATACACTCATTCCAAAACATCCCTATTCCTTGAAATCTGATAAAAATCCAGTGGAAAATTCCAAGAAACATTCTACTTGGGTAATGGTTGCCTTAAATATCATAGACAGAGTTCAGATGCCTCATTTCAGGCCATCGCTAGAGCTTGTGAAATCTGTGTTTGTTCATTTCTCCGGGAGACCCTTTCTGTTCTTGCATCTATCGCAGTGTGTTGTGATAAATAATGCAGTGCCTTCCCAACAGTTTCCTTAGCCATATGAGGGGTACATTTTAAAAAGAGAACAAGCAGACACAGAAATGGAAATTAACCCCAGGCCTGCCAGCCTCCGTCAGGAATAATGGCGTCACATAATTCCAGGGTTAAATGGGAAGTAGGTGCCTTTTTACTGAGTTCGGCTCTTTGTCCTTGCTTTAGTGTGTCATTGTAGCAACTGTCATGTAAGGTTAATGACAGCCCCTCATTACCCTTGTCAAATATGTAATAATGTGGCCCAACAACGGGCCTGAATGGCTTCTGCTTGTCAGATCCCTATGTTTTGCCTAGCAGATGGTCACTGTGTTTGGAGAGGCTCTCGCTCAGATCCATCACACTGATATCCTGAACACGTGTGTGCGAGAAGCATTTTCCCCTGATGGGACAGTGTGTGGCTAGAATACTAATTGAGCACGGCAAGACAACTGCAGGCTTCACCCTCCCTCCTCCCCCAACTTCCTGTTAGTTTTCTGTTAGGCTCCAGGGGGAAAGAGAGAAGATAGGACCTTTCTTGCCTTTCTCCTTCTATTATTTCCGGAGATACACCACACTTTTCAGCTGTGATATGCATGCGTTTTCAAACCCTTTATTTGGATCACTTAGGATGCAGCACCCATGAAATTTAGACACATTCTATTCTTGGAGATGTGGAAACAAAGGGGCGGGGGGGAAGGCTCAGTGAGGAAAGTGGCAGGGGGCAGGGTTTACTGGAAAAGAGCAGCAGTCCAGGTGGCAGGAAGCTAGAATCCCAGTCTGTGACCTTGGGCACAGTCACTTTCTCCCATTGTGGTTTACTCCCTCAGGAAGTTTGCCTTAGTGAAGGAGGTGAGAGAGACACTCAAGGCCAGATGCAAGAAAGAGCCTCTGTCCTGCTTCAGGGATTCTCCAACTGGTTCCTGCGTCTCTCATCCTCGGTAGTTTTTCACATTAAGTCACTTCCTTTCTCAAAAATGAACAGTGGCTCCCAATTGCTTCTGAAATCAACTTAAACTCTAAATAAACATCTCCAGAATTAGTTACAATGCAGTCTATTCTTTTTTCCATATGAATCCTCTTCCACTCTTTTTCAGGTTGCACAGATTGTTTAGATACAAATCTATCTACTTTTTCTGCGCACAAGTTTTCTGGGGCTTATAGTCTTTGTTTATGCATAACCTCTCGTATGAACCCCTCTGATGCTCCCTCTGATCAGCTCCTACTCTTCAAATACATTTCTTAAGGACTTTCCTGAATATATGTCTTCCACTAGCTCAATGTAGCTCTGATACCTCTGCTTCTCTAAATATTCCTAAGAAATATTGTTTTCTTTATTAATATACATTCAAAGTAATAGAACTTGGGAACTTAGAAATCATTCCATGCAGCCACTTAATTTTGAAGATGAAATGCCAAGTGTGTATTGGTTAAGACCAAGTTCAAAGAGCAAGGCCATCACCTAGGTCCTTTGATTGTGGGTTTAGTCTTTTTTTTTCCACAATAGTAAATCACCCATTTCCTATACTTCGCTATTTAAGAGCTTGTCATTATTATTTGTGTTCATGTTCTCTCCCACAATAGATCGAAAACACCTTGAGGGCAGACACATTGATGTCTGCCTTTGTAGGCTCTGACTGACCCATAGGGTTGTGTGGGCACAGGGAGGAGTCATTTCACAGAGTCTATATAACTGCAGGTCACAGTATTGATGCCAGTTCCCTTTGTAATATCCCTGTGACATTTAACACTTTGCCAAATTATCTGTTGGCACTCCTCTCTTGGTATTATTCTAACAAGTGACATTTTCTTTTTTATCTTTTATGTGACCTACCCCTGAAACCAGTGAGTCACTATGAATTGTCATGAGCAAAATGTCATGTTAGGATCTTAGGGAGCAGAGAAGTCTATAGCCCCACAGAGGCTATCCTAAACTTCATTGGTGGTGAAGAAAACCCACTTCTAGGCAAACCTTCTGATGTTCTTAGGAGTGATGATGAAATAAACTGAGGGGACTGTATCCAGCCTTTCCAGGTTAGGAAAGGTAATAAATCCACAGGTCTTTCTAACCCAGTCTCCAAGGAAGAAGATACTATTTCAAATGATTTTAGATTTTGCATTTGCTAAGTGTTTTTCTCCCCTTTCATCAAATATGTGGAAATTTCAGCTTAAGCCTTGAATAACTTCGCTTCTTAAATCAGATCTAAATGACCATATAACTGTTTTTTTTTAATTTGGTTCCAGATACTCTTCACTCAAAAGCTTTTCTCATATTGTTTAATTTAGTTGTAATATTGCTCAAAACCATGCAGCACATCTCCACTACTTCCATAGCCTTTCTAAGCCATAGGGATTACTTCCTCTGAATACTATACAATTAATACAGATATTTCCTGATTTATGATGGCTCATCCTAAAATTTTTTGACTTTATGATGGTGGGAAAGTGATAGTCTGTATGTTTCTTGCCTTACAACAAGGTTGTGTCTTGACTATCTCAACTTATGATGGATTTATCCAGATGTAACCCCACCATAAGTTGAAGAGCATCTGTACTCTGTAATTGTCATTTGAAAATCATACATCTATGGAGAACTTAATATGTCAAGTATTATTCTAAAATTTAGAAAGAAATAAGACAAAATTCTTGGTCAATGACACTCACTATCTAGTGGTAAAGACAAGTATATAAATAGATAAGCCTTATTATTCAAACTTAGCCTCTTCTTACTCCATACTTCTGATCCAATCCTCTCTCTCTTCTTATCCCTAAATATTACCATCTTCCTTCAGAAATTCCTGCTCCATACTATGCAGCATTTGCTATATTCTCAAACTCTTCTCCGAATGTTGTCTCTTCCTCCTAAATCCTTAGTTGGCAACCAGCTGTTTCAAAAGTACATGGCTTTCTTCTTAGGGGTTCACTTCTTATTTTCTCATAAAATAATAACTCAAGGTCAGGATTTGAAGTCAGTGTCCTCCTCTATTCCCACTGCCAAAATGAGCTCATTATTTATGCTCCACTGCTATGGTTTGAAGGTATCCCCAAACCTCATGTGTTGGAAATATAATCTCTGATGCAACAGAGAGGTAAGGCCGAATAAGAGGTGGCTGCACCATGAGGGCTCTGCCCTCACAAATGGATGAGTACCATTATCTTGAGAGTGGATTCGCTTTAAAAGGACAAATTCATACGGGAACCTTTTTTTCCCCTCTCCTTCTTGCCCTCTCTTGACTTTTTGCCTTTCACCATGGGATGATGCATTAGGAAGGCCTTCACCAGATGCTGGCCTCTCAGCCTTGGACTTCCCAGCCTCCAGAGTGATAATAAATAAATACTTGTTCTTCTTAAATTTTTGTTGTAGCAGCACAAAATGGACTAGGACATCCATCTTATAAAAACATATGACTCCATCCTACTCTTTTTAACTTTATACTCTCTGGTAAGACCATCTGTCTCTCCTCATTGTAGGGTCGGTTAATCTCCTGGTAACCAAATCTCCATTTATTATGAGTTCTGGGTTACACAAACAGCCACAGAGATGAACTCTCCCACACACTGACCTCTCAGTTCCTTGACTGCTTATCCTTAGTGATTCTTCTCTACATTCAATCTCAGCCATCTTTCTTCATGGTCACCTTCTGGATCTTGCCATAATCAGAACTACACTACCTTTAAAATAACAAAACAAAATGGCCCATTTTCTTCCACCAGTTTCCTTTTGCTTCACTGGTTGAAACATATCCTAGCAGCATCAATCCATAGCTTTCTACCATCTATTTTTCTTTCCATTTTCTCCTGACTCCACTTGCCTCTTTTCCAGTAGAGATTCAGTGGAATTAGAATCACTTCCTTGCAAGGGCCCTCAATTGCTTTGCCCCTGTTTTTATCCACCATGTTTTTCTTCCACAATATTTCTTGGCAAAACCCCAAACCAGGATAAATTCAATGATCTGTCTCCCCTGTGGCTACATCTGAGCAGTTGATTGTTGCTGGTGAAAATTATCAGCTGGACAGACAGCTTTTCCTTCAATTGTATCAATACCATTTCAAACAAGTACTTAACATGGCCCAGAAAAAAACACTCATATATCTCTGTCTCTTGCTTCAATCCTGTGCCCATTCCCTTCCTCCAGATAATTCTTGCTTAGTATTTCTTCTCCCTTTTTTGAATGCTTCTGATTCATTGTTCATACGCTATCCAGAGTGAATTTTTAGGAACCCCAATAGGATTAAATTTGTCCCATGAAAATGACATCTCATCAATGATGGAACAAAGTGCAAAGTCCTTGAAGTGGTCCAGCCCCAACCTGCATGTCTAACTGTGTTTCTCATCTCTCAGCCACTCTCTGGCCAGGTCCACCTCTCCTCTTGGCCTCCTCATGGTTTGTCAATTGCATTAGCCTCTGTGCCTCTGGCTGCTACACTTGCTGCGTTTCCTTTGCCTGGCTAACTCCTTTAGGTCTCAGGACAGATGTCACTTCATCAGAAGGGCATTCCCTCAACCCTCCATTCCAGACTGTCTCCTTCTTAGCTTCTCTTATGGCACTCAGTACTTGTGCCACAAGAGAACCGAATTATTTGAATTATAGTTCAAAGAGGGCTTTGTCTGGGAAAATTGTGGAGGAATTTTCACTGTAGAATTATTGCTGAAGGGGAACTATGAGGTTGTTTGGCAAGGAAAGAAGGAAATGCATTTCGGATAGAGGGAGTATCCTAAAAAATCACAGAGATGTAAAAATCTGCTGTGTCAACAGAAAGGTCTATTCACTGGCAAAAATGTGCAGGCACCAGGGAAAACAGTGGGAGGTGGTGGTAGGCCGGATAAGGGCCACCAAATATGTCTATGTTCTAATCCCTCACAACTGTGAGTATGCTTATGTTACGTGATGAGGGAGAATGAAGATAGCAGATGTAAGGAAGGCTGCTAATCAGCTAGCCTTGAGATGCAGAGAGCACTCTGGACTTGCCAGATGAATCCGATGTAATACCCAGGGGCCTTGACTGTGGAAGAGAGAGGCAGAAGCATCAACATCAGAATAATTTGGTGCGAGAAAGATTCTACTTTAGTTACTGACTTTGAAGATGGAGAAGGGGGCCATGTGCCAAGGAATGCAGCAGCTTTTGGAAGCTGAAAAAGGCAAAGAAACAAATTCTCAAAGAAACAAGAGCCTGCAGAAAAGAACTCAGCCCTTCTGACACCTTGATTTCATCCCGGTGAGACCCATTTCAGACTCTGACCTCCAGAACAAATGACAAGATGATAAATTTGTGTTGTTTTAAGACACTAAGTTTGTGGTAACAAGTTGCAGCAACAACAGAAACTAATATAGGAATGAAGCTATGGACATAAACTCAAGTCAGACCATGAAGCACATTCTCAGAAAGCTTAGCAGTCTGGCCTCGGAACTTCAGTAAGTGGAGAAACAGTAGGTATTGTAAAACATGGAAGAAACATAGCCAGCTTTGCTTTATGGGAAGATCTCTCTGTATCAGTGTGCAGGCATATTGATAGCCCAGAGACCACTAGGGAGGCTTCTAAAATAATCCACGTGAGTGATTAGGAAAACCTGAAAGAAGGCCCTAGAGGCGTTTTTATCTGCACACATTGTTACGTAGCTCTTGTGTTTTCCTAAATTTATGTTTTCTTTCTTGATCTAGAATACAAGTTCCTGAAATACAGCGGCTTTTAAAAATACTGGCTTGTTTCTTCCTGAATTCCTAATAGTAGCTGCTCAATAAATATTTGTTCATCTTGTAGTGGATTAAGACCAGGCAGATTTCTTATTTCTCTGGATCTGTGCATTATTTAAGACAAAATGGAAAGGAATCATGTAAGAAATACCCATTACCAATTATCGTTCTTCCACCAACTGGCTCCATCTTCTAGGGACATGGTTTCCTAGTATGGAAAGCAGGCATTACAGTAATTACTACTCTCCAAATCTTAAAAATGAATAGGATAAACTTGAAAAGGACATTGATTATTGGGAGAAATAACCTTCATACTGATGCTCTAAATTCGAAACAGAATCCTTAAAACACCATTGATCATGCAGCATCTGCCTTTCTAACTGGGGCTCAATTGAAATACTGGGACCTTAGTTTTTGCCTGCTTTTGAAGAGAGTCTGACAGAGGATTACAAAAAACTGTATTTAGTTTGTAGCTGCCTTCTTTTTTCCCTTGTCTAAACTACTCAAAAAAAAAAAAAAAAAAAAATAGACAGCTGTGGAATGAGCCAGTTCAGCAGTCTGCTTCTTGCCTATCATCCTGCCCCACTTTCTGTGTGTTCCTTTGGGAAGAAATCCTGGGGAATAGATAGCAGGAAATCACAGGCAAATTCAGAGCTTCTTGGGGGTGGCGATGGGCGGGGAAAGCACAATATAAACTATTAAATGCAGTGATGAAGCCAGCTACTCCCTTGGGTCTGATTGGAGGAAGCTGGCCTCCTCCTTGGGGAATGAGGCATTTGAAATTAATTGTTTTCATTTTATACAAATACTTCACCCAAATGAAAGGAATGAAATACTTAAATGCAACCACAGCCCTCCTTTATAAATATGACTATGAGCACACACATATACACGTATACCAGAGAAAGCAAATAACAGTAGTGTGTAATCAAATGATCAAGTGTCTTTATGCCAGCAGTTTTCTGGGTAATAGCACTGTCCCTTGAAAGTGAGCATTATGATTTTTGTGTTTTGCACCAGATCCTTCATCCTGCAGTGTCTGTGCTGCAGCATCTGGGCACACCCTGCTTGCAGGTATCTGACAATCTACTAAGCTCACAGCATCCTATTTGCTGTTGCTGACTCTTCTCTAGAAGAGAATGAATCCATGGTCCTTCTTGTCCAGAATAGAAGAATTCTCCTTTTAAAATGCAGAACTGTGTTTGTGTCATCCACTCAACTGGTCCAAAATTTACCCAGAAATTAATATCCCACCTTCTTATTATGACTTTCTATACAGGTTTTGATGTTTTGGGCCTGACTTATTTCCTAGCTGTAATTTTCTTCCTTCTTCATGTCCCCCATCACAGATCCCATGTCTCAATCCCCTTGTTCTCCTCCCTGTTTTAGGAACACCAAGCTGCCCCTCCACGTTTCTGTGCCACTATTTATCTTGTTCCTAGACCTGGCATTCTTCCCTGTTGCCTTCTACACTTGAGAAATCTACTCATTCTTCAAGTCTCCCCTGAGATGTCATCTCTTCTGTGAAGCCAGAAACATGTTTTAATGCCTTGTCCTCACCCATCCAGTCACATTAAATTACTACTATCTCTGAGCCTCCATACTTCCTCATTTACACTTTTATTTTTAGCACTGATTTCACATCATGACTTGTATAATTTGTGTTTTTGTCCATTTTTCCCACCAGAGTCTGTAAGTCCTTTGGGGCTTGGGGTCTTATCAGTTTCATTTTTGTAATCTAGTAGAGCCTAATATGATGCCAGACACGAAGTTGATGTTCAAAGAATATAAGAGGCAGTGAAATGAATCTTAGTCAATTCCCAGGCCCATCAGGCCAACCCTCTCTTCTTCAATTGTACCTCTTTGGAATGAGTTATAAAAGAAAAGGCAAGAGGAGTTGCTTTGTGGCACAACAGCATATGGAAGGCACTCAGACGGGGTCCAAAGTGGGGCTCACAGGAAGCCCCTAGCAAAGGAGCTACTGGTATATAGATTTCTCAGTTGTCCAAATGCTGCTTGAAGAAAAAAACAACACAGATGTCAATACATATAGGACAGAATGCAGTATTTGCCAAAAGCAGAAGCTGAAGAGATGTTACTTCAGGTATTCTTCCTCATTGAAGATCTATATTCTTTTGAATGTACAGCTTGATGTCAAGTTAGTTTCCAGTCTCAATTAGGATGCATTCATTTTTATCCATTAAATACTATCTGGAGAGCAGGAAACATGATGTCAAAGTCATGTGCATGTGTTCGTTTTTGTCTTCCTCCTAAGGAGAGAAGCACTTACCAATTTGGGTACGAGGGTTAAAAAGAGCAAGATAATAACAACAAGCAACAATTGCATAGCAATTTGCAGCCTACGAGCCCTTCAATCTGCTATTTCATTTAACCTTCAAGACAATCTTATGAGGCTGGTATTATTGCCCCCACTTTGCAGAGGAGGAAACTTGGGCTAATGATGTTTAAGTGACTTGTCTAAGGTTATATAAAAGCACCAAGACTGACAGAATGCTATTATTCAGAGTAACATAGAGTGAATTGAACTCCAGTATGATTATCCTGAGATTTTTGCTGTAATAATATGCAACCCTTACTGACTGCTGACAATGTAGCAGACACTGTTCTAAAGTGCTTTACACATATTAACTCATTTAATTCCCAAACCACTGCATGAGGTAGAAATGATTATTATTCCTCTCATTTTATAGATGGGAAAGCTGAATTCCAGAGAGGTTAAGTACCTTGGTTTCTCTTACAAAACTGATCAATAGCAGAGTGAAGGTTTGGACCAAGGCAATCTGGCTCCCAAGTCCATATTCAACAAATACAGTAGCCTGCTTCTTGAGGCATGGGATGTTGATATGACCTGGTGACTCTAATGAATAGTACAAAATACTTTCATCCTTAAATAAATGTTTAATGTTTAAGACTTAAAGTCTAAGGACTTTCAAGGTCAACAAAAACATTTTAGAGACAGAATATGTTTTGAGGCTGCAAGTCCTTACCTTGTTTCCAGGTATAATTTGACCCTTCAACCTCTTGGATCCCAACTCCTCTTCCTTCCTCTGCTCCTCCACTGCCCAGAACAGATCCCAGCATAGTGGGTGGCAGGGTGGGGGGAGCGGTTCAGAAAATATCCATTGAGTGAATGAAGATGATGCCTTCGTTGTTCAGCTATCGGTAGCTGAGGAAAATCGTCCTATTGATCAGTTGAAAAACTAGACCATACATTTATTCCAAATTCTGTCTCTTCACTCAAGCTGAAACACTATTTCCTTCTCTTTTTTATCAGTTATTCCTATTTGCCTTTCTGGTCTCAGATGAGATATCACTTGTTTTGTGAAGTCTTTGCTGCTCCTTTTCTCCCATCCCACTACCACCATTACCAAATCTGGAGTAAGTGCCCTTTTAATGGAGATATAGCTCCTATAATTTTCTTTATATATTATATGCAATATGCATATCAATTTACTCTCTAATTTGCATGATTGTGCATACATGTGCATACACACACAGACACACACACACATAAACTATGATTTCCACAGGGACAAGGATGGTGTGTTTCCTTCACGTTGTTTTCATGGGGGCTAGAATTATGGATGCTTTTTAGGTATTGGTTGGAGGAATAAATGAGTGACTGAGTTAACTTTAGCAGCAGTCACCCAGAAGTGTTCTTTGATTAATAGGAATGTTGAAACAAAATAAATTGCTCAAAAATTAAAGTCCTCTCAACACAGTTATCCTAGTGCTTGAAGGACTGATATCAACACTAAAATCCCTCCACTCCTTCTTTTACTCTCAAGGGCTCGAAGAGTGGTCATTGTGGCTCCTGATTCTTGCCTGTTATCTATTTTGAGTGTGTTGTTTTGCAGTATCTTGACCTACTGTGACTCCAGTCTGACTTGAGTTTGGATTCCTAATGCTTCTTTGAATTCTGTAAAGTGTAGAAATTGAAAATGGTCATGCACACATAGAAAGTCATTTGTTTGATCAAAGTTTCCAGATATATCCCTCCATGAGTTCTTTTACTATTATTTCTAAGAGTATTTGTTTGTTAGACTGAGGATTAGAGGCACAGATGGGAGGATAGTAGAAGTTATATCTTAGGAAGATATCTACCAGAAGTAAGTAAAGTTAGAATATGTTCAGTGAAAATTTTATCTTGAAAGCTTCTGACTTTAGATGGTATTAACATCTCAACCAGATTGATATTTTAATATGTATTTATTTTAGCTTATGTTTATTTTGGTTATTTTGGTCTCAGTCTTTTCCACTGTGAATCTGAGAACATACCTGAGTAGGCAAAATTATAATAATTTTCTGATAAGCCATCAACATTGTGTTCTGTCTCGCATCATATGCTATACAAATTTTTGCTCAAGTGATTGACTTCTAAACAGTCTTTTTTTTTTTTTTTAATGAAAGCCAAACTGTAAGGTTGGAATGAAAAAAAAAAAATGGCTCCTTAAACACAATGTCATTAACTGTCTCAGATCTTAAGTTGATCTCCAAATCAATAAAATCAAATTTACTTATTCAAAAAACAAACTATAACCATTTCTTATTTTCAATTATAAGACTAATTCTGGTTGGGTCTTTTCTAACAGTGTATAATCTACAATTTTTTAGATATACAATTTTTAGAAATCCATTCTACTCACAAAAACCTAGTGGAGTTTTACTCATGAAGAATTCTTTGTTTTATAAAGTATCATAATAGATTTTTACAGGTTTTGTGTTTATTTGAAGACAATTTTTTAGTGGGGGAACGTGGTCTTGCTCTGTCACCCAGGCCGGAGTGTGGTGGCATGATTATGGCTTATTGTACCCTTGACCTCCCATGGTCAAGTGATCCTTCCACCTCAGCCTCCCAAGTTTCTGGGACTACAGGCATGCACCGCCATGCTCAGTTAGTTTTTATTATTTTTAGTGACAGAGTCTCCCTATGTTGCCCAGGCTGGTCTTAAACTCCTGGGCTCAAGCAGTCCTCATGCCTCAGCCTCCCAAAGTGCTAGGATTACAGGCGGGAGCCACTGCCCCTGGTCTGATTTAAAGACAATGTTATACTGTAGTGTGATGTCCAATTGAGAAACCTAAAGTTGTTGTATTTATTATCTTTCTCTATCTTTATGTTTTCTCAGTTGGCTTTTGTTATTTGATTGTGTGATAACACCATCTAACTTTTTAAATTCCAAAGGGTTTTAGGAGACGACAGTGTGAGAAACTGCTAAATTTCCCTCAATATTAGTTATTTTAAAAAATTTATCCATTCAATTCCCGATTTTTAATTGGCTACCTTCAATAAAAACTACATATCCACACTTTGGGAGGCTGAGGCAGGCGGATCACGAGGTCAGATCGACACTATCCTGGCTAACACGGTGAAGCCCCGTCTCTACTAAAAATACAAAAAATTAGCCGGGGGTGGTGGCAGGCGCCTGTAGTCCCAGCTACTCGGGAGGCTGAGGCAGGAGAATGGCATGAACCCGGGAGGCGGAGCTTGCAGTGAGCCGAGATTGCGCCACTGCACTCCAGCCTGGGAGACAGTGAGACTCTGTCTCAAAAAAAACAAAAAAACAAAAAAAACAAAAAAAAAAAACAACCAACCAACCAAACAAAAAAACAAACTACATTTCCAAAACTCTTTTGTAGGTGCGACCAAATGACTGTAGTTTGGCCGGTAAGATGTAAGCAGAAATGTCACATGACTTGCATAAAGTGTTTTTGTTATTAAGGGCCAAAACTTTTTAAAACTTTTCTTCTTTCTTTCTGACTAGGATGTGGACATCAGGGCTGGGTCGGATCTGAACCAGCCCTTTCTGACCATTAGGTGAAGTCAATGCTGAAAATAAATAGCAGAATAATACGATAAAAGGCAAATCCACCTACTGGCCTCGAACTGCCCATCACTGGACTTTGTTTGTCTGAGATAGTAAAAGACTTTTGTTTGAGCCCTGTTATGCTATATTTTATACCATTATTTGAACTTAATATAAGGAGATAGACTTGACTGAATGAGACTTTCATAGGTGGGTGTTCAGAGTTGTGTCGTGAATCGATTTGTCCTTGTGGAAGTTTTGGAGATAGATTCATGGGTGGCTGGGAACTCACCCTGGGGCTTATTTTTGTGAAGTCTGGGGATCTGGTGTGGTGATTTCAGAAGTGGTAGGTGCTGTCGGTTGCTCTCCTGGGAGAGGTGGGCTGGCTAAATATGTATGTTCTGGGAGGTTCGAGGCCAGTAGGTGGATTCGCCGTCTATCTCATTGCTCTGCTATTTTATTTTCAGCATGGACTTCACCTAATGGTCAGAAAGGACTGTTTCTGATCAGATCCAGCCCTGCTGTCCACATGAATGGTAGCGTCACTTCTGACCCCTGCCACAGAGGGACAGTGAGGGAGTTTCAAGGGAGGAGTTACCTGTTTATTCCTGGCATCAACATTTGATGTCCATATTTTCAGCTGCAATATGTCTCTGTTTCACCTGAAAGTAAAGATAAACCTTCCTTCAAATCCTAATAGTTACCTAAGAACATTCAGCTTTCTTAAATTCTTAATAGAATTGTTAAAATTTAGTGGACATTTGAAAATGATTCTGATGCCATCTGTTTTAGAAGGCGATTTAAAAATTGTTTAGGAAGAAAGCTTATTAACATAGTGAAATAATTTTTATGACAATTACCTTAGGGATTTTAGTTCTGCCTTTGATTCTTCAGTGGGAATATTTTGTACTACCTTTTAAAATCTAATGAGTTAGTTTTATTTACTGCTTCTACGTATTTTCATCTTAAAATATAGTGAGATAAAAAATAAGCAAAATATATTTATCTGAAAAATAGTAGTGTGACTGGAACCATTCATCTGAAATATTTCAGATGAATATTTATTTGAACAACAGTAGTATGACCATTGTTCTTAAATCAGCCTATAAAATATATGGTAACATTAAAAATGGTATTTTTATATGGTCTTTATAATTTGAAGGGTATTTGTGTGTTTCTCATATATAGGGAAGGTTCTTAAAATTGTGTCCTAAATAATATTCTTGATTCTAAGAATTTCTTTATTTTCGATAGTGCACTTCTTTGTGATGTGAAAATAATGTTATTGGTTCTTGGAATAAGTGAATATTTTACACATGCTATACTTTTGGTGTCTTTGTGAGACTAAGTCTATTCTTTCTGGTAATTTTTGTGTTTGAAGTTGGGAGTTTGTTTAGGGATGATTGCCCCTGAAAGTCAACTGAATCAGATTGAAGACCTCTTCTCTAGTGTGTTGGAAATGAATCAATAGAGTGGCAGAAGAGGGACTTAGTAAGTGGCTCCCTTGAAGAACTGTGCAGCCACTAGAGACATTATTTTTTAAAATACTAACACTAAGCACTGAAAATTATAACTCATATTGTACTTAAACATTTTAAAGATATATATCCCTAGGTTCCTTTAATGTGTCTTAACTTTTTAAAGTTATAGCAAACCACAGCAATTATTGGTAAAATTAAATTGTCTTCTGATTGCACACTTGGACAATTTACTGAGCATTAAAGAGTTGGGGATGAGAATGAGCTTGCATAAAATAATTGAGCTCTGAGCAATTATTTCTCTATTTGGCTCCATTTGACACAAGCACCAGCATTTTATTGAATTTCCTTGAAATCATACAATGAAGGCTCACACTCTCAATAAGTGTGTTATTTTCAGAGAATATCTGGGGGTTTTCCACAGATGAGAGTTCTTTCTAAATTACTTGAATATTTGGGTTATTCCAGAGGGTCTATGTGAATTATCTAAGTTCTTTTCTCCTTTCTGTCTAGATCTAGCTGATATCAATTGCTAATTTTTTTTTGTTAAAAAATCAATTGTGCTTCCATGTTTTGCAAGGTAGAATATTCACATGGTCATTCATTTATTTTTAAATTAGTTGCACCTGTATCTCATTGTTCTTCAGGAGAAATAGCAAAAATGTGTGATAGGTGTGAATGTGGAATCTCATAGAGAGAACACCGAAGGAAAAAATGTGTGTAGGTCCTCTGCATATCTGGCCTTGCCCCAGCTATCCTATCCTTACAGTTTTAAGTCCTATTTTTACACCTTGTTCCCTATTTTATCTAATGTCTAATAGAGAAAAATAGATCTTGAAAAAATTGAGACATAAATCACCTGTGCAGAAGAGAACTTATTTTTTTTTAAAGACTATCTTTCTTTTCTTTTTTATTTTTTGTTTTCATTTTTTTTTTTGTTTTTTTTTTTTTTTTTTGAGACAGAATTTCACTCTTGTCATCCACACTGGAGTGCAATGGCGTGATCTCGGCTCACTGCAACCTCTGACTCTTGGGTTCAAGCAATTCTCCTGCCTCAGTCTCCTGAGTAGCTGGGATTTCAGGCACCTGCCACTATGCCCAGATAATTTTTGTATTTTTAGTAGAGACAGGGTTTTACCATGTTGGCCTGGCTGGTCTTGAAATCCTGACCTCAGGTGATCCACCCACTTTGGCCTCCCAAAGTGCTGGGATTACAGGCTTGAGCCACCACGCCTGGCCTATTTTTATTTAAAGACTTTCTGGGAAAAAAATTCGATGGTCTCCCATTTCAATGTTTAACACCCTTTATTCTTCACAAAAGACTCTTGAATTTAGGTTTTGGGAAAAACATCTCTTCTCTCATATAAGACTCAAGTGCCTTTTTTGGTAATTGCAAATGCCACCTCTCTCTTGTCTTCCCTATTTTTTGGCTACAGTCTGGGAGATGTAACCAATAAATGTAATGGAGCTGGGGTTACCATCATATTTATGCGTGTCCATCTATCTTTTAGTCTTTCGACTTGGCTTCTGTGTATTGTGCAAAACCCCTGAATTCTCCATGTGGTAATGACATTACCTTTGTGACATCTAGGGATACATCTTTTCAACCCTCAGACACAAGAGAAAGACCATGGCTGAGAAGTTATAAGTCTACTATTCCTCTGCTGTGGAAAGAGGTGCTGTGATTTGCAGCCCATTGGAATGTGTATGAAGTGCTATTTCCAGTGGGTGGAAAGAGACACTGAAGAGACAAATAACAGATGTTTATTTCAGGCAGAAAACTAGAAATACCTAGTACATTTAACATATATATCAATGTTTCTCTGTCTCTGTATCCGCATCTACATTTTACATGCATCTCTATACCCATGCTTATGTCTACATGCATGTTTGTGTCCATGTTCATGTCTACAGCATTTGTCTGTATCTATATCTTCATTTATGTACAGATAACCCTCGACTTATAATGGTTCAAATTACAATTTTTTTGGTCTTTACAATGGTGCAAGATTATATGCGTTCAGTAGAAACTATACTTCGAATTTTGAGTTTTGATACTTTCCTGGGTAGCAATATATGGTATGATACTATCTCATGATACTGGGCAGCTCCCAGCCAGCCATGCAACCATGAGGGTAAATGGCCAGTACTCCACAGTCTGTACTGTATTGCCAGATGATTTTGCCCAACTGTAGGCTACTGTAGGTGCTCTGATCATGCTTAATGTAGGCTAGGCTAAACTATGATGTTTTGTACATTCACTATATTAAATAAAGTTTTGAATTATAATATTTTCAATTTAGGATGGGTTTTTCAGGATATAACCTGATAGTAAGTCAAGGAGCGTCTGTATATATAATATACTAGAATTATTTATTCTGTAGAACTTCAGTATATGTTTCTATTAAAGATGATCTATTGTATGAATGTAGCCACTGAATAAATATTTATTGAACACTGACAGTATACACCATTCTAGAAATACAAAAAATCAAGTTCAAATGATCTTTGGCCTATATATGGTATTCTCGCAATCATTAGAACATAAACTGCTTCAAAACAGGTGAAACATTCTAACAACATTTTGCAGATAGTATGCATGTATTATTAATTAAATGTATTAAATTTTTATTTATATGACATAGGCAAGAGGAATACACCTGAGAGAAGATCTGTGACACATCAAATACTGTAAAGTATTCCTATATTGGAGATACAAAATTTATTCTCAGAAATCTGAACTTTTTAAAGTTGGTGTTTCCTAGCCATTGGTTTTCTTTTCATTTTTGAGGAGGATGCTATTCCTGTAGAAAATATTACTAATTTTATTTGCTAAGATATGGATTATAAGACTAATTTTTAAAGCATGAGTCTGGTAAATAAGCTTAAGATTAATGCAGAAAAATATGACTAGGTAATAAAGATGTTTATTTAATGAACAGTTGTTTTATTGTATTTGGCAACGTGGTCTGAATTTTTTATTTCAGAGAAAGCAATATAGTTTTATTTAAAATGTTATCTAGAACAGTTTGCATCTCTGGTCTAAAAAATGATTTGTAATGATGAGATGAAAAAAAGTCTCCATTAGTAACAGCAGTTTGATAGTAAGCCACATATTTACTTTTATTAATTTTCGCTTTTTCATCTTGAGATGAATTAACCATCTTGATGGTTTGCCCCAGGGGTTACTGTGTGAAATTATGAGTCAAAATGATTATGGTGCAAATGGAAAACAGAGTTTATGGCCTTTCTAAACACTTAAACTAGTTTCTGAAATCGGACTGTATGAATTCTACTTCTGAAATGATTCTTCATATCATGGTACCTCATACATTATAAATTATGTGGTGCAATTACATATTTAAAAGTAAGATACAGGATTTATTCATTTCCAACCAATATTGATAGCAAGTGAGTAAAGCATTCCTCGAACTCATTTGAGAAAAAAAAAAAAGAGAGAGAAAGGAATCATTTATTGACTCATATAACCAATTCTTGCAAAGTCAGGGTAGCTTTAGCCTCAGAGTAGATAAAACCAGAGCCCTTTAGTCTCTCTGTCTGTTGTTCTGTTCTGCCTGTTTGCCCATCTCCGTCTCTCTACTCGTTTTTTTTTGTTGTTGTTTGTTTGTTTTTTTGTTTGTTTGTTTTCTTGTTTATTTTGAGACAGAGTCTTGCTCTGTTGCCCAGGCTGGAGTGCAGAGGCGTGATCTGGGCTCACTGCCAGCTCCACCTCCCGGGCTCATGCCATTCTCCTGCCTCCCGAGTAGCTGAGACTACAGGCGCCCACCACCACACCCGGCTAATTTTTTTGTATTTTTAGTTGAGATGGGGTTTCACTGTGTTAGCCAGGATGGTCTTGATCTCCTGACCTCGTGATCCGCCCGCCTTGGCCTCCCAAAGTGCTGAGATTACAGGCGTGAGCCACTGCACCCGGCCTCTACTCGGTTTTTATGTGTGGTGCTTATTTCAGGTTTCTCCATGTGCTGAGGAAACTACTTTTGGGGAATCAGGAGTCAACATTTTTACAACCCTCAGACCCAAAGGAAAGAGGCGTTCATTAAAAGATGATGTGTCTGGGGTTTGGGGGAGGCACTGAGGCTTGCAGCCCTCCAGAATGCATAGTGGGGGAAGGGCAGTGTCCCAGTGGAAGGGAACAAGCCCCTATTTCTAATGGGAGGAAAGGGATGATGGAGAGACAGAAATAATAGATGTCTACATTTAGAAAGAAAATCTTTTGGAAGTTTTTACCAGTTTGGAGCCTCATGTGGATTATTATCAGTCTCAGTAATTGGTGTTGGAAATTTCTTATAGATCTTTAAGTGCAAGACAGTATGATAATGCACAGAACATCTCCTGGCATCACATACACTTGAATTAGAATCCCAGCTTACCTCTTAGTAGCTCTGTGATCTTTTTTATTAAATGTGTCCCCCAAATTCATATGTTGATGGCTAACTTTCAGTACCTAGGAAAGTGACTTTATTTTGAGATAGAATCTTTACAGGGGTAGTAAAATGAAGAAGAAGAAGAAGAAGAAAAGAAGTCATTAGCATATGCCCTAATCCAATATGGCCGATGCTCTTTTACAAAGAGTAAAGGTGGGCACAGAGATGTGCACAGAGGGAAGATGATGGGAACAAAGACAGGGGAGAAGATGCTACCTTCAAGCCAGGCAGAGAGGCCAGGAATGGATTCTTCCCTCACAGCCTTCAGAAGGAGCCAGACCTGCTGGCACTGTGAATGTGGACTTTGGACCTCCAGAGACAACACATTTTTGTTGCTTAAGCCACCCAGTCTGTGACACTTTGTAAATCTGGTAATGGCAGATTTACAAAGCAAGTACGGTCTTGACCATCTTTACCTAATTTTGTTGAGCCACTTCATAAATATTAGCACCTTTTACAAATTTTCCTCCTCTTCCTCTACATCTTTTACCCATTTGTCCTGAAGTCTGGAAGGCTGCTGATAAGTTTTGTGTCCTTCAGCCTTTTTACAAGTTAAATAAATTTTAAAAGTATCAGTCTGCCTCACTGCAGATCTAGGTAAGAATTCAAATAGCCTTTTAAGAAGGAGGGGGGTGGTAAATGGTTTATTAAAAAGAAAATAATAGCTAGGATTATAGATTAACATACAGACTTTTAATGAAAATGATATTAAGTAAGAGACATAATATCTTGGGAGGAAAATTGCTAAGGAGGTAGGCTGTAGTGTTAGATTATCTGCATTCTGAATCTCAGCTCCGCCATTCACTATGGAACCCAGGGTCATTTTCATAATCATGCTGTCTCAGTTTTCCTTTTCTGTAAAATGGGAGATAATAATAGCAGAATTAGGGTTAAATGGGTTAATAAACACAAAGTGCTCAGAACAGGGGATGGGCCATTGTAAGCATTCACTACAGGCTGGCTTTTGCTATTAATCGATCTCTCTCTTTTATTTGGTGGAAACTATGTTGAATGTTCCTGGGTAGGGGAAAGTGTAGATTGTCCTGCTGCATAATATCCACCATATAGGTATATTTTTAAATAGCATCACTGCTGCACTGACTTGGGAAATCAGCATTGTAAAAGGCTCTCCTCTATACAGAATGAGGCCATACATTCACGGGGCTGCTCATTGTCTCTCAAAGCAAAGAAATGCAATGATCTATTTTTCTCTTGGCTAGAACTTCTGTACAAGCAACTCAGGAATTAATGGTAGGATTACCCAGAAAGCACAGTAGAATCACCGTCGCCCTGCCTCATTTATCCATGAACACAGCTCCAACTGTAATTTGTGTCCTTTATCTTTAATGCCTGGGCACTAGTAGAATGAATGCCCTTTGTACAGGCAACACACCTGGGAGATGCTGCTGTAGGCTTCCTAATGAAAGCAAGGCATAGAACAAAAGGCAGGCGATGAGGTCTTCACAGAAACACCAGAAAAGCACGGGCTGCGCTTGTGATGATAATGCCGTGAAGGCTGCTCATACCTGAACATACCTTTTAACAACCTGCTCTAACACACACATTTCCCACTTTAAACCTTGCTTGATCAGTGGGACAATACTTTTAAACAGTAACCTTGCAAGAGGACAGACTAACTCAGTGATATAATAGCCTGTGCAGCAATTTATAGTTTAGGTATTGGTGTAAGTCAGGCTGAAAGTGGTTTATTGTCCTTGGAAACTTTGTCTAGTGACCTGGTATAATGAAGATTTGTGCAGTCTGGTTTTTGCAATTTAAAAATTATTCTCATGTTTTATCTGCAGATAAGTTGCAAATAAAAATCTATTCATTTGCAAAATTTTTGCAACTTATCCCATACCTATATATAATGCTACATATGTGTCAGTGACCACTATTATTTTATTTGTATGTTTATAAATATTTATAAACAATTTGTGTGGAATTGAGTTTAAAAATTTTATTTAAATTTTCATTTTTAAGTTGTTGTAGATTTAGCCTCCTTGTCCACAAAAATAGGCTTGTGAACCAAGCAAATTTGTATAATAGCTTAAAGGAATGATTTCACTGAACAAGCACATAGTTTTCCCCTTAAGCTGGTATAAAGCTATATATAATAGTGTATATGTTTCTTATATGTGAATTCAGATGCTGCATGGGGTCTGCTCTGAGATCTAACTCTATGGGAAGATTAAATGATGAGGGCCAAGAAATCAGACCCAGGTATGTTAGAAAAAAAGGAGGGAATTTCTATCATTGTGTAATTTATTCATTCAATTCTATGTAATCTTGTATATATTTACATATTATATAGGATTATGAATACCAAATTATTTTTCAGAATTACTCACACTTTTACCCTTTTAGCCTCTAAATGAGGCATTTCTTAAGGCTTTTCTTACTTGTTTTCTTAAAATTCTGCTTCACTTATACATGTATTTTTCATTTGCACATGAATGTTTTACAGTTTCTATCTTGAGCTTCAGTTCTGCATCTCCAACTGCTTCTTAAACAATCCACGCACAACACATGCAGCAAAATCAATACTATTTTAGCTCCTCCTATGGTCCAAGTGCTCTGTGAGGTCCTGCAAGGATACAGTGAGGAAATAGGCTTGGCTTTTATCTTCCCTGACTCTCTAGTAATCACATGTAAATAGCTTTAATAAAGCATGATATAATCAACCGCTGAGTTAAGCTAAGTATTCTAGGATTAGGGAGAGAGAGAACCTGACTTTCATTAGGGGGATTTGAGAAATATTATGGTGCCAGTAGGGTCAGATTTTGATGGATACAAGAAAGAAGGGAGGAAACTGCCGTAAGGAGGGGCTTCCAGAAAGGAATGAAGCTGAAAACAAACCCTGTTCAAGGAACAATGAGAACATCAAGAACTGCAGCTGCGAGGACTCCTGGGTGAGATGAGGCAAGTGTGGGGCACTGTAGGTGGAGTAGCAGCCGAAGAGGTATGAAAGGTGAGTCAGGCCCCTCTACCACAAGGGCCTTTGATGGCCAGGCTGAAGAGTCTGAGCTTTCTTTGGAAAGCAGTGGGAAGGCATGAAAGGTTAAGGAGGTATGTGTGTCTTAGAAAGATGCCTCTGAGGACAGAGGGGAACTTCGCTGGAGACAGATTCCAAGTAAAGAGACTGAGATAAGTCATGGGTGTGACCTTTGAAAATGTCCCAGAGTCCAAGGGACTTGAGTTTGAACACCAACTCTAGCACTTTCTAACTGTGTAAACGTGGCAGATCATTCATCTCTTCGAGTGTCATCTTTCAGTCTGTAATGTGGGGCTAAGAGACTAGTTGTCAGTTTAAAATGACAATATGTATAAAGTAGGCACCACAGTGCCTGGCACATACTTAGTAAGCATTCCCAAATTTTAGCTAATAGTATTATTATTATTGTCTATAATTTTAGATAGACTCAGTTAAGTACAGGACATATTTATTCATTCAGCCTTCTATTCACTCAACAAATTACTCAGCATCTACTTTGGCCAGTTGCCTTTTAGGTATTGGAGATAAAATTATGAACAAAAAGTTCCTGACTTCCTGGAGTTTATGTTCTACTGAAGAGAGACAAAGAACAAACAGACCAATGTGTAAATAAATAGCGAGATAGGTGAAAAGTACTATGGATAGGTACAATGTACCATATTCCTGGTTTGCCTGGAAAAGTCTCAGTTTCTATGTCACCTATAGTAATTATTAATAGTGCCTCCTTTCACTGCATAAATGTCTCTTTGGATAATAAATTATATGGTCACCCCAGATATAGAGAATAAATGAGCAGGGCAAAAAAGAGGGAGAATCCTGGCACAGGTCTAGGATGGGGGTTACCATTTTATTATGGGTGGGGATTACCATTTTATTATGGTTTGTTAGGGGTTTCACTACTAAAGTGTCTTCTGAGCAATGATTTGAAGGAAGGAAGCGAACCACGCATGTATCTGAGAAAAGAAATTTCCAGGCAAATGCAAAGGCTCTGAGGTAAGAGCATGTTTGGCATAAACAAGGATTAGTAACAAAGCTGTCATGCCTGTAGACAGTGAATGAGGTGAAGAATAACAGGATATAAGATTAGAGAGGCCCAATCACTTCTGTCTTTGTGGGCTGCCAGAAATAACAGTAAATAAGGACTTGGACTTTTCTCTGAATGAGTTGGAAGGCAGTGAAAAATTTCAGCAGAAGGGTAATATGAGCCAATGCATTAATTTTTTTTCCAGCTTTATTGACGTATGATTGAAAAAGGAAAATTGTGTAGATCTAAGGTGTACAATGCTATGTAAGTATTCATTGTGAACAGATTACCTCAATCATGCTAATTAACTGTATACTTTTAATAATATTTGAAATCCACACTGTTACCAAGGTGTACATTAGATCCCCAGAACTTATTTTTAACTGAAAGTTTGTATACTTTGACTAACATCTCCTCATTCCCGCCACCCCCCCGCCCCATAACCTTTGGTAACCAACATTCTATTCTGTTACTGATTTTAACGTTTTTAGATTCCACATAAGTGATGTCATACAGTATTTGTCTTTCTGTGTCTGGCTTATTTCACTTAGCATAAGGTCCTCCAGGTTCTTCCATGTTATAGAAAATGGCAGGACTTCCTTCTTTTTTAAGGCTGAATAATATCACATTGCATATGTGTGTATACATATACACACACTACATTTTCTTATCCATTCATTCATCAATGGACACCTAGGTTGTTTCCATATCTTAGCTATTGTGAATAATGCTGCAATGAATTTATCTCTTTGACATAATTTTTTTTGAATTTTTTCCAGCTTTATTGAGTTATAATTGACAAATATTATATATATTCAAGGTATACAATATGATAATATATGTATACTTCTATGTATATACACACATTGTGAAACGATTATCACAAACACATTAATTAATATACCCATCACCACACATAGTTAATGAACTAGTGATTTCATTTCCTTTGGATATATACCCAGAAGTGGGATTGCTGGATCGTATGATAATTCTGTTTTTAATTTTTTGAGGAAGCTACATACTGCTTTTTATAATAGCTGTACCAATTTATATTTCTACAAGCAGTGTACAAGGGTTCCCATTTTCCACATCCTCTGCAACACTGTTATCTTTTCACTTTTTTGATGGTATCCATCCTAACAGGTGTAAAATGATATTTTACTATGGTTTGGATTTGCATTTCTCTGATGATTATTGATGTTGAGCACCTTTTCATATACTTGCTGTATATTTGTATGTCTTTATTGGGAAAATGTTCAGGTCCTTTGCTTGTGGTTTTTTTTCTGTTATTGAGTTTCTTCTATATTTTGGATATCAAGCCCTTTATACCATATATATATATGTTTACATACATATATATATGTTTACATACATATATATGTTTACATACATATATATGTTTACATACATATATATGTTTACATACATATATATATGTTTACATACATATATATATGTTTACATACATATATATGTTTACATACATATATATATAGTTTACAAATAATCTCTCATTATGGAGGTTGTCTTTTCATTTTGTTGATTATTTCCTTTGCTGTGCAGAAACATTTAAATTTAATGTAGTTCCACTTGTTTATTTTTGATTTTGTTCCTGTGCTTTTGGTGTCACAACCAAAAACTCATTGCCCTGATCAATGTTAAGGAGCTTTTTCCCTGTGTTTTCTTCTAGGAATACATGGTTTCAGGCCTCATGTTTAAGTCTCTGGTAGTTCTTTATAGCAATGCAAGAACGGACTAATACACCTGGACACTGATCTCATCTGGTGAAAGACTGTGGGTAATCAAAGCATTTCTGCGGAGTGGTTGCAAGGCATGCCTGCGACGAGACAGGTTGTTGGCAGTGAGTGAGTGTAGCATTGTTCTTTCTCAAGATTGCTTTAGCTGTCTTCTTGATCTTGTGGTTCCATGTAAATTTTATGGTTTCATACAATTTTTAATATTACTTTTTTTGTTTCTGTAAATAAATGTCATTGAAATTTTAACAGAGATTGCATTCAGTCTGTAAATTGCTTTGGGTAGCATGGACATTTTAACAATATTAATTGTTCCAGTCCATAAACATAGGACATCTTTCCATTTATTTGTGTCTACTTCAAATTCTTTCATCCACGTTTTACAGTTTTCAGTGTACAGATTTTTCACCTCCTTTGTTAAATTTATTCTTTGTTACTTTATTCTTTCTGACACTGTTGTAAATGGAACTTTATAAAGAATAATATGTTTCGGGTGTTTATTAAATATAGAAACACAGCTGATTTTCGTGTGTTGATTTTGAATCCTGCAACTTTACTGAATGTGTTTAGTAGTTATGATAGTTCTTTGGGCCTGGTGTGGTGGCTCATGCCTGTAATCCCAGCACTTTGGGAGGCCAAGGTGGGCGGATCACGAGGTCAGGAGATGGAGACCATCGTGGCTAACATGGTGAAACCCCGCCTCTACTAAAAATACAAAAAATTAGCCGGGCGTGGTGGTGGGTGCCTGTAGTCTCAGCAACTCGGGAGGCTGAGGCAGGAGAATGGCATGAACCCGGGAGGCAGAGCTTGCAGTGAGCCGAGATTGTGCCACTGCACTCTAGCCTGGGTGACAGAGCAAGACTCCGTCTCAAAAAAAAAAAATAGTTTTTTGATGGGTTTTTAGGGTTTTCAGTATGTAAGATAGTGCTGTCTGCATACAGAGAAAATGTTGCTTCCTCCTTTTCTATGTGGATGGCTTTTATTCTTTTTTCTTGCCTATTTGCTTTGACCAGGACATCCAGTATTATGTTGAATAGAAGTGGTGAGTGGGCATCCTGTTTTGTTTCTGATCATAGAGGAAAAGCTTTCAATCTTTCACCATTGAGTATGATATTAGCTGTGAGCTTGTCACATATGGCCTTTATTATGTTGAAGTATGCTTATTTTATACCTAATATGTTAAGAGTTTTTTTATCATCAAAGATAATGAATTTGTCAAATGCTTTTTCTGTATCTATTGAGATGAGCATATGTTTTTTGTCTTTCATTCTATTAGTATTGTGTATCACATTTATGGATTTGCATATGTTAAACCATCCTTTCATCCCAGGAATATATCCAACATGCTCATAGGATATGATTTTTTTAATGTGCTCTTGAATTTGGTTTGCTAGTATGTTTTTGAGGATTTTTGCATCTATGTTCAACAGGGATATTAGCCAATAAATTTATCTTCTTTTAGTGTGATTTTCTGGCTTTAGTATCAAGGTATTGGTGACTTCCTAAAGTAATTTTGAAAAGATTCCCTCCTCTTAAATTCATGGGAAGAGTTTGAAAATCACTGATATTCATTCTTCTTTAAATATTTGGTAGAATTCAACAGTAAAGCAATCTGTCCCTGGGCTTTTCTTCATTGACAGATATTTAATTACTGATTCAATTTCCTTACTTATTATTAATTTGCTCAGATTTCCTATTTCTTCATAATTCAGTCCTGGTAGGTTATATGTTTCTAGAAATTTATCCATTTTTTTCTAGGTTGTCCAATTTGTTTGCACATAATTGTCCTTAGTATCTTATGATTCTCTGTATTTCTGGGCATCAGTTGTAATGCCTCTTCCTTCATGTCTGATCTTTTGAGTCTTCTCTCTTTTTACTCAGTTTTAGCTAGAGATTTGTCAGTTTTCCTTACCTTTTCAAAGACACAAACTCTTGGATTCATTGAGCTTTTCTATTGTTTTTCTCATCGCTATTTTATTTATTTCTACACTGTTCTTTGTTATTTCCTGTCTGTTCACTTTGGGTCTAGCTTGTTCTTTTTATCTACTTCTTTGAGGTATAAATTTAAATTGCTTATTTGATATTTGTCTTTTTTTCTTCATGTATTCATTTATTGCTATAAGCTTTCCTTTTAGAAATGCTTTCGAGGTTTTTGGTTTATTTGTTTGTTTGTTTGTTTTTCTGAGGTGGAGTCTCACTCTGTCGCCCAGGCTGGAGTGCGGTGGCGCGATATAGGCTCACTGCAAGCTCAGCCTCCCAGGTTCACGCCACTCTCCTGCCTCAGCCTCCCGAGTAGCCGGGACTATAGGTGCCCGCCACCACTCACGGCTAATTTTTTTGTATTTTTAGTAGAGACGGGGTTTCACTGTGTTAGCCAGGATGGACTTGATCTCCTGACCTCGTGATCCGCCCACCTTGGCCTCCCAAAATGCTGGGATTACAGGTGTGAGCCACTGTGCCTGGCCATGAGTTTTGATATGTTGTGCTTCCATTTTCATTTGTCTTAAGATATTTTTAAATTTGCCTTTGATTTACTATTTGACCCATTGGTTGCAGAGGAACATGTTCCTTCCTACATATATGTTAGTTTTTCATTTTTTTTCCTGTTACTGATTTCTAATTTCATATCATTGTGGTAAGAAAATATATTTGATATGATTTCAATCTTCTTAAGTTTATTAAGACTTATTTTGTGGCCTAACATATTGTATTCTGGAGAATGTTTCTTATGTGCTTTAGAAAAATGTGTATTCTTCTGCTGATGGATGGAATATTCTGTATAGGTCTTTTGGTCCATTTTCTCTAAAGTGTAGTTTAAGCCCAATGTTTTCCTATTGATTTTCTATTTGGAATTACCTATCCATTGTTGAAGGCAGGGTGTTGAAATCCCCTACTATTATTGTTTTGCTGTTAATTTCTTCCTTCAGATATCTTAATACCTCCTTTATATAACTAGGTGTTTCAATGTTGATGGCATATATATTTACAAATGTTAGATCCTCTTCATAAGTTGACCCCTTTATAATGACCTTCTTTATCTCTTAACAGCTTTGGAATTAAAGGCTATTTTTTTCTGATAGAAATATAACTATCCCTGCTCTCAACTGGTTTCTACTTGCATGGAATATCTTTTCCAATCCCTTCACTTTCAGCCTGTGTGTGTCCTTAAAGCTAAAGTAAGTCTCTCATAGGAAGCACAGAGTTGGGTCTTGGTTTTCTATCCATTCAGCTACTCTCTGTCTCTTGATTGGAAAATTTAGTTCATTTATATTTAAAGTAATTATTGATAGATAATGACTTACTATTACATTTTGTTAATTGTTTTCTGTTTTATAGTTCCCTTCTTCCCCTGTTGCTATTTTCCTTTGTGATTTGATTATTTTCTATAGTGGAATGCTTTGATTCCTTTCTCTTTATCTTTGGTGTATCTACTGTAGGATTTTGCTTTGTTGTTACTGTGGGGCTTACATAAAACATCTTGTATATATAGCAGTCAAATTTAAACTGATAGCAACTTAACTTCAACTGCATACAAAAATTACGTTTTTACTTCTTCTCTACTCCACATTTTAGTTTTTACTGTCATAATTCATTTTAAAATGTGCATCCATTAACAATTTATTTAGTTATGGTTATTTTCAATACTTTTAAACTTTATGAGTTAAAAGTGATTTAAATACCACTATTACAGTATTAAAATGTTCTGAATTTGACTAAATACCATATCACTGAATTTTATACTTTCATGTATTTTCATGTTACTAATTTGCATCTTTTCATTTTAGCTTGAAGAACTTGAATTTCTTGTAAGGCAAGTCTAGTGGTGACAAACTTCCTCAGCTTTTGTTTGTCTTGGAAAATTTTTATCTTTCCTTCATTTCTGAAGAACAGCTATGCTGAATAAACTATTCTTAGTTGGAAAATTTTTCTTTCAGCAGTTTGAATATGCCATCCTACCTTCTCTTGGCCTGCAAGGTTTTTGCTGACAAATCTGCTAATAGTCTAATGAAGCTTCTTTTCTATGTGAAAAGTCTTTCTCCTGCTTCTTTCAAAATTATCTGTCTTTGATTTTCAACAATTTGATTACTTTATGTCTAAATAAAATTTTTTTTGCATTGAATCTGTCTGGGAGTCTTACAGCCTCATATATTTGGATATCCATATATCTCCCAAGGTTAGGAAGTTTGAAGCCATTTTTTATTTAATTAAACTTTCTGTCCCTCTCTTTTTGTATTCTTCCCTGGAACCTCCATACTGCTTATTGTATTTACCTCCATGATGTCCTATAAATTCTGTAAGCTTTCTTTATTCCTTATCATTATTTTTTCTCCTCTGACTGAATAGTTTCAAGTAATCTATCTTTGAGTTCATAGATTGCATTCTCCTTGATGAAATCTGAAACTTCTTATTGCATTTTTCATTTCATTACGTTTTTTTCAGCTCCAGAATTTCTGTTTTATTTAAATGATTTCTATCTTTGTTTAACTTCTAATTTTGTTCATGTATTATTTTTCTGATTTTGTTGAATTGTCTATTTTTGTTCTCTTGTAGCTCACTGAACTTCCTTAAAACAATTAATTTGAATTCACTGTCAAGCAATTCATAGATCTCCATTTCTGTTGGGTCAGTTACTGGAAAATTATTGTTTTCCTTTGGTGGTGTCATGGAAACATGTTTCCTTGATTTTTAATGTTTTTTGAAGTCTTACATTGCTGTCTTTAGATTTGGAGAAGCAATAACCTTCAATTTTCACTGACTGATTTGGGGAAAGAACTACCTTCACCTGTCAGCCAGACTAGAGATTCCGAGGCCCTCTCAGACCTTTTCTATGGATATACCCACTCCACACTTCTTGTTTCCTCTTGGAGGAGAACTCTTTAGATTCTCTCAATCCTACAAGGCCTAGCTGGATGATCAGTCTCCTGTTTGTTTTCCCTGGTGGGATGGAGTTGGGGGTGACCTGACATGCTCAAGTTTGTGTGCCTTCTAATTCTGTGGAGTTGAGCTTGAGGACCACAGGTGCTTGTGAGCCACCTGCAAATGCTCACACTTGATATCTGGGGGGCACATGAAGGGAGCTAGTCATATAGGAGAGATGGAAGGGGAGATATATGAAGCATTGGAGTCACCTGTGTGTCAGTTGATAGGAGAGTCTGTAGGTGAGGAATTTCAAGCCCCTTGCAGAGAGTCCTCTTGCTTGAGTCTGTCAAGCATTTAGTAGGATACACAGACTTTTGTTGAGTTTTGAGACCTAATTGCTGTGAGTCCTTGCCTCTGTTTTCTGCTCTCAGCTTCTCCTAGCCATTCAGCTGTGTTAACACCCTTAGTCCTATTGGTAGGACCAGAAAGAGGTAGGCTTCTTTGGCAGCATCTTGCATGGCTGGGGAAGGCAGGACTCACTGCACTCACTTTCCTCTGTGGAAGGACTCGTGGGCCAAGGACTTGAGGGTCTTTCTTGGCATTGAACTATGTCCCCTTGGGGTGGGGTAATGAGTAAAATGAAACTGTTTTTCTTATCCACTTCAATATGTGTGTTTTGTTATTTTTTGCTCCAATGGTGTGCTTGTACTTCTCCACTGGACTTCTGCCTATCAATGTAAGTGCACTGTGGGGAGATGATGGTAGAAAATGATTCCACCATTTTCTGATGTCAACCTTGAACTATTATATTTTAAAAATATCACCTTGTACTACATAGGATGGCAAGGGTGGAAGCGGAGAGATGATTGAAGACTGTAATAATGGAAGAAAGAAATGATGGAGTCAGGGTGGTAGCAGTGGACAGGGTTAAATTATGCATATATTTTGAGAGTAAAACTGACAGAATTTGCTATGGATTGAATGTGGAGTGGGAAGCAAGAGTGTTTTTAAGAATGACTCCAAAATCTTGGGCCTGAGCAACTGGAAAAAGGGAGTTGCCATTTAGAGATATGGCAAAGATGATGACAGGGACAACTTTGGTGATGTGGGTGGAAGAAAATTGGGAGCTTAATTTTATTATCCCTCTTTCTATTAGAGATCCAATAGGACATATAGAATAGATAGTTGGATAAAGGAGTTTGTTGTTCAGGGAAGAAGTCCGGGATGGAGATATAAACTTCAGAATCTTCAAAATGTAAGTGAAATGTGAAATTGGAAATTACAAGACTAGATGAAATCATCTATTAAGTGATTAAAGCCAGAGAAGAGGAGAGGTCTAAGGACTGAGCCTGAGCCTGAGTATGTCAACATTTAGACGCTGAGGTGATAGAAAAGGAGTGCCTATGCAGTAAAATGAGAACCACAGAAGTGGCATCCCAGCAGTCCAGTGAAGGGTAAATTTCAAGTAGGAGGGGTGATAAGCTGCGTCAAATGCAGCTGATAGGGCAAGGAACAAAATTGAGTTCAGTGTTGACACTCCTAGGAATTGTTTTGTAAATGAGTACCAACTACATCATAAATACTGGAGGCATTATAATATAATTTGCATAGCATTTCATTTCCACATTCCATTCTCATTTTCTATCCATCAACCTAAAACAAGTAAGTGGTCATTGGGCAGGTTCTTTTAAGCAGGCATCTCATTTTAGACACCAGGAAAATAACTACTTATTTTCTTCTAAAGAGCTCCAGGAATGAACTCTTCACACTCTCTGCCAGCCATTTTTGTGTTTTATCAACTTGAAGTTGAATACATTTATCTTTATGTTTAACTGAACTCTATCTTTAGGCTCATTTCTTCCTGTCAGGTCCTCTGCCAATATGGAGAGCAACCAATCACCATCACCTTCATAAAAATGCCCTCTGTGTACTTGAAACTGGTAATCAGATCACCTCTTAACCTGCTCTTCTGTAGGATAAACAATACTGCTGCCTTTCATCTTCACTTAAAGGCCCTACTTTTACCTCTTCATGCGTATGAAGATGGCATATTAAGTAAGTATGGTCTTCTGTGGGCCTTCTTTCCCCTGAGTCCCACAGATGTAACGTTTTATAATATTTATAATTCACAACCATATATTTACTTATAAGAAGCAAAAGAATGAATTTCTTCTAACTTAGATTATTTGATCTGATCTTAGTGTGCGTACTCCAAGAGTGCACATTTGTGTGGTCTGTGTGTTTGTGTGTGTCTGTGTATTGTGCATCTCTGTGTGTGTGTGTCTGTGTCTGTGTGTAAGCTGACAGAGAGCAAGAGCACCTGACTCACAATTTAGCTCAAAGAAAATCACTTTACCTCTGGTGGTTGCTTGCCAGCCAGCATGGTCATTCAGCTGCTTTCATTTATTAGCAAGATTCCATATTTCAGTATATCTGTGTGCCCTTGAAATGTCTGAAGCATTTGTCTTGCTTCTAAAATAGATAATAAGCTGGGTCTTTATCCAAGGAGCTTGGCTTCCTATCACGCTATTCACTTTTGTCCTGCCTCCAAAATATCCTATATCCATCCTTCAAGTTTTAATTTTTGGGCTATTGGAAATAATGACAAGTAAGCAGAAAAGCAACCTCAGAAGGAAAGGATTCAAGATCATAGAGTACAGATGGCAGGTGCTTCAGAAAGCAAATGGTCCTTAGAAGGGATATTGCAGCCTTATGGCTGAACAGGGGTCCCTAATGCACCAAGCATTTGTTGATTGTAGAGGGTATTTTAGTTAGCTGAAATTTTACACATTTTACATCTTGTGACATGAGTAATATCTCATGCATTTAATTCCATTTTAGCCACTCACCTTGGCTAAACAACTAATATGTCAATCAGCATCTAGGGTTTATAAACTGCTTGATTTTAATTTTTTTATATGTAAAATAGAGTATTCTGTAACCGTGAGCTGGAAATGCACTTTGATATACATTAAAACAAAAGAAGCTCTGTACAATGGGATGCTTTATTTGTGGGAATATCCACAGTGGAGAGGAAACCAAGGCACTTTACTAAGAAGATTTATAATTGTTTGGCTGCATCCAGATTCCCTAATTGTATCTGTGTCTGCAATCACTGATGTGCTGATCCAATTCAATATTCTGAAGCCTTGATTTTCTCGAAGGTTAAAGCTAAAAATAAAAGCAACACTGCTTTGTAATTTCTATTGATCCTGAGTTTATAATATCTTTGGCACTGGGGGGGATCATTGCTTATCCTGACGACCACAGTTTGCTTTTAGTCTTAGCTACTGATGCTATTAAATGGGCAGGTGAAATGTTCTCTGGAATGTTTTCTCTTCCAAGTGTTTCACACTTTACACAGAATATGTTAAAATAATAGGCCTTCATGCCATAAACCCACAAATGTGAGAGGGAGAAAATCCAGCTCCTCTATGCTATCTCACCCCTGCTGACTGCAGAGGTCTCTGAACAGTAGGGAGGCATAAATAAAATTTATCACTAGAGAAGTCTTCCAAAAGACTAGAAAGGTGAAAGAAAGTGTGTTTCTCTAGTAGATGGTATTTTCCATAGGGTAGGATGAGGCTTCCAGACCTTAAAATAACCACATTTATTCCTTGTGGAGCTTGGAGCTGGAAAACAGCAAAGCATGCAGTGGTGCACAAATGTGCACTGAAATTTTTAAAATGTTCACTGACCTTTTGGGAGCCTTCATGCTGTTTAAGAATCTGCTGACCTACCGGCAATTACTGCACATAAATGCCTAGCTTCTGCTGGGAATTCAACTTTCAGCTTTTGCTTGCTGCTTTTCTCCTTTCCTCCTTTCTCCAAGCAACCATGTTCTGCAGCAAGACCCTGATTGCCTCAGACCACAGGGAAAGCGTGGGGCCAGCCTCTCTGCCTGGGCTGGCTCTATACTGCTGTTTGCTTGCAAACATTCAGTTATCAGGAAATGTGGAGTCAGCTCCATTCCTACTCCAGTTAATTTTCTTCACCCCATGCAGTGGGTTTGTCTCTTCTGCTGCCCCAGCTGTTCTTGCTTTTCCCAAGGTGGCAGAGTATGCCCCAGCTGCAATCGTGCTTCCTACAAACTTCCTTAGTTGCCTACTTGACCTCAGCTGCCTGGCCTAGATTTTTCATTTCCTGAGACTTCACACCAACATTAAAAACTTAATGGTGACTGCTGCAGCAATAGCTGACAATGGCATTAATGGAGAGGGTGGCATGGTGTTTACTCAAGTCAGACCTGGGTTCAAATTCTGCCTCTGTTACCGTTATCTTAGGTGAGTTGCTTAACTTTTCTGAGCTATGTTTTCTTCAGCTGTAAAGTGAAGATATTGTTAGTTTGCTATAAGGATGAAAAAAATACCATGTAAAACTTCCAGCATATTGTAGGCCTTTCCTAACATCAGTTTTCGCCTCTGCTTCTCTTTCTGAAACTATACTCTGCTTTCTGTGGTCAGTTTGCAAGCGTACAAGATAAATAGCAACCCTACCACATGGGGCTTATAGACTATATGGGGATGTGAGACCTAAGTATGAGAAAAGGTAAAACCTACTCCAGGATTTAAACAAAATTTGAAGACTAACTATGGGTGATAAGCCAGAAGGCAGGAAACAATTGTATTTATGTGAAAAACAATGTGTTATAGGAATTGACTATGGAATGATTAAAAAAAAAATAGAAATGATGCAGTTTGAATTCAATCTTCAAGATGAGCAGAGCTGTTGTTTTTTTTTTTTTTTTGAGACAGAATCTCGCTCTGTCGCCCAGGCTGGAGTGCAGTGGCACGATCTCGGCTCACTGCAAGCTCCGCCCCCTGGGTTCACGCCATTCTCCTGCCTCAGCCTCCCGAGTAGCTGGGACTACAGGCGCCCGCCACCATGCCCGGCTAATTTTTTGTATTTTTAGTAGAGACGGGGTTTCACCATGTTAGCCAGGATGGTCTCGATCTCCTGATCTCGTGATCTGCCCGCCTTGGCCTCCCGAGTAGAGTTTTAATAGAACGAAGAAAGGAGGACCTCCTGGACAGAAGAACACTGAAATAACACTGTGGAGTCACGAAAGTGCAGGAGTGTGAGGAACTTGGAGGCCGCAGTTGTGGCTAGAGCAGAGGGTTTGTTCTGCAACAGTGGGAGAGGAAGCTGACAAGAGATGTTGGGACTGGGAGTCTGTGTCAGAGTTATCAACTAAAAATTCAGATGCTCAGTTAAACGTAAATTTCAGATGAACAACAAATAATATTTTAGTCTATGTTCCCAAATGCTGCATGGGTCACACTTACACTAAATAAAATTGTCTTTTATCTGAAATTCAAATTTATCTGGCCATCTTGCACTTTACCTGGCATTTTGTCTGATCTTATATACCAAGTCAAGGATTATGTCCTTGACCTTGAGTCACCGAGAATTTTAAAGAGAGGAGTAAACTGAAGAATAAACTTGAGTCAACTTGACAAAATACCAGAATGGCTGGGAGAGAGAGTTTAGAGGCAGGAAGATTGGCTCTGGTGTATTCTACCCTCATTTAAACCCCTGGCCTCACATATATAGAGAGAGAATTCTCCTGATAGCTTACTAGACAAAGATATATTTGTTCTTTCCATGACTTAGAGAATTATGGAATGTAAGGATGCTGGATAAAAGCTTAGTGCCTACATGGTTGTGCTTCAAATGAACATTAATCCAGGCACCAAGGACTATTAATATAACCCATGAAGAGCTGGCATCAGGAACCCATCATCTATCACCAGTGGAGGGGGAACACCTATAGCTCTTTGCAGAGTTCTTCCATCAGTGAATCTTAGTGAGGGGCATGGTTCCTGAAATATTGTTGCTTTGTTTTAATTTAGAGCTCACAAAGATAAGGAAGAAGTTTAAATAGTAATGTTCTTAAACAAACTTAGATAACACTGGGACATGCCTTTTATTCATTTTTAGAGATTTATCTGGTTGCCAATTAAAGTTAGGTTTTCATATTGAATGCCTTTTTACTCTCTCAACAGCATAAAAAAATCTTTTTTTCTAGATAAAGGAATCTCTAAGGTTATGTTTTTAACACAATTTTCAGAAGAGTTTTTTCTCTCTTTTTATCTAATTTTATCAAATTTATCAAATTGCATCTAATTGGCTGAAATTCAGCCTGTTGAAAACTCACAGTATTATACATCTTGTTGATGCTTTTGATTATTTCCTCAAGTGATTTTATTAAATATTTTCACTGAAAGAGAACTAGGCAATTATTACAATTCTGAAATTAATTTTAGAAAATACTGGAATGTATGAAAATATTTTTCTTTTTCCATTAATAAAATAAGTTAAAATGAATATTTGCAGAATTCTATTAATAATATAGCTGGTCCAAGTGTTCACATTTGTCGTTTGGTGCAAAGACAGGTAGAAATTAATATCAGATGCTCTGACACTACAGACAGCTGAGCTCTTATTCTCAAAACATTTTAATGAGAACACTAGGTGCATATACCTGGCAACAACCTTCTTTAGAAGCACAGGTGACTCATTTTAGTTGATAAGCATGCTTTACTTTTTAGAATCAGGAGTGTGGAGTGGTGGGAGGCAAATTATTTCTAGCATGCGATGCTTTCTTACACATAAACGTAAATATGTAACACCAAAGAGACATTCTTTTACCATTCAATCTCCTAAAGGTGATATTGTTTTATGAAATGAGGACATTCAGGTGCAAAGATTATAGAAAGTTATCTCCATTTGATTCTTATGCTAAAAGTCAACCAAAGAAACCCAATCAGTAAAACACCCTATGCAGAACATCCAGAGACTCATTCTAGAGGACTAATCTAGAAGGTCCACCAGTTCAGAATGCAAGGCCTAGATCGCCAATGACATCCAAGTCTGTCAAGATTCTGATGGAAGTTGAACTGCTCCAGTAACCTGCGTATGCTGAATACTGGTCAGGGCTATGCTGCTCTCATCACCAAGGGGACAGCAGGGGTAAATCTGCTCATCCAGGTCATGCACCTTTTGCAGTCTTTGTGCTCTGAGCCCAGGAACTTGAGATTAAGTGGTCAGAATCAGCTGATAGATATGTTTATGTACTAACCACTTGAGTTCATTTGGGTTGAAGCTATTGATCTTCGGTTGGAATTGTACCATTCTCTGTATAGCCAGAATCCTTAGCTTGCAGCTACTGAAGAAAATACTTAAGGATCATGAAAATGAATTCAAATTTAGGGAAATTACTTTCTTTCCAAATGTTGTGCCAAATTCAATAGTTTCATCTTGGAATTACTGTTAAAATGTCTTTCACTGTTTTGACCTTCTTTACCCCTAGTTCATTGTCTCAAACACGTTGGATTAGCTTTGCCCATATTCACCAGTCAAATCCTCCTTCGACAGTTATCCAGTGACCTTTTCTCCTTCCCTTTTCAGAATGAGATAATATACATAAATCCCTGTAGCAAATAAACACAAGACTTACTCCAGTATAGATTTCCATAAAGCTAAGGCAAAAAGAAAGCACAGAAGCAGAAGTAGCAAGATTTTGGTTTTTTGAACTTATTCCCAAATTCTGTTCTCATTTTGACTTGTGGGCTGTTGCTTATTTCATCACTGCCTAAGTTTTGTTTCCCCGGCTTACGTTTCCTCTTTCGGTCCCTCAAAATATGCATTATATAAATTTTCAGCTAGGTTTATTGAAGACTAGGTATGCTGGGATAAGTACTAAAGAAAAGCTTTAGTTTGGCTTAGAAGAAGATCAGCATTTCCTTTCATGTAGAGAAGGTTTCTAAGGCCTACTTTCTGATATCTTCTTACATAATATGGGATAACTGTATCTTTTTAAAAATAGACCTGATGCCCTTTGCCTGGGGCTAGCAAAAAGCCTTTTTGGAGGTGAATTAGTTTGACTTTTAAAATCTATATCATATAAGCTAAGAATCTTTGGGAGAAGAGAAGCTGGCATGCACATACTTTTTTCTTTTCCTGTTTTTTGGATGGATGACCCATCAAAACTTGCCAAAAATATGATTGAAATATGCATTTTCATCTGATGGAGAAGTCTATAAATTGTTGGGTAATCTTTTAGAGTTTTCCAAATCTGGCAATCTGCTACATGAACCGAGAGAGAACATTCATGAAGAAAATGTATTCTTCACTACTTACTCAATGTGAACGAAGATGCTTCTTTACCCAGCCAAGAACTCAGCTATATTATGCATACAAGTAATGGCCATTAGCATGTAGAACAACACTGATTTTTATCAAAGATGAAGTTAAACACATCATGTTTTTGTTTGTGGAAGCAGTGCTATGTTGGGGTCAGTGAAGATGGTTCTCTGAGGAGATGAAGCCGAAGCTTAGGGTAGGCAGCCATAAGGATGGTGGGAAGTGTTAAGAATCCTGCCACTGGTGAGACCAAATAGGAGTCTGGATACTTTGAAGAAAACTGCAGGAGACCTAGAAGGATGTTTGCAACATAAGGGAAGAAGGAGCTGTCCAAGAAAGGTGGCTCCCTGGTATGCCAACAGTCTTCCTTCTCAATTTGATATTAAAAATGTGTTAAAACAGCTTCATAATTTTTGCAAATAACTCTTAAAAGTTCAGAAATCTTTCTTTTTTAGATGACTTAGCTTTTAAATACAAGAAAATATTGTTGGTGCAAATGAATATATAAATATTTTAACACTTTAAAAGCTCCTAGAACCCATTTAAATGATTACTTGTCAAATGAGTATATTTCTTGTCTCTAGATCACTCTTACAGGTTAAAGCAAAAGATGACTGTATGAATTCCATTCTGTGAAAACAGCATCCAGTGTTTTACTGATTGAAGGATGCAGTGCAATAAAATTTGCCAGTTTAATATCATTCTCTGAACTAATGCATGGATTGGAGTTTCTGGATCCATGGTATCATGTGCTTATATATTTTATTATTTTGGCATGAAATTTTTTCTGCTGTGTTGGGAAGCCACATGTAACCTGGTGTCCTTTGCCTTCTAAAATAAAGAAAAGTTAGCATTCAAACGTTTTTTGTGCAGCACATAATAACAATACAATGCAATCTGAAATCCTTCCAACAGAGGGCTCTATGGGTTTGATTTAGAACAAGAAAGAAAGTGAGAGAAAACTGCTTGGGTTTAGGTTGCTATAGTAAATTCTGTATTATACTTAAAAATAGAACTGATAAAAATGGAGTCAGTTGAGTTGAACTGGAAGAATCATCCAAAGATGAAATGTAAGATCTACTCTCACAAGACAGAATTTCATAATTCTTTGAATTGATGTTCTTTTCGAAAGACAAAATATATTTTACCATCTATAAATAAGAAAGTAGGCAAATGAGAGATAATCCATGCTTTAAAGTACTATTAATATTACCTCATTCAGTTACATTTAAAAGGAAAAAAGGAGCTACTGCATTCATTCTCTTCTTGGAGACATTTTATCTTTGCTGTTGGCAAATAATTTAGTGTTGGTATAAGCAGATGTATTATGTACATAAAATGCATTGTAAATATTGAATACACAAAATATATGTTTGCATACATGCACAATGCAAAATGTTACTAAAATATTTTACAAAAAGAAGTGATACTACTTAAAAGGTAAAGAACAAAAGCATAAGAAAAGCTAAAGTGCAATATATTTTGTTACCTATGCCTGCCACGAAGCTGACTTTTTCAAAATGTTAGGCCTAGCTTTTTAATTCTATTTTCAGATTGTAAAGGTTTACAATATATACATTCAAGCAAAATAAATAATAAACAAAAGCAATAAATTACTTTTGGACTCTGGAGCTTTGTCTTCTGATTTTAAGAAATGCTTTATTATATCTGATCTTTTTCAGTGTTCTTTGAAATGCATGGGCTCAAAGCATTCGATAAACAGACAGCTTTTTAAATTTTTAACCCATCTTATTATGTCTACTTGAAAATGTTTATTTCATTTGGTGTAGAGATGCTTTAATGGCACAACTAATATTCTATTATTTAAATAAATGTTTTTGAAGTCTGGACATATTTTCTAAAATATACTTATCTAAAATTCCAGAATTATCCCTTTAAAATACTCTCTAAGTGTCATTTAGAAACACTGGCATCTTAATAAATGCCTGTGTTTACAACCAGAATGTTTGCTTATAGATATTCTTGAATACAAATGAAGATTATAATTTATTATTCTGGATAAACCATTAGTATATAAACATGTAATGTATATATTGATAATACATAATACTAGTAAATGTACTTTGTGTATATATTTATATTCAAGTACATTATTTTTGTATGTATTTATCTAATACTATATTAGTTCATTTGGTATTTATAATCCATATTTTCCAATAAATATATAGTTATTTTTGATATAGTGGCTTTCACCTCCTAAAATTTTGCTTTTATCAAATATGATTCTTCAATATGACAATGTTAATCAACAAATTTCTTGTTCATTTTGAATAGTATGTTTATAACATATAAACAAGATCTACTATGATTTGTTATCAAGCAGATAAAATTTGGTTTGATATTCTATAAAATCATTTTCAATGATTTTTTTAAATTTGGAAAACATTTAACACAGACAGGATACTTTAAACACAATTGCAGCCTGAGTATTCATATGGAGTGTGATTAGCAGTTCTTATATATTTCCATTTGTCTTTTGTTTTCTTTTTAAATGAATTATGAAAGAGAGATCTCTAATAAGATCCAAAGAAGATTCAAACCCAAACATTTACAGTTCTACCAGTTATTTTTAAACATACATAAAGGTTGTTTTTTGACATAGTTTTACTGAGGAAAAATATCTTTTCTAATTTTCGTTTCATTTTGTTTAAACTATCTGGAGCATGAATTATGACTTTTGATGGATTTCCTAATAAAGATGCAGTAGCAGCAAACAACTTTGGCTTCATAGGGCTGCTATTTTCATATTGTAAGATTTTACATGTATTTCTGGAATTCTTACTTGTAAATTCTTCCAGAATATTTTCCTCTTTACAAGTACAGAGAATTATTTTATTTGATTTGTTTTTAACTCATCAACAATGAACTTAAAGACATAGCACTGCGCCTTTTGGCCAGGAACTGAAAGTGCAGAGGACAGAATGCATATGAAACACATATAGACAGTATCTTTTGCTAAAATGATTGTCCCTTTTTTTGTCATGGGCTCCAGATATTTTCATAACTTTATCCAGGTGGAGGTTAACCTTCATCAATATTTTAATTTTTTAATTTAAGAGATGATTACATTTAACGCCATGTTAAATGCTGAGTAAGGATAATGTAGACACATTTGGGACTCAATTTTGATTAAAAGTAACAATTATCTATATCAAAGCCCACTATTATATAATGTCAATAACATGTATCTATAGGTAATTTTTTTAAAAAAATAGTCATCAGTACTACACCCCATCAAATTTACACCAAGGCACAAATCAGCATTATTTACATCTTTGAGTATTGCTTTTATGGTTATATGAAAAAAAAGAGAAAAAAACCAATAATATTTCTTAAAATCAGCACACAAAGGTAATGGTTTGCTTTGTGCACCTGCCAGTTTGGGTTGCTATTAAAGCCACCCTGGAAATTCTCCTGTCTTTGTGCAATATTTTATGCTTTTCCTTTCTTCAGGGCAGATTGGTTCTGCCTGCACTTTATTCCTGAACCCACGTTCATTCAAAATGGATTGCCATACTTAAATGCTCTATCTAGTGCTGCTGCTGCCGCTGCTGCTGCTGACTAATAATGCCCCTCCCCCACTCCAGCTCCCACCCCATCATACTCCGGTGATTTCTCCTCTCTCTCTTTCTCTCTCTCTCTCAGGCACCAGTGGCCCTATTGTCAACAAAGAATTCATAATGGTGAAGTACTCAGCAGTAATTTTGGTGATGTTTTCCCTTGCCTGTTTTGAAAGTATTTCTGAAGAGTATAAATAAATGTGCCCTAAACTCTCCCCCTTTCTCTAGGCTGATATTTGGAGCTAAGCTCTCATTAGAAGGGCGCCTCAGAACTGCAGTGGCTGGAATGCTTTCAGGGAATAAATGCGTGGCTCAATGGCTCCCTCTCTTTTTAGTAATATTAGCACCATATAGATTTAATAACGGGGTGGTTGAAAACATTTTGATGATGGGGCAGTTTCTGTGATCTGCCAGGGAAAGCATCTGATTTGCTCATGTACCAATTAATTATTAAAGCAACTGAAAATACAAGCTACTGTGCTTCCCTCCTGCAAAAGGGTGATGGGTGTGTGTGTGTGAGTGTGTGTGTGTCACATGTCTGTGCTCTTGGGCTCATGTTTATACATATCTGTATATTACTTAGAAGGGAAGCTTGGTCAGAAATTTCTTCATTTTGACCTTGAAGTCGCTGGGAGATTTTCTGTGTGTGTCTGGTAGAGTAATATTTCGATGTAGTAGGAGCACAATCCTTTCTCTTTTCCCTTTTAATTTTTCCTTCCTCCACACTAAATGAGCCACAGCCAAACATCACTTTTAATTTTAACTTCTATTTCTGGCCTGTATTTTATTAGCACCTTTTCTGTTTTACAGTCTACTCACTGATATGGCACCAGATCTGTTGTAAGCAAACAATACGGTTTTGTTTCATGTTCCAATAAACACTATTCTACTGTATGGTGTATCTCCTGTATTTTGTACCTTAATAGACTTGGTTAGGTTTGGGGAGACTATTCCATGATATATAGACCTAGGTTCATCCTTTTTTCAGATTCTGGGGCTCACTAAAGTTTTAAGGTAAAGAGATAGCAGATTTTTGGGTTATTGTAAAATTTATTGCTTTGTATTGTGACAATAGTGTTCATATGCCTGACATCCTCATAATAATATTAAGCTCTATTTTTTTGTGTGATGTACTTTATACATTTGTATAAATGTCACAGCCTGTAATCACTTCCTTTGTCATCGACGATTAATCTAAAAAAATCGAATAATTCACTGCCCCTTGCCATTTACATATCGTCTGCTGCCATCTGCTCTTCTCAGCAGCAGTAAATGATGGGTAATTAACTCAGTGCCTTTGTCTTTCCCTTGCTGAATGTCTGACACATATAGATTTTTCTCTGTGTGTGTGTTTGTGCGTGTGTGTGTATGTGCATGTAAGAGGAAGAGGGAGGGAACGAGAGAGGAAAGAGCAAAAAAGAGTGAATGATATTGCAAATATGGAAGTCAGCACAAGCTAATTTCAGGAGAAAAAGCCAAAGATACTGGATCAGAGAAGGAACCATATCTCAGGACCTTATGTCTTCTCAAGCCAAAAGAAAGAGCTGCTGGAACAATGGCTGCTTTGCACAAGCGAGAAGCGCTTTTCTAAAACCTTAGAGGTCAAGGTCACAATGCAAAATCAAGTGAAGTTCCATAAGTTATTCCTATCTACCGGTGTCAAATACAGATCATGTAAATGACACCAAGTGTAGGGTACCCAAAACCCACATAAACGTTCTAATTAACTTCTGAACTGGTAACCGGAATCTCTGTTTTAGGAAACGGTTATAGAAAGAAAATCTCAGTTGGTCTTGAGTTTTGATACATTTTTTAAAATACGAAGTATAAAGGACAACTTACAAGAGCTTGTCAAACTGGGAAGTATGTAGAAATTCTTATTTTAAAGGAAAACAATCTCACTATCTTGGACTTTCCCAAACTTCATATTAAAGTATCATTTCCTCCTGGTGCCACCCAAGAGTGCATTAGAAAGGAATCCCACACTATTTTGAATACTTTAAATAAAATATGACTCTAATAATTCTTGTCTAAGACATATATCTTGTTACATAAAATATTATTTGAAAGGTGGTTAATTTTGATAACATTAAAATAAAAATAATTAAAAGGTAAAATTTTAAGGGAGATAAGAATCTGGCTTGATCAAACATGATTTTTATGGTATGTAAAGTTAGACCACATAGACCAAGGAACAGAAATCTACCTTAATTTTTTTCACATGGAATTACTAAAGCACACTTTAAATCAAGATAATAGGTTTTGCTGTTGGTAACTTAAGCATACTAAATCCAATTCTTGTTTTCAAGGAGTTTACCATTTATATTTGCATATAAAGACATACATATATAATATTTATTCAATCAACCAAAGGAGTACAACATAGGGATTTAAGATCGTGATCTTATATTCTTTAAGATTTTTGTCACTTGGTGTTCTCAAGGTTTGAGTGCTCTTTGAACTTATTACTGGAAGAGGAAGTTCAACATCAAATCCAGAGAAATTCTTGCAGCCCTTTTTTGTGTATGTAAGGCTTTCTATGTGATACCTTTATCATGAATCCCAGCCCTGTATCTCTACTTTTCTGTATGCTCAATGGTTATGAAGACATTCTCCTATTTTTCCATCATAAATGTCATGAATGCTTAAAAACATTTACCTTTTGGCTTAATTGCAATATTTGTGGTTAATTCAGCATCTATCACCACAAGACATCTGAAGGTTAAACAATTTGCCTACCATCATAAAATAACTGGACACCACTGGAAGGCCATTTAATTGTTAAATTATATTTTCTACATCAGTTTAAAATAACTTGCAGAGATGACTGAGTATATACATTATGTGATGAAATGACTAAAAGTCAATTACTAAGTCACTGAAATAAAGAAAGGAACATTATAAATGTAAAAACATGGCCTTCATCTCTCAGGGCTGTGTTAACTGTGTGAAGTACATACTTTATAAAACTATTTAAATTTCATAAACTTTTTATGACTTACAGGTAGATTTGTCGGCATCTAATTGAGTAAGAGATTCTTGAAAGCTTTCATTGCAATCGTTAATTCAGCATCATTGTTCTCTCAGGCTGTTACGTGACCCAACAGGCTGGGGGAACAATATTGCTGAATATAATTGGCATATGTCAGCAAAATATAATTAGTAACAAGCCTCTCTCTGAAATGCTCTTTTTGTTGGTTAAAAAAAGTTGAAGATTTCCTCTTGGATTAAATTATAGCTTGGATTTCTCTCTCATTTAATTTTGGTAGATCTTAAAAAACAAGATGAATTAATTTAAATCTTGATTCGAGGAATATATATTGATTTCCTGTGTCTTGCTAACACTGGGAAGGGATTTCTTTCCTTCAGTAGGTTTTTAGTTTAATTCTGGGCATGAGAGCATTTTGTATAAGAAATATGGAGCAGTGTATTATCAAGGGCTATCCTGAATACACAGACTAAATTAAACCTCACCGACCCATTGAGTTTTGAAATAGCTTCAGTGACCACCCATTTCTGAGGGTTGTGAAAAAGCTGCCACAAAATCAGACTCTCAGCTTGCAGCTTCCTGCTTGGGAGTTACTGACACCAAAGACACTGAACTGCAGATGGTCTTGAATTGTTTATTCCAGCACGTTCTATGTGCTTAACTTCAGGGGTATTATGCTAACATTGGTAATGGGGAAAAATATGTTACAATTATCTTCCAACTAACAGTATAAGAAAGAAGATAGATATCTTTCACTAGAGGCAATTTTAGGGAAAAATGATACTGGGATATATAACATTTTAAATGAATACAGAATGTATACCAAATTGCTTTTGAGTGTGGTGGGGTAAGGAAAAGAACTTTGGAAAATTTCTTCAGAACCCAAGGTTGGAATGAAACATTATTTTAATGAAAAAAAATATCATTTAGAAATGTAATTTCACCTAAGAATGTTGTGACTTTGCAGTCATAGCCAAGTCTGAGTGAATGGTCCCATCTGACCCAGGCCACAGCTTCAGGGGCATGGCCCTGGAGGAGTAAGGAAGGTGAGGAAACATGCCTAGCCATCCATGTTGACCAAAACCTGCACTGGCAACCCATGGGGTGCTACATATCAAAGACAGGTCTCAGTCACATCTTCATTGCCAAGGTATTTCTCTCACATTATTAACCTAACCCAGCCTCACACCTTGAACTTCTTCCTCACTCATGCCCTCTCTAGGTCTGAGGTTCCTGGACATTATTCCTGCCTCCTAAGCAGCCTGTTCCTAATATTCCTGGCTTATCAGTCCTCACTTACTTTTTTTTGTTCCAGGTCCTGTGTTTCTGGTAGGTTCTCCTCCACTCATTTCTACTCCACATGAAACACAATTGCCCAGCATTTGCATTATATATCTCATGCACCATCATCACCATTTACTGCACAGAAATCATTTTCAACATGGAACAGCTCTGCATATAGAATGAATTTCAAATGGCGAGGAGACAGAGAGGGAAATCTATATACACACAGATAATTTATTTCAAATCTTATGGGGAACTGTAGTTTACTCAAACTTTTGGTCATTTTAGGTTTATGCAATGAAATACAGCCTGCTTAGTAGAATTAGTTGAGTTTGGGTAAAGCTCTGGAAAGTCATAAAAATAATCACACTTATTCAAAGGAGACAGAGGTAAGGGCTACCAACAAATTCTGCTTTTTCAATGATACTTACCCATAAGAAATAAAATAGAGGCCAAATAAGCTCATCACAAATAGGCAGGCTGTCACAGAGAGGTGTGATGTAGCAGCAGGTTCTAGATAGATCAAGTGATAGTGAAATATAGGCTATAGAAAAATTTGGTAAGTGCCAATGAAACTTCTGAAACACATGAATCAAAGGGGTGAATATATGAAATTAGATCTGCTTTATTAAAAGATTTTCAGCAGTTCCAATTAAAAAATAGTTCCCCTTGTTTATGAACACTTCATATAAGTTTTTCAAAATCATAGTTTATGTATGATCTTTCAGGGAGGCAGATTGATAGAGCGGCGAGCTAACTGAACCACAAGAGGAGAGCAATGATGACAGGGCAGGGCACTGAATCTTGACAGGCCTCAGTTTTCTCATCTGTAACATGGGTCAGTGATTTGCAAACAACAGCTTGTGCAGGTGTAGGGATGTCATAAAGAGGCTGACAGTCATGGTTTCTAGGCTTTTCTCCCCAGGCTTTAGCTATATTGACTCTAATTTGCGTTTTCCATTTTGACTTGCCCATGATTTTTCTTTTCTTTTTTTTTTTTAAAGCAAGACTCCACAGCTGAAAAAAAAGTTTGAAAATTTTTGCTCTAAATATACTCAAGAGTTGTAGCATGGTACATAGAGGTAGGTAGGTTTTGGAACAGGCAAACCTGGTTTGAATTTTAACTGTGGCTCAGACAGAGTTGGAGGAGAAAAGAATGCAAGTTAAGAGTTGTATTTTAGAGAGATGGTCTTTGTAGTGCTATGAAGAATGGGTGTGGAGGAATAGAGGTGGGAAGCAGGAAAAACATTTACATTTAGAAGATGTTTGAAATAGTTTATACATGAAATAATTAGCTCAACTTAGGCAAGGGCAATAGACATTGAATTGGAAGTATATATTTAAGAAACATTAGGGAAGTTTGAAAGAATAAGTACCATTAAGGTGTTTAGGATAAGGAAGTAGTTTAGAATGACTGCCTACTTTCTGATAACATTGCCTGGGCTGGGAAATCCAGAGAGGAACACTTTCAGGTAAAAGTATGTTGAGTTCATGTTTGTACACATAGGATTTGATGAACCAATTGGATATATCTACCAGCGTCTAGAGTATAGAAATGAGATCTGGGTAATATGGGGAAAATGAAAATATTTTATGTGTGAAAGTACAAAACTCATTAGAAACCATAGCAAAGAATTAAAACTTTTTCAAAGGAGGAAGTTCTGTGAGCAAATGAAGGCTGAATGTCCTTTGGCATCCATTATGTGTAGTGAATTAATTTTATTCCTATATATCTAGAATGATATTAGCTATATACCATCCTGGACGAATTTTAAAAATAGCTATAAAATCACTGCGTATGTATTTTGTGGTTCATAGAGGGGACCCTGTTGAGAGATGTGTGAAAAAAAATCCAAAACCTCATTGAGCATGAGTGATACCCTTGAGGAGCTCATAGTACCGTGTACGATATGGACCTGCTTACAGATAACACTGGCAGTGTGAGTAGAGAAGTGTAACAGGATTCAGGCAGTGAAGCAAGTCAGCTTCTGGTCTCTCTCTGCCTCTCTGTCTTCCTGTGTCTCCTACTCCAGCTCTTCATCTCTGTTTCTCCCTTTCAGTTCATCTTTCCTCTGCCTTGGCTTCTTGATCAAGTGACCACTCATTATAGCAAATCCTCCAGAAGTTCCAGGATGTTATCATTTTCCATTTAGCAACCTCAGTAAAAGAAAACATATTTTTCTCATCAGTTCCAGTAAAAGTCCCTGAAATAATTTATGTTGGCCTTGTTGTAGATCTTATACCTTTCCTGAACCAATAACCAAGGCCACGGGAATGGAATATGCCAATTCCTCAGGCCTGTATCGGGAGCTGCTGAAGGAGTGGTGTAAGTTCCAGCGATATAAATTCTATGAAGACGTCCCCTTTGGAGGAGCATGTGGAGTGGAAGCGGGTGAAGGGGATGCTCCTCCAAAGGCGATGTCATCATGGAAAAGCAGCAGTGCTATCAAGATCAGCAAGCCTCAGAGATGGCTGCCCCTACAGCACAAACAACGGGTTACTGCCATTTCTTTCAGGAGTCAAAGAAGCCTTCCTGGTGAGCTGGAAAGGAGAGGCTGGACAGGTTTTCCCTAAGGTCATACGGCAATATTTACAGCCATGAACATTCTTGGTGATGGTGGTGGGACTGAACTCTAAATCTACCATCTGGAGCTAACTATGGAAAAGACAGAAGGCCAAACTTCAAAGGTTAGCCACATTTATAAACATAATAATAAAATTGTACCTTCAACTACAAAGAGTGGAGTGATATGGTATGCCCTTTTGCATCCTTCAGCTTTGGGCCGAGAAACTTTGGAGACATGAATTACAAAGGAGATGGCATTCATAATTTAAAAATGGGGGACAGAGAAATGCATTGACTTTGAAATCGCAAACCAAAGTAGCTTTCACAGTTGGAAAATAGGGTAGTTCTGGGTTGAGAACAAAGATTCCCAAAAGAAGGTAATATTGCACTCCATTCTAAGTGAAGACATTTTGGGGGGCACTTTTCATAAACTGAGAAGGGTGGAGGAGATTAATAGGTTAGTATAAATTGATAAGAAATGAAGTTTATTCATATGGACTTAAGATCAGAAAGCAGATGAAGAAACTACCAAAGCAAAACAAACCAAAACCACTGCTCTGAAGTCCGGATGATCTTCCTTTGAACAAGATACCAATTTTACTTAAGAAACCATCAAATAATGAGGAAAAGTCTACACAAATAATTAAAAGTCTTAAAAAAACAGTCTGTATCAATAATTCCAAAAGTAATCTGGACTATTTGCTTTCATTCTCATTGTGAACATGACCTGAAGTTTTGAGAAAAAGTAATATTAGAGAATTCTTTCAACCTTACTTATTTAAAAAACTTCAACTTGAAATTAAGAAAGAATTACTTTCTGCTTAACAGGTCAAATGGTTTATAGCAAATGACATTTGAGAAAGTGTTTTTCAATTTCAAAATAAATTGTTGAAGCAATAGAACAGCAATTGTGGACATGTTAACTTTGTATAACAATGATTAATATTTTTATAGCGAACACTTAGATAAGCACAAAAGAAGAAGCATAGGTTAGTACATTTAAAGAGTTAAAAAGAAAAATAATTGTGGAGGGTTTATATATGTTGCTGAATCTTGTGCTCACTGTGATAGAAGTAGAGACAAATGGTTTTTACATATATTAATTTAACTGAAATCCCATATTTAAAAATCAATCCTTATACTCTACAAATACAAAAAGGATTTGTACCACAAAATCTAGTCATCCATTTACTTATTAATCACCCATTCAACAAATATTTCTAGTAATCCTTTGTGCCAGGCAGTTTTAAGAGTTCTGGGGAAAAAAGGATCAATAAAACAAAGCCCCTGATTTTGAGGAACTCATAGTCTATTGCGAGTGTGGGATATGTAAATAAATACTTACAATCTTTCACCCATGCCTGAGGAGTTCCATTAGCTTTGTTCCCAGTGACAAACATTAAGATGGTTTAGTCCTGGTTAAATGTTCCATTTTCTTTTAAAAGTCATTGTGTACCCTGCTTTTAAGTAGATACTAAGGCTGCTTCATCTAAGGTGGACAAGGGCAAGTTCCTCTGGGCTTGTCCTGGGTCAAAACTTGGGAGTGGATAGCCCACTATTTTCTTGCACAGTTTCATATCTATTTCACCTTTCCGGAAAAGCATGGCCCTGAATACATCCATTTAACAGAAGAAAGAGAGTAGCTGCAGAAACGGAAACAGCAAGAAAAAAGAAGAGGAGCAATGGCTTAAACGTAGAAAAATTCAGAAACGTCTCAAAAATAGTTGAGGCAACGAGCTCAGGGTGTGTGTACTGTAGACCCAGATACAGAAATCATGACCAGATAATCTTGAAGTTATTAGGAGAAAAATGAATGAAAACTAGCAAAGAAAATCTATTTTTCATCTTATGAAGGAAAGATGAAATACAATTCCAACTTCCTGCAGTATTAGTATTCAGAAATATAATATTCAGATAATGGGAAATAACATCATGTCCATTTCTGAGTACTATATTTTAACTGGAACATTGACAAATTCCATTGAACAGAGAAAGATAAGATGAAGAAATTTCTAAGTATCTTCCAATTCTAATTGTTAGAGACTAAGTTAACTTAGGGTTTATCACTTAGGTTAAATATAGCCCCTAAGTGAAAGAAACAAAAACAAATACCTTCTGCCTCTCCCCCTTTTTTACTTTAGGTGAAGGATGAGTTCAGTACATCTTATTAAAAGAAATATCAAGGTCCGTTTCTGTGAATTTGTACTTAAATACCATTTTGGGGAAATTAATTTTATATGAAGACAAGCCAGCAGACAGTAGAAGTTGAAAGATCTAGAATGAAATATAATAGGAAGGAGTTTGGAGGAATCTGGAGACAATTACCTTTCTAGCAAAGCATATTTCCTCCAGCAAAAGTAAGCACTTGCCTTGAACAATACATATGTGTTTTGGTTCAGCCATTTCGCTTTAAGGATTGTATACCAAAGAAGTGGTTAAGGATATGCAGAGTTTTCTGTAAGTGTTCATCTCAGTGTTATTTATAATAGTGAAAATGTAAATAATCTACAAGCCAAATGTTGGAGAATGTGTTAAATAAATTATCTAAACAATGGAATGTGTAATGAATAGTTTAAATGGAAAGCTATTCACACCATATTGTTAAGTGAAATAAATCAAATTAGAATGCATATATATATACATGCAGGCTAAGCATAACTATGGGAGAAAAGTATTGAAAGAATAATATGGTAATTATGACTTTCTTTAGGTAATGAGATTAGGGATGTTTCTTTTTTTATTATTATACTTTAAGTTCTAGGGTACATGTGCACAACATGCAGGTTTGTTACATATGCATACATGTGCCATGTTGGTGTGCTGCACCCATTAACTCGTCATTTACATTAGGTATATCTCCTAATGCTATCCCTCCCCCCTCCTCCCACCCCACGACAGGCCCCAGTGTGTGAGATGTTCCCCTTCCTGTGTCCAAGTATTCTCATTGTTCAATTCCCACCTATGAGTGAGAACAAGCAGTGTTTGGTTTTTTGTCCTTGCAATAGCTTGCTGAGAATGATGGTTTCCAGCTTCATCTGTGTCCCTACAAAGGACATGAACTCATCCTTTTTATGGCTGCATAGTATTCCATGATATGTATGTGCCAAATTTTCTTTTTTTTTTCTTATTTAACCAATATTTTTCTTTTTTATTGATTATTATTATACTTTAAGTTTTAGGGTACATGTGCACAATGTGCAGATTAGTTACATATGTATACAGGTGCCATGCTGCTGTGCTGCACCCATTAACTCGTCATTTAGCATTAGGTATATCTCCTAATGCTATCCCTCCCCCCTCCCCCCACCCCACAACAGTCCCCAGAGTGTGATGTTCCCCTTCCTGTGTCCATGTGTTTTCATCGTTCGATTCCCACCTATGAGTGAGAACATGCGGTGTTTGGTTTTTTGTCTTTGTGATAGTTTACTGAGAATGATGATTTCCAGTTTCACCCACGTCCCTACAAAGGACATGAACTCATCATTTTTTATGGCTGCATAGTATTCCATGGTGTATATGTGCCACATTTTCTTAATCCAGTCTATCGTTGTTGGACATTTGGATTGGTTCCAAGTCTTTGCTATTGTGAATAGTGCCGCAATAAACATACGTGTGCATGTATCTTTATAGCAGCATGATTTATCATCCTTTGGGTATATACCCAGGACTGGGATGGCTGGGTCAAATGGTATTTCTAGTTCTAGATCCCTGAGGAATCGCCACACCAAGTTCCACAATGGTTGAACTAGTTTACAGTCCCACCAACAGTGTAAAAGTGTTCCTATTTCTCCACATCCTCTCCAGCACCTGTTGTTTCCTGACTTTTTAATGATTGCCATTCTAACTGGTGTGAGATGGTATCTCATTGTGGTTTTGATTTGCATTTCTCTGATGGCCAGTGATGGTGAGCATTTTTTTATGTGTTTTTTGGCTGCATAAATGTCTTCTTTTGAGAAGTGTCTGTTCATGTCATTCGCCCACTTTTTGATGGGGTTGTTTGTTTTTTTCTTGCAAATTTGTTTGAGTTCATTGTAGATTCTGGATATTAGCCCTTTGTCAGATGAGTAGGTTGTGAAAATTTTCTCCCATTTTGTAGGTTGCCTGTTCACTCTGATGGTAGTTTCTTTTGCTGTACAGAAGCTCTTTAGTTTAATTAGATCCCATTTGTCAATTTTGGCTTTTGTTGCCATTGCTTTTGGTGTTTTAGACATGAAGTCCTTGCCCATGCCTGTGTCCTGAATGGTAATGCTTAGGTTTTCTTCTAGGGTTTTTATGGTTTTAGGTCTAACATTTAAGTCTTTAATCCATCTTGAATTAATTTTTGTATAAGGTGTAAGGGAGGGATCCAGTTTCAGCTTTCTACATATGGCTAGCCAGTTTTCCCAGCACCATTTATTAAATAGGGAATCCTTTCCCCATTGCTTGTTTTTGTCAGGTTTGTCAAAGATCAGATAGTTGTAGGTATGCGGCGTTATTTCCAAGGGCTCTGTTCTGTTCCATTGATCTATATCTCTGTTTTGGTACCAGTACCATGCTGTTTTGGTTACTATAGCCTTGTAGTATAGTTTGAAGTCAGGTAGCGTGATGCCTCCAGCTTTGTTCTTTTGGCTTAGGATTGACTTGGCGATGTGGGCTCTTTTTTGGTTGCATATGAACTTTAAAGTAGTGTTTTCCAATTCTGTGAAGAAAGTCACTGGTAGCTTGATGGGGATGGCATTGATTCTATAAATTACCTTGGGCAGTATGGCCATTTTCACGATATTGATTCTTCCTACCCATGAGCATGGAATGTTCTTCCATTTGTTTGTATCCTCTTTTGTTTCATTGAGCAGTGGTTTGTAGTTCTCCTTGAAGAGGTCCTTCACATCCCTTGTAAGTTGGATTCCTAAGTGTTTCATTCTCTTTGAAGCAATTGTGAATGGGAGTTCACTCATGATTTGGCTCTCAGTCTGTTATTGGTGTATAGGAATGCTTGTGATTTTTGCACATTGATTTTGTATCCCGAGACTTTGCTGAGTTTGCTTATCAGCTTAAGGAGATTTTGGGCTGAGACGATGGGGTTTTCTAAACATACAATCATGTCATCTGCAAAGAGGGATGTTTCACGTTAATTTTCTTTGCTTACTTTCTAACTTTTCTTCCATGAACTTGTATTGCCTTTGTAAAAATAAAAATATGTTTTATTTTATTTAACTTTTAGGTTCAAGTTTTACATGTGCTGGTTTGTTACGCTGGTATTTTGCATGATTCTGAAGTTTGGGGTATCAGTGATCTCATCACCAGGTACTGAGCATAGTACCTAATATGTAGACTTTCAGCTCCTGCCCCCATCCCTTCCTCCCCAGTCTAGTAGTCCCCATTGTCTATTGTTCTTATCTTTGTGTCCATGTGTACTCAAGGTTTAGCTCCCACTTATGAGTAGAAGTATGCAGTATTTGGTTTTCTCTAGTTAATTTGTTTAGAATAATGATCTCTGGCTGTATCCGTGTTGCTGCAAAGAACAGGACTATTCTTTTTTATGACTGCATAGTATTCCATGGTGTATATGTACTGTAATTTCTTCATCCAATCCACCATGAACAAGCACCTAGGTTGATTGCATGTCTTTGCTATTATGAATAGTACTGCAATAAACATACAAGTGCATGTATCTTTCTGGTAGTATTATTTATTTTCCTTTGGTTATGTAACTAGGAATGGGATTCTTGGGTTGAATGGTGTTCTGTTTTAAGTCCTTTGAGAAATCTCCAACCTGCTTTCCACACTGGCTGAACTAATTTACATTCCTAACAACAGTGTATTATAAGCCTTCCCTTTTCTCTGCAGCCTTGCTGAATTCTATTATTTTTTGACTTTTTAAAAATAGACATTCTGAGTGGTGTGAGGTGGTATCTCATTGTGGTTTTGAATTACATTTTCTAATGATTGGTGATGTTGAGCATTAAAAATGTATTTTAAAAATAAAATAATATCTATTTCATGTTTAGTATGTGAAAGATATATTTGTATTAAGTAATATATTAATATATCTATATCTACCTATGAAGCACTAATATAAAGATATATTTGTCAAATAAAGATGAAACTTCATGCTATTTCCCTCATGCTTTATATGTAATCTATCACCAGTTGTGGTCAGTCCAGTCCTATGTTCTAACAAAACTGACTTTCTTTGGTTCAGAACATATGTTTATTCCCATCTTGGGATCCTGGCTTAAGCTCATCCAGCTGCCTTACGTATTTCCCAACATCTTCATGGTGTCTCATTTTCATTCTTCAGGGCTTGGCTCCAGTGTCACCTTCATAAAGAGAAACTCTGGCTACCTTCCTTCGAGTGCTTTCTGCAATTTATCTCTATCTGATTTCTCTGTTTATTTTCCTCAAAGCATTGATCACATTCTGGGCTTATCTTGCTTATTCATTCGTGTGCTTGATAAATGTCTGGCTCCTCCTCTAGAATGTAAGCTCCATGAAGGCAGCAACCTCATCAGTGATCCCCTAACATGGGGTCTGACATATGGTGGGTATAGAATGAATCACTCATGAAAACATCTCAGCAAGGATGACAGACATTAAGACTTTCATCAGAAAAAGTTGAAGTCCAGTGTTGGGTAGAGAGAAACTTACCTCAACGTCTTACCAATATGAATATGTATTATATACATATAAACAAATGTATACACACATGTATAAAAATCACAGACTAACATATATACATATGTACCTATGATTTATACATATTTAAAACATACATGCATGTACATATACAAATGATATTATACAAAATTTCAAGTATGTACAAAAGTAGAGAGAAGAGTATGATGAATTCCCCCCAAGGCTCCATCAACCAGCCTTAACAGTCATCTCATGGTTAATCTTGTTTCATAAACACAGCTTCTCATTTTTCTCTCTGTCTGGATTCTTTCAAAGCAAATTCCAGACATCATGCTTTTCTCTATAATTGTAATGTATACTCTAAAAAATAAAAGCAATCATAATTCTGTATCCCATCTAAAAATTAACTGTAATTTTTAAATATTTTACATATCCATTGTACATTTAAAAGTGTATATTCAGAATGTATATTTTAAAAAATTCTTCATGTAAAACACTTTTCCTTGAACACTCTTCCACATGCCATCTTGTTTTGAAACTAAACTTTAATTCTTAGCTTCCATGTAGTTAGAAATGGAGACCATTTTTTTCCCTTAACTTGGATAATTTTTTATCTTTCAAAGGTGAACTCTTTTCAAGTTGCCTCAGGGATAAGATAGCAAAACAGTCCTGTCTAATGCATTTTCTTTTTTGGGGGGGTTGTTTTCCCATGAATCTTTTCAACCCGCCCAGTATTCTCATTTTGTTAATCTGCCATCAGATGATAAATTGCCTTCAAAGAGTAAATGATCCTGAAACTCTATTCTAATGAATAGTCTGAATTTGTAGATAGTCTATATGTATTTGTTTATTTTATTTTATTTTAATTTGGTTATTGTGGTTAGCATAGTTTTGATAGCAGTTTATGATTTGCTATATAAAAGTAATCCTGATTTGGTTATATAAGAGTAATCTTGCCTTTCTTTTTCAATAAGCTGCTAGATTTGTTGTAGTTTTTGTCTCTCTATAACCTTAGGCTGGTCCAATTTCTCAACGCAGTTCAAGATAATGTTAAGTAATTGATTGCATCGTGAGTTATTAACAAGGACAAGAAACACACGTATTCTTCACAAGTTTGCTATATCGTGGCAGAAAAGCACAATTTGGTGGCAAAAGGAAAATTCCAATTAGTTGCTTTAGATACTGTGTCTTTAACTGTGCCAGTTTTCTAGCTGTTAATAAATTATATTCTTGGTCTTCACATCAATATGCTAAGCTGAAAAGTCAGTGAGTGTTTCCATTTGTGGTTCACTTACTTGGTGAATAAGAGCATCTTAACTAACCCTAATCAGCTGTATCCAACAATATATGCTAGATATCAGCCAAAAGTATCACCAAGGCTGATCTTTCTTTCTCCATTCCAAATACTGCATTCCATCTATCCCACATTGTCAGTCATTCATCAGCTAGCCTCAGACTAGTAGATAAAAAAGTGGTGGAAACATCCCTGGAGTCTTGGAGATTTGACTCTGGTTTTGATGGAATATTATTCTGTGGATTCTCACATTTATTGACCTCAATACTAGTGAGGTCAACGTGACAATACAGTGTGTATTGATTTGGTCCAATTCAAGAATTGCTCATTCATTTATTGCTTATATTTATGTAAGTAAAGCAGTAGGCTTTCATCTTCCAATTACAACACGTTACCGAATTAATGTGATTAAAGATGAAGCTGGACTACTGTTAACAGGGTCTTTGTTTCTGTCATAAAGTGCAAAAGAAACAATTATGTAAAATTAATATATTCTTAAGGAGGAGAATATGCATTTCACTATCAGTTATTATAACCCCCAACCTTTTTTCTTGTTCAAGCCAATTTCATGCTAAAACACTCTGACATATTTTCTTTATTCCTGGCTTCCCCCCAGCCCCCATTCTATACCTGCATCTTCAAATTATATTATATGGTAAATTTTTCTATAAATGGGAATATGATATCTTTGAGATTAACAAGGTCGGCAAGAATTTAGCATCAGAATAGTTTTGAACAGGCATGTCTGTTATTTTTCTTGAAATATTCTCAGCTATCTATTTTTCTTAACACAATAATAACAAAGACTGTGCGTGGAGTAAGAATTACGAGTTCATACATTTGGCAACTGAATCGCTTTTTCCTAGGTCATTGCTTTGTTGTCTAAGCTTGAAATCACTTCTTGGAACCAATAATACAGAAGACACACAGCTATGATCCAAAAGATAATTTTTTTTCCTTCTTAATGGGGGATGGGAAAATTATATTTAGGAGTGTGAGGGATTTTATAGTTTTTACTTGAATTAATGTAATAGAACAAGTCTGGCCACTGAAATATGAAATATAAGAAAACATACATGTTATATTTATAATTGGTTTGATATCTTGCTTTTTATTATTGCTTGATACAGAAATCATTTTACTGAAACATTGCAATAACAAAGGGCCTCTGGTATCTGTTTCTCCTCATCACTGTTCCATTCAGTATAAAAATAAATTGAAGAGTGCATTCTGTAGGACAAAACTTTATGTAAAATACAGTATGGTAGATATTGTGGTCTATTTCTTAAACTTATCTAACTACACCAACACTAAGAGACATTTACTGTGGGGACAAGAGAGTCATTCGTAAGCACTCCCTTTGGCTGCCAGGTAAGGAATATCCAAGAACTGACAGCAGCATAGCATTTAAAGGCATCAGTCTGGTACAAAAAAAATGAATATAGAAGAGATGGAATCACTGGGTATTGAGCAGCAGGGAAGGAAATGATTTGTGCTGCCTGCTGATATTTAAAGGTATATTATGCACAGTAAGAACAGCTTAGTTCTCCGGACTCCGTGGCTAACCCACTCTAGAACTGAAGGTACATAATATGCAGGATAAGTTTATCTCTTAGCATGGCCTGGGCAATTATTTGGTATTGATTTTCGGAAAGTTTTGTCTTACATGTCAGCATTTTGTTGGCAAACTTTGCAACATAATCCAGTCAAATCAGCGCAGAGATGAGTGTGGGTAGAGATAAACCCTCCGCGGGCGAGTCCTTTGCGTGGTGGGTAGGTAGCCCTTCTACATTAAGAAAGCTCTTGCAACTGTGCCGTCTCGTCAGGGGAATTGTAATCTTGGGGAATCCCTGTGCCTGATTGCCGCTCTCCTCCCAATTGTGCACTTTTGACCTCTGTATTGATTCTGTTCTCTCATCAAAAGCGCTGATGTAATTCCATGTGCTGGGATCATGTAGTGATTTGCATTTAGGAGCTGCAACTGTGCGCTGACCCCAAACCATTTCATCAGAATGAAAGTAGACCAAATGGCAGATGCGTTTCCCCTTAATATTAAAGTCTATTGTGCCATTTGGTATGTTTCTTTATTGTATATAGAAAAAGGACATATACCATCCGATCTGGATTTTGATTTAATTCCAAACAGGAATTGAGAAGTTCTTTAAAACATAACAGGGATCAGAAGGGATTTTATTGAATTCCACATTCAGTGCAATAAATAGCATTCCTATTTGTTAAAGCTTAACACAAAATGATAAAAGTATCTGAATATATTTTCAGAATTTCCAGCACATTAAAAATTGTTTTATTTTTTTTTACCGTTTTTTGTTACTAATGTATATCAAACAAGATGTCTATTCATTGACTCTCTAGTGAAATACACTAACTAGAAATGCTATTTAGTAATAGAAAATAGTAGATATGTCATTAACAGATTTAATCTGATGAAAATATTGACCATTATTTTGTTTGTTTCTCCTCTCCCTCTTCTTCCTCCTTTTCTTTCTTCTTCTTTTTCAAGTAGGGTGGAAAATGGGCAGAAAACAACTTTTAAAGCCTAGGCACCTAAAGAAAATGTCATTGAAAATCTGTGTAAATATACAATTATCTGCATTATGTTCTGCTTTCCTATTTCCCCTGTAGATACTATTCATTCTTACTTATTAATTTCAAACAACATGTGTTTACTGAACATTTAGATATAGGTGCTAGAAATTTGGTGATGAGCAAAACAGACATGATCCTTCATGGAACTGGAGTCTGGATGGAGAGACAGTCAACAAATAATTACACAAATAAATATCAATGTAACAAGAAGAGAAAAGGTCATATTAATAACTGACAATATGAATTATTCTATGAATGGAATCATACTTATTTGGAAAAATACTGAAAAGAACTTTGGGGAGGTGTGGGGATGGAGCTACTGAAGGTGCTGAGTATGTGTGGATCCATTCATTGAAAACTAAAAAAGGGTTTCACCAATTGTCTCATATGGAAAGAGGGAGAAGGGACTTGGTGGCAGAACCAAAAAAAGGGGCTCTGTGATCCTTCAAAATTAGGAAAACCTTGGTAGAGTGAATCTTCTATGGAGAAACTAGAACAGAGTTGTCTTTTGTGCCCAGGTCAGTGGGAGATTAAAGCAAGATGGCACAGAGGAACTGGCAGGCTGTGATGTTTGTTTGATCTGGGATTAGTAGAAAGTATGGGGAATACTCTGGATTCTCACAGGCTGGGAATTTGGAGGCTCAAGCCAGTAGTTCATACATTTTTTTTTTAAAGAGTCTTCAATAAGTACTGTAGAGATAAACTGCAGGAAGTATAACAGGGTTCTAATTTAGATTGAGGTGGAAAGTGATGTCAGACAACACCACTTCATTTTATTTTATTTGTGATCTTGAGGGTACTTGATTTCATTTTTAAAAGGTATTGGATCTTTCTGTGGGGAAATAGTTACAAAAATGTCTGAGTTTACAAAATGTTAAGTTAGGAAATACTGATAATAATGTACATTGCATAGTATAGTTTTAGTTTACAATGTACTTTCACGTGAATTGTCTTAATAAATCCTCAAAGCAATCCTGTGAAAAAGGTGTCATTCTCATAGTAAAGATGAGACCATTGACAATGGCTTGCCAAAGGCTAATACGTAGTAAGTGGCAAAAGCAGACCCTGAATCCAGGCCTTCTCACTCTAAACTGTGTCCTTTCCACTAACTTTTGTAAAATAGTGCTTGAAGTTGTGAAAGCATTCACCAATGATTTTTCTTTAGTCATATATTCCAATAAACATAAAATTGCTTAGTTTTTAAAAAAAGCATATTTTATTGAAATTTCCAGGATGTATGTATTGAATACATTGAGGTTTACTTTGAGAGGCTGTGTGCCATTGTTGCTAGAGGATTGAAAAGTATTTCACACAGGCTGCGCATAAGCTTCTCCTTGGCCTGGAAGTAGTAAGAGATGAGATAAATCTTTATAGGAGGAAAAAAAAATCTGAATTTCTCCCTTTAGAAGCCAGGCTAAAAATAGTACAAGTATTCTAGGGAAAAGGAAAAATAGCCCCACCCCTGAAATAGGCTCCAACAGAAAAATACTGGGTTGTCATTAAATAATCTCCATGTTTTTGACTTTTGTCTTGGGGGAGGTTGGTTAAAAAGCCTTTGACCAACTCCCCACCTCTTCCATCATATTCCTGTGATTAATATTTTATGTCATGGGCTCAATTCTATGAATCACAATTGACAGTATGATTGTCCTTATTAATCATTATTAAAATCAATAATTATAGATAACTGAGTGGACTATCCTGTATATAACCAGAGGGTGCTGGTTAGCCAGGTTTATGACATGTGCATTGCTCCTTTATTATCTATGGTTTAGTTCGGGTACAAGTCAACAAATTTGAATTCTAAAGCCTAAGGTTTAAAACTCAGCTTCGCCACTTTAGCAGACACCTGACCCTGGGTAGGTTATTTAACTTTTCTAGGGTTCAGGCTCATCATCGATAAAATGGGATTAATGACACTTAACTCATAAAGTACTTGTTGGGATGAAATTAGATTGCATATATGAAAAAAGCCAGTGCAGGCCTTTATGCCTTTGTTTTATTCATTTGGGAGATGAACAGATCAAATTAAAGGTGATCTCAATGTGGCCAGGGAATAGTACGGATTAGGGTGAAGAATGTTATCAGTCACTCCTGTCAGCATCCAGATACTTGGACCGAGATCCTAGAATAAAGGTCTCCTGCATATGGGTGTCGCGGTCTTTTCCTGGCTTAGGAACTGTCATGTTGCCACTTGATTACATTCTCTTTTGCAGAAGTTAAACGTTTTGATCAGAAAGGAAAGGTAGAACATATGATTTTAGGTCCCAGGCCTCCTTAATTGATCTTAATGCTGTGTGTCCCTAACTTTCTTATTCATTAAATCCACCCAGAGTGTTCTTCGGAAAATCGAAGTCCAACTTTGCATTGAAATAATGGAGCCTCCTGGAACTGCTTTATCACAGTGGGAAGAACTTGTAAGAAAAAGTGTTGGTTTTTATTCAGAAGTCAGGATTTAACTTCTTTTCCCTGAGAGCTCTTTGGGTGCTTTGACACTTACTCATGCTGTATGTAAACTAGATACATTTATTCATTGTTTCCAATGAGGATAACTTTGGAAAATGTTAAATGGCATTCCACCTCATACTGACTCATCTCAAATATTGCTTGTAGCAGATAACGTTAGCTATGAGTTATGAGTAGTTTGGGTATTGGAATCAAGAACTTTTAGGCCCGGAAAAGTAGACTGTTAGAGTGTGTGTGAGCCTAGCTTTACTGTCTTTGTATCAACTCACTTGTTTTATTTTGAGTTTAGAAGTCCCTTGTATGCTGATTGTCATCTATCTTGCTTACATTCATTTACAGAAAAGAGAAAATGATCTTAAAATTATTTTGTATTTTGAAAAACATTACCTTTGATAGCCAGATGTTTGATGAGTACATTTTGATGTTGCAGCCAAGAGGTAAGGGCTGTGTCTATTGAAACAAGTTCATTCTGGGACTAGCTATATATCAGCATTTCATGCATCAATTCTTACAGGATGAAGTAAAAAGGAATACAAGACATACTAAAGATTGCAGCTTTTCTCCAAGATTTAAAATCTTTCAGATAATTTTTTAATGAGAAAAAACATTAGGAAGTGAATTCAGCATATAAAATGACATGTGGTTATTGCAGGATGTGGTCTCCACTAGTTTACTGTATCAAAACCTTATTTGCTTTTATGTGTTGTGAACTTGCTTGTGTGTGAATGTGCTGTAGGTTGTGATTAATTTTTAGGACTAAAAACATAAGTATGCAAGTTTAATATAAGAGAATAATATTTTTTCTGCCCTTCAATAATGATAGGCTTTGCTTTTGATAAATTATTGATACTATTTAGTATTTACAAAGCATATTTTAAAAATTCCCCAGGGGCATCTGAATCATCTCTTTGGTTAGAGTAGTCAGACAGGAAGTTTATGCTATATTGCAGCAGTGTTTCCATGTCATAGGTGTGGGAAATGGGGTCCACAGACGGTGAGAGAACAGTGGCATTATGGGAGTCAAAAGGGTGACCATCGAGCACCCTATCCAATAAAAGTCCTAAGCATGGTTGAGAGAGCTACCAGTTGGAAACGAGGACACCTGCCTGCTCCAGTCTCATTGTACTCGGAGTCTATTTAAGGGTTTGGACTTATCTTAGGGAACCATGAACATCTGGCTCTTATTTCAAAGTAATTGAAACAGCCTTACTTGGTGCTCACCTGAGCGGAGGTTAGCATCGCTAATCCAACTACAGTTGTTGTTGTTTTGTTGTTGCTGTTGTTTTTCCCTGTATTTTTCAAGTGAGTCAGTATGAAGGATCTATTAAATAGAAACATTCTGAACACATCTGAATGTTACTAATAAGCACTTTTTTTAAGTTAACTAAGCAAGTTCACACAGCTTTTATCTCTATCCTATGTTGCATTTTGGATATATTCATAAATGGTGGTTTCCCTATAGGTTGGTTTTCGCTACATTAGTGTATAAAGAAGCTGAACATTTTAACTTTTCCATAGTGACAGGTGATGCTTGCTTGCTGATGGTGATTTGGAATATTGATGTTTTAGAAAAATAGCTACATCAAACAGGCAATCTGCACAGCTCAAAAACTACACAAAGAGCATTGATATAAATAAAGTGTCGACTGGGTGCTGCAGATTTGTGCAGAATCATTTTCAAATTTTCCTTTTTGAATTATTAAATAGACCATGTCAGAACAACTCTGATTATTATCCAATCCATATGCTTCAACACCAGCCTTTTATGTAATATCAAGCAATGGCAGTGTTCAACTGGACCAATCATGAATGCTCCCTCGTTCTGGAAATGATTCAAGCACTTCACCACACTGCAGCATCTTATGCAGATATGCAGACACCTGCTGCATTGCTTATGGGGGAGGCCACAGCACTATCTGCCTTTAGAAACGTATGCAGGGTGTGAAAATATATCTAATTCCTTATCATGAAATTTAAGCATAAGCCCTCTTTTTGCAATGGTAAACCTATTTAGGTATGTTAGATATAGCATCATTATCCAGCTATACCTCTACACAGCAGAATTATGTACCTGACCTGTATTGTAAATAAAGTGTGGCACTGCATATTTCTAAAAACAGTTTTATAAAAAATAAAGTGCTGTCCTTTGTTCTTTAACAACTACCATGTCTGCTGGTAATGGAGATTCTGATATGCAGGGATGTAGCCACATATAATTTATAAAATGTGATAAAATGATAATCTCTCACCTACACTAATACACAGTTTATCTAGATAAATAACTCTTGGAATGAATACTGTGGATGCCTTTAGGGTTTCAGGCATTTAATTAAAATGGAACAGAAATATTAGCTGTCAGCTTTGGGATTTTTGCATCCTTTCTTGAAAAGAATATTTTTTAGTCTGAGAACACATTTGTGACATTCACTAGAAATAAATATGAGATGGTATTTTTCTAGTCCTCATGAAAAGAAGGCTAAAAATGCATAGTATAGAGATCTCAAGATGAAATTGTTCCCTGTTCTCCAGAGCAGCTCCCTCCAAGAGCCTGGGATTGAGCACAGAATTCAGGGTGCCTCTCTGATAAGTGCCAGTGATGGGAGGTAGTACCCTTTCCCCGGCACTTTTGCCATGGTCCTGGTGTGTTACCATCACTCACAAAGACTGCTGAAGCAGAGGGCTTTCTTCTTGCTGCCTGCATGTGATTTTGACATTGGACACAGGGAGGCAGGGCAAAGCAATGGCAGAGACCAAGCGTGGGGAGAAGCACCCAAGGCCTGGAGTACACTGCCTTCCAGATTGCTGAGATTGCAGGAGGCTCACTAGCTGCCCACTTAACCCTAAAAATACATCTGCAGTGTGAGAGATATAGTCAGCCATGATGCCTTTTAATTTTTCCATTGTCTACTTAAAACTGACTTGGGTTTTCTTTGAGTTAATATTTCTAGAAAACACTTGTTATGTTTATGTGATAAACTGCCTCTTTAAAAACACAGATTACACACTATGTGTATATATCTCATGTATTTCTTTTGTTTATTTTTGCTCTATTTTATAGGATTTGGAATAAAAAAAGGAAAAAAAAACCCTCCATAACCTTATATTGTAAGCAGTGATACCCTACTGTTGAACAAATTAATCTGGGTATTTGTCCATAATTTTGATAGTACATGACATGCTGACAAAGCATGACATTATTACTTTAAATAATTTTGTTTATTTAAAGTAATAATTTAAAAGTGGTGTGTTTCTTTCTTCTTACGTAGCAAACTCAATGGTCATATAACATGATTTAAAGGCTCAATTGCATGCGTGTAGATTTTTGAGAGCGATAAGAAATGATGTAAAAACTTGAGAAAAAATGAGTAAGGAGTTATATTTTAAAAATCACTTTTAGTTCTTGTTTGGAAAATAATTTTTCCCTGTGATTTCACTTTTGGATCTGGAAAATGGGATATTTCCTAGTAGGAGAATGATTGTGATGGGAACTAATTGGTATTGTTTGTGAAATAATTTCCTAGGTTTGGAGCAAAGATACTATTCAAATGGGGAAACATGAAATTATGTGTTGATAGATAACAAATAAAGGCAGTAGGTCAGAAGTGTGTGTGTGTGTGTGTGTGTGTGTATGTGTGTTCCTTTTCTCATCATACCTGGAGACTCATACACCAGTTGTAATCAAAATCAAAATAACCATTATAATTTCAAGTGGAAAAGAATTAGGTGGTCTCTTGTTAATAATCCAAGTTAAGAGGCATATTGTTTGTTTGCTTTTTCCTCCAGGTACATTTTAGCCATCGATATTGACAAACACTAGCCTGGAAAGGTATATTTCAACATTTCAAAATCATTGTCATGGAGAACAGAAAGCGGGGGGTGGGGGGAATCTATTCTATATATTTTCCTCTTGGGCAATGGAAATAAGCTCTCATGATTCCATAGTCTTTTAGCCTTCCTCCCCTCCCCCTTTCATTTGATCACATTATTCACACAAAGAACCAATGAGCCGTTGTGCCATTACCTTAAAATCCTATATTAATGAGACAGCTACAGTTTTTAATCATTTGAGTTAAGCCTTGAATGTTCTGTTTGCTAATATCATGCATCCATTTAAAATGAGAACAAGTATTTTTTGGTTTTGGCAAATAGTGAATAAAATAGGGATTTTTCTCTGTAAACCTGTCAAACATTCTGAAGAAAGCATCTTATTCTTAAGGAGTTGATCTTATCTGTAAAAACATGAGCTAAAAAACGTGTCCCACAGAGGCACCTAGGGGGATAAGGACTCTGGCACTTTGTTTTTCTTGCAAAATTTTGGGGTAGAAATAAAGTCATGTACAAATACTGTGGTAAGCTCATCCCGATCATTTAACAAAAATTAAAAGCATTTGAGATGGCACTTAAGTGGTACCTAAACGATGTATACTCAGCATCTTCTGGAGATATAATTATGTAAATAAAAGAAAGGATTTTTTTTGTTTGTGCTTAATCTTTCATTATGGTAAATTTGCTTTCGTTTATTAAAATGGCTTAAAAAGCACTTTAAATGAAGTTTACATAGCACCATAATTTAACTTTTTTTTCTTTTTAGCTAATAGCTATTTTCTAACTTAAAGCATGACATCCAGGCCACCTGGATTCCACAGATATCAATATCACATGAATTAGAAAAATATCTCACCTTTTAGAATTCCTATGTAAAAGGGCAGTAGCGCATTCAACCTTTAGAAAACTGCCATGCAAATTATCTGTGAACTGTTATTTTTTTCTTTTATTGTTTATTCTTGTTTCATGAAAAATCTAATATTTGTTGGGATGCCATTCAAGAAAGTTGAAATTATTGAATGCTGAATGCTTCATACTTAATCTCATAGCATAAATAAGCTGTAAAATATTAATATTAGAGCAGGCGGGAAGTTGTTTTAAAATGCAGTTTGGTCCTGTTTCCTCAATACTAAAGTATACTCACAAGTGAAATTCATGAACAAACTTTAGTAAAATTAGTAAAATTAGAAGGCATTTACATAAAGGGAGATTTATTGTATTGATATCACTGAACCAATACAATGAACTTAAAGACACAGGGAATTTCCCTTGACTTGTGTTTCTCACACCTCAGGAGCTATTCCATCTTTCATCTAAGATTGTTTTCACTATTCATGGAGGAGCCACTACACTGGCATTGTTAAGAATTTTGGGTCCATCTAAAGCTAAATCTCCATATCTGGGTGAAATGGCAAGGCGATTTTATTTTGCAGATAAAGAAAGTAAAGTTTTAATCCACCCTAGATTACAGAGAACATAGAACCAATAGGCTATTTGGGAACATTAGGCTCTCAATCCAGCTCTTCACTTTAAATATTTGGCTAATCTCCCCAGTTTATTCTAAGCTGGAACATACATGGCTCCCCACTCTCCCCACTCTTGTCTCAACTTGCCACTTTGTTCACATACAAATGCCCTCTTACTTGAAACCCTTCAACTGACTTTTTTATCTTATCATAATGATGATTTCTCCATAACCAGTCAACCAAGCATTTGCTCCTCTTAACTAGCCAGGGCTGCCCAAACCACAAAACTTTGCCAAATCCATCTGATGTATTCTTCTACAGAAGCAATGGAAGCTAATGTATCTTTCCCAAAGTAGTTATTAGACACCTTATTTTAGTTACTGATTTTTTTTTTTTTTTTTTTTTTTAGCAACAGAATCTAAGCAGCCTGATTGGAATTTCAAATGATCGTCACACTGAATTTGAAAGTCTGTTTTACACAGAATGTAACATTTTTCTTATATTTTAACCAAGGAGAAGCAAGGAGAAGGTCCTTTTTATCTTTTTTCTAGCCAAATGCATGTTCAATATTATTAATTCAAACAGAAAGAAGAACATCCAAAAATTTTGACTATTTAATCAGATTTTTTAGGCTTTTGTTAGGTTATCAAATGCTTTCTGTTTCGATATTAAAGACACAAAAATTCCTCACTTTCTGATTTATTTTTTTCTTAAACAATGTGACATCTATGTTAGCATTGGCCAAAGCACATAAAAGTCAGTTTGTTTAAAAAAATAAGGTATTGCACCAATTTCATTCATTTACCTAGCTCTCTATTTATTTATTTTTAAGAAGGAAAATGAGTTTGAGTTATTGCTTGATTCCTGTTGCCTGTTTGCTCTCCCTAAATTTTCCTTTCTTCACACACGAAGAAGCAAACACTGTCCCTGTCAAATGATAAATGAGGCAGAATTCGTGACGTGCATGTTTGTCAACATAAGAAAGATCAAATGATTGCTCAGCAGGAAGAAGCCACGGGAAATCCAATGATTTTTTACTAATTAGCAAAATAATAATAATGTCTCCCTAATGATTACCTAGTACTGGGTTGTGTCCTTTTATCAGGGAGATATTCTGCTAGTGCAAACTTGTGTTCTGAAGATAGGCTAGCAATTTCACTTGAAATTATGAAGGTGGACCATTTCTGAGAAATCTTTTGAAGAATCCTGTTCTCTGTCACTTGAGTAATTGAGAAAGAGAACTCAGCCATATTTTTTGCTTTCCATTTTAACACAGCCAATGTGTGTGTTTAAGCCAAACTTTACAAGAAAAGCAATGCATTATTCTCAAGATCATTTAAAGTTCAAGTTCATCCTGTCCTTTCAGGGAATTTTACAAGAGGTATTCATGAGGGGTAACTTGACTGAAAATAAGAATGGAAACCAGATTTTTTTTTTCCACCTGCTACCCAAGTTACATTGTCAATTACCATACGTTGCCAGATTTTTATTAATCTTTTATAAGACTTTAAGAGGTAGGCCTAAATTCTTAGTCCTGGAAAATGTTGCTGTTGCTAGCATTTTCTGTGAAGTTCAGTAGTCAACAACTATTTATAGGAAACACAGTGAAGACAGGAGCATCTCTCAGGTCACAGGGTCTGTGCTGAGCTCTGTGGATTCTCTGGCCTGGGATATATTCACAGGATTCCTGGCTCAGGACAAAGCTACATATTTCTCACTTTTCTGTGTGCCAGATTTACACCTTAAAAATAGAGATCAAGGACGAGCGAGCTTGGAACCAAGGGAACACTATATGGGGAACTTAGCTTGTCATGTGGCATCTGGCTTGGGCATTGTTGATTTGGGCATTAAAACTGCTTGAATTGTCTTAAATCTCACCAAGAGAGCTGGTAAAACTTGCAAATGTTTGGAGGCAAAAACGTATCACATTAAAACAAAGAGCAGACATGATCCCATTATTTGAAGTTATTATTTCTTCAGACTAGCGAGCTACTTATTTTTTTTGTTTTTCCCTTTAATATAATATAAATTGACATTGTGATCCTTTATTTATCTGATGTATATATTGCAATACCAACAACAAAAACAAATCTGTTTTCCTTCTTTATATCCACATCACCAAGAAGCTCTATTGTTGGGTGGGTATTGCCTGTGCTTACATCACTAGATACAAGGACTCATGATTACATATTTTTACTTTTGTTTTTTGTCACCTTAAGCCAGTCCAGGAAGTTCCTGCAGCACCCCTCTCTCAACCAAGGTCAGTCTGCAGCCCCTTCCCAAGCAATAGTGATTTCTATGATAGCAACTGGAGAAAAGCCATAGTAACATCTTTCCTTTGTCTAACCCAGGAAAGACGACAACAGGGAGACACAGGGACTGAGGAGATGACAGGGAAATGGGGACATGGTAATGAGGGGAGGGGAAGGGGGAGGGGCCTAGGAAAAGACAAGAGCAGTGCTGATGATATGCTGGGGAGAGGTCAGAAGGTGAGAGGACAGAGATTACTTTAATGAGCCACATGGCTGCCACCACCAAACAGATGCTCAGATTTCTCTTAAGTCTCCATCAACCCCAATGAATTTTTCCATGGCTCTCTAGTTCTACACTGTCCCAAAACAGTAGCACTAGCCACACACATCTAGTCCAAATTGACATGTGCTTTAAGGGTAAAATACACACTGGATTTCAAAGGTGTAGTGTTAAAAAGTATTTTTTAAACAGAAAATATCTCAATAATTTTAATATCAATTACATGTTGAAAGGATAATATCTTGCATATATGGTCTTAAAACAGTTCATTAAAATTATTTTTCACTTTAATACAATGGCTCCTAGAAAATTAAAAATTACATCAATGACTGGCTTTAATAACCATATTTTCTAGTTTCTGTGTTTGATGCTTTTTCATCCTGGGGCCACACTGACCTTGAGGGGCCTGCCCCTCCTGGGACTAGCAAATTCCTAGAGATAGTAAAGGACTCACTTCCAAGACACCTTTCATGTGCATAGCAATCAATCTACTATAGCCACAGCCATCTCTTTATTGGGCTCTTACACTCTGGGCCTCTATCCTTCTGTCCTAATCATCCCAGGGGCAGGTACTAGGAAGCTGGTGACAGTCCCTGTGCCCCAGAACCTGCTATAATTATTCAGAGTAGCCAGTCCAAAGCCTCTTACTCTGCCTCACTGTTCCTTCCTGCAGAAACCACAGTAAAGGTTCTTGCTCACACTTTCCCGTCGCTCCCTCTGCCTCCTGAGTGCCTCACTCTTCCCTGTGTGGCCTCTCCTCGTGGGATCTGTGAGTATGACAAGTTGTCTTTTCAATGGCAGTTGTCTTCTGATCTGTTGGCTTTACCATACTTGAATAATAAAAAACCCTACATTTAAAAACACTTGTATCCTGTATCTGGGGGACAATGCTGTTTTAGAGACCTGTTTCTCTAAATGTGATCCACTGACCACCTGTAGTGGAATCACCTAAATAATTAAATATCCAAATTCCTGGGCCCCTTTAGAATTAGCACAGCTGCTGAAACATAGTGTTGGCTCAATAAATGTTAGCCATTATTACTTCAACACCATAATAACAATAATAGTAAGAATAAGTTTTAAAAAATGGTTTACTATGGCTTGAGAAGACCCTTTCTTATTTCTTTATTATTATTATTATTATCAAAAGAAAAAAAATTTAACACTAGCATTTATTGAGTGTTCACTATGGACCAAGCATTACTAAGTGTTTTTACACATTATTTTATTTAATCTTCATGACAATCAGTGAGAAATAAGCAAGAAAAGTAACTTGCTCAGAGTCACACAGCTTGCTAGTATTGGAGCATGCGTTTATATTTGAATGATACATGATTTATGTATTTACTTTATACCATTAGGCACAATACGAATTCAGAAGGATAATAAAATACATATATACAAGGAAGAATGATAATGAACAGATACACATATGTGCACCACCAGGTCAAGAGGATGGCCTGAATCTTAGAGCTCCTTCTGTTTTGTGTGTCCACTTTTCTTCACCAGAGGTAGCCCAGACTGACTTCTGTGGTCATTACCCTGGGCTTTTCCTCATATTTCTACCACTCATGGACATGTCTCTACATGGTATTTTATGTAGTTTTGCCTGGTCTTGGACTTAAGATAAAGGAGCTCACACCATATGCATTTCCCTGGTTTGCTTCTTTGGCTCTAAGCTCATCGATGAGATCCATCTGCGTTGATGGGTGAAAGTGCAGGCCACTCATTTTCACTGCTGCACTGAATTCTATTGTATGAATACTTTTTTGGTTGACATTTTTGTTTGACCTTTGAGTTCTTTTATGTTTTCTGCTATAAGAATAATGCCCCTAGAAACAATATGTTTTCTTCTGTCCCTGAACATTTTAAAATGATAGGTGTTCTTTCTTATTTTAAAATCCAATGTTAACTAATATTTAATATTTTCAATAAATATTAGATATATGGAAAAGTTGCAAAAATTATGCAGACTGTTCTTGCATACTTCTGACCTTGCTTCTCCTTATGTTAACATGTTATGAAATCATAGGACAATCAATGAAGGCTAGGAAGTGAACATTGGTTCAATATCATTCACTAATCTTCAGACCACTTTGATTTTCACATTTTCTTTCTCTCTCTTTCTTTCTTTTCTTTCTTTCCTTCTTTCTTTCTTTCTTTCTTTCTTTCTTCTTTCTTTCTTTCTCTTTCTTTCTTTCTTTTTTCTTTCTTTTCTTTCCTTTCTCTCTCTCTTTCCTTTCTTTCTTTCTTTCTTTTCTTTTCTTTTCCTTTCTTTTTACTGATATACTCTTTTTCTGTTCCAGGATCTTATCCAGGATCCCACATTGCCTTTACTTTTTATTTTTGGAGGCATACTTTGACTTAGAAAATTACAACAGCAGTGTTTCAGGGAGATTGATTTTAAGACAGTATGTAAAATAGATTTCAGGGCAGAGAGCTAAAAGCAGGACTATCAAGTGACTCTTGCTATATTACGATTGCTTAAGGCAAAGAGAGAGAGAGCTATGGTGGTAAGAAGCCAACAGTGAATATATGCCTCTATATAGCACAGACTGCATTGCAATCGTGCTAATCTGTCTCTCATAGAAACCAACAAGTTCCTTGAAGGCAGGGCCCACTAAAGCTAATTCATCTTAGCATCTTCTTCAGGTACTCAGAAGAGTGACTGTCTATAGAAGTGATTTAGTGAAGATTTGTCAAATAAATTAACATGAGTGAAAAAGCCAAGTTATCAGGGAAGCTGAGACCCACAGAAAAAATAAGCAAAGGCAAAGAGAGAAGAGAGAACAAAAATAGAAAAGAGAGACCCGGCCAGCTGGTGGGTTGGAGGAGGCAAACCCAGAAGGAAGGGCATTCATAGGAGACACAGACACAAAGAGAAAAGTGAAAGGAGAGGCGCAAGGAGATTTAGAGCCTCGAGCAGCTGAGGCAGTGGCAGTTTTCCCACTGCATCGCTCGCTTAGGTCCTCTACATTATCACCCATCACGTGCCTTTAAAACCTTGCCGAATTTATTTACGGCTGTTCATAGCTCTTAGATCTTTATCATTTACTCTCTCATCCCATGCCTCTCTCACAGGTTGCTGCTAAGAATAGCCTCTCCCCGCAGCACAGTGATGGAATATCATATGATGCCTGTGATTCATTGGCCACTTATGGCGCTCTTCTCTCCACTCACTTCCTGCCTCAGGGCCTTTGAACTTACCGGCCTCTTTTCTTGAGATTCTCAGCTCCCAGATTTTCAAAATGTTGGCTTCTTCTCATCCTCGAAGCTTTAGCCCCACTTACTCTACTCATTAGCTTATTAGGTTGTTTTATTGTCTTCAAAGTGCTTAGGGCTCTGTAGGTTTTTCTGGTTTGTTTCTTTACTCATTTCCTTTTTGTTTTCACCCACTAGAATGTTAGCTCCATGAGAGAAGGAATCCTGTCTCTCTTATTTACCACTGAAACTGCAGCATCTAGAAGGGCATGGAAGGACACAGGGAGTGATGAACAAATTGCTCTGTACATTGGGTTCGATGTAGTCATGGGCCACATGGAGGTGGAGGCCATGCCTATCACTTAAAATGTCATTGTTCCAAGTGGCCAGATCAACTCTCAATACTAAATTTTTTATTTTGCTTTGCTTTCCAAAATGGGCATCTATTCTTTAAGGATGAAGGAGAGTAACTGTGGTTGTTCCAGGAGGATAGAGGTAGGGGAAGAGCAACCCCTGAACTAGGGTAAAATTTCAAAAGAATTTGTTATCTTTTAGGACATGTAATATTTTAATTTAACCACATTTTTTGAATGCCTGCTAAATACCAAATACTGTAGCAGAAATGGCAAATAAGGCTGGGCGTGGTGGCTCACTCCTGTAATCCCAGCACTTTGGGAGGCCAAGGAGGATGGATTGTTTGAGCTCAGGGTTTGAGACAAGCCTGGGAAAGATGGCAAAACCCTGCCTCAACAAAAAAATACAAAAAATGTAGCCAGGCATAGTGGTGCACACCTGTAGTTCCAGCTACTTAGAGGCTGAGGAGGGAGGATCACCTGAGCCTGGGAGGTTGAGACTGTGGTGAGCCAAGATTGCACCACTGCACTCCTGCCTGGGTGACGGAGTGAGACTCTTCTAAAAAAAACAAAAAGGCAAATAACAAATTTCTGTTTTTTAGGATGTTTCTGCCAAATACAACTGTTTGATAAGCAAATAACTGGTTACAAAACAATTTACTAAAAGCTATAATAGAGAGATGCTCTGAGGGTTGTGTAAGATTAAATGATGGAAAAGAATTACCTTAAAGGCAACTTACTACTACCTTCAAATATCCAAATTAGCATTTCCAAATAATGCTCTGAAGGATGATGACAGATGTTATTAGGGAGATTCAAGTAAGAGTGGAAATATTGGATTAAAGTTAACCACTTGTGTCTCTAATGCAGGATTTATCAGTGCCTTTAAAACTCGCTAATGTGTACTGTGAATTTATGTAGGGGATTTTGGTAAGCATCATTGCCAAAACTTATTTGACCATAATGCTTTTTTTTATTTTTATAAAGTGGATCTTATAGAACTAGTTTTCACTGAGTAAACATTAAGAAATGATAATAAAAATTATAGAATGAAAGCAAACTGGGATGAAATTTCTTCATAAAACATTTAGCTTAGGACTTATAAAGTGACTTCTTGATGTTTAGAGGTGAGATTTTTCCTGAAAAAGTCAGGAATGGGATTCAGAGAGCTCTTTATTATTTTCTCATCTCCATTACTTCCTCTTCCTTTACCCTCCTATAGCTTCTTCAAGGTCTCACTAAAATCCCACACACATGGGAAAGAGTTCATGGTCTAATTGGTGGAAGACTCCTGACAGCTCTATTTTTTTTTTAATTCTACATTAAGGAATGATAAACGACTGAAAATAAAGTTTATCATACTCGCAACTAGATCCTGTTCTCTAATACTATTCCCTACAGAAAGGAATTAGGACTCCTCAACAAAATGCTGATTCCGTGGCTGAAGCAGTGTAGACACAAGGTGAGCTGGGAATACCTTGTTGTTCCAGAAAGTGAGAAAATGCTAAAAAAAAAAAAAAAAAGAATGAGACATGAGACATATTACACAGACACAGACACAGAAACAGCTTGAAGGGGTTCCCACTGGCCACATCTAAGACAATCTGAGCACCAAGACAATTAGATAGAGTAATAAATTATTGAAAAAATAAAAATTTGTGAATCCTTGCCAAAAATAGAGATAAATAAATAAGTGGGAAAAAAGGGAGATCTCTTGCCTACAGTAGAATCCCAAGTGCCTGCTGGTAAATATGGAGAAAGTACTGCAATTAGAAAATCAACATTTTGCAACCTCATACTAAGGATTAGATTCAAAAAGAAACATCAATCCAGAGAGAAATTTTGATGAAGAGCAAGATATTTGCATGGCATTAAAGTGTGTCCCCACAGATTTCTTATAGTTGTAAGATAAAAAGTAGTACTGATATAATAGTAACTATGTGGTTGGTATATATAGAATATGATAGTTATATATAATTATAGACTTTGCACATAGTTTTTATAATATAGCCATATAAATTACATACTTCTTTGTAATTCTATTCAACATAGTTTTTACCTAATAGTAATTATATAGTGGTGAAATAGTACAAATCTTGACTGTGTGATACAAAATTATATCACCAATGAAGGTAATGTGACTTCATGGGCCTCCAGGTATGAACACTTGAGAAGGACACAACATCACTTATGTATCATTATGTAACTGAAGTTATTCGTGAGGAAACATCAGGCAAACCCAAAATGAAGAATGTCTCAATGGGGAAAAAAAGAGATGATTTTCTTCAAGTTTGTCAATGTCATAACAGACAAAGAAAGGTGGTGGAAATCCAGCTACCTACCTACCTACCTACCTACCTACCTACCTATCTACCTACTTACCTACTGTCATCTATCTATCTATCATCTATCTATCTATCTATCTATCTATCTATCTATCTATCTATCTGTCTATCTATCTATCTATCTATATCCATCTATCTGTCACACAGAAAATGAAGCATTTGGGTAAAATTTTAAGGATATGTGAATCATGTAAAAAGTATACATGTGGTTTTGTACTCCTCTTATTTTCATTTCAAGTAATGCTGTACCTGGCACATAGTATTATTCACAAATATTATTGTTACAATGAATATGCAATGGACTAGTTGACTGAAGGAGTTTTCAGTGGAACTAGTTCAAAGAAGTTTAGAGGAAATAGGGTTTAAAGACACTGGGTTGAGTTAATTGTGTCTCTGAAGTCCCTTTCATTGTTATGAAAAAATCATTGTTATGATTTTTTGATTCTTCAAAGAAGAACTTTATGTCTAATTTGAAAACAAAATGATTGAATTTTTAATGACCTTTGCTCTAGTGCAAGCTGTATTTATTTAATTTTTTAACAGAAGGCAACACTATGGCCCAACTGAAGATTATAGTTGATTTCCAGAAGGGCCTTTAAGTTAAACAAAACTGAACATCACATGCTCTTTCCTGCCAAACAAGACATGCTATATATGATTTTCAAATATAGCTAATAGTTCCTATACCAGAATTAAACCACACTGCCTTCTCTAACAGTGACATCTTTCTAGCTTCATATATCTAGCTTACATTGGTATAGAAATTGGGTTGTAAAACATTTGTTTTGCCCTTATACTTGATTTTCTCTTAAGGACCAATTGCATTAATGAGTTCAATGTCATCTGCTCCTAAATAATGGAATGAAGACCCTCTTCTGGGCCTGGTAAACTTCCTTCATGTCAACCCTGTTTGCCTGTTTGGCTCCCTGGCACCTTTAATAAAACTGACCCCTGAGCTTATGAACTTCAGTTTTTTTTCTACAGAGATCTCCCAATCCTGCAACTTTCTTTTGCTCCAACATTCTTTTTGAGGAATTTTTTGAAGTGCTCTTCTGGAGATGGGATGGAAAGAAATCATGCTTTGGAGTCAAGCAAGGTTGTATATAACACAGCATCCTGTTTCTACCACATTCTTGCTGTGTGTGCAACAGGGCAAGCAGCATAGTATTAATGTTAGGGGTAAGGTCTCTAAGGGCAGACTGCTGGGATTAAAATCTTGTTTAGTGAGCCTCTTTGTTGGGCAAGTAGTTTTACTTCTTTCTGTGTCAGTTTTCTTGTCATTTAATGAGAATATTAGAGTTTACCCCATGGAATTGCAGTGAAAGTTAAATGATACAATTATGTGAAATAATTAGAACAGTGCCTGGCACATTATCCAGCACCTTTTCAAGTTTCAGGTTTTTTTAAATAAAAAATTGAGCATCAAGCTTATTTTATATCTTAAAGTAAGGATTAAATAAGATACTGCAAGTAAAGAATCCAGTCTTACGCCTGTTTCGTTAGTAGACAGTCATTCATTTATTGAAAATGTATTTATAGACTTCCTATGCTAGATTTTCTACATTTTAAGGGCTGGGCATTTAGAGAAGTTTCAGGCATACTACAGTCTATGGTCTTTTGATTTATTAAAAAAATAGTTAGTTACTGTTGTTATAACAGATAAGGACTGAGTATAGACCTAATCTACAAATCTTAGTCAAATCATGTTTGTTTTTCTTATCTTTCATCCTCACTTCTGAGGATATCTAATTTCCCTTTGATTCAGAGTTTAGAATCCAATTTTCCATCCCACAAACAGTATTTGAATGTATCTAACTCAACGCTGAGCTAATAAGGATAACGAACATTCTGGGGCCATTTTGAAGTTTGCAAAGGGCTTTCATGTGCAGTTTTCCCCTTGGTGTACCCCTGATGCGGTGAGGGACAGCTGCAGGCCCATTATCTTCATGAAAGCTCCCACAGAAACATATCTGCTACATGTTCTTAGTGATTAGTAAAATAAAAGATTTGAAAGTAAAAATATTCCTGTCTCTTTTCTTCAAAAAGCAAACAGATTCTAGAATAGGCAAGGACTAGAGCTGGAGGAGGAAAATTGGCAATTTTTTTTCTTTGCATAATTTTTCTGACAAAACAAAAAGATTTTGACATCATTTTTATGACAAACTGTACCCATATCTTTGGAATTTTTGCAAATTTAGCATCAATCATGCATTTTTCCAGTCATTTTCATTGAAATTTCATTCTATTTATCTTGTTGGCAAAGTGAAAAGCAATTTTTGTTTGCTAACGCTGCCTTTTCCCTCGCTGCATTAAAAAGTGATGATGGTAAAAAAAAGGGGGGTTTTTCTTTTCTTCTTCAGGGAAGCCCCCAGTGTGCTCATTTGTATGTACAGTCTATCATTGCTATTTTAGCCTATTTTCATTTTATTTATAGCTTTGAATCATTTATTATTTGCTTGGAAAGATTTTGCCTAGAACTCTTAATTGGTACACATAGCAATTAAAACTTTATTACTTAAATATTTTTCAGAACAGGAAAGAAAAGGTACCCAAATCAGCATAATCAATTTAGCCATAAAACCCTAAGTCTGACTTTTTATTTTATTTATGATACGCATTTTGTTCTAATGCTTTGTAAGTAGCATAGCTCTTCTTTCTAGTTCTACATAAATGAGATTCATGCCTAATGTGCCTCCAATTTTCAAAAACAATCCCTCAAATACAGTTTTAACTTGCCATTAAGACTGTGTCTACCCATCATAAAATGAATGTTTGGGAAGGAATTACTGGTGCATGCAGGGTGTTAGTTTTTTAATATGAGAATCAGTTCTGCCCTGCAAGTCTTTTCATCACAACTTTCCTGTAGAGAAGTGGATTTTGCTGTTTTTAGGAGGTATTTCCAGACAAAAGTCACATCAAGTCTATTCCCCATTGATTTAACTTTAGCAGTCTTTGTTGTAGACAAAATTTTACAGATAGATAAAAAAAGATTTTAAAAATAAATGTAATGGTTTAGAAATGTTTATTCAGTGTAGGCAGAGCATCTGTTGGTACCTTATATCCCTCGGGAAGATTTCTGAAAGACTATAATGAATAAAATGGAAAAAGTTGGAAATTTATAGCAACCCAAAAACTATTCAAAGAATGATGAAAATTACTCTGAAAAGTTCTGATGAGTAAGTAGTCAGCAAACACACACACACACACACACACGCACGCACACACACATACTTATGAAGGACTGAAAATGAGTCCAGCACTGTGCTAGGCACTTTTACCAGCATTATCTCATTTATTCCCCTCTCTGCTCCACAGAATTCCACTGAAAAAGGTGTTGTTAGTACCCATTTTTGAAGCGGAGAAAGCAAATAACATATATAAAAGCATTTAAAAACTGATAAGTTAGATTGGATATAAAATAAGCTCAGAGAAAGAAAGAGATGAGAGAAGGGAGAGATTGGCGGCTTTAATGAGGGCTGAAAATGTCAGAACAGAAGGATCTTACACAGCCTGGAAAGATGACTGCAATTTAAGAACCTGCTCACCTTCTCCTTTACAGTAACTCACTTCCCCTCCTTCATCTCTGGCGACTGAGATATATGTTTTTATAAACTTCCAAACTCTAAATTATAAGAATTGTCAAGGCTGTTTTCTACTTTTGAGGACTATGGATTTAAACTTGGAAGGGTCTCAATCAATTCTTTATCTCAGTAAAAGAAAAGTGTTTTTGTAACATTGGAAATGAAGGGATTTATCTGTATGCTTACAGAAAAGATTGAAAACCAGCACTGAAATCCCATGAGAGACAGGAGTTCTCCTTAGTTCTTGGTTGGCTCACATGGTAAGTTCCATTTTGAGGGAGAGAAACAGAAGCGTACACCAGGATGCATCCTGAATGCTCATCTACCTTATCCATTCCATCCTCAAGGCTTTGGTACAAGTTAGGGATGATTATGCTCATGCACAGGCAAGAAAAATGAGGAAGAAAGAGGATGAGTAACCTACCAACAATCAGGTAGAAAGGAAGAGAAGAAATTAGATGCAAGCCCAGATTTGTCTTATGCAGTGTCTATGAATTTCCCATTAAGTACTGTCAACTCGATTAACAGCCATTGACAATGACCTGGGCACTATACGGCAAAGCAAATAATCTGCACCTTGTTGTTTTACACCTTATTGCTCTTTACAAATGATGGCAGAACAATAAGAAAACTTTACATCGGTTAAGTTTTGCTGTCATGTAGTCTCAGTTCTTATGATAAATATTAAGGACCCCATGGAAATCGGTAGGAAGCACTCTTCTTTCCATGCCAAGATGATGTGCTTGACTTGTCAGTGTGATAAGTACTTTGAATTTGAAGATTGGAGCCTGCATGCCAGGTTGCAGATTTTGGCAATGAGTGAGTGAATCATTGATTTCTATTTATGAATGTAGGACAGGCAATTTTATTGCTTGCTCAACATCCTTTCTCCCTTCTTCTTTTCTAACAGAGCCTCACATTTGTTCAAAGTGATAATGTACTTTGCCACCCTGGATCTGATTTGGATCACAATTGTCAAAGCCAGTGGTGATAATTGTTTTCTTTGCCTTCTCAGTCTTTATGGCATAAGGACTGCCAATGGAATTTAAGGAGTCTGCTAACATTGTTTCCAGAAAAGCTTTTCTCTTTCTGATTAAAACACCCAGGTATGTCTGGCTATCACTTTCCACCTCTTTTCCTGTTTTAAATGCAGATGTAGTACCTGGAGCTGTGCAGCTGTTTTGTGACTGTAAGTTGATGAACAGAGATGTTGGGCCTGGCACCACGGAGCTGCTGAAGACACACACAAAAAAGGCCTATCTTTTGACTTCTGTATTTTTGTGTGGAACAAAACTATTTCGTTAAAATATTATAGTTGAATGTAGTTGAATGCTTTGTTACTTGCAGCTAAATACATTCCTAATAAGTAGAGATTATAACTATAATCTTACTATAACTGTCTATATTAGCTACTAATTGAATATATTATATTTGGGAAATAATAATTGTGGTAATCTAAATTATCAACCCAGTTTTCTCCAACAATAATCTAAATTGGTTTAATATGGGTAACTGAAAACATACAATATGGTAAATAATGAAATAAATAAATGTCAAATAGGTGAGTATGACAGAGAATTATTGAAAATGTACTTTATTTTATTTTAGAAATAAAATCTGCTCTGTGTAGTCACTTCTGTGGTTCTTTCTCCCCTTCTTATCATGGCATCCCATACCTATAAAAAAATTAGTTCACACTAATTATCTGCAAATGGGACTCATCGTCACAGTGAAATCGAGTCTCTCCTTGATCCTAATCCAAATTTAACTGTAACCTAAATGATACCTGACAGAAATATGCAGAGGTCACAGAGTCCCTGCCTGTGAGAGACGTTAACCAAACAAATGTCATTTGTACAGTTCGGTAGCTTTATATAAGAAAATTTAATTTAAACCTTACGAAAAAGGAAGATTCAATGAAAATACATACAATGCATTTAGAATAAAAAGGCAAAACTCTAGAGATCAAGGTTGCTAAATTATTATTTAAAAAATCTGGCTGTAAGACATACGGGCCATTTTGGTCTCCTGGTTCTTCGACGCTGACATTTTTAATCAGAACAGTTTTCTCCTCAGTTGTCTCTTTTTCACTCTTTAAGATAATCATTACCAGCAGGTTAGTAGTTCTAATTTTTCTATGAATTGTTTGATACTTCTGAGAACACAAAATCATTCTGATAATTTTGAGAATACAAGTCATTTTGTAGCATTCAAGTGAAAATGTCTTCAACTTGTTTTTGTTTTTCACACAAGAAAAGAAAGTAAGTAACTGTGAAAGTTTGCTTTCCATAGTCATTCCTGTTCAGGGACTCATTTGTTACGTTCGTCCTTTAGTAATTTTTATTTTTGTTTATTTGTTTCCTTTTCTCTTTAAAGGTATAGATGAGAAAAATAAATGATGTTTAGAAGTGAAGGAAAATAAATTTTATGGACTCCAAAAGCCTTTCCAGGTGTCTAGATAAAGTGCCTGGAAATGCTTATGTAATTTGAGTTCAAAGCATCAATTAAAATATCCACTTTTCTAAACAATAAATTTCATCTGGGGTGCACTTTGTTACCCAGATTGTGAATAACTTATTATAAAGCCACATTTTCATTTGCAAGTCCCTTGTTCATGCCAAGTCTTTTGTTGTTCTCTATTCAATAAAAGAGAGGTAAGCAGACATTTTCCAAATTTTTTCTTAGAATATTTATTTTTTCAGGAATCATGATGGGATTTGATGAATTAAGGAACAGAACAAAAAATCCCATGTAACTAATTTGTATATGACAGCAGGTGGTTGGGTTCAAGTGAACAACAAGCACACACAGAAGTCAAATCAGAAAAGCTTCCTTATTTGGCTAAGTGAATTATCTCCAGGATCATACATTAAAACACAGGAAAGCACTCCTTTTCTATCTTTGATAGCCTTAAAGGAGTGAAAAATAATTTTCCTTTTTAAACACGCTTGACACTTCCCACAAAGTCTTAGCGTCCCCATGGTGAGGTCCTCACAGGTGGTTCACAGAGAATGAGATTACATAATTAAGACTTTGGGAAGCAGGGGTCACTGCAAACCCACACTGGATGAACAAACAGAGGCTGGAGTTTGGGCAAAAAGAAAACTGATTCTTTTCATTTAATTCATTATTAAACCACAAAGAATGTTATTCTCAGTTTACATACACTGTAGCCTGTGACATAAAATAACAGTTTGCAGCAATTTTCAGAAAGTTAGAAGTATTTTTGTGTGCATGCACATGTGTGCACATCAGTGTATGTGCGTACATGTTCACATGTTTGTTCACGTAGGGAGAACTGTCATCATTGTTCACCTGCCCCACACAAAAACGTTTATCTAAAATGCTCTGGGGATTAAATGCATAGTTTAATGATTGAAGGCATTTCTATATTGGATATCTTCCTTGATTGGCTCTGACAGTTAAATTTGAAAATTATTCAATAGATAAGTAGATTAAAGATACTTAAGAATGTCCTAATTACCCAAACGGCATTTGAAAAAAAGAAAAGGAGTCTTGACTATGATACTGAACCAAAAGTGTTTGACAACTCATTTTAACTATCTTTCAGATAAAGAATAAATTCAAGGATTCAGTCGCTTGTGCTTACAGAGGAGCATATGGCATGTTCTGTTGGAGGACGGAGTAACCCTCAATGTACCAGCCAGATTTTTAGTTAGTTATTACAGCCTCTTCATCTAAGGCTCCCTGTGGTCTTCACTTCCCAAGTGACAGGGCTGAATGAAGAGATGATTGTGCATAAAGTGGTTTGTGATCTTCCTAAGGGAAAGACTTGATAAAACATGGGCTCTTCTTAGGATACAGCAGATGTGCAGACCACAGCAAAAGCCCTATTCGTTAGAACGACTCAGCCATGAATCAAGCATTGTCACATTTTCAGCTGGGCAGGCGGTCACTGGGGAAGCAGGAGGAAGGGAATAGTAGGAGGGGCACACAGTCTCCCCAAGCCATTTATATCAGGCCTGGAGTGAGGGGAGCTGTAATAATCCAGGTATCGTCTGTACTTTTGATTACACACCAAATATTAAAATAACAGGGTCAAGAGGAAAAAGCTCAACTGTGATTTCAGCTTGGTAAGCAGCATTGCACTCACTGGTTAGGATGAGAGATGTACAAGCTGCTCACACGACTGCTAAGATTTATCCTTAGCAGCAAAGGAATTCTGGTCAGGAAACAAAGACCAGCACAGGGCAGCATGCAACTGAGATCTATGTTGAGAAACACAGGCTGAGTGCTCCAAATGGTTCGCAGGAAGCCATGAAGGAGCCCGGCATCAGGGGAACATGAGCACACTGACTTTTCTTCCATTCTAGGCAGATGGGAAAGTGGCCGTTCTCAATTTTATGTCCTCCTTTAGGGACACAGGGCTACCTGGCACATTCAGGAAGTGATTTTCCTTTAAGAGGCTTCTTCAAGGTTATTTATTCCATTTATTCACCCAGCAAATAGTTGTAGAGTTCCGTCTTTGTGCCCAGCTCTGTGATCACTGTGAGAGGCACACACAGACCTGCCCTCATGGAGTTCATAATCAAGGCAGAGAAAGCAAGATCAGGAAAGCGAGAGCATGTAAGCAACGTGGAGGTGCAGGGAGGAAGATATACGCTGGAAGGGCGCTCCAAGGAGAACATCTGATCGACCCTGAGGGCTCTGTGTAAACATTCCTTCGTTCCTTGCAGAGTTGCAGCCCTCATGTCAGCATTTTCCAGAGTGAGCTGGAGCTTGGCAGCAGCCCACACATCTGCTGCATTGCAGGAATAGCTAGAGGTTTATAAAGCTGTTTCTTTAGGAAGATCACAGCCCTTGACTTCTAATATCCACCTAGGCTTTCAGGGGTTGGGAGAAAAATCCTCCCCCTGTGTTTTCACAAGCCGTTGGAAAATGAAATGCTCCACTACTCCCCTGGCATAGGAACAACAAAGCATTGAGACGTTCACTTATAAAGAATAAAAGGACAGAGTCAAGATGATGCTGTAGATAACACAGTGTTTCATCGTTTGCATGAGGTCTGAAATATCCCCAGGCCTGACTACAGAATAGTGTGACACCTTGAAAACACAGATTCACGCAACCCACAATAGAAACAGAGAATAAGGAAATTCCAATGTTTTCTCTTTTTTTAATGGAATGAAATTTTATTTAACATTTGCCTGTGTAGTTTTATTTATGTGTAGCATTGAATTTTTGGAGGAAGTTCTCATATTGAAGGTTGCTGTTATGGCTTTATCAGATAATCCTGTGTGTGTGTGTGTGTGTTTTAATTTATGTGATAGCAATAATGAAAAAGAGGAATGGAATGTTAATACACACCAGCTCCCAAGGGAGAAAGGAAGCGCTGCAAATATACACAGTGGCATCAAAGCAACCTTTCTTTTGAACTAAATAATGCAAATTAGGTTTACCTCTATCCATCTCCCTTTTCATTGAAATATATTTTCAAAAGAAATGAAATATGGGTTGTCCTTGTTTTCTTACTAAAAACTAGGCCTTGCTAAACAAAATCAAGTTTTTGAGGCCGTCAACACGTTACAAATGATGAAATTTTTCTGCAAGCCTGTTAAATTAGAATGTAGAAGATCCTAGCTAATTTGTATAGCTCAAGCTTCTAAATGTGTGCATTGTCCCCTTTCCTTGTCATGGAAGCAAATTCGTATTGACTGTCCTATCCCACACTCTCATGCAGTCAGTTTTCATCAGCCAGTCAGCTGTGGGCCTTGCACACTCCCCCACACTCCCTTTGTTGTGTTGTTTCCTGCAGGCTTGTCTCACTTTCCCTCCCCTTCTCTTGTCTTCCTGTTCGTATTCTCCATGAGTTTATTTTCCATTTGGAATCTATCTTATCTCCTCAACAGGAGTATTGATCCTCTGTCATATAGAACACCTGCTTCCTGGTGTCCCCCCTTCACTGTCACACAGACTATTATTGCATGTGGTCACTTTTGATTATTCCAATGTTGACTGCAGTTTTCCCAGCTGATGCCATGTAGGCTTCTCATATATCAAGAACATCCAGAAGGCTCCCTGGTCTTTTGCTGTGGCCAGATGATTGACTCGGAGGCTTGGACTGAAAGATAAAAAGCAGTGAAATTGGTGTACTAATAGAAACATCACTTTTAGGGTGGGGACAAGGGTGGGGAACAGATAAACAAATAATGAAACAGGACTTTTGCATATTGCCAAAAAGAGAACGGGGAGACATAGTTTCAGGTTTGGGTATACAGCAAGTCTTGAAGGCATGCCCATAGTGAGGACTTTGATGAATGGCTCACCACTTCTCCCACGACCCATCCAAACCTGTAGTGTTAAGGAAGTGAGGTGCTATTGCTCTTTTAGTAGGCTGGGACACCAGGCCACCACAATTATTAAAAATGTAGGGTTATTTCAGGAAGGTAGAACATATGCTGACCATACGAAATATATTTTTAGGCAGATCTTATCTGGAGAATGTCGCTTTTGATGAAGGAAACTAGGTAAAAATTATCTTGCTACTCAGAAGAATTGTTTTAGGTAAGATAGATCAATGGCAAAGATACTTAATTGGTTTAATCACTTTGAAGTCTTGAGGATGGCCACACAAATCTGTCTTTCTGAGTATGGAGAGGGAAAGACCTTGTCTCCTTCATGTCCATGTTCTTTTCTCAGTGCTGTTGTCAGGAGCTAGTTGCCACACTTCAATACCCCCAGGCTCCAAACAGCATAGGCGAGGGTGGGCTTAGGATGTGGCTTGTTGCATATGTACTTGGTGATTCCTCCTTGGGCTGGTTTCCTCGTCTACTGATGGCAAAGTGAATGTATCTGTGCATTGCCAAGTGGCCCTCCCACCCCTGCTCAACGTCTCGTCATACATTATAATGAGCAGCAACCTCAGCTCTATGGGGGTAGCCTCAGAATCTTCCTCCAAGCTATGACTTTGCGATGCAGGCAGAAGGACAGGGAATTGTGTGTGCTTCCTTTTTACCTCTCTCTTTTACTCTCAGCAGACCACTCAAATGATGATGAGCTGCCAAGCTATAAATCGTTGAAGATTCTCTGGCCAGGGAAGCTATGAAAAAGGAGAGAACTGGTAGGGAGAAAAGATAGGAGAGCAACACACATCTTTGCTTCAGGGATCCAAGGAGGACCACCACATGATGATTTGAAGCTGAACACACCTATGTCTTGGCTTATGTCTACACATCAAGGAATCAGCTGAGGTAGCTGTAGCATGACTATCATCATTTCAGCCTTTCCAGAAGTGGGAATGTAATAATTATATATTTTAATTCTTGTTTTTATGGCCCTGATGTTCATTTTGGGAACAATGAAAATATAATAAAATATTTCTAAAAAATTAATGGTAGCAACAAAATGTGAGAATAGGAATAGATCAGACAATGTGCCTTTAAGAGTCTCCCAGATTGCTTGCATTTAAGATAAGAGCCTTTAAAACCACAGGTTTTGTTCCAGTTTATGGAAAGTGTTGATCCAAACTGGTATCTTCTTGATAATTCTCAGACATGAAAAATCGTTTTAAAGCTCAAGTTAAATGGTTTGTATATAATACACTGTCCCTTGAATAACTCTGCTTGAATTAATTTCGACGAAGAACATTGCTTGTTATAAACAGAACTGATGTTTTCAATACCAAAATTCTCTCAGAAATATAGGTCTTTTGATAAAGAAAGAAATGACATGTCATTTCCCCTTTTAAAGGCTTACATAAATCCCACTTTGTTATTCTGTGGATTTTTCTTTTGTCTAACATACTTGTGGAAGCTTAGGCAGTAGCTGCACCTCACAGAGCGTCATGATTGCAGTCAAGTGTCTGATAGGTGCTTTCCTTTGTTCCAGTTACAAACTAAGTCTCTGCTGTGGTCCATGTCCTTGTATTAAAATCACTATCACTCAGTTAGTGGCAGCAGAACAAATATGTATGTCATCGGGAAGGAGGAAAAGAGAAAACACTGTAAAATGTAAAGCTGAAGAGGTAAAGTCATAGTGTGAAGTAGTTGAAATGTTGTAAGCAGAAAAGGAAAGTGAATAGATTTTATTTTTAGAAAGACAAGGTTAGTTTCAGGGTGGAGATTTCAGTGGTGGAGGCAGGGCCAAAGCTGGGATCTGGTTATGAAGGCCTTGAAGGCAAGAAGACATGGAGTTCCTGACTAGTGTTAGGGCAGGAGAAATGATGGAGATTAGTGGATGGATAAACGGAGAGACTAAGGAGTTAGATTAACAAGACTTGATAAGTGATGGGTATGGAGAGTAAAGAAAAGAGATGATTCAAAGGTAAGGTCCATGTTCCTGCATATGCAACAGATGGCAATTTACTGAAGTGGAAAACACAACAGGAGATGATGCATTCAGTTTGAGGTATGTGGAGCTCAAAACACTGATGGGACAGCCAAACTTATTAGTGGATCTGAGCTGGAGATAAAGATTTGGGAGTCAATATATGGCAATTAAAAATAATTGCAGGTATGGGCCGGGCGCGGTGGCTCACACCTGTAATCCCAGCACTTTGGGAGGCCGAGGTGGGCGGATCACGAGGTCAGGAGATCGAGACCATCCTGGCTAACACGGTGAAACCCCATCTCTACTAAAAATACACAAAAAAATTAGCCAGGCGTGGTAGCGGGCTCCTGTAATCCCAGCTACCAGGGAGGCTGAGGCAGGAGAATGGCGTGAACCCAGGAGGCAGAGTTTGCAGTGAGCAGAGATCATGCCACTGCACTCCAGCCTGGGTAACAGAGCGAGACTCCATCTCAAAAAAAAAAAAAATAATAATAATAATAATTGCAGGTAAGAAAAAGAATGAGGTTTTACATGGAGGAGGGCAAATTAAAGTGAGACAAAAAGAAGGCCTAGGATAAAATGCAAGGAACACCAACACTGAGGAGACAGGATCACAGGAACCAGAACCCAAGAAATGTGAATGTTTTGTGAAGAAGAAAGTGTTCAGTATCAAATGCTATTGAGAAGATAAAGACTGAATAGAATCAATTGGATTTTGTTTCAGGGGAAAATATGTTCCGTGGAGTAGAGGGGGTGGAAATCATCTTGCAAAGTGTGGGAGATAAGGAAGTGTAAATGCATTTTTCCATAATTTTGACAGTCTAATCAAAGGCAATGAGTTCTTTGTGCAGATTTTTCAACTCTGCCACATAGAAAGCTTCAGTTATGTATAGGTCATAGCACATTTAATTTTTAACATTGGTATGACTTATTCCTATAGCAGGAAGACTGCCTTGAAGAAACAGAATCTGCTATAAGAATACTATCAGGAAAGAATGGTCAAGTCAGGTGAAACCGCTGCTATTGTATGACTGTGAGTATTTGCCTTTGTCTCCATATGTGTTTTGGTTTGCAGCCATTAATAGCTTGGATACCATGAAGCAGTGGCAAAGGGGAGTGTGTCAGAGCAGCAGGCCAAAATTAAATTACAGCAACCTCGCACTTTGCATTAAAACCTTCACTCAGAGATGGAGGCTGGTAATCACGTCCAGATTTTCCTTAAAGACAATGGCCCTCCATGCAACTGGCCACACTCAGTTAATTCATGCTGTCAGCTGCCTTTATTGGCTGTGGGGAATCCAGTATTGATTCTTGAACTCAGCAGCAGCACAAAGAGCCACTAGTGCATGGTCAAAATGCTGCAATAAAGGGCTGGCAGCTTGAGAAAAGCAGCCATTCCATTGCACAAACAAGGTCAATTAGAGGACAGTGCAGTGTAATATAAATAGCATTAGCATCCCTCTTCAACTCCGATGATATCACGCTGGCAGAATGACAGTAAGGAAAATAAGGTTTAATGCTGAATAAATATAAAGGCATTTAGTGTAATTTAATTTCAAGCTCTCTATCATTTTAAAGTGCTACGAGTAGCAAAATATTTAGTTTCATCATGGGTAGGAATTTATGTCTACAAAAATGATTTTCTGATAAAACTTTGTGCAAACTAGCCAATTAGTCATGTATAGTTAAACTGGTATTATTAATTTTATTGAGAAGTAAAGAGTTTCTTATTCACAGAATCAATGTAGTATGCCTACCTGTCATTTACTATCCTTTTTAGTATTAGAATTTCAAAATCTCCAATGTGTCATGAAGAAGGAACAAAAGATATCTTGGTATTTTTAGTTTAAAAGATAGAGCAGATTGAGTTTTTTTCTTTCTTTTTAAGTCGCTGGAAATTACTAGGACCTTTTGTTTAAACACTTGCATTCATTACTTTTATTTATGGGAGAATTTTTCCTACCTTCTTTGTCAGTTCAAAATTAATTACAAATGTAAAACGCATCATGCTGCTAACACATATTCTATGCGGGAAACAAATTATACTCTCAAAATAGATAATGGACAGCTTGGAGAGGTAATTGATAAACCTACACTGCCTACAATAACTGAATAGATTTTAGAAAAATATATAATTGTTAGGAATGGAAAGAACGTGTTTGAATTCTCCTTGGTAATGAGTGTGCTCAATGTTGACTAGGAACAACTCATTAAAGTGCATAAAAGAGTTTAAAGAAAGTTTGAATCATGATGCCTTGGAAATGTCCATTAACCACTGAGAGTATATGGAGTCTCTCAGGCTGATGTTGTCCAGTCATTTGGTTAAATTATTTTTTAAAAGATAAATGTTTCAAGTAACCTAAGGTGTTTCCAGCAAACCTGCTATGTACATTATGAATTGAATATAAGAGTCTCAAGTTGCTTTCATGAACTTCCTTGAGTAGATGAGTTAATAGATCCTGTTTATATTCCATACCTCCTGCTCTGTCTGCTAAAAGATAACATTTATAACCCCCTCACAAAGATACTGTGAGAGCAAATACATAAATTTCTGCAGTTAGAGTGGAAGAATCACCTAATCTTCAAAACCATAGACTAATAGAATTTTACATATGGGAAACATCTTAAGAAGTAATCAAATCCCACTTCCTCCTGTTATTGGGGCCAGAAAAATTAAGCCACATGCACAAACATATATAGCTAGCCAATGCCCAAACTGGGATTCTCAAACATGCTTCAATTTTTAATTGTTCATTATTTTTTTCATTACAAAACCAATTTTAAAAAGAAACATGTACGGTTGTACAATCTGATAACTAAAGGATACTGTTCAATGGAAAAAATTCAAATAATAGATACTGAAAACCTTGGAAAATGAAAGTCATCCATTTTCCTACCTCTTAAAAAAATTTTATGTATGTTTCCAGATTTTTCATATAATACATATATGTAATACATATATGCGCATATGTTTTAGTGATAAATAAGTTTATATCTATCTATCTACCTATCTATCTATCTATCTATCTATCTGTATTAGTCAGCTCTTGCACTGTTATAAAGAAATACCTGAGACTAGTAATTTATTTAAAAAAAAGGTTTAATTTGCCCACAGTTCCACAGGCTGTACAGGAAGCATAGCAGCATCTGCTTCTGGGGAGGCCTCAGGGAGCTTTTGCTCATGGCAGAAGGCAGAGCGGGAGCAGGCATCTTACATGACAGGAGCAGGAGCAAGAGCAAGAGCAAGAGACAGAGCGAGGAGGGGCTACAGACATTTAAATGACCAGATCTCATGATAACGCACTCACTATTAGCACACAGGGGATGGAGCCAACCCATTCGCGAGAACTCCACTCCCATGATCCAGTCACCTCCTACTAGGCCCCACCTTCAACACTGGGGATTGCAATTCCACTACAGAATTGGGCGGGACACAGACCCAAACTATGTCATTATCTAATCTATTAATAAGTATCTATCTATCTATCAATCTTCCAATCTCTCTGTATACTAACTTGCTTTTTTCTTTTAACAAAACACCATAGATAACTTTCTTGCTAGTATTTATAATTCTAGTATACATCTTTTCTAATGGATGCATAATGTTCCATTTTATAGCTGCAGCCTCACTTAATTATTTAATACCCTTTTCTACAATATTTGGATTTCTTCAAATTACAATTACTGTATAGTATGTATTTTTGTATATATATTTTCATACTTGTTAAAATATTTCTATTGGATACATTTTTCAGAAAGGGAATTAGTGGTTAATTTATTTTTTAAACAAAGGTTTAATTTGGAGACTATTTTAGATATACAGAAAAGTTGCAAAGATAATACACCCTTCACCCAGTTTCTTCTAATATCAACATCTTATATTAGCAAGATAATATAATAAACTATGCATAGTTGCCAAACTAAGAAACCAGTATTGGTACATTACTATTAATGAAGCTCTGGATTTCAGTAGAATGTTTCTTCTATTAATGCATTTTGTTGCTGTTGTTCCAGAATCCAATCCAGGTTACTAAATTGTATTTAGTTGTCACAATTCCTTTGATTTTCTGGTCTGCAGCTAGTTTTCACTCCTTACTAATTTCCCATTACCTTGGCATTTCTAAAGCATAGTGGTCAGGTATTTTGTGAGATGGGTTAACTGATATTTGCAATTAAATTTAATTGTCATTGATAAATGATCCCTAAAATGTTTAAATAATATATACATCTAATACTAGTGAATGTTAGTGACTATTTTTTCTAATAGCCTTGACTTTAGAAGATAGTTTTCTCTTGCTAATCTTTGCCTATCTAGATGGTAATGGATAGAATTGCTTTATTAATTCAATTTACATTGGAAATATTTTCAGATTTATTATTTATTTGTCTTTCATTTTTGTGAATTGCTCACTCATGTTCTTTGTCCATTTTTTCTACTGACATTTGGATTTTTCTTATGAATTTGTTAATTTTTTCCCATATTAGAGATCTTAGGCATATGATCGCAAGTCTTAGCACGAATTTATTTCCAGTTCTAGCGTATTTTTTAAGTTTCTTTATGAAGATTTTTTGTATAGAGAAGTTGAAATCATTGTCTTTACAGTGTCTGAACATTTTGTCATGTTTAGAGAAAGTGCCTTTTTACTCCTAGATTGCAAAAATGTTCCTGCACTTATTGTTATATATTTTTGCCTCATATTTATATATCAATCTTTTATACATCTGAGGTTTAATTTGATATGAAGAGTGATTAGGATTCAGTTTAGTTGTTTTATTTTCCATAAAGAGTTAGCCAATTGTCCCAACTCACATTTGCTCTCTTGCCTTTTACTGGTTTGGAGAAATGGAACTGATAATAATTTAGAGAGTAGTAGTCATAATTTTTAATTTTAAAATACAACAGTGCCTCATCTGAAAAAAGAGTGTGAGAAGTTATATTTTACTGTATACCTACCTCCTACCTTTAAAATCCTTTACTATTTGTATTTTACTTAATCTTGCAACTGCACGTGACACTTGCTCACTCCTCCTCCCTGGAACGCTCTCCTCCTTTCTCCTTTGGACTTTCTGATACCTCTCAGCTTGTCTTCCTTCTCTCCTTGATCTGCCTCGTGCCCCACTTCCTCTCTGTGTCCTTGAATGTCGGTGTTCCCTGGGGATTGGGTTTTGTACCACTTATATCTTCTCACTTTGAGTGCTTCTCATTTACATTGTTGAAAATATATATGTTGTTATTTATTGCTTGCTGTTTCCCAGAAACTATTCTAAGTATATCAAACATATTTACTTACTTAATCATCATAGCAAATACACAAAATGGGCACTACCATTATCGCCTCCTTTTTATAGATGAGCAAATTGGCATACAAGGATTGAGGAACATGCCCAAGTTAACTTATGTTCTAAATAGGCTATGGAGGTGGAACTTGAGCTCAGCCAGTTTGACTCAAAATCTCATGCTTTTCATCAATATTCTGTAATTTCCCTGATGTTCTGTGGCAGCAAATCAGTTAAGACAATGACTCTGTATTCCTGTCATGTTTGTTGGCATTGCTCTTCACTCCAGCAGAGCACCCTGGATTCATTCTCTCCCTTACCTTCTATATACAATGAATAGCCCAGTACCGTGTTTTCTACTTCCAATATATTTTCAGCGTATCTTCTCTCCTCCAAACCTACAGCTTCTATCCTAAATTGGACCTTTATTACCCTCTTTTGGTGCTGCTCTAATGACTTCCTAACTATAGGAGCACATCTGTTTAAATGGATTACTAGAATCATCTACCCAGGTGACAACTTTAACTGTGATTCCTTTGCCTAAGCTTCCCAGCAGCTCTCTACCCACCATAATAGCATGCACTCTAAGCTCTTTCATAGGATATAGAAAGCAAGGTTCTCCATGCCCTGGGACCAGCTCTTTCTGCCTCCTGCTGATTGCTCCTCTCTTCCTCCCATCCCACCTCAGGCACTTGACTCTGCTCCACATTCTTGCTTGGTTAGTGTCACTCACTGTCTAGGACCCTTCTCATACACTGCTTCTTACAAGCAGTCACATCTCCAGATCCTCACTCCAGTGATGGCTGGATCTAGTGTTCCGTCTCTGTCCTAACACTCGATTTAACATTGTGTTGAAGTTATTGGCTTGTTTGTCTTTCACAGCTCCTTGGATGCAAGCTCTGTCCTGTCTTATTGGTCTTTATTGTCCTAGCACAGGGTGCTAGGAAATTTGTTAAATAAAAGAAATTTGTTAAATGTTGCTAACTTGAATTCTAGAGGCAATTTTACAATATTCTAACTGCAATCTCTGCCTTATGGTCACTTCAATGGGACATTTCTGAGCTCTTAAATGACTTTAAGCAGACCTGCAGTCACTGAAGAAGTAATTGTACACAAGTCAACTATAGAAATCATTACTTTCAAACAGCAAGTAAAGGAATGTTTCCTAGATGGATAGGTGCTATACTATTATAGTTTTTGGTATATGTAATTTAATGGCTGCTGAGGTAGACATTCCTTGACTTGCTATTACATCTGTTACATCTGTGTTTTGCATCTCCATTTCTATTAAAATATAACTGTAGCTGATTCATATCTCCCATATCCACAGTGTCAAGGGTGGTGTAGAAGTCATTATCTTTAATAAACCAGTGATGGGTCTTTCTGACACGGTATGTGATGGAATCAGGAATTTGGGGGATTGAGGTCGTGTAAATTTGAGTTTGGGGACCTTTACGGCAGCATGTGTGAAAAGAAAACGTCAGGATGATGGGAAATAGGTATTAACAGAAAAAAACAATTTATTTAGCATTTCCTATGTGCCAGGCACTGTATTATCTCATCTAAATTTTAGAAGAAGTTTTTGGGTCACTCTCATGCTCGTTTATGAGGATTCTAACTCTAAGTGCTGTATTTTGCAGAGAGAGCTGTACATTTGGGAGGCTGGTTGTCCAAGAGTTCAAAGAGGTACCAGATTAATGGCCACTAATTAATATTCTGTATTGTATTGGGGTGACTTTGTTTGTACTATAAACTTATTTATTCCCACACTTTATGACATTTTGGGGGGACTTGATGAATTGTAAGTTTGTCACTCTATCTCTCCCCTGGGCCATAGAAGGACTCAGGTTATGCATTTTCATAATTTGTGGTGGAGATAATTTCCTCCTGCAAACGTTTTGCATGGAGACTATTAAAGGGCCTCACTGCTCTGAGCACTGTCCATGTCACAAGGTGAGGCCCCAAGAGATGCAGCACAGTAAATGTTCCTGAAAAATTCATCTTCTTAATTTATAGATACGACTTTTGCCTTGAAATCCTGCCTCCTGATAAGCAGGGGCAGCACAAAAAGGAATTCAAACATTAACTATACTTTTACTGGAGTCAATTCTAACCATTTGTCCCAGCTGCTGCTTTTCTGGGATGTAGTATATTTCTTGAGCTCAGTGCCATAGAAAAGCCTCCCCCTCCCTTTAACCCAATGGTCTCAGGAAATGCAGAAGCATCAGGAATTGAAGCTTCTTCAAGCTTTTGGAGTTAACACCTCTTAAAAACCAAAACATCTCAAGGGCCCTTCTGGCTACCTTGACATTTTTTCACACCTAGGAATATTTTATTTTGCAGAAAGCTCAGGTGGAGAAAGAGAATGTTCTAGGAGTTACATGGATGTCTGTGACCTTCTCTGCCAGTATTTATTCCTCTTTTGGATCTTTTCCTTGCAGTTATGTTTGACATTTGTTTTACCTTCCTCAGCCTACATCTAGAACTCCAATGTGCTGATTCTTAGTACCTTTGCGTTCTTTCCTGAGGAAGCTGAGGCAAATCAGGTAGGTGAAGGGCCCTTCCTACTTGCTAGAGAAATGCAAAGACTTGCTCTTGTAACATAAAACAGGCTGCAGATCGGGTCTTCCTGCCCTTCAAGACTTTCCCACACTGGGTTCCAGGAATTTGAACTGAGTTGTGTAGAATGGGTAAAGCTGGCCCATTATGGAGCATAGAGAGAAAATTCAGTGGTATTCTAGATGTGAGTGGGGACAGGGGGAGAAGAACGATGTGAAGCTGTGGGTCCTTGAGAGCAAGGAGAAGCCAGGCAAAAGGATAGCGATGCTGAACTGACAAGCTGGAGCTGGGGGCTTCTGGAGCACTCCCTGGAGAGGTTCCTGAGGTCATAGGAGGCAAGAGGAGGCATCCCATGAGAGGAATTGGGGCAGGTAGGAGCAGTGAAAGGAATTTTTGATTGCTTTGGACCGTGAGTATTGGGGTGTGTTACTCTCTTTTTCCTTTCAAAATGGTCTCACCACTCTCCCCATGAGACTGGTCCAAGACTATACTACACAGGGGTTGTGTGAAGAGTAGTTTTAGCAAAGTAAAGTTTGTGGAGAGCCCATATTTTAAAATTTTCTTGCTTATTCTTATCCTGAAAACTTAATTTCGTTAAATGTGCACAATATTAAAAAGTTTTCCTTTAAAATAAATTTCTTCTGAAAGGATGATGATGATGATTGTGTGTGTGTGTGTGTAAAATATTTCTATGATTTCTTTTTGTTTTCTTTTTCTTGGTCTTGGTCATTTCAAAAGTTGTCATTAGCTTTATATTCTATCGTACTTCTATCTTAAGGCACTTAAATTAAAGTATCTTTTATTAAGCTATAAAAGTCATTTTAATTATGCATACTTCTCTTAATTATACCTGTATAAGTAGACACATGTTTACATCTTAACAAACTAAAACAAAACAAAAACCTTTAGCCATTTTCTCAAAAGCAATCAAATCTAACAAATGAATGGGAATTCATGTTGGTTTTTTCTGAAGAAGTGTTTGGAATTTGGAATTTGCTTGAAAATGGAAATGAAATGCCATGTTTCTATAAGCATTTCCTTTCAGTGTATTTTGCTTAAATATCAATGGTAAACGTGTTTGTGTAAATATAACTATCACAAACCTCATCACATAGTAACTCTCAGAATCTTGGTGTTCATTAAATAGATTTCTGTATCTTTCCTGTACCTATTTAAATATGATCTCATTTCCTTCAGCTGCAGATACTGGCAAGGAAGGAAGGAAAGAAAGAAGGAAAGAAGGAAGGAAGGAAGGAAGGAAGGAAGGAAGGGAAATAAGAAAAGTCTGTTGATTTTTTCTATCGAATGACCAAGAGGAAAATTTACTAAAAACTATATTATTTGACAAAGCCAAATAAAATATGTAGACAAATCTCTAAATTTAACGTCTTATTTAGGATACAATAATTGTAATTTGGGGCATACATGCAGACTGATTGGTACATCCAAAGAACAAAGAGAAGGTTGGAGGTTTTATAAAAAGGAGAAATGTTACGTACTGTTTTTCAAGAAAGTTCATTATCACTAGCAAAGTTTTGGGGAGCTAGAAAGCTCTGACTGGTAAATGAGAATGGTAGGTAAAACTAGTCTTAGAATTGTAGCACGTTGTTTCAGAAGCCATGAAATAAAACTAGTTTCAAGTTATAGCAGGCAGTTTCAGCAGCCAGGCTGGCAGAGAATTACATTCTTGGAGCAATGTTATTTGCCTGACTGCTTTCAATCCCTGGCTTTTCCACTCTGTTTTACTTGGGTATGATTAGAATGACCCACTTTGTATGATCAATTTTCACATCCTGTATAGGAAAAATAAAATTTGTTTATATCAAAACTCTAGTAAGCATCCTTAAGATAAGACATTCTCTGGTTCTCTGTAATATTCTATTTACTTAGACAATACTAATAAATTAAAACAGAAACGCCTTAATTGTAGTTCAATTGTTTTTCATTGTAGAAATGCTGGCCAGAGGGGATCTCAAACACAGAAAACTAAACACATTCAGTTCAACATGTATTGAGGTTTTACCATCATGTATCAGTCATTGTCAAACACTAGAGATACAAAGGAGACAGGGTCCCTGTCTTTGAAAAATTCATATTAACTAGTGAATGCAGAGGGGAAAAAAACCCTCAAAAACAATGTAATTTCTATAACTGAAGCTTCCAACAAGTTTCATGAGAAACAAATGATTGATATATTTTGGAGGAGGGATGTACTTTGAATAATAAGTTGAATTTTCCAGGTAAAGAGGAAAAGTGCATTTCATCTCAAGACAGGAAAATGTGCTTGAGGAGCAAGTGTAACTGTCATAGAATGTCATATAAATGATAGTGTAATATATGTAGTCTTTTTTATCTGTTTTTTTCACTTAGAATAATGCTTTTGATGTTCATTCATATAATTGCATGTATCCATAATTCATTTTGTTATAGCTAGAGAGTATTCCCTTGTATGGATATACAGTATGACAATTATATATTCCTTCATTAGTTGATGGACATTTGGCAAGTGTTTGTGGACATATGTTTTTATTTTTATTCTTTAAATGCTTAGCAGTGGAATTTCTAGATTGAATGATAAGTGTAGGTTTAATTTTATAATAATTACCAAATAGATTTCTAAAATGGCTGCAGCATTTCTCATTCCTACTGGCAACGTATGAGAGTTCCTGTTGTTCTGCATCCCTTCCAACACTTGATATCGTCAGTATATTAAATTTTTAGCTATTGCAGTAGGAATGCAGTGGTATCTCATTGTGGTATTAACTTACAATTCTCTAATTCATAAGGTTCAACATTTTTGACATGTGCCTATTTGCTATTCATATATCTTCTTTGTTGAAATATTTGTTAACTATTAAGCCCATTTTAAACAATTGGTTGTCTTCATAAATATTCACTATATATTTTCAAATATTTTATATGTTCTGGTTATAAGTTCTTCATGAGATATATGGTTTTCAAACATTTTCTCCCATTCTGTGGCTGCCTTTTAATTTATTTTACATTTATTTTGAGGAACATTTTTAATTTTGATAAAATTTAATTCATCAGTATTTAACAGCATTTTGATTTTTTACAGTTTGTGTCGCAAAGTCACAAAGAGTGCCTCTATGTTTGCTTTCAGACATTTTACAGTTTGCCTCTTATAATTTGTTTTATAATCTATTTTGAGAAAATTTATGGATTTGATGTTGAGCAAGAGTTGAGGTTTTTTTTCCACATGTATAATCTAACTTCTCTAGCACAATTTATGTAGATGATTATTTTATACCCATTGGATTACCTGAATTATCTTGGCACACTGTAGAAAATCGATTGATTTTGTGGGTGTCTAATTCTGGTTTCTATTTCATTGATTCAATGTTTATTCTTTTGCCAACTCCACACTGCTTTAAAACAGTAGCTTTATTCTAAATCCTGAAATCAGGTAGTATAAATCATCCAACTTTGTTTTGCTTTAGAATCCTTCTTGATATTCTACTTCTCTTGCAATTCCATAAATTTTAAAATTAATTTATAAATTTTATTCCAAACGTCTGCTGGGATTTTGGTTAAGGTTTTGTTGTATCTCAATATGAATTTGGGGGTTTTGACAATATTGAGTCTTCTAATCTATGCATATACCATTTCTCCCCATTGAGCTAGCTCTTTAATTTTTTGAAGCAATCATATGTAGTTTTCAGTACAACTCTTGAGTATCTGTTGTTAAATTTGCCCCAAGTATTTCATGTCTTTAAATGCTGTTTTGAATGGTATTTTAATTTTGATTTCCAGTTGTCTGATACCAGCCCATGCAAATAGAGATGATTTTTGTAATAGTGATCCTTTATCCATCCACCTTTTCAATTAATTCATGCTACTAGCTTTTTCGAGGGTTACTTAGGATTTTTCTAGATAGAGGACTATGTCGTATGAAAATAAAAACAGTCCAATCTCTATGTCTTTTATTTATTTTATTTATTTATCTTGCCTTGTCATACTTTTTAGGGCCTCCAGTATAATGGTTAAGGAAGAAACCACAAGATTGGGCACGGTGGCTCATGCCTGTAATCCCAGAACTTTGGGAGGCCAAGACAGGTGGATCACCTGAGGTCAGGAGTTCAAGAGCAGCCTGACCAACATGGTGATACACCGTCTCTACTAAAAATACAAAAATTAGCTGGGTGTGGTGGCAGAAGCCTGTAATCTCAGCTAATTGGGAGGCTGAGGCACAAGTATCGTTTGAACCCAGGAGGCGGAGGATGCAGTGAGCCAAGATTGTGCCATTGCGCTCCAGCCTGGGTGACAGAGAGAGACTCTGTCTCAAAAAAAAAAAAAAAAGAAGAAGAAACCACAAGAGAAATTAGAAAATATTTTCACCTGGTTTAAAATCAGTGGTGGTGAGAGATATTCTTGCCTTGATCTTAGTCTTAGTGGGAAAGCCTTAAATTTTTCACCATTAAATTTGTTGTTGGTAGTAGGATTTTTGTAAATATTCTTTGTCAGCTTGAGGAAATTCCTTTCTATTCCTGGTTTGCTGAGAATTTCTACCATGAGCGGGTATCAAATTTTGTTAAATGCTTTTTATGCACTAATTGAGAGGATTGTATGATTTGTTTTATTTTGTTTTAATATATTCATATAGTGAATTACATTAATTTTTAGATGTGAAACCAACTTTGCATTAATTGGATAAACCAAAAAAGATCATGATATTTTATACTTTATATATTTATTTAACTAGGTGGAATTTTTAAATTTTTTGTTGACAATATTTGCATATATATTATGAGTACAGGAGCCTATAGTTGTTTCTTATTTAAAAGTCTTTTGTCTGGTTTTGCCCTCAGTAAAATCAGCATAGAAGGGACTTACCTTAATGTAGTAAAAGCCACCTATGACAAACCCAACATAATACTGAATGGGGAAAAATTGAAAGCACTCCCCCTGAGAACTAGAACAAGACAAGGATGTCCACTTTCACCAGTTCTATTCAACATAGTACTGGAAGTTCTAGCCAGAGCAATCAGACAAGATAAAGAAATAAAGGACATCCAAACCAGTAAAGAGAAGTCTAACTGTAGCTGTTTGCTGATATGATTGTATACCTAGAAACCCTAAAGACTCCTCCAAAAAGTTCCTAGAACTGATAAATGCAGCAAAGTTTCAAGATAGAAAATCAATGTGCATAAATTAGCAGCTCTGCTATACATCAACAGCAACCAAGCTGATAATCAAATAAAGAACTCAAACTCTTTTATAATAGGTGAAAAAAATAAAATATTTAGGAATATACCTAACCAAGGAGGTGAAAGACCTCTACAAGGAAAACTGCAATCTATTACTGCTGAATGAAATCATAGATGACACAAACAAACTGAAACACATCCTATGCTCATTGATGGGTAGAATAAATATTGTGAAAATGACCATACTGCCAAAAGCAATCTACAAATTTAATGCAGTTCCCATCAAAATACCACCATCATTCATCACAGAACTAAAAAAAAAAAATCCTAAGATTCATATGGAACCAAAAAGGAGCCCACATAGTGAAAGCAAGACCATGCAAAAAGAAAAAATCTAGAGGCATCACATTACCTGACTTCAAACTATACTATAAGACCATAATCACCAAGACAGCATGGTACTCGTATAAAAATAGGCACATAGACCGATGGAACAGAATAGAGAACCCACAAATAAAGGCAAATACTTACAGCCAACTAATCTTCCACAAAGCAAACAAAAACATAAAGTAGGAAAATTACACTCTATTCAACAAATGGTGCTGGGATAATTGGCAAGTCACATGTAGAGGAAGGAAACTGGATACTCATCTCTCACGTTATACAAAAATCAACTCAAGATGAATCCAGGACTTAAATCTGAGACCTGAACCATAAACATACTAGAAGATAACATCAGAAAAACACTTCTAGACACTGACTTACGCAAAGACTTCATGACCAATAACCCGAAAGCAAATGCAACAAAGACAAATATAAAAATAAATGAGACTTAGTTAAACTAAAAAGCTTCTGCACAACAAAAGAAACAATCAGCAGAGAAAACAGATAACCCACAGAGTGGGAGAAAATCTTCACATTTTGTGCATCTGACAAAGGACTAACATCCGGAATCTACAAGGAACTCAAACAAATTAGCAAGAAGAAACGATACAGTTCCATCAAAAAGTGGGCTAAGGACATGAATACACAATTCTCAAAAGAAGATATACAAATGGCCAACAAACATATGAAAAAATGCTCAACATTACTAATCATCAGGGAAATGCAAATCAAAACCACAGTATGATACAACCTTGCTCTTGCAAGAATGGCCATAATCAAAAAATTAAAAAAAATAGATGTTGATGGGGATGTGGTGAAAAAGGAAAACTTTTACACTGCTGGTGGGAATGTAAACTAGTAAAACTGCCATGAAAAACAGTATGGAGATTCCTTAAGGAAATACAAATAGAACTACCATTTGATCCAGGAATCCTACTACTGGGTATATACCCAGAAGAAAAGAGTTGTTATACGAAAAAGATACTTGCACATGCATGTTTATAGCAGCAATTGCAAAAATATGGAACCAGCTGAAATGCCCTTCAATCAATGAGTGGATAATGAAATTGTGAGATATATATATATCTTGTATGTATATATATATATATATATATACACACCATGGAATACTACTTAGCCATAAAAAGGATCAAAATAATGGCATTAGCAGTGACATGGATGGAATTGGAGACCATTATTCTAAGTGAAGTAACTCAGGAATGGAAAACCAAACATTGTATGTTCTCACTCATAAGTGGGATCTAATATATGAGGATGCAAAGGCATAGGAATGATAAAATGGACTTTGAGGACTTAGGGGGAAAGGGTGGGAGGGGATGAAGGATAAAAGATTACAAATTAGGTACAGTGTATACTGCTAGGGTGATGGGTGCACCAAAATCTCAGAAATCACCTCTAAAGAACTTATGTATGCAAATATCACCTGTTCCCCCAAAATGTATAGAAATAAAAAAAAATTAAATCACCACTAGACTAATTGTTGCCTACAAAAAAATCTTTTGTCTGGTTTTGTATCATTTTATAATATGTCTCCTTTATATATTTATTTAGCTGAATGGAAGTTTAAAAATTTTTGTTAAAGGTATTTGCATATATGTTATGAATGTAAGAATCTATAGTTGTTTCTTTTTTAAAAGTCTTTTGTCTGGTTTTGTATAATGTTAGAATATGGCTCCTTTTCTATTTTTTAGAGGTATTGGTTTAGAATTGATATTATTCCATCCCTGAATATTTAGTAGACTTCAGTACTGAAGTCTTCTGAGTGTGACATTTTCACTGTAGAAAAGATTTTAGCTGCAAATTCGATGTCTTTAAAAGATAGAAGGCTATACTAATTATGTATTACTGCTCAAGTCAGCTTCTTTAACTTATTTCTATAAAAAATTGTCCACTTCATTCAAGTGGCCAAATTTATTGCTATATAGTTATTTTTAATATTTCCTTATTATCTGTTTAATATATGATTAATCTGTGATATTATTGCCTCCTTCATATGGTTTGGCTCTGTGTCCCCACCCAAATCTCATCTTGAATTGTACTCCTATAAATCCCATGTGTTGTGGGAGGGACCTGGTGGGAGATAATTTGAATCATGGGGGTGGTTTCCTACACACTATTCTCGTGGTAGTGAACAAGCCTCACGAGATTTGATGATTTTATCAGGGGTTTCCACTTTTGCATCTCCCTCATTTCTCTTGCCACTGCCATGTAACTAGTGCCTTTCACATCCCGTCATGATTTTAAGGCCTCCCCAGCCATGTAGAACTGTAAGTCCAATTAAACCTCTTTTTCTTCCCAGCCTTAGGATGTCTTTATCAGCGTGTGAAAATGAACTAATACAGTAAATTGATACCAGAAGTGGGGTACTGCTGAACAGATACCCGAAAATGTGGAAGCAACTCTGGAACTAGGTAACAAGCAGGTGTTGGAACAGTTTGGAGGGCTCAGAAGAAGATAGGAAAATGTGGGAAGGTTTGGAACTTCCCAGAGAGATTTGTTGAATAGCTTTGCCCAAAATTCTGATAGTAATATGGACAATAAAGTACAGGCCTGGGTGGTTTCAGATGTAAATGAAAAACTTGTTGTGTACTGGAATAAAGGTGGCTCTTGTTATGTTTTAGCAAAGAGACTGGCGGCATTTTGCCCCTGCCCTAGAGATTTGTGGAATTTTGAACTTGAGAGAGATGATTTAGGGTAACTGGCAGAAGAAATTTCTAAGCAGCAAAGCATTCAAGAGATGATTTGGGTGCTATTAAAGGCATTCAGTTTTATAAGGATAGCAGAGCATAAAAGTTTGGAAAATTTGCAACCAGACAATGCAATAGAAAAGAAAATCACATTTACTGAAGAGAAATTCAAGCTGGCTGTAGAAATTTGCATAAGTAATGAGGAGCCGAATGTTAATCCTCACAACACTGGCAAAAATGTCTCCAGAGCATGACAGAGACCTTTACAGCAGCTCCTCCCATCACAGGCCCAGAGGCCTAGGAGAATAAAGTGGTTTTGTGAGCTGGGCCCAGAGTCCCTTGCTGCATGCAGCCTAGGGACTTGGTGCCCTGTGTTGCAGCCACTCCAGCTGTGGTTGAAAAGGGGCAATGTAGAGCTCGGACCATGGCTTCAGAGGGTGCAAGTCTCAAGCCTTGGCAGCTTCCATGTGGTGTTGCACCTAACAATTCACAGAAGTCAGGAATTGGGGTTTGGGAACCTCCACCTAGATTTTAGAAGATGTATGGAAATGCCTGGATGCCCAGGCAGAAGTTTTCTGCAGTGACAGGGCTCTCATGGAGAACCTCTGCTAGGGCAGTGCAGAAGGGAAATGTGAGGTTGGAGTCCCCACACAGAGTCCCAAATGGGGCACTGCCTAGTGGAGCTGTGAGAAGAGGGCCACTGTCCTCCAACATTCAGAATGAAAGATCCACCTGCAGCTTGCACTGTGTGCCTGGAAAAGCCACTGACACTCAACGCCAGGCCAGGAAAGCAACCAGGAGGGGGGCTGTGCCCTGAAAAGCCACAGGGACAGAGCTGCCCAAGACCACAGGAACCCACCTCTTGCATTAGTGTGACCCGGATGTGAGACCTGGAGTCAAAGGAGATCATTTTGGAGATTTAAAATTTGACTACATCACTGGATTTTGGACTTGCATGGGGCCTGTAACCCCTTTGTTTTGGCCCATTTCTCCCATTTGGAATGGCTGTATTTACTCAATACCTGTACCCCCACTGTATCTAGCAAGTAACTAGGTTTCTTTTGATTTTACGGGCTCATAGGCAAAAGGGACTTGCCTTGTCTCAGATGAGACTTTGGACTATGGACTTTTGGGTTAATGCTGAAAGAAGTTAAAACTTTGGGGGACTGTTGGGAAGGCATGATTGGTTTTGAAATATGAGTACATGAGATTTGGAGGGGCCAGTGGTGGAATGATATGGTTTGGCTCTCTGTCCCCACCCAAATCTCAACTTGAATTATACTCCCATAATTCCCACATGCTGTGGGAGGGACCTAGTAGGAGACAATTTGAATCATGGGGGGTTCCCCCCTCCTATTCTCATAGTGGTGAATAAGTCTCATGAGATCTGATGGTTTTATCAGGGGTTTCCACTTTTGTATCTCCCTTATTTTCTCTTGCCACCATGTAAGAAGTGTCTTTCACCTCCTGCCATGATTCTGAGGCCTCCCCGGACATGTGGAACTGTAAGTCCAATTAAACCTTTTTCTTCCCTATCTTCGGTATGTCTTTATCAGCAGTGTGAAAAAGAACTTATGCACTCCTTAATTCCTGAAATTGCCAATTTTTTTCTTGATAGTTTCACTAGAGTTGTATCAGTGTTGTTCATCTTTTCAATAAGCCGTCTTCTGATTTTTCTCTTTTTCTTTGTTGCATTTATTCTATTGCATGGATTTATGTTCTTGTCTTTATTATTTCACTCCCTCTGCTTACTTAGGGTTTAATTTATTCTTGTTTCACTAGCTCTTTTAAGGTACAACCTCAAATCATTAATACAAAGCCTTTTTTTCTTTTCTAATACAACTATTCAGTTACATCTACCAGGTTTTGATATGTGATATTATGATTTTAACCTAGTTCAATTTTTTTTTATTTCTCTTGTGATTTCTTCTGTAATGCATAGGTTATTTGGAGCCTGTTGTATAATTTCAAATATTTAAGAAATTTTCATATATTTTGCTGTTACTCATTTCTAGGTTAATTCTGTTACATTTAGAGAACATCCTTTGTATGAGTGTAACCCCCTTACATTTATTGAATCTCGTTTTATGGCCCAGAATATTTTATGTGCATTTGAAAGGTGTGGGTTTTCTATTGTTGGGTAGAGTGCTCTATAAATATCATTAGACAACATTGTTTGATGAGGTTTTCAAGTGTCTAGATTTTTTTCTGATCTTCACAATTCTAGCAATTGCTGGGCATTTTCTGTGGAAATCTCCAAGGATAGTTTGGATTTGTCTATTTTATTTTTCAATTCTACCAGTTTTTGCTTCTTACATTTTGATGCTTATTATTAGATACAAATGTCACAGGATCCTTAGGGTGTCATTTTCCCAGCTGGAAACCTCTGTGGCCGGTGGCACCTTTGCCCAAGTTTTGCTTGGGCACACTGGGCTTGTTCTGCCCACTCAGCCTGGCAGACTGTGTTTGGCTCATGCTACTGGCCTGTATCCCACAACTGCCAAGTGCAAGCCAGGTGTGGAGTGGTGAGGGGTGTATGAGTGAGTGAGCACGAGATCTGACCACTGAGAAACCCAGTCATGCCAGCTGTGGAGAAGGCAGCTCCAGGTGCTAGCACAGGCACCGGCTCCCTGCGAGGCTGTGGCTGGACAAGGCATACTGCAAGCAGCTTCCAGGGTTGGCACTGGGAATGCAGTGGCACCCAGAAACCTGGAGAAGCCAGAAACCACAGAGCCTCAAAGAGGGTGTCACAGCTCTGGCTCAGTGACCTCCTAAATCTGTGCTCCCTGAAGGGCTACAGCTCTTCTGTCCTTCTTGTCACCTGCAACATGGCAAGCAGGAGGCATGTTTCAGACCTGTTTGTGTTACAGCTCTTTCAGCCCCACCATTAGGTGGGTTCTTGTGTTCTTGTCTCATGTCCAGGAAGAATGAGGTACACAGACAAGTGAAGGGTGAGCAAGGTGAAGAGGTGATTTATTGAGCAACAGAACAGCTCAGAGGAGACCCACAGTGGGAAGCTCCTCTCTGCAGGAAGGTTATCCCATTGTCTGCCTGAGTCTGGCTGAGTTGGGGGGTGTTACTGGTTTCAGAGGGGAGGAAGTGCATGCTGATTGTTCCATGGACAGCCATGGGCGGGCTGGAAAAAGCACCATAAGTTATCACTCTGGTCTGGGCAACTGGCAGCCCATCCCACTGGCCTCAGGCTGTTCCTGGCCTGAAGGTGGGGTTTCACTGGGGATCTGCCCCTTTCCACCCAGAGTGTATTTGCCTCCTGCTGCCATTAAGCTGCTATCCGTGGTGCCCATGGCACCCAGGCTGCTGATGCCGAAGGGTGTCTGCAGGTCCGTGGTGAGCCACCCTTAGCCCCTCTTCAGCCTCTGTCTCATGCTTGTGGGTATGCAGGGGACTAAGGCAGCAGGGAGCTGGCATGTCAGCACTGCCCCAATCACTCACACAGCAGGCCAGGTAGTGACAGTGCCCAGGCTCAGCCACAGCTTCGCTCTGAAATTGGAGCAGGTGCCAGGAGTGGGAGAGGCCAGGCAGTGGGAGCATGCATTTCCAAGCCTGTGGGGGAAGAGGGACTTCCCAGGCCTGGGAGAGTGCAGAAATTCCAGGTCCGGAGCTGTGGGTGGGCATGTGCAGCTGTGCCCAGAACAGTGGGGCTCCCGCCCCTCCAACTTGGAAGTGGGTGGGACTTCTGCCTGTTCCCAGCTCCCACCGTCTCCCTGGAGCACACAGCCCCAACAGCTCCTCCCCCACTACAGCCAGCATCATGCAAACGGCCACTCCAGATGGACTGCTGCTGCCATCATGAACACATTTAGTATTATTGTAAATGTCTTCTTGATGAAACAACTCTTTTATCATTATAAAATGTTCTCTTTAAATGTGATACTAATCCTTGTTCTAAAATCTATTTTTTTCTGATACAGACATAGCTATTCTAGCTTTTTTTAAATTTATGCTTAACGTATAGCTTTTAAAAATAGTTTTATTATTAACTTATTTAGGTCATTGTATTTAAAAGTATCTCATATAGGCAGGGTAGAGTTGAGTTTTGCTTTTTTATCCAGTCTGACAATCTCTTCCTTTTAATTTGAATGTTTAGACCAGTGGTTCTCAAACTTTCTGGTCATACGATCCCTTTACACTCAACATGATTTTATTTATGTGAGTTAGATATTTATTGATAGATATTTATTTGTTGATACTCTATTAGAAATTTAAAAAACATGAAAAAGTTTATTGTTACATTTAAAAATAAGAAAAACAGCATTATATTTTAACACATATACATTTATGAAAAATAATAACTTATTTTTGAAAAGACTGAAAAAAATGTAGCTTTTTTTAATATTTTTGCAAATCTAGCTTTCTATTTCTTCTAATGTCAATTTTGTAATATTTGATTGCTGACTTTTTTTAACCTTTCAAATTTTCTACCTATTTATAGTATTTCTTATAATTGAACATTTCTTTTGTGTCCTCTAGGTCCCATTTTTTTTTTAATGCTGCCTGTTATATTCTCTCTTCATTTATTTTTGGATCAAGCCAGCAAAAATTTATATTTTCTTTTCTGAGTTAATTTATTGATTAAAAATTAGATTATTGAGTTTCATAATTGAGTACTTTATTTTTGCTCTTTCTTGATGTCAAGAATCTAAAACCTTAATTTCATCCAGATTTAATCAGTTATGGCAGGTAGAATGCTTTTGTTACTCTTATGCAGTATTTTAGATGAACTATACATTGTATTAAAGACATGATCCCTTCCCCACATATATTGTATTACATTTCCAAAATATTTAGCCAATCATGAATTAACTAATTAGAAGGAAAGTGGCTACATAGAGAAAAAGCAGATGCATCAAGTCCCAACCAATTTTCTTGGACACTAGACTTCCTAATACAGCCATATGACTATTACTGCCACCTTTCACAAGATGATTGCTAGATCTGAGAAGCTTCACTCTTTTCAATATGTTATTATGAACATGTTCAGTCATACACAAAAAAGATTAGTAAAATGAACTATGTATACTCATCACCTAGAGTCAAGAGTCTGGATAAAGATTTTAACAAGCTTGTTTTGTTTCTTTCTTTTTAATTTCCTTAATTCTTTCTATTTTATTTTATTTTATTTTTGCTGAATTTTTAAAAGCAAATAATATATATCATTTCATTTAACTCCCACATACTTCAGGGATATCTCTAAAGATTTTTTTATACAACCACAATGACATGTTCTCACTTAACAAAATCAACAATAATCTTTTGTTTTACCCAATACCTGGTACAAGTCAAATTCTTCAATTGTCTCAAGAAATTCCTTTTTATAATTAACATATTTTAATTAGGATCTCCAAGTCCACATATTGCATTGAGTTGTTGTGTATTCTAAGTTTATTTACTCTAACCTAGTCTATCTTCTCCTACCCCCTGCTTTAATATGCCATTGAACTTGTTCAAGAAACAAGCTCAGCTGTTATATAAAATGTCCAATATTCTGGATTTGCTTATTTCTTCCACATAATGCCATATAACATCTTCTTTTATATTCTATATTTTCTATAAATTGGAAATTCACTCTTAAAAGCTTGATTTGATTCATGTTTAACTTTTTTGGGGCAAGAATATTTCATAGATAGATCCATATATTTTATATTGGATAACTTCAGAAGGTATGTAATGTGTGGTTGTTCCACTTTATAGATGTTAAAATTGATCAATGGTTTTAGGTGGTGAAAGACTGATCCTTCCATTGCTAAGTTTTCCATCGAGTTTTATTTCATGTTTTATCTATTGAGGACCACTATCTAAGTCAATTATGTGTTTAGGGGTTGAAATATGATAGTTTTAAAAATTTAATCTTTTCTTCCACATTTATTTGCTAGATTTCTTCTGTTGTGATAGTTATTTCCAATGATGTTCAATATTTGTGTTTGTATGATTTTAACTTTATCTTATTAAGTATAATTATAAATTAGTGCTTTCTTTCAAATGCATGAGTTTTCCAGTCAATAGATTTCAGTAATTAGACTTCATCTTCTTGGTAATATGTATCCTGTCTTCCTCCATGTTGGTTCTTGTGTCATTTGGACACAACTCCATTAGTGTGGGATAGTGTTCTTGTTTTCTGGAACAAGATGTCTCAGGAAAATCTAGATTTTATGCTTCAGGCATGTATCCAGCTACTTCTCTAAAGAACTTTGGTATTTATGGAGTACCGTCTTCATATAGGAGCTGTCATTGCTACTGAGTTACTGTTGCTTTTAGACCTCATCAGTGGACAGTACTAGAAAATGCATATGTTTAAAGAAAATAGTCACAATTTCATACTACTTTCAATTCAAAGTTACCATTATAGTTTTTTACTATTTTCTATGAGTTTATCTTTATACTTTGTTTTCACACACTAAAATTTTTAACTTAGAACATCAACATAATTGCATACTTGTTGTATTCTCCTATATCAAAATGGATAACATTATTAATTATATAATTCAAGTTATTGACATCCTTATTTGATTTGTTGAGTTTTGGAAGAGGTGTAATAAAATATTTAACTATTATTGTAGGTTTTTCTATTACTCTTTTATGTAATTTTGCTTTACTTTTATGTATTTCTAAGCTCTGCTGTAAGGTACATAAAGGTTTACAACTGTTATGTCTTTATAATCAGTGATACAATTTGGCGATATGAAATATTCATCTTAATCCTGTTTGATGCTTGTCGCTTCAAATTTTATCTGTCAGAAAATACTATGTTAGACTTGCCTTCCTTATTTAATACATCTTTATTTTCCAATTTTTGGTGTTATGTTCTTGGGTGTGCCTTTTGCAAATAGCTTATAATTAAAATTTGTGTGTGTCTTTGTATGTGCATGTGCACATGTGTTTGTATTTATATAGCATCATTGCATTTTCCCCTTATTCTAACATTCTCAGCCTCTTAAATAGAGACCCAGCTCTGCTATAAATTTATACTTACAAATATATAATTTTGGTTATACAGTATTTGGGATGAAGTTGAGGTGTACAAGTGTTTTTAGAATGCCATCATGATCTAAAGTATTATGGACTTTTTCTTCACAAGCTGAAGCTAAAGTGGTTTAAATAAGAAAATTAAACTACAAGAAAAAATAACATTTAAGAGTTCAGCTAACCTTTAAAATTGATGCTCACACCAATAATTAGATACATGGCAAGTCATATACATAGAAAAAAAATGTTTGTCATAAAATGAATATATTGCTGGAAATACCACTCAGCCTACAGAAGATGGAAAGAAACAAAAGTGATACTCAATGTCTCTTCAATGAATTATCAAGTGAAAAAATTTCCTTTAATTGTGCAGGGCAAAGAAAGTGGCAGAGAAAGTGGCAAAGATTTTTAGTGGCCAGAATTTTTCAGGGGTTCCTTTCCCTTTCCAGGAACCCCAGCAGTTAGCCTTTTCTCTAACATCTATTGTGCTCAATTAGCTGCTGACCAAATGATGCCAATAGCCTAGAGTATTTCTTAATCAATTTTAACAAGTATAAATTAGCAAATGAATTGCAAAAAATATATTCTCAATATAATCCCTTGAGGCCAAGCAGGATTTCTGCTCTTTGGGAAAAACAAACTCGGGAATATACAGTGCAGCGCTATAGCATGTGGAACAGCATTTAATGCTTTTGAAGTTTTAAGAGACACAAAGTTCATCCCATTGTCAAGGAATTTCCCAGTTGTGTGGTTTACCCAGAGGATCAGATGCTTTCTGAGCTCAGCATTGATCATCTTGGATTTTATTGGTCTCTGCAGTGTCATTACTATGGTTCATTATACTGTTTGCAACTGTCTTGGCCAACCTTGAAGATGGGTTCGAAAAGCCTCTTGTCCTGTGAACATTTCTCCAGTTTTGCCTATTCTGACTAAGTCAGCTAGGTTTCCTCCAATCAGGAACTCATCAGGTGGGAAAGGCATGAAACAAAATCAAGAATTGGGAGGGAATATAGATCAGCATCTCTTCTATGCTTGTTATCAGTGCCCATTCCTGAAGCCTCTCATGTAGCTACTTCTATCCTATTGCCAGGGAGCCTGGCTAGGTTCTACCAGCTTTTAAGTTTTAGTGGAAAAGTTAAAAACGTGCTTCTTAGATTTTTCCATCTATGTAACGCTGATAAACAGAACTCAATCTGGGAAGGGCTGGGTGTTTATGGGATGCAGTAAGTGGTCTCAGGTGGACAGCTCTGTGTGTGCATGTGTGTGCATGTATGAGTGTTCATGTGTGTGTGTACATGTGTGCACATGCATGTGTGAAGCATGCCACCTGGCACTGTTCACCTTTATTCTGGAAAATACGCAATAATTTATCTGTGGGTCGAGGAATATTCTTCCACTCTCAATTTGTAAACTTTTGTTGAAGTTCTACTGTGGGCATGAGGTTGGCCAATCAGAATATTATTTGGCTAGCCGCAGTGACTAATTCAGTGACACAACTGGATCCAGTGAGACTTAAAGCATTTTTTTTTACCCCGGGACTTGTAGGAAAAATGATTCTTGCTTTTTTCTCTGAATTTTGAAGCAGAGCTCTCTGGCGCCTATCTTTTGTTTATAATAATGAAGTCAATATGGAGGAGAGAAGATTGTAAAATGAGATTAAGAAAAACGTCCAGACAAGCTATACCTTAAAGCCAGTCCCGCCCACGGGCTTTTCATTTATATAAGCAAATTTGTTCGTTTTGTGTTTAAACCACGTTGGACACACATTGCCATTTGTAATGAACATACACAAAATCCTTATTGATTCACTAATGCAAAACCTGTGTCCTTGAAATTCTTTGAAGTTTTTGGTTTTAGTCTAACAATTCATACACATTTAGCATTCAATTCCACAATATAACTATATATTTTTAAATATAAAACATGTTTAAATTATCATTCAAATTACTTAACTGTCTGCCTCAAAATTTTCAAGTAAAATTTATTTTCCAGGAGGAGATGTCATATTTACTATATAGTTTCTCATTCCCTTGACATAATTCTGCATGTGCCAGGTGGTACATCTACTGCAATTTTAGAAACACAGACTTGAGGAGTTGTGGGTGCAAATATAATAGGGAACTTCTGAATACAGAAAGTTTTCAGGACTCAAAGACATGGAAATGTAGTGATAGCATAATAGGCTTTGTCACAAGAAGACCAATTTGGGACTTCGCAAATGGGCAGCATTCATCCCATCCACAGAGAAAGCTCCTGTGTGGAGGAATGCATAAATATAAAAATTCCATAAGGTAGTGTAGTGAGGTTTACTATCTGAATTTCAACAACTTTATTGAAATAGCTCTGTGTAAGCAGAGATATCCCATGTTATAAATTATGACATATGACACAGAAGGTAACCAAGAATAGAGCTAATGCCTCTGGGGAGTATGTTTCCTTTTCTTTTTTATTTCTCAGAGTCATTATTTCCCTACCCCACAATAACTTATAGGTTATGGACTACTGAGTTCATCTTTTTCTCACAAGTTTAGTATAAATATCTATTGTTCAATAGGCTCAGACTTTAGATGGTGATGAAAAAATGGTATAGATGCTTGACTCGTGCTCTGTGAAGACCCTACTTTACTGTGCATTGCCAAATGTCCACAGGCTGGAGGAAATATGATATGATCAAACCATCAAATCTTTCATCAAATTTCTTTTAAGTGAACTTTTTAAGCAGGTGCACACACTTATCATTTTTGGAAAGTGGAATAAAATTTCAACATCTGAATGATTTCGGAAACCCTGATAAAATGAGAAATATTCAGCCAAGTGTCTGGATTTCTTGTTCGCATATTAGCTACCACCTCAGTAATTGAAGGCATATGAATTTTGTCCTTACATCTTGATCCTTTGACTCATAAACCTGTAATGAACTGTAGACATTGTATAGCCTCTTCTCTGGCTGCCGGTCCAAATAATCTTAGATGGGGCAGTTCAGTGTCTCCACTTCTTACTCCATATTTTATTTTCATGAATTTTCTTTACATAAGAGGCTCTAGAATGCTATACAGCAGTCACAAAATACAGAAAATAGTTTAAGATCCCACCTCAACATTCTGCAGTAACAAAAGTTTAGCAAAAAAGGAGAGTATCACTTGATCTTCAGGTCTCATTCATCTGACCCAAAGGATATTGGCTCCAAAATTCACTGCTTCATTTTGAACTGCAGTATTATACTTGAATATATGATGCTTTTTTTCTTCATTGGCTGAGCCTACTTGGGTGCATTTATTTTTAATTTGTTTCAGGCAACTAAAGGAAATTAACACGACTTTGCACCTTAAAGATTAATGGGCAAGGAAGTTACCTTTCTAATGTTACAAAATATTTTTGGGGATCATTTCTTCCCCAGAACTCATCTGAACTTACCTCATTCCCTGCAAAATAGAAACTGTGTTAGCTGTAAGAGCTGGGAAAAAGCTGTCTATAGCTAGGAAAATAGCAATAATAACAATATTTTCAGAAATAGACATAATTAAAGACATTGAGCGCTGTCTGTAATGTTTTATTAACGTGAGAATCACAAGAGGGATTTCTTTTTGTCATTGCATACAATAATAGCAACAGAACAAAGGTATTCAAGAACTCAGAGCTCCTATATGTTGTTTTCTCTAATTGTACTAATTTGAGTAATTTTGATCCTTGGTAGGTTATAACTATTTGTGTGCTCCTTAACCCTGGCATCCACAAAAATGATTTAATATGCTTTATTATATCTTATACAATGAAATAATTCCAACATACTAGTTCATTAAGAATATATAAACAGAATGGAGTATTTATTATATATTAAGGAAAACTCTGGAATGCAAATACCAGTCATGGGCTGTAGTAATAAAAAAATATGTATTTTAAGGAAATGACAGTGCTCAATTATAGTCTACAAAATTCAGTTTGATCCTATCTACCTACTCAATTCTTCCACTGAAAAGCAACAAGTGCGTTAGAGAGCACAAACAGAGAGACAAAAAGTTATATTTACTGGGTGTCTACCATGTTATTAGGCTATTGATAATAGCGAATGAAAGAAAAGTGTACCTTTATCCAAATAATTGGAGTGATTCAAGAAACGCAAAACAAAGTGGAGAGACAACTTATTTTATGGCAATGCCTTGGATCTCTATTTTTAAAAATGGATGAAAGATCTAAAAATCTGAACCCTGACTGACGTAATGCTTGTATATGAGTTCTAGCTCCATGTTCAGGCCTGTCCCAGACAACCATGAAACAGGAAGCTTCATAATGGAGGAAGAACACAAGATCTAAACTTTCAGACACTCCTTGACTTGTTTCTCTTCTTGAAAATATGATATTCCCATTGCAATCTTTATTTCTTAACCACACATTCTCTTTTGTTTTTGATAAAATACGCATTTTAGCATTCGGTTGTAGGTCAAACAGTTCAAATGTGCTCAGGAAGTTCTCCCGCGCACCAACTCTCTTCTTACTCCCCAGAGGGTACATTTTTGTGTCTGTTGTTAGTTTTATTGGTTATATCCATAATTTTAAATAACATGGTTATTCTTCTCTTTCTTGATTTTAAAGTACTACAGTGTCCAGTGATGACCCACTATGAGATAAAGATTTCACTCATATAAACTATCTACATCGTAAGTAGGGTTGGGGGTAAATTGCATTTCTCATGCAGTGTACTTGATAGTTAGGTTATACGAATATCATTTATGGATTGGGAAGCATTCCCCCTTTTTCTATTTTCTGAAAGAGCAACATAACATTATGAAAGACAGTATCTACCTTAAAATGTGGTAGAATTAATTTATACAACTGTCTGTATTTTTATTGTGTGAGGCTTTTAAACATCTGTTTTGACTTCTTTAATAGTTACAGGACTTTTGAGGCTTTCTCATTCTTTCTAAGTCTTTTTTACATTATATACGTTTAAGTCTTTGTCCATTTCATCCAAGGTTCAAATTTGCTGGCAAAAGCATATCACAATTTTTTCTTATGGATTATTATCTTTGCAATTCCTGTCTTATTGGCACCAATTCAGTTCTAATATAGTTTATTCTTTTTTTTTTTTTTTTTTTTGGGATGGAGTCTCACTCTATCGCCCAGGCTGGAGTGCACTGGTGCAATCTCGGCTCACTCACTGCAACCTCCACCTCCCGAGTTCAAGTGATTCTTCTGCCTCAGCCTCCCGAGTAGCTGGGACTACTGGCACACACCACCACACCCGGCTAATTTTTGTATTTTTAATAGAGACAGGGTTTCACCATATTGAACAGGCTGGTCTCAAACTCCTGACCTCGTGATCTTCCCTCCTTGACCTCCCAAAGTGCTGGGATTACAGGCATGAGCCACCGTGCCCGGCCTACTTTATTCATTTATAAAAATCTTTTCTCCCCTTGAACAATCTAGCTAACATTTTTTTCTACTTTATTAGCATTTAAAATTTTTGTTTTGATTGATTTTTTCTAGGATTTTTTAAATATTCATAGATTAGCACCCTTAATTTTATTTGTACCTCTTTTTAATTTGTCTGAATTTATGTTGTTATACCTTATAACTTTTAAAATTGGATACCTAGCAATTTTTAGTTTTTTCTCTTTTCCAAAGTAAGAATTTTAAAACTCTAAATTTTCCTGTAAATACTGTTTTTACTATCTGGCACAACTTTTCATATTCTTATTATTACCTTTTAGTAATAAAATTTAATTATAATTTATTATAATTTATGTTTCCACCATTATTTCTTCTTTGACTCCTGAGTTATTTAATGAAGTGCCTGTTTGTCTTTTAATTTCCAAATATATAGTGTTTTAAAATTTATTGACTTAATAAAATTGTGGTCAGAATATTGATTAGTCTGATAATAATTCTGCAAATTTTTTTGAGTGTTGCTTTATAATCTTATTAATAATCAAGTATTGTAAATGCTTCAGATTTTCTTGAGAAAATATGTATGTATTCTCTAGTTGTTATATACAGTTAGATCAAACTTGTTTATTATGTTGACATCTCCCACTACTCTAGACAAACCAGGGTGATTAGACCCCTTAGATAAAAGGAAAAACAGCAGTTACATGAAGAAATGAGGTGGCTTATAGGCAATAACCACTCAAGTGGTATTTTTTTAAAAACATGGAATAAAAGGGCTTATAGTATTTTATTTAAAAAATAAAATAGCCTTCAGGTTGAGTCCTCGGTTTTCAAATTAGAATACAAATATTTATAATATAAATGTAAGTTATAATGTAAGACAGGCTATGACAAAATAATAATAGCTTTCTACTATTTACCATACTACATTAAACTTAGAAATTTCCAGGAATTATTTTATTCAATTCCCTCAACAAATAAATGAGGTTAGAAAGTACTCTGTCTCTTTTACAGATGAGATTTAACAACTTATACCACGTAAACTATCTGGTAAGTGATAAATGATTAGAATAGTATCTGATCAAATCTCTGTGCTTTACTCTAAATCATTACACTCTTCTGCCAAGTACTTACTGGGGTTTTTGCATGACACAAAAGAAAAGTGTGATTTGTTCTTGCCCTTGATGACACTGTACTCCTATTAGGGTGACAAGTCTCATGTACTCAAAATAACTAGAAGATGGTACTAGTTAGTGAAATAATAAAATTCTAACATGAAATTTGTATGTCGAGTATATGCTACAGTATGCATGGTATTATGAGACTGTCAGGGAGGAGAGGTCATTGTTGCTTAAGTTTTTAGAAAAAGTTTCAAGAAAGAGGTGGGATTTTAAATGGAAATATAAATACTGATAGGATTCAGATAGAGGAAATATGTTCAACTGCACTGTCTAACTGGAGGAAGAAGCATTGGTTTATATGATATATTCTATATAATGTTAGTAGGTAGAGTTACTAAAACATGATGAGATTTGCATAAATAGAGAAAAGAAGAAAGGGCCATCTAAGCTAAAGCTGCAGTGGATAGGAATAGATGCAGTGTCTGTGGCAGAGAAAGAGTGGAGGGGGTATAGGGAGGGATGTTCGAATGGGTTAGGTGGCATCAATGCTATAGGATTGGACTTGTTTCAGAGGAAAATTGAGAACCATTATAATGTTTCTTTTTTCATAGGGGAATGATACAAAAACTAATTGCCCTCATTTCTAAATTCTGATGGATAGGAAATAATATCAGGAGAAAAAAAACATTTTCTACTATCTCACTCTGTCTAATGCATTTCATTATTACCTAACTCTCAAGAATTGGAAGATTTGGTTTTGGTGTGATTTAAATTTATTTTATTAGAATGTAAGTCCATTTCTTCTCTTGTCTTTTCTCCACGAAAATAGGCAATAAATTGTGATATTTTTCAATGTAGTCATAGTTTGACTTTTAATCTGTTCTTAGTTTCTGAATGGTCTTATTGGAAACTAGTTTTATTTATCATTTTAATAGAAATTTTAGCTCCCTTGTCACCTGAACTCATCTTTCCTTTTGGGATGAGGGGTGACACACATACTACATGTCAATTTAATTAAGAAATCTGTCAAATTGATCCAATTTCTGGTAAATTGATTTATTGTACTGAATTGTATACATTTTTAAAAGCCAGTTACTCTAGTGGCACGCAAAATCAGTCCAAATTTTGGTCTCAGAACTGTTGAGTTCAGCAAAGCCTTCTGAAAGCTGAGAGGCCTAATCATGAATTTGCCTTCAACTGTTGAACTTGTGAAGATTCATTCCAAATAAAACTATGTGACATTGTGCTGAGAGTTACATGACAATTGAAATGAAAAAATAATATTGATCTTAAGATTCCTAGTGTTGTCCAGAGTTAATTATAGGATTCTGATTGGTCAGCATTAAACTACTCCAAAATTAACAAAGAAATAGTGCATTTCTCCACCTCCTGACTTCTTAACATCGAGCTGCACCTCAAGAACACAGAGTTTATATATAGATGGGTTTACATTCAGCAAAAATGTTTGCATGTCAGGAATTGATAAGTACATGAAGTGTTCATTATTTCTCAACTGACAAAGATACTGAAGGATTTTTGTCTTCCTAAATTTTGTTGGATTTAGAAGAAAATTAAATCAATGTACACTTAAGATATCATATAGCACTTTTATATATGCTGCTTTTGAATTTGAGAAATTTTCTAAACTTTTTTATTGTTTTCTTCAAATTGACAATGAGACAAACTATCCAGGTTTTGCACCTGATGTCATCTCCAGGGGCTAGGCTGAAATAAACTTGGAAAGCTTTCCCACAGTGCTTCAATAGCAAGGGTTGGTCACTAATATATTTTTTTCTTCAAATGTCAATATTGAAATTTACCTGACATCAAAACTCATATGGCTGGGTATTTTAGGTTGTTTATCCAGAATCTGACATACTTTAACCTACATGGTTCTGGTGATAATTGCTGAATTTCCGAATTAATAGGAAAACTGGCACAATACTAGATAATATCAGAGTTTGTTATTTGTGAAGTGCCAATTTTATGTAATTAGGGAAAATTGCTAATTATCACTGGAACTATTCATTAATATTTGGAGGAAGATAAAAATTAATAGAAATGCATTTTTAGTGGTTAAAATTTTGAAAGACCACCTGCTATCATCACTTTGATGAATCCAGCTCTTTGTATCTTATCAAACAGTTGGGCAGTTGTGAGTAAAATGAAACTACGATTATTTTCCCAAATGTTGTGATGGAATGTTTAAAGTGAAAGACTTAACGTCACCTTACTAGTACTTCCAGTCTTCAGATGAAGTTGGGAAAGCCCCATATTTGATCATTTAATATCAATACCTTTTTAAGAGGTCAAAGTGGCCTTGGTTTGATTAAATGAAGGGGGCAGAGCTCTACATTTATTTTATATTATAAAAAGAAGCTTTGTCTGCAGCAATACTAATTATCACCATTATATCACATAATTTTAGGAATATGATAAATTTATAGGCAATGGCATTGAAAAATGAGCTATCATTTTGAAAGTTTATAGAATGTTTACCCCAGACAGCCTTTTAAGCCTGACTTCTAAGCACGTTCTTTGACTCAGAATTAAACAGTACAAATGTAATGTTTGAAAGCTCTTAAACTAATAAATTTTCCCTTATCAAGAAGAGTTTAAAATTACATTCATTAAAATATAGAAAATATCCAAAAGATGATAATTGCTTTAAGCTAATGGGTGTTAAAATCATTATAAGATAGTTAATTATTAATTTATTCAACAAATAGTCCCTGAGCCTTTACCCTAAGAAAGGTACTTGGGCAGCTGTAGGAGACTGCTGGGTCACTGGACTAGATGAATTGAAAGGGAAGAAAACAAAGTTGGCAAAGAAAGCTGGTGATCCAGGGTCAGGAGGAAGCTGAAACGAGCTTGTCTGCAGGGGATAGACCAAGAAGACTGAGTGATTAAAGCGGTGCCAGTGAACTTAGGGTCAGGAAGAGAGTGAACAGAGAGTCAGGGAACCAGTGAGGGTGATAAACTGAGAAATTGGAAAAGATGGCCTTGCCTGAATGGAGCTGTGGCCACGATTCAGTTCAGTTCAGCACAGTATTGACTGAGTTCCTACTGGATGTTCAATGTATTATAGTCCACCCATAACTTTGAAAAACTAAGAAAAATAGGTAAATGGACATGAAAATTTACCTGTATTGTCAAATATTCTTCCTTCTTTATAGCAGATAGTAATACTGATGATTAAATGTAATTTCTACTGGGGAGTAGGTGGTGTTTTGCAACTTAGGTCTTCCAAAGCACACATAGCCTTTCAGAATGAGAAGGTTCTTAGATGTAATCTAACTTAACTTGCTACTCCATGCTGAAATCCCTGAGGACATTTACTCCAGGGAGATGATCTTTTGAAGATTATGTTGTATGATCAGAAGAAAGTGAGGTTTGCAGTTACTCTTTTATTTCAGCCTGGAAACAGTGCTCTAGAGAAATATTCTCAGTACCTCCCTTATCAGTACTGTTTCCAGTACTGTTATTCTAGCTTTGCCCCATTGGAATCAAGTTCTAGCTTGACAATATTTTGTCCAAAACCTGGCACTCAGAGATTAATGCAATTTCAAGATGTGCCCTGATCAGGAAATGACCAGGGAATGTTGCCGAGGCTTTGAGAATGAATGTCTGGCTTGAAATAGATCCCATTTGGCCACTGTATCAATCAGAGTCCTTAGCTGTAAGTAGCAGAAACTCACTGGGACTGATACATGGAGAAAAAAAAGTTGTTAAAAAGATACTGGGTAGGTTACAGCCTCTCCTCCAGGGCCAGAGAACTAGGCTCAGAGCTTACTTGATCAGGAAAGGAGCCCCAAATGGAGTTTCAAGAGGGATTCTGGTGGAGCGACCACCGCCACTGGACACTGGGTCCCATAGCTTTACTTCCTACACCACAGAACTTGGAACTTGGAACTTGTAGCTTTGCCTAGAGTCATAGCTGCTGCTGCCTGGACGCTGCAGAGCAGCTATCCAATTTTTCCTATTCAAGATCTGGGTATGGCTAGGACTCATGCCAATGCTGTGACTGCGAGAATGGCACACTGTGCCAAATAAGGGGAGGATTCTCCAAACACAGGCAGGGATTTCAGAACCTGGGAAGCCGACAAGATTAGCAAAATGACCCTCAGCATGTCTTGACCACCTTAATTCATACTTTCTTACTCTTAGACTCATGCAAAGACCAAAAATTCTCAATAAATGTGTTGCTTTTCTAGATGTCCTGGGATAGGTAGGGAAATAAATGTTTAAATTTCTTAATAATATTTTTATTGCAAGTTTATAGAAAGACTGCATGTAGGAGTAAGACTATCAAGGATGTTATTTTTTAAAGTTATACAAGATGAATAAGTCCTGGAGATCTACAGCATAGTGCCTGTACTTAACAATACTGGATAGTATACTGAAAAATTTTCTAAGAGGGTAGATCTTATGTTAAGTACTGTTATCATAAAAATAATTATAATAAAGGAAGTTTTGGAGATGATAGGTTTATGGCATAGATAGTAGTGATAGTTTCATGGGTATATACTCATCTCCAAAATCCCTGAGTTGTATAGGTTAAATATGAACAGCTTTTTGTATGTCAATCATACCTCAATAAAATGGTTTTCAAGAAGTACATAAGTGATAATACAATACAATGTGAAAGATTTACACTGTTTAGCCTATGTGGATAACCAACGATCCTCTTTTGTTCAAGTGCTTGGAAATCATTGGCATTAATAGAAGAGTACTTGGAATTGTCATGGTTTGTGCAGCGTTTCATGGCAGAACTTCATTTATTTGAAAGTTCAGAGTTCAGAACCTCTTCCTCTCCACCCCCTACTGTGCATTATTAGATTGGATCATGATATGAAGTATGGAATGTGCTTAATCATACAGTTTCTTTACACCCCATCACAGTGTCTAATGATGGACCTGGATAATAATCGTAGCACAAAATTCATCGAGTGCTGTCTGTGCTGCTAAACAGCATTCTGAATGCATTATGTGAGTTATTCATGCAATCTTTACCAAGTCCTAGGAGGAAGGCACTGTTACTATCCCATTTTGCAGATGAGGACATGAAAGCGGAGAGATTCAGTTTATCTGTCCAGGATTCTACTTATTCTTCGTGGCCAGAGGCAGGGTGGGAACCCAGGCAGTCTGACCCCAAATCCTACAGTCAGACCCAGTTAGTCTGGCTGCTGGCTGGAAAATTAGAGACAGTGATTATATCGTGTTTTTCCTTGGTGGGTCAGAAGTAGAATTCCTGCTGTAAAGGTGCTTTTGCTCTGGTGGTTGGTACTTCTCAGTTGAAATGAGAAGCCATTTTACTGCCACCGGTACAGAAAAATATGTCGACCTTTTTTTCTTTCAGTCCAATCTCAACTGCAGGGAGTGATGTGACTACCCAGTGTGAAAAATATTCCAAGCATCTCAGCTGATAAATTCTAATGGAGCTCTGATGCCTTTTGTGACTTTTTTCAGATTCGTTTAGTGCACCAAGCATAAACTGCTGAAATCTTTTACATACAACCATTCTATTGCCTATTAATTAGAACTGTCTTTTAATTGCACTGGTGCTCCAGAATTAAGTCAATATAGTTACAGGGATAGAATCCCCTGGGGGGAAAAATTCTTTATAGGAAGCTAGCGATGTTAAAAACAACAGAAATAGCAAACAATAAAACTCCCAATAACATCTACAAAACACCCCCACAGAATCTTCATAAATCATTTAAGGGTAAAACTCCCTTTCCTGGCTGCAGAGTATGATACACTTGGTGCTTAGCTCCTTCCACGGCCCCACTGTGAGTGGTGATGCTATTGAAGGTTTCATTCTGTGTCTTCATGTCCCTCTTTTTAAAACCTTATTCCTTCTTCTCCCCTAGATGAGGTAGCTGGTATCCTGTTTTCAGATTCTCTCCTTAGTCAAAACAGGAAATGATCACACCTCAGTCTTTTCCATTTGATGGATTTGTTCTATTTTTTATTTCCACTAAGGGACCATTGTCTTTTCCAAGCCTTTGCGTTTTAGGTCATCTTAATTCTCAGTATCTGACGGAATGTCAGCTATTGATAAATGTTGGGGAAATTTGGAGTAAGGGAGGAAGAACTAAAATCATTCAAATGCAGGACCTGAAGGGAAACTTAACATTTTTGGGTGACATCGAAGTTGAGCTGGGGCAGAAGAAAGCTTCATGGTCCTTCTCCCAGATCCTCCAGTCCTCTCCCCATGACTCAGACCTGGGCTGCTGGGGGATCCTGGCCTCAGTTCCCCTCCCTCACTGGCCCTCCACAGCGCCCACCCTTCTTTCTTTGCTAGAGTCCCTCCCCCTTCCCACACTTCCAACCTCAGTCCTACCTCTACTTCCTTCTCTCTCACCAAATATGCCCAGAAGTACGTATGCTAATTGTTATCTGAAGCTATTTTGGTTAATGTCATGACACATATTCATTAATGGATGTATGACTATGTCGAATGCTGCTTTGAATAATGCTGCCTTGAGAAATAACTCTACAAACATCGTTATATCACAGTCTATGGCCTATATTTCAAAAAGTATTAGCTCCTTACTCTCTGGAGTTCTGAGTCAGGCTTTTTATAGTTCACATAACCTAGATTTGTGAGTCACTATGTACAATAAATAGCATTCCCACGGTGACCACAAGTCTTGGAATCAGTTCCAGGTGTCGTCGTGGCCGTTGACACCGCTGCCTTCTGACGGTAAATGTATTGTAGAATTCATGTTGTTCTCAGGCTTCAGTTTCCTCATCTCTAAAATGAGAGGATTGGATAAGTTAGTAGTTTCTAATTTTTACTTTTAATCAGTGGCATCTCCCATTTATTTTTCATTTGAAATAAAACTTTTGAATTTTATCTTCTACCTAAATAACATATTTTGTTTTATGTTTCAAGATGAAGCTCACACTGAGTTGGAAAAAAGGAAAAAGCAAAGGATCAAAGCTGGGGGAAAATACTGGACCATGTGCTTCACCTCATGGTGCCAAATAAAGAGAAAATGGGGAGAAGATAGGGACAGATAAAGATCTATTTGCTCGGATTGTGCTCTCATCCTTGGCAACATGTTGACAATGCCCTGGAAATAACTTGTTTTTCTTGCAACATTTCTCCAGTCTGATTGGTCAGCCTCCGGAAGATGTGGCATTTTGTAACTACTAGTTTTCTCGTATGGGTTTAGAAGAAATTAAAAATGAAGCCAATACCCAAGGAAGAAATGAAAGCTGGCCATTGGAGGCAGATCATTCCAGCAGAGTGAGGGCAGCCACTGGGATAATGCGTGGTCCAGGATTACACAGGCTGACTTTGCCAGGCCCTTGTTTCTCTGACTCTATGTTAGTCAGCAAAACACAATCCGTATTCATTGGCTGCATTTTCTTGGTTCTGTTTTGTTTAGTCTGGCCTCCTGGCCTGTTCTTTACCCATGTCGTAGCTACAAGGTTTTGAGGATTACTTTGCTGTGCATGCCTTCTTTCCTGTCACCTCCACTCCCATTCAGTCTCATTTGTTTACCTGTTTCTTTCTTTCTTCTTCTAGCTCTTAAGAAACCTGTCAAATGTCAACCCCTGGAGTCCCAAGTGGCAGCTTCCTCAATTCACTGACTGACTAATTTTACTCATTACTTTGGAGATAGGGCTAAGATTTCTTTAAAACAAACAAACAAACAAACAAACAAACATCAAACTGCCTGTTTATGTCCCTAAGCCTCAAATAATTAAAAAGCATATTGTTTGAGAAAAGATCGCTTCTATCGAGCAATACACAAGCAAGAAAATCTGATTTTCCCAAGTGAAATTTCTGACAAACCACGGATTCTTTCTAAAGAAGCAGAACACCCCTCTCTGGTGACCAGGCTACCAAGTTCCTACATTGACATCAAAGAAGAGCCTTTCTGCATAAATAGACTGTGTGTTAATAAAATAATATTTATGATTCAGTTTTTTTTTTCTTTTCAATATCAAGCTGTATCCTGCAGGAATGAAAATAAAAGAAGTTGATGTCTACAATATAACTATTAAGGGGAAATTTGCTCCACTGTTATTTGGATGTAATTGGTACTGAGCACCACAATGCACTTGTAATTGGGTCTGTACTTGTTCACTTCAAGGGTTCCAAGCTCTTTCTACTTGAACCCATTTTTTTGATACCGTTCAGCTCAGCAGTGCCAGCTAACTCTTGTTATGCAGTTGAAAAACTGGCCATTAAAAATAGGATACGGTGTGATTTTGTTTTGCAGCACTGCATGGAAAATCAGTTGCTGTTCATAACAGCTCTGTGGTTGGTTGATTTAAAGCAGGGGGGTGACTTGGAATTGACAAGCAGACAGTTTGTGAAAAGGGATATTGTATCTTTAAGGCTTTCTGACTGATTGTGTTTAACTGCGCCACACAGCAGGCAGTAATTAGGCTGTAGCTTCACCAAGAGACTTAAAGCACTGGCTCTGGTTCTCAGTTCTCCAGATTTTTTTTTTGAGCACAAACATTTTTTTTAATTTGGATTTGAATACATGATAATTTTTTAAAATTATCATGAGTGAGTGAGTGAGTGTGTGAGTGAGCACATTAAAACCCAACCCAGGGGCTTCCTGTGCAGGCCACCTCAGGGACCACCCTGTGCTGATGGCTCTTGGGCTCTAGGGAGACCAGGCAGCCGCATTGGGAAGTAGTAAGAACCGTGATAGGAGAACATGATGCCACTGCTGGAGAAGGTCAAGGTGCTCTTGAAATGAAAGGACATCAGCTCTCATAACACGACACAGTGTCTTCTGGCCCAGTTCACAATGTTAATGAGACTCTGGTTGAAGCATGCTACTAAGATTAATAGACAAAATGCCTAATAATTTTTATTTAGGGGAAAGAGGAACTTTCTTTACCTAAGGCTATTAAGTAGAAAAGGGTGCATTTTAGAAGTAAATTGAACAAACCATTAGCTTAAGTAGTATTTTCCATCTACCACCCTGCCTTCCTTTCTCCATACCCCCTCCCATTAAAATACCTCATTGCTGTTTTGGAAATTGGTGGACATCATCAATTTGTTATTATTTGTTAAAGATGGAGTTTTAAGCTTTCTATGCATTTGTTATCACAGGGGTGCAGTAGACAGATTTTACACTGACCTTATTAAAAATGAACGTTCAATTACTGTTGGGTTGATCACAGTGACTGTCTTCATTATCAATCAGGCAACAGTGGCTGAGTCCCAACTGTGTGCATGACACTAGGTTGGATGCTGTGGAGATAAACATTCTTCTGGGAACATAGTTGTGATATTTTCCAGACCTATGTATAAAGTTTCCTTCCTCTTGTTTTTTATATAGGTGAGTTATTCCAATTAGATTTGACTACTACTTAATTCTTAAATTTCTGGGTTGTTATTTTTTCTTATTACATGAATTTTTTTACCTTTCTTACTTTATTATTGGTGTACATAAGTATCTTTGCTTATTCATTCTCATATTTCTGTCCATTATAGATATGTATGGACTATAGATGATTGTGGTTTTAAATGATAATTCCCCATATTTGGGGATCACATTAGAGTTTTTGAAGTTTTACCTCCCAGTATGTCATCTACGTCTTCCTACAACATCCTAAGGGTGACTGGGGGGGTGATATCATTATCTTTTTAAAGGCTCAAGACAGTGAAAGGGACTTGGCTTAGGAATCAGGTTCGCTGACTCTTTGTTCTTGTCATAGTAATAAGATCGTATATTCAGCCCCCAAATGAACAATTTTCTAATTTAAGAGTAATGAAAACATTTTAGTATAGCTTCTAATTTAAGAGTAATGAAAACATTTTAGTATAGCTTCACCACTTTAAAACATAGATTAAAAATCAAGCATAAGCTATCATAAGGAGATTCTGATTTTTAAAAGTTGCTTCTACTAATTTGGAACTGATGTTTGTCCTTTCTCTGTAGAGTTAAAAACTTTTGGAAGCTCTCTATTCTCTTGGTTTTGATGTTTTGGGGCTGCCTTGAAGATAAATTACTTTAATCTGTAGGCTAAGTTGCATTGATATATTTATCTTTCTCAACATGCTTTGTCCTAAGGTCAGTACTTTGAAAGATTTGATCTAAATAAATTATAAATGTGTATCAAAATCTATTTGCTATTAGAGTAAACACATTAGAAATATGTCCCACTATTGCTTTGAATGTGACAAAGATGAATTCCATTCTATAGTTCAAATTTCAAATGTAAGTGTGTACTTTTATATATGTCTATGTCTAAATGTCGAGGTCAATAATTCTATAAATTCCTAAGGTTGGTTTATTCTGTAGTGCTGATAAATGTATCTTGGAATTAAGATGTACAGAAGATCAAAGATGAAATTGCAATTTTTTTCTAAAGTGACAATGAGCCTAATTCACTGTCAGTTAAAGCCAGGTGTTTCTCCCCCTAGTATTAAGTTCTTCAAAACAGTGGCTGCATAGGACACCATTCACAGAGGCTTAGCACTGGGGAGAAAATGATTACATTAAATCGAATGATATGAATAATTCATGACATCACATTTTGTAATCCTGGTGCTAAGCATAAAACCAGTGGTTTATTTTTTAGCAAAATGTTTTTGTATCATTCTAGATAGTGCATAATGCAAAACAATAACTGCATACATAATGCAAGAAGGATGGTGGTGAATAGGGTCCTTAATAGTGCTTGCAGCATCATCTGGGGTGTGATCACAATAAACATGTTTGGAGCCAATGCCCATGGGTGCCCAACGTCTGCTGGAATCTTCTGAGTCCAATAGAATGGCTGCCTTTTAATTTGTTTTTGAATATTACACCTGACCTTTAGCATGGATCTGAAAGTCAGTCCTTGTATATTGCTAATACTACAAATCCTTTTGTCCCCCCTTCTTTCAGTTTACTTGGAGGGCAATTCTATTGGGGGTAAACTGCTGATTTTTTAAATGGCATTTGATTTTCCAATACAGAGTTGGAAATACTAGAAAAATCCATAGAATTTGAACTTTTATTTTTCTATAAAGAACTTAAATGTTCTGGGGTAAAATGTCAGTTACTTAACAATTCATCCAAGTACTTATTAGGAATGTCATTTATATCTCTAAGACTAAATAAATTATGCCTTGTATTTGAATCTTCTCCTTATTTTCTAGAGAAAGCATCTTTTCTTTATAATTATCAAAGGAGGTCTAGGATGTCTCTGCAACCTTCATAAAACAGTTTCCAGGTCATGTACACTGTAGCAATACTTTAACACTAGTCTGATTATTCTGCTGCATTTCAGGCTGAAATAATCGTGTACCTGGACTATCTGCGGCTGCCTTTTCCAGCACCTTCCTGTGGACTGCTCCAGGGCACTCTCTAGAAGTCAGAATGGACTCCTGCTGATTCTCTCGCATATTTGTCTTGAATAAAAGAATGGTGTATGCCAGTGGATTTCAAAGCTTCTCACAAAACATCTCCACATCTGAAGTCTCAAGAGTTTATGTCAAGCATTTGTATTACTTACAACTAATTAAATATACCATTCCTGTTTTACAACATGAACACATTTGCTGATAATGTTGTAACTTGTATTATTATTATTTGTTTGAAACAATACATTAATAATTAATGACTGGTCAGTAATATAATACTAATATCTTGACCTATTTAGAATAGACATTAATTATCACATGTATAGAAAATAGTGTGATTTTAAATTTTTTTTCACAAAAAATAATTTGGAAGCATGTTAAAGTGCCTTATTTCCATATTATTTATTTACGTGATTTGGAGAATATTGTTTAAAGTTTTATTTTACAAGACTAAGCAGACTGTCAAAAAAGGTAGATTATGAATACTAAAGAAAAGGCAAGAGAGTTGGCATTTAGAAGTTAATTGTAGTGATTTGTTGAGGTTATCTAAGGGAAAATACCTGATGACCCCATTATTGGATTTGAATATAAAAATGCTGGATGCATTATATGTGGCAGCCTGAGATCTATTCTTCTTATCAGAGAGATATAAAATTACCGAGATTTAACTGAAGGCAGCTGTCAAACTCTGTAAAAGAACTGATATTCTTCAGAGGAGTGCAAATTCTATGTCAAAGACACAAAACAGATTCTTATTGCTTAATAATCTCCCACAGTTCAATAGTGACAGAAATTGGTTTCCTTTTTGCCCCCTACCCCTACTGTCTTATTTCTACAATTTTCTCTACAGTTACCAGTTTTGGGATGACTGATTCTGGTGTTTACTATATGATCACTTGATCAATGGAGACCTGCCCATCCTGCTTCTGACTATCGTGATGTCATAGTAGAGCTGCTTTAGATGAATCCGAAGTACTCACTCCTTTCTCCAATTTCTTCTTATCTGGTTTAAGAAAACAGTAACTTATTTTTGGCAGAGTCTATCAAAAATGAGAGGAATTGTCTATAGTATAATTTTAGTTTGAGTACAGAGAATAATAAAAATTATTGCTAAAATAAAATCTGATTTATCTAAGTATCAACTCTATTTAACTTTTTCTTTAATAACGTAACTATTTTATGCTGCATAAAGCAGAATACAGGTTCCAGTGCTCGTTTGGCCACTTAGAACCTCATCTTCTTTATCTATAAAATGGAAATACAAAAACTGTGTTGGGTTTAATAGGGAAAATAAAATAATGTACAGGAGAATATCATGTAATAATGTTTTATAGAAAAAATAATTATTTTATCTGTTAGAAGATTTTTTTCTTGTCAGTTAATGCATTACTAATGATTTACTTTTAAAAAATTAAATATGCTAAAAAAGTAAATAAGTCAAAGCCATGATGAGGTTCACCTATATTTTGAAACACTCTTTTAAGCATGCCAAATTAGTGACATGGGCTTTCATGTGTATCTTGCCTTCACACACTTAAATGCATAACCTTGAAAGTAATAAAATTTGCTGAGTTGGCTATTTCCCTGCTTCCTCAGAACATATGTCAACTGAGCAACAGAGAATTCACTGTAGCAAAAAGAAAGATAGTTCAGTGAAAGCTTGTTTAATAATTAATCCGCTGAGTAAGTGTCTGAATGTTTGATAAATATTTAGTCACCATGTGTATCAGGCAGCATTGGTTGCATACCAAAGAATTTGCAAAGGTAAAAACTGCCAGTCATAGGCATCAAAGATTAGGAGGTTTCTTGATCACAAGCCAGAGATGTGCAAATTATTCCATATAACATAAATCCAGAACTATAAATCCATGACTAGCCACCCAATGTTATTCTAGGAGAGTGACAGGAGGCCACTACCTTGTCCTCCAAAGTTCTTCTATAGTGTATTTGGTATCACATTTTAATTAATAGCTGCTTGTCTGCCCATATGTATAAAGAAAAATATTCTGGTGCATGCATGAAATAGAATGGTGAAATATGCACCTCATGTCCTCTTGAAATTCATACTATTGTACTAGGAAAGGAATGGGGGGGCAGTGATCCACTGATGTACCCTGAATGGAAACAGAACTTGCTGCAGCATCTAGAGACAAGGCATTAAAACTCATCTTTATAAACATTTATTACATCCCTAGGATGTTCAATGCACTGTGCAGCAGGAGAGGAGAAGCTAACGTGTGGATCTTTTTAGTGCAGAAAATGTAAAAATTAATTATTGTATAGTGAAAATAAGAAGTTTTGCTATCTACAAGGTAATCACTTATAAATTGTGTTCTGACATGAATTCCTAGCAAAATCCTCACAAATTCCTACAAACCTCTCCAGAGAGCTCATGGTCTCCTTCTTGCAACAGCACACATGCCACCTCTCAGTCAGTTTCAGGTCTTTCACCTGGAAATGGGGGGTGTGGTTGTGTGTGTGTGGGGTGAATAGTTACAAATAGAAGGTGGGAGTGACTGCCCTTCTTGGCACCCCTTGCTGGCCAGAGTACCACTAATGATGGCTCCAGAGAGGCCTCATCTTCTCTCTTCCAGCCTATGTGAACCGTTGCCATGGCAGCCACAGCAGTAAAAAGGAATGGAGCCCAGGGGCTGCAGCATGTGGAAAAAAGAGATGACCCCAAATGAGGCACTGGAATGGGGCCTTAAGGATTTCCCCCAAAACAAAAAAGATTGATCTTACAGGGAACTGCTCTACTTGAATTTACTTACAGGCACCATGTTCTGTTTTTTTAACTAGGGTTCTGTTCTCCATACCACTGTACTTAAATTCTCTATTTCCCTATTATACTCCTCTTTCACACGACTGATAAAGTGAAAATAGATTAAATAAAGCAAAGTAAAAGTGTATTTTACAATATTAGAAGCAGTTTATGGATCAGAAGACTTAATATTTTTAAGATAGCAGTGCTCTCCAAATTGACCTACAGATACAAGGCAATGGTTATCGGAATCCCAGCTGTCTTCCTCATAGAAATCGTCAGACCAATTCTAAAACTCATATGGAATTGCAAGGAACTCAAAATGGTGACACAATCTTGAAAAAAAATTGTCTGAAAAAGTTGGAGAACTCATACTTTCTGATTTCAAGACTTAATTACAAAGCAATAGTAATCAAGACAACGTGGAACTGGCACAATGATAGACATATAGAGTGATGAAATAGAATTGTGAGTTCAGAAATAAACTGACATATTTGTACTCAACTGATTTTCAAGAAGGGTAGCAAGGCCATTCAATGGGCAAAAAACAGTGTTGTCAACAAATGGATAGACACATGAAAATAAAAGACCCTTACCTCACACCATATACAAAAGTTAATTCAAAATAAATATAAAACCTAAATGTAAGAGCTAAATCATAAAACTCTCGCAGAATAAAATATAATGGTTTATTTATAGTGGTTTATTTAGATTTGGCAATGCTTTTTTTGGATATGACACCAAAAGTGTGAACAAAATAAAAACAATAGATAAAGTGGACATCAATAAAATTGAAAAATGTTTGTACTTCAAAGGAAGCTAGAAATAAAGTGAAAAGAGAACCCACAGAATGGGTAAAATATTTTAAAATCATATATCTAATAAGAGACTTGTAATTATAATACACAAAGAAAATTTACAACTTACTAATAAAAAGACAAATAACCCAAATAATAACAAAGGATCTGAATAGACATTTATTCAAAGAATATGTAATAATGACCAATAAACACATGAACAGACCCTTGACAGCATTAGTAAACAGAAAAATGCAAATGAAAGCCACAATGAGATATCATTTTACACCCAGTAGGTTGGGTAGAATAAAAAAGTCAGATAACAAGTGTTGTCAAGAATGCAGAGAAATCAGAACACTTATATATGGCTATGAAAGTGTAAAATGGTACAGCCACTATAGAAAACACTCTGACAATTTTTTAAATGGTTAACATAAGATTACCATATGACTTATAATTTCCATTCCTAGATATATTCTCAAGAGAAATAAAAGCATATGTCCACAAAAAAACTTGTATGCAAATGTTTATGGCAGCATTATTCACAATAGCCAAAAGGCAGAAACAACCCAAATGTCCATCAACTAATGAACAGATAAACAAAGTGTAGGGTATTCATATAATGGAATATTATTCAACCATATAAAGAAATGAAGTAATGATGTGTGTTACCACATGGATGAACCTTGAAAACATTGTACCAAATGAAAGAAGTTAGACCCAAAAGGCCACATATTGTATGACTTCATTTACATGAAATATCCAGAATAGGCAAATTTATAGAGATAGAAAGTAGATTTGTGGTTACTTAGGACTTTATATCCCCCCACCTTAGGAGGGGTTGGTGGGGATATAAAGGTGATATCTCAAGGGTACAGGGTTCCCTTTTGAGATGATGACAATGTTCCTAAATTGGCTGTGGAAATGTTTGCATATGTCCATGAATATGCTAAAAAATCATTGAAATGTACACTTTAAATATGTGAATTGTATGGTATTTAAATTATATCTCAATAAAACCATTACAAGATAAAGTGATTTTTACCATATTAGAAGTGGTTTTCCATGGAGAGAGGTAAAACTTCCATCCAAACTGTGTCTTCATGTTTCCACAATCTAGTGGCAGCTCTTTTCTTTGGAGCTCCTTTATTTTTGAGCAGCTACCTCCCTTACTCCCCATCATAAGAACTGAAATCCTCATACTTTTTTGGTGCTTCCAGTACATAGAGCTACAATTGACCTTTGACATTTTGTCTAAAAACTCCTGGTTTCCTTCATTGGGAAGCTCTGTGCTTTCCAAAAAAACATTCAGCTTGTTTAATAAACTAATCCAAGCAGACAGGGTAAGGCTATAAACCCTTAGGATTCACCTCACAAGTACAGTACATTTTGAACATGGGTTCTAAAGATGGTGTGACTTAGAGCCTATAAGTTGTCTAACCAAATAACCATTATGAACTTATTCTCCTATGCCTAATTCTAAAGATGGAACAAAAGCTAAGAACACCATTTCTAAGTCTCTCTTGCAGCTAGGAATGACCATGTAGCACAGTTTACATTTGATACAAGCAGAAATAAACTGGAGTTTCAGGGCAGGTTTTTCTTTCTTAACATAGCTGGACACTCATTTTTCTTTTATCTTGCCTTGGATGCAGATGTAAGGGATGATGCTGCAGCAGCCATCTTGTCACTGCTCATGAGAATTACAGAGATACTGGCTCTGACATCTGTGAGCCTCTGAACCAATGTCAATGGCCACCTGTCTTTAGACTTCTTGGTAGGAAAAAGCTAATTTACTTAAGCTCCTCTTAATAGGTATTCTGTAACTGGTGATAGTAATTTCTGCCAAAGCATCATCATTTTATGTTTGATGTCTATTTTAAAACAGCAGTGGGAATTTCAGGCTTTATATTGGAAGAAAATTAGAATAGACAGATAAGTAAGAAAATGTTTTGGATTAAATGGTGTCTTATTGTGCCCTTGAAATCACAGAATACTTACTGTATGTACTTCATGTTTGCCTAGGCCACCCCAGGATGATAGAAACCTTCTTGTAGTAATTTTTTATTTACTACAGGTTTATAAATATACTTTGTATCAGTGTAGGGGAGTAGAAAGAGGACTGAATCTAGGCTTAAAAGGGTGAATTGAAATCCTGACTTTTTAATAGCCTGTGTTACCTTTCCCCCACCATGTCTTTAGCTCCTAGAACAGTGCTTAAAAAATAGTAGGTATATTATCAGTGTTTTCTAAGAATAATGAATATTATGTTTATAATAAACATATATATAACTCAACTTAGATTTAAAATAAAAGACATTTTATAAATACCAATCACAGAATCATAAACTCTCAGCTAAAATGGATAATTATGGATGAGAAATCAGGAATTTAAAAATGTAAGATCCCTAAGATATAGTTTTTGCTCTTCTTGTCCAGAGAAAACATTGGTTAAAAAAAAAAAAGAAACGGACTGACTTTGAGGAAGTCAGATGAAAACAGAGGGAAGAAAAGAGGACTGAAATATAGGAGCTTGGTGTAAAAAAAGTGAAACTCAGTCATAACTACATATTAGGATCACTTAGGAAGACTATTAAACATACAGATGCCAGCTCCACATGTACACACATTCTGGCTTAATTGGTCTGTGATGAGACCCAGGCATTGATACGTTTTGAAACTTCTCTACATTATTCTAATATGCAACCAAGATTGGGTGTCACTAGTTTAGGGAGAAAAATTCCAGGCTTTGGAAAAAGATGAAGCTATGTTTGAATCTGTGCTTGAGCACTTACTGGTTTAGTCATCTTAGTCAGTTATACAGCCTTTCTTACATCAGTTTTTCACCTGTAAAATGGAGATGAGGCTGGGCATGGTGGCTCATGACTGTAATCTCAGCACTTTGGGAGGCTGAGGCAGGTGGATCACTTGATGCCAGGAGTTCAAGACCAGCATGGACTACATGGAGAAACCCCATCTCTACTAAAAATACAAAAATAAAAATAAAAATAAAAATAGCCAAGCATAGTGGCACACATCTGTAATCCCAGCTATTTGGGAGGCTGAGGCATGAGAATCTCTTGAACTTGGGAGGTGGAGGTTGCAGTGAGCAAAGATCATGCCACCGTACTGCAGCCTGGGCAACAGAGCCAGACTCTATCAAAAAATGATAAAATAAAATAAATGTAAAAAATGGAGATGATAGTAATATCTGTCTTGAGTATTACTGATATAATAGAATAAATGAGATGATGTGGAACTGTTCATAATGCAGTGGGCATTTTTATATGTTAACTATTGTAGAATAGCATTTCAGTGTGTTCCCTGTCGAAGCTTTGTTGCAGGTCATAAGAAAACCTACGGTCACTGGGGTTAGTGAAAGAGGGAAATAAGGCAGTAATAGGCCTACACAATATCTCTCTGGCTTTTGGTGACACAGTAGCATTATTAGTAGTAGAATCTTAATTTATCTGATCCTCCACTTTCAAATTTTCTTTTTCTCCTTTTTTCTTTGCTGGAAATGTAGAATTCTTTCAAAAAGCTATTAAAGAAAAAATAGAGGGATCATCTGAGGTCAGGTGCATGCCACCTTGAGTCATCCTTTTTAGATGGTGTTCATTTTTATAGTTTTAAAAAATTAGCACAAATGTTTTAAAATTGTATTTTTTGCATGCTTCCAGGTTCTAGAAGTCCATTAAAATTTCCTTGCTAATAGCTCATATAGTGCCTGGCATGCAATCAACACTCAAGAAATATATTTTTAATTGAATTGAGTTTTAAGATATTCCTTTTTTTTTTTTTGGCTGACAGTTCTGTTTGCTTCACTATTCCTGTTTGACAGTCTTCTATGGCTTGTAGACGAAAGCTTTACTAAGGAGTAAAAATTCTGGCGATTATTGTTCACATGAGCAATATTAGGTCCCTGCCACTTCACTTTTCAATCCTAATTTCCCCTTTTGGCCTCATTTAGTTAGTTCTTTAAAGTCTGCTTCACCCACCCATTTTTTCCCCTAGTTTGAAACCATCTGGCGTGCATTTCTTCTTCCCTACTTATATATTTGGGTATATACCCTCTTCAAACCTCAAAATATATCTGGATCATCATCTATTTTCTCTTCTTTCCTTTTCAGAAGTAGAGGTTCCCCATTTCCAGGTCTAAAGTCCTTCTGGGACACTCCCGACTTCCTCTCCTTATCCCTCTCTTCTGGGGTTTGCTGCAACAACTAATGCTTCTCACAGCAGAACATTTAATCTGTCTTTTGACAGCGTTGTCCCTTATTTTTTTAAACTTGCATCATTTTTCTTTTATTTTACACACACACACACACACACACACACACACACACACTCTCTCTCTCTCTCTCTCTTAATGCCACCAGAACTTCTTTCAGCTTTAATACCCATCTTAGGCTATATTCAATTTTTATCTTTCTTTGACATCCTATTGTCTTTGTTCTCCTTTCATTTTTGTGACTCCTCCCATTTCCTTTTTTCCCTTATTTTACTCCTTCCCTTGCCCATAGATGGACAAAAATCGTAAGATTCAATTCTTATTTATACATTTTTCTCTTTTCACATTTTCTTGCAGCATTTATTCATTCTCGTGGTGTCAAATACCTTAGCACATCTACAGTTCAGTTCTTTTCATCCATTCATATCCATTCACCTATTTGCTCACTGAAAAACAACAATAACTACATGCATGACCATGAAAATAAAAATTAATGACTTCTCTCAAGATAATTTTTGGATCTTCAGTCTTACTACCTACTGGATTTTACTATCATCTCAAACAATGTGTTGAAAGTCAAGCTAGTTCTCTTACCCCCAAAACACATTTCCACAATGCCTCATTATTCCATTTATGACTTTTCCTTGTTTATTTAGACTCTTCATTTCTCCTCACAAACTGTGTTCAATTTATTTCTTTTTCATTATGCTCATTTCTTTTTTCCTGTCACTGTGAACAATGTGGTATAAACCTCCTGCCTGTAGTAGTGTAATAGTCTCTAACTAGTTTCTTAGCCAAAGGCTTTCCTCATTTTAGGCTCTGGCACATGACTTCCAAGTTGTTTTTCCTCAAAGTGTAATCTACATCTCCCAATAAAAATATTGTTAATGACTTTCTATTAACAATGGAATAATGGAATAATATTCAAACTCCTTAATCTATTGATCAATACACCTTGTCTATTTAACGGTTGGGTACCCATGCACTGTCCTTGGAAGAGAAGATAAGCCCCTTGCCAGCAGGGAACACATGTGTGCCATGTATGCTGTAGGTGGACTATCCAAGGAATTCTTCCTATCAGCAAGACGTAAACAAACATTTGTGGATACTGGCTATTTCTTGTTTTTAAAATCCAAGTAGCATAAAAACTAATATAAATTATAAGTATTGCCAAATAGCTTCTTTAAATGACTATTTTTCAGAGTGAGTAATAATGAGTGTTTTGCTGATACACTGATACGGTAAGAGAGACAGACAGAGAGAGAGAGACAACTATATTCTTTCTTTATATGTGTAAATAGGAAAAACTAAGGTGCCTGAATTTTTGTGTTACTCAAGCATAAGCATTACAGTATTTTAATGAAATGACACATAGGGCCTGTGAAAAATAAACACATTAAAATGCTTTGATCTCTTCTTGTATGGTAATCATATTTTATCTACTATGGGAGAAGCTCTTTCATTGTCTTAATTTTTGCAGCCCAGTTCTGCCCCGAATCATAGTGCTTATATAGACATGGGAATTGACAGTTAAAAGGCACACATTTGCCTATGTTAAATGTACAAGGAAGAAAATCAGCAAAGAAGGGGATTAGAAGGAATCAAGTAGGTTGAGATTTTTTGTTGTTGTTGTTTGTGGCTGCTGCTAAGCTGAGTCTTCTCTTCTTTCTCTTCTTGTACTTTTCTCCTCAGAACGCCCTCCTTCAGTTGGTGCAGAATCCATTTTCTTTTATCTGACTCTACTCTGTAACCATTAGGCTATTTCCTAACAGGGGAGAAAGCCATCTATATCCTTTCCTGATTTCCAGTAATTAAACTGGAAAAAGACCCATTGCCCAAGGGTCCCTGAATAACAAACCTCAGAGACAACGTTATCTTCTCACTTCACCCTTGACACTCAAGGAGGGGAAGCCAGGCCTGGCCCCTCTGTCCAGGGCCTGGCCAGCACTGGTCTGCAGAAATGACCCATGGGGTTAGTACAATGCCCAAGGCCTGCCGTGTGGGTCTGTGAGCCGCCTGTGCCACTGACCAGCCTTCTCAAAGGAATCCGTTCGCTGCTGAAGGAAATCACAACTCACTGATGTCTTTTCACCTTTCCTATAAGAATCAAAAAGCAAGAATTTAGACGTTCTCTAGTTGACTAGACATTTTCCTCAGTGGCAAAGTGGTGCAAATAAATATGAATCCTAAAACATTTCAGTTTGATGGATAGTCATGGTACAGCTACTGGATTTTTGTCACTAGGAGCTGCTTTTACTGGTTCTCTCCTCTGGGATTTTAACATCCAACCGTGAATGATAAGTCATCTTTCCCCCACCACCCAAAAAGAAAATCTGAGCACTTAATGCTCACTGGGTGGGGGCAGAATATAATTAATTCATAGTTTTGCCATGCAGGGACCTACCTTGACTCTATCTCTAGGAAATAAATGAAATCCCAGGTGGTAATATGCCTGCTGCTTGAACGCTTTACTTTCTCTGCTTTCTTTGCCTAATCACCCTTGTGACCCTAACATATGACCCCCATATAAGCCCCCGAGGATTCACTAACCTAACAGTGATCTTTAGGTATTCTCTAAAAGCACACGCCAGGTTCCACTTGCTTTCAGAATCTTTTATTGTCACTTTTAAGGCTTATTTATCGAGTGTATGAAATTTTGGCCCTAGTAGCATTATTCTCCTCATACAGTTCTTTCACTCGTCTAGAAATGTTAGTGTATTTTCTGCTTACTTATATATTTTGTTAGAGTTTATCAACCTATGTATATATCTGCCTAGTTGTAAAAGTAGGAATAGGCTCTAGAGATTTTTAAAAAAGGTTGGTGAATTGGGTTGAAAAACTAATTGATAATTATGGGAGTGAAAGCATAAACAAGGTGAAAAATATAATGTTTATTGTTGAAGTTTAGTTTAATTTTTATGGTTAAGTAAAAAAATGTAGATGTAGTTGAATTATTTTGAATAACCAATGTCTGAATATGGGGAGGAGACTAATTTTAATGTGAAATAAATATAATTGATTTCCAGGCTGTACACATATATGCAATAATACATGCATGTACTGATGAATGGGTTTTTAAAAGTATCTAACTCAATTTACTCTTAATCTACTTTAAATTTCCTATTTAGTAGTAAATCTACTTTTCTCTAATGCTAACAGCTACATAAGAGCTGTGAACAAAAGGCTTTGATCCGTTCTCTGTTTTTTTTTTTTTAAAGAGTTTGAACTTAAACATGCAAATGTCTGTATCTTTTGTTGCTTATACAATTTGATTTATTCCTAATTGGTGGGGAGTTACTATGGATGTTGGTGGTTTGGGCTGTAATATGAAAAAAATGGTTACCTAACATGTGCTGTTGTTTTTTAATGTGGGCATACATTTAAAATTCTGTGGCTTTCCCTCTCCTCCCCCAACCTCAAAAAGCAAAATGCATTTAGCTTTGAGCTAAAGAAAGCTGCGGCTGGAGCAAGCATCTCCCAGCTCACACAGGCATTAACATATACGGTCATTGTCTCTGCTGCTTCCCACTGCAGCTTTATATAATAAAACAAGCCGCGTCAAATAGGCTAGGCTGTAATATTAGGTAAAATCTAATTTCAGTTTGGTTATCACATAGCGTTCATTTCCCTAAGGGAGGAGAAAAAATTAAATTTGTAAGCTTAAGATTCCAGCTGAAGTAGTAAGTATGAAAGGCTTTCCTCTGCCTTTTATTATTCACTTTATGAATTAGCCTTAGTTTACTTGTTTCGATCGGTGTCGACATATTTCTGAATACTATTAGCATAGCAATCAGGGCTGTTCTCAGGTTATTGAATAGTGTGTTGACTTCCGAAATAAATAGATATGCAGTGTGAAGGGCGAGCTGTCACTTTAGGAGAGCTTTCCTGATCTAAATTAAAAGGCACTTCTAATTGAAAACTATAATAGCAGGAGGGTTAGAGAGACAATGAAACTGCTTGGTCCCTTTCAATTTTCACGGGATTCTGTTAGTGAATGTAGAAGAAAAAGTAAAATGAAAATATTAAATTACAAATTGCAATTTAAGCAGCAATATTAAATTATACTTAAATAGCCATATTGCTCTGAAGCAATTTTAGATGCTTGATTTAAAGACTCTCAGTGCATTTGAGTTCTCACTATTATATTCTGATTTATCTGTTTTATCAGTTAACATATAATTCTATGTTTACACCAGCAAATGTGTCTTTATCTATGAAATAAGGAATCGGTCCTGAAAGACTTTTCATTTTGCACTTTGTGCTCACTAATTCAGTGTTGCATTAGTTTTTGTGTATCTTTTATCATACCTGAGGGTGTATATCAGGGATAGGGAACCTCAAAGTCAGAGCAATTTTATAAAATCTGAGGCAATCATTCATGAGTTGTCTAAGTGAAAGAGTTTCAGAAATTAATAACAGCAAATCAATTATAAATTTAAGTAATAGGTAAAATTATTAGCTATTTCAGTTTCATGACTAGCTTACCAACTGTCTGATTCTATATATTTTGGTTCTTTAAGGGTTAACAATTGGAGGCCTGTCTATAGCTCATTTCTATAGTAACAGCAAGACTGAGACTTTTTATGGGCACCTAATAATTAGAAAGTGCTAGAAGGTATAACAATATAATGAATCAAAACTGATAGACTTGTGGGTTTCCATAGAAACATGTATAATTATGATAATCGGTCCCTGGCGTACCCTCAGAATCGTATACATTCAGTTAAATGCAATAAACATTAGGCACTATTTAGTGAGCTGTGATGCAGATTAACAGTGTGAGATACAGGGAAGCTATGAATAAAATTGCTGTACAGTTTATCTCAAACTAATTTCCCAGATTGCTTTAATAGATGTAGTGTGTGGATGTGAAACATTGGAAGTGTATTTCTGTTAGTGGTAAAGCTAACAAAGATAATAATTCATAAAGTGGAGGACTGATTGTTAATTTCAGTACAGATCAAAATGGGCCATGGCACATTATTCAGCGTGGAATCCCAGAGCCCTCGGAGTAAATGGCAGATTGGGTCTCCCTTTGCTGATTTATTTTAAAAGTAAATTATAAATCTTTTTATGGTTGTCCATTTTTCTTTAACCTTTTCTTGCCCCTCTTCTACCTCCCCATTTTAGGCATAATTTTCACAGACCTGTTATGGGGAAGGAATCACGTTCTTGTTCTCCCTGACTCTCGTCTGGGAAAAGGCAATGGTTCCTTCTGGCTCCTTTGCACATCTAGTATTTATTTTACCCTCAGCTCGTAGATTTCAGATGTACTGGGCCTGAGCATCTGCAAAGGCCTAGGAAACAGCCAGAATTTCATTGTAAGGTGGGGCAAAAAATTGGGTGTCTGCATGTATATGTGTGTATGGGGGGAAGGAGATATTGTCGGGGAGGCAGTGTCAGTGTTACAGGATGTTAGATATTATTTTATTGGATTTTTCCTGTTTCCTTACTGAGGAGGTAACATATCAAGTTGGAAGATGTCAGTCTGTTCTCCGGGGCGCGGGTGGGGGCGGGAGGAAGATTAGGGGGCCAGGATAAGGTGATGTGGGGTTGGAGTTACATGAGATAAGAGATAGAGCAATGGGAGGAGAAGCTTCTAAGCTTGTGTATGGAGTGTGTGTGTGTGTGTGTTTGTGTATGTGTGCGCGCACACGCACACTTATAGGTCTGAATTATCTATCAATACTACCCTCCTCTGCCAATGCCCATGATAACCTCTCAAGCACATTTCACAAGAGAAGCGTGAGTCTCCCCTGAAGCGGGTGGGATGAGAACTGAGACATGCACGTGTGAGATCTGAGAGCCCTTAGCGATCGAGAATGTCAAGCTTCAGGATGAAATTACACAAATGTGCTGCATTATCTCTTGTACTATCTTTAAAAAGTAAAATAAATAAAAGCTTTTGGGGGAGGAATGTTTTTCCTCACCAGCTTCAGAGCTGCTCTTAGGCCTGACAGTTGAGCTGGGCAGGCCTTTCCTTCGACTCCGCGCTGCCGCGATATTCGGATATTCGGCACAGGGGGCCTTTTAGAGTCACAAGGCGATGTACATCAAGCCTTTCTTCTCTCCTTCATGATTGTGTTACTTTCTAATACTATAATGGTGTTCTACAAAAGATTCTGGTTCCTGCCTGGCAGGAGTTGAAGTGCTGGGGGTGTGGGGGAGGGAGGTTGGCCATGTTCTCTCTACAAGCAGAACTTCTCACTCCCTGTTTCTAGTCTCCCGTTTTCCAAAGACCCATAGCTAAGGGGAGCACGCTCATAGGTTTTCATTTTGAATGACAACACAAATCTATTGAGAATTTTTTTCAGGAAATGTTTTTCATTCCTCCCTGTTTCTCTGCCTCTGTCTCTCTTTCTCTTACCTATGGCAAAAAATTACATTAATAGGATGGTAAATAAAAACATGATAGACAGCATTTCTTCTTTTAAGCTTATTTCACATGGTTTATCTAATATTTTGATCAAACTTCAGCATTCTTTTTCCCTCATAATTCATTCCAGTGACATTTGGCATATAGCATTTACCCCAGCATTTATGATATTATTCCACAATGTCTAAACATTTTTATAGCTTGTTTTATATACACATATGTGACTATGTTAATGAATTATTCAACAAATAGACGGCAAGGATCCATTTAACAAGCACATACACATATTTGCACATAACACACCTATACATTTATAACATTATATTTGCAGGTATGTACATGCATGCATGACAACTCAATTTCAGGTTATTGTATTTCACAAGACTCCTGCAGTACTTGTTATGGTAAATTATGAATATATGTAATTAGGCAATACATGGTTGTAGTATTTTATCTCCACAAAGAGCACTAATTTCTCTGGACAAAAATGAGGAATGATGCTTTTCTGCCATCTCAAGACATGCTCATGCATATATATTGGTTGAATAAGAAGCTTATTACTAAATGTTTCACAAATATTGATTAAATGTTGATTATGTTCAAGGCACTATTAATTTTGTATGGAACTGTAAACGCATATATCAGGATAACTATTCATGTACATATTATTTACAAATGGGTGTGTTGTTGTCGACTATTTTAGTAAGAAATGCTTGAAACAGCTTTAAATGAAACAAATTTATAAGCCATTTATTCTTTATTTCAACAAATATCTCTTGAACGCTCACAACGTGATAGACATATTTTTCAGTGGTGAAGATTCGGCATTGAACAAAGTTCCTGACCTCTTGTAGCTAGTGTTCTAATGGCAGAAAGTAGAGAACAAACAAGTAAATATGTATCAAGTGATGATAAACAGGGTGAAGTACGGGAAAAACATGGATAAACAAAGGGAATGCTTTGAACTTGATAATGCAGAAAATTAAGAAATGCCCAAGTCATAAAGTGTGTTTTAAAAAAGGAAAGAAAAAAGCTAACATGTGTTGAATATCTAGCAGATACCTGGTGGTGTGCTATGCTTTTCCCCACGCTTAGTGTATCATTTACTACTTATATCTGCCCTGAAAGGTGGACAGGCATTACCATTTTTATTTCACAAGGAAAGAAGCTGAAATTCAGAGCTGTAAGCCCCAGCAAGACCACACAGTTGCTATGCTTGGATTTAAACCCAGCTCTCCTAGTTCTAAAGCCCATGGCTCTTAGCAGCATTGCGCCTCTATATATTAGGAACAAAGAATAATAAGCATCGTCAGTACTGCACAGAAATATAACCAGCTTTTTTTTTTCCTTCTACAGCTCAAGAATCCTGTTTCTCTGACAGAGGAAAGGAACAACAACTTGACTGGACACATCCTAACCCAACCATACGCTGTGTTACTTCCTCCACTGCGCCACACACAGCTATTATTCTAAGCTCTCTTATTCAAACCCTTAAGGATTTGTAAGGTAGAAACTCTTCCACATGGCTGAATCTCTGCTGCTTATTTTTAGTTGAGTACTGTTGCTGTGAGGATTCTTCTATACTTTCTCTTTCACTGAATCTTTTGCCTTTAAAATGAAATTGTTTCTGTTCTATAAAACCTACAAAGACTTTAGAATGTTGTCCTTTGAAGATTCTAGTTTAATTATTTTGACTGAATTTTTAAATGATTCTGACGGAAGAAAAGGAGTTTGATTTGGTTGAATGGTCGGTATTAGAAATATTGTCCAGTAGGATTTCTACAGGGAAGACCCCAGACTTTGTCTGTTCTTCAGGTATTTGGAAAGAAGAGGCGATAGTCTTAGGCAGCATTATAGATAGAGCAGCATTTTTCTTTCAAATGGGAAGATATATGTGAATTTAAAATGGAAAAAGCAATTATACTATATACATTCTGCACATACCTATATTTGCACACAGTAATCCTCATCACTGGGGCTTAAATCAATACTGAAGACCATTTGATCATATTGTTCAATTTAACTAGTATTTTTTTGTTTACTTGATTAAAAATTATTCATTGGCTTAATCACAAAGTGCAATAAAAGGTAGAAATTGTATACTACACATTTACAGGAACACAAGCACATTCCCTTCCTTGGGGTTTTTATCTAATGAACACTAATGACCAGTTTGATGATACAGTTAAAATTAACTAATATTTTGATAGATTTGATTAAATAAATTGTTTAGGTTTGTGTCCTGATCTCCCAGATGCTTTTGAAAAGAGTAAACCTCTCTGTAATAGTAAGCCTCTCTCTCTGTTTTCCTCTCAGAAAAACATTCTTAACATGCTTTCTCATTTAAGTTTCTCATTTTAGTTTTAATTCCTTTCTAAATGAGGAAGCAAAAGAAATAGTAAGGGCATTTTGCTTTTGATTTCCTCTATTGTTTTATGAAAGCCCACTTGTCTTGTGTCTATTTATTTTTTCCATTTACAGAACTTGGAAAGAGAAAGTGACTTCAGACAGTTGCTGTGAGTAGTAATTAATTCCAGTGATCAGTGTGAGCTTGCGTATGGGCATTTATGAAATGATGTTAGATTATGAAATGCCAAGTGCCCCTCCTATTCTAGATGTGAATTTAGTGAGTGCTGTTGTACAGGAGAAAGGGGCTAATACAGACCTTTCTTTTTGGGCCAAGGGTGGCTGCTCTGCACCAAAGTTGCTATTTTTTTAGTTGTTGTTTAGCAAGTCCTACTGTTAAAAACTCAGTCAATGGCAGCCAGGCCGGTGTAGCATTGTTGGCATTGAGTTAGATCCAAGCACCAATTGAATCTCTTGGTTCTCTGATTGAAGACTAGATATGCCTATCACATACTGCTCCCAATCACATACACACAACCCTCAATGTACAACAACCTATTATTAAAAAAGTGTTAGAAAATGATCATTTACATAACTCAAATATCCTACAGTATATTGGCTAAATGATTGTATAGCTATTCAGTAGAATGTTATTTAGCCATTAACAGACATGTTATAGGAACATAATTGATGACTTGGTCAAATATACATTACGTATTGTTAAATTAAGAGTAGGTTAAGGCTGGGTATAGTGGCTCACGCCTGTAATCCCAGCACTTTGGGAGACTGAGGCAGGTGGATCATGAGGTCAGGAAATTGAGGCCATCCTGGCCAACATGGTGAAATCCCGTCTCTACTAAAAATACAAAAATTAGCCAGGCATGGTGGCACATGCCTGTAATCCCAGCTACTCGGGAGGCTGAGGCAGGAGATTCGCTTGAACCAGGGAGTCAGAAGTTGCAGTGAGCTGAGATTGCACCACTGCACTCCAGCCTGGTGACAGAGCGAGACTCCATCTCAAAAAAAAAAAAAAAAAAAAAAAAAGTCTGGACCAAAATACCCAAATATATGGATAGTAGAATTATTAGTAATTTTTCTTTTTAAAAGCTTTTCTCACATTTTCTAGTTTTCCTACAATAACTACCTACCCATTCTGTGATAAAATTGAGTTTTAAAAACAATCAAAATGTTTTCTAAGTTTTTATATTAAGTGTGCACATACATATACATACATGTGTAAGAAAAAAAGGTGAAATGCCAACAAAGTCATCTCTGGACTGTGAGATTATTATTGATTTCTTTTTGCTTCATCCTTTTCTGTAAGGTCTTAATTTTCTCCAATGTGAAAATATGACTTTTGTAATTAGAAAAAAACAATGCTTACAAAAGTAGAAAGAAAATACTATATATTCTAATAGTCAGTGTAAACAGTTTGTTCCAATAAGATCAGGATATGATGACTGGCCTAAAATATCCTAATAGAAGAGCCTATGATACTCATGCATTAAAACATGCATTACAATAAGACAACTCTGTACAGTGTCCTCATCCTTTTAGCAGTTGTGTTTGTATGAATACATATTATTCCTCATTAAAAAAACAGTGGCATAGTAACTTCATTTTCTTTAACACTGTCAGTCCTCTCTTTTTCCCTTCTGTGGGAGGCTCTGGCTCTTTTTTTTTTTTTGCATGTGCCTTTATTTCTCTTTCCCCTTTGTCATTACCATTGGTCACTTGGACTTGGCAGGAGTTTGTTTCTAAGCATAGCTGCTGATATGAGATACAGTTACTAATTTGAAGCACTACCTTATCCAAACTGAAAACTCTAGTTTCTCTTTTGTGTCATTGAAAGGTTATATGAAAATCACTCCCCTTCAACACAAAAAAAGTGAAAATTTAAAATTAGCAGACAGTGCCAATGGAAAAATGGAGAAAGAAAAATGGGCCCAATTTTAAAGAGTTTGAGCAAGCCAAAGAATAATGATTCATTGACAAATCCTTGTATTCTGAATGCGGTAAGATCATTAGTCATTTTTCGCTTTCTTCTGAGTTGGGACATACTCTTTGTGTAATTTTTTAATGTGGTCTCAAAATAATTGTTTTTTTAAAAAATCAGGTAATTAATTAGTTTTTGAACCAGCAATTGTTTTGGTATTTGGACCCCTTTTCTCAATCACTGAAAAAAACAAACAAACAACAACAACAACAAAAAGAAGAATAGATCACTTGAGAGAAAAGAACTGCCAAATTTGATAGTAGTTACAGAAAACAACTAAATGAGCACCCTTGTAGACTATTAGTGTAAACACACACAAAAAAATTTCTTCTAAAATCTATGTGCATGTCTATCTTTCTAAAAAAAACTTCATTTTTTCCCTGTTTACACCTTGCAGGACACAAAAACTAGTATTTTTGCATTTCCCTTTTTTCACTGTAACTTCCGACTAAAGTCATTATATAGAAGAAAATGAGTCCAAAGAGGAAGTTAATGCCAAAAGCCATAGAAAAACCATCACTTCTCTCAGCTTTTCAACTTATTTTTGTGACTATAGTTCTTACAGTCAGACCAGAGCCCATGCTCACTTAACAGAATCAAGATAGCAAACTATACTATATTTACTTTCTTTGAGGTATGGTAATTATTACTATTGTCTTGTTCAATAATTAACAATTGGTGGCTGTAAGCTAACTTTCTGTATCCTCCTACTCTGTGACTGCAGAGGTGTGGAGAGTATGTTATTTGGTGGACAGCTCATATTTTAACCCAAAGGCATTATTAACCTGAGGAGGGGTATCCAATAGAGACATAATGAAACATAGACTTCTGTTTTACAAAGTTCTTTATGTATTTATTTAAAAATTTGTTTTGCATATTGACTAAATGTATAAACTGCTTGAAAAAATTTATTTCTCTAAATTAGTTATCCCAAATTAACATATTTGTACTTTCAATTACTTGTCCCAATTTGAACAATTGTTTTCTCCTTTCCATTCTTCAGATTTCTCTCAGTCTACAATCCCTTTTATCTGGGAAGTAAGGTCTAGTGTCACTTCTTTAATAAAGACAAGTAACACAAAGCTACTGCCACTACCGCTGCTACTGTTAATAACCATGACAACAATAATAATAATAATAATGATTATAATGTGCCAGGCATCAATCTAAGAGCTTAAACAAATACAGTTAGTGGCCAGGCATGTTTGTAATCCTAGCACTTTGGTAGGCTGAGGTGGGAGGATTATGAGCCCAGGAGTTTAAGGCTGCAGTGAGCTATGATACAGCCACTGCAACTCAGCTTGGGCGACAGAGTGAGACCCTGTCTCCAAAAATAAATAAATAGATAGATAGATAGATAGATAGATAGATACAGTCATTCAGTCCTCACATCAAGCCTATAATATAGGTCCTATTATTATTTCTTTCATGGATAACCTCTGCTAGGGCAGTATGAAAGGGACATGTGGGGTCAGAACCCTTTTACAGAGTCCCTACTGGGGCACTGCCTAGTGGAGTTGTGAGAAGAGGGCCACCGTCCTCTAGACCCCAGAATTGTAGATCCACAGACAGCTTGCACTATGTACCTAGAAAAGCCGCAGACACTCAAGCCAGCCCATGAAAACAGTAAGAGTGGTGCTGTACCTGCAAAGCCATGGGGGCAGAGCTGCATGGGAGCCCACCTTTTGCAGCATGACCTGGATGTGAGACATCGAGTCAAAGGAGATCATTTTAGAGCTTTAAGATTTAATGACTGCCCTACTGTGTTTTGGATTTGCACGAGGCCTGTAGACTCTTTGCGTTGGCCGATTTCTCCCATCTAGAACAGAAACATTTACCCAATGCTTGTACCCCCATTCTATACAGGAAGTAACGAACTTGCTTTTGATTTTACAAGCTTATAGGCGGAAGGGACTTGCCTTGTCTCAGATGAGACTTTGGACTGTGAACTTTTGAGTTAATGCTGAAATGAGTTAAAACTTTGGGGGACTGTTGAGAAGGCATGATTGGTTTTGTAATGTGAGGGCATGGGATTTGGGAGGGGCCAGGGGCAGAATGATATGGTTTGGCTGTGTCTCCCCCCAAATCTTATCTTGAATTCCCAAGTGTTGTGGGAGAGACCGGCAAGAGGTAATTGAATCCTGCAGACGGGTCCCTCCCATGCTGTTCATGTGATAGTGAATAAGTCTCAAGAGACCTGATTGTTTTATAAATGAGAGTTCCCATGCACATGCTCTTTTGCCTGCTGCCATGTAAGAAGTCCCTTTGCTCTTCCTTCGTCTTCCACCATGATTGCGAGGCCTCCCCCACCATGTGGAATTGTGAGTCCATTAAACCTCTTTCCTTTATAAATTACCCAGTCTCAAGTATGTCTTTATTAGCAGCATGAGATCAGACTAATACACACTCCCAAGCTTGGCCATTGTTTTCTAAGCTCCCACAATTGTACAGAGTGGCTGGGTGAGTAGAAGCTTCCAGAACCTGGCATTTACGGTAACAAAAAACATACAAAAACTCTCTTCAAAAAACACTTAATTTAGACTTGTAGAGAAAGCAGGACGTTAATCTAAATTATTTCGCTTCTAAGGTAGTTTTTATTTTAGGAGCATTATTGCTCTTCCTTGACATTGGGCCTTCAGTGGAACATCTATATCCTCCCTAATGGATTTCCTTATGTCTGAAAGCTCCTGAGTATCTTATGTAAATTGTTCATGGCATTCTAAAAAACCAAATTTATGAACCTTCTTATTCCATTGTTCTCTGAATACTAGAGGTAGTTATTTGTCCCTTGCATTTACATAATTAAGAAAAAAATCATTTAAAGGAAACTCCCTCATAAGCCTATTCCTAGTGATCAGAGATCTCCATTTCTAAATCCAATTACCTAGAATCTCAACTATCTATCTTAAGTGGAGTAGAATTGTTTGGTTGAGACATCGTGCCACAAGCCCCTGTGATAAAGTATGAAGTAGTTTGAAGAGCAGTAAACAATAGATACCCTCATAAAGACAAGTGAAGTAACATGTATGTTACACTTGATCATTTGCAGGACTTTGCTTTAGGTAATTGACATAGGTAGCAGGAGCTGAAGTTTCATGTGTGCATGCACATTTGCACATGTATGAGTATTTTGCTATAGCAAAAGAAGTCCCCCAAGTAGGTCACATTTTGATTGATATCATAAGAAGGACAGATATAAATTCCCTGGACATAAGTATAGCCACCCTTCAGTAGATGTGCTGGCAGTTCCTCCATCTAAGGGTGGATGAAAATAAGACTTTTTGCATTAGGGGTTTTAAAAAATGCCAGCAAATCTGAAATGTGTTTGATAAAGGAAAATAGTCAGGGCTCTGGATCCATGAGATGGCATGTGCCTGAGCTAGACTTGACTTTACCTTCTGAGGCTACCTTCTTGCCCCAAAGGGGGCTGAGCAAAACAAAGAGAAAGATGGGTGTCAGCCTCACACCATGTTCTAGGCTCACTTCTAGAGGCCAGTTGTCAAGCTGCCACCAGTTAGTAGTAATGCCCCAAATGTCCTCTTGTTTAGCAACAAGTTAGTGGCAGAGATTTGAACATAGGCCTTTCTGATCTTAAAGCTCATATTCAGTAATTCTGTAATCAAGATATAGCAAGTAGGATTTAATTTGAGGCTTAATTCTGATCAGTTGATCACAACTGCATTTAATACTGTGGTAAGGATTATAAAGCGTCGCTCTCAGGGACCACCTACAGGATAACCTACAGTGTTTGCTTCAGGTTGGGGAGGAGAGACATGAAGCAGTGGGCTGGGCTTCCCATGCTTCTGACTTACAAACCAATTAACCAGATGTTAATTGTTATATTTTATGTTAGCTATGTATAAAAAAAATCTAAACTTCATTTAGAGCAAAGCTGGCTTTTAACAGTTTCTGTAGAAAATGTACTTCTTCTAGATAATTTTGAAAAATAATAACCTAGCTTGATACATATACCTATATTGCACCTGAGGCTTTACTGCTTTTTCTTCTATCAAGGTTTTTCTTCAGAGGAAATTTACTAAAGAAAGAATGTCCCTGATAGATATTTGTATGTTCTGGATAATACTTAGTAATAGGCTGTAAGAGGTATGGTAAGATGAATTCTGTTTAAGAAAACAAAAGCAATGGGAAGACAGTGAGATAACCCATTTCAATTGTGGGAATATTCTGAAACAACTCATATAAAATACAGCAGCTATATGGGGATGGGCAGCTGGATATGTGAATTCTCTTGCAAAAAGAAAAAAGATCATCTTGAACTGCAGAGCCGGGGGTGTGCACATGAAGCTGAATTGAAGACAATGCAATGCAAGTTCTGAAAACAAGCAGTAGGCAGGAAATCACAGGGAAAAAAAGACCCTGTAAACAGAATGAAACATAATTCTTTTTTTCTGCCTTAGGAATTATAGATCTCGAAATTAAAATCACTGGTGTTTTTCTCCCTTACTTTAAGTAGTGTTAAATAATGAGAAATTCTCAGTTGCAATACATCCTTAAGCTATTTAGACAGTTTATACGTAAACCTTTTATTGCTTAAATCTCTGTGCTAGATTTGTATAGATATTTGACAGAGGTTCTTTGTAGGTTACAATCAAAACATTATATGTTTGAGTTTACAGTATTATTCTAAATATAATTCAAAACACAAGTAATGAGATAGTACTGAGAAGTGAAAGAAAGGAAAAACATGGAGATAAGGGATGAGGGAGAATTGCAGCCCTCTACCTACCCAGCTCCATTCACAAGGAAGAAAAGAAATGGGAAGAAGCAAGAAAGAAAGGAAAGGGGAAAAGATGGAGGGAGAGAGAGAGATTAAAAAAGGAAGGGAGGAAAGAAAGAGAGAAAAAATAATATAATAAATTGTTTTCTGTGACTGCTTCTACCAATAGTGTTAAAGCAGAATGTAGAGAGGTCACTGGCATTTGGCTTCTTATGTCAAAAAAGGTTAAGTGCTGTAACAAACATCCCCAGATTCTCAGTGGCATAATGCAGTAAGGATTAATTGCATGCTCAAGTAACAGCCCATGTGGGTTGGGAAGCACTCTTGTGAGCAGGAGACTTAGAGACTTGGGCACTTTTCATCTCTTAGAGCTACATGTTTACTTACTATAAAAAGGAAGCAGCACAGTGAGGATCACAAGCACATCATCCTGGAAGTGGCAAAATCCAGCTCCACCCATGTTCTTTTGGCCTAGTCCTGTGAACCCCTCCTAATCATCAACAGGCTGGACAGTAGAGTTTATGTTCAGGAAATGGAAACAGATTTGATGAGCATCAGGCTAGTCTGTGGCACAGTATGAACACTCTAGTTGAAGGACAGAGGAAGAGGAACTTTGCTTTCTGTAGAAGCTGAAGTTTCTTTAATTAAAACTTTGCAGAACTGAATTCTCATAATAGATGTCTATACTTAATGAGCTAAGATTAGCCACGGCCAAGAAGTTGTTTGGGTTTCTTCCTAGGCTCATTGCTGTTCAGCAGTGTATGACATTCCCCAGAGCATGTTGATGAGCTCCTTTAGGTCAACTTTTTTTCTTACAAATTCCTGGGAAGCCCTCATTGTTCTCTGAGGGCTGGAGAAGCAGGCAGAGTCCAGGTTCATGGGTCCATGTTAACACTTGGGGAAAAGCTGGTCTTCTTGTGGAGATGATATAAAATAGATTAAATAACTTATTTTCTGTTAAGTGCAGTTATTTCAGGTTATTCTGTATTCTATATATAACTGACTTTTTTTTAACTTTTATTTTAAGTTCAGGAGTACCTGTGTATTTTAAGTTACACAGGTAGACATGTGTCAAGGGGGCATGTTATGCAGATTATTTAATCACCCAGGAATTAAGCTTAGTACCCCTTAGTGATTTTTCCTGATTCTCTTCCTCCTCCCACCCTCCACCCTCTCATAGGCCCCAGTGTGTGTTGTTCCCCTTTATATGAAACTATTTTTTATGCTTAAATTTCATCATTAACTTTTATTTTTTATTTTGACATCCTACAAAAAATTTCTATTCTTACACAGGGACCAACATATTTGTTCTGGGAAAAATTTTGTTTTTTTTTTTTCAAATAATGATACTTAATTCTAAATATTTTAATAATGGTAAAAAAATAAATTTGAACCTTTCATACATCACATCAAAAGTTACACTTTTATATTTATAATTATGCAGAAGAAAAAGAAAATGCAATTACTGGAGTAAATTTAGCTTTTGTATGAAAGAAATCTATGGTGGAACTACAATTATTATAATAGTGTAGTAAATATATGTATTGTAACATGTAGCTGTTTTTCAGTATGATTATTATGGTGTTGTTATTACTAGAACCAATTTACTATAGTTTAACTAGGCAAAATATTAGTTACTTTATTTTTCATGTAAGTATGGTTTGTTATGGTTTTATGGCCAAACTAGAATGCTATTATAATGAATTTTATTATGTTGTACTTATAAGGGATAGACAGGGACTTTTAGCTTATTTCCTAGCTCAGCTTTGCACTTATAATATGGCCTAGAGAGTGTTACTTAAATTTGTTTTCCACTGTAAAAATAATAATCTCATTAAAAATATAATCTGAAGTCCAGCCCTAATTAATTGCATTTAGATTCACTTCATGGGTTTACTAAAGTGAAATATTAACCCTCTGCCATTGAGCGTATGTTGGATATGTTCTTTCGGTACAAGTGATTTAAGTACTGCTAACGAATAGGTTTGCTTTCAACAATTAAGTAATGAAAACTGGACCAAGTCTCAGAGGGTTCTTGTCCTCATTCCTCTTTTGCCACAAACTTTTTGCCTAGTCTGGTCTCTCCAAGCTTCAGTTTCTTCCCCTCTCATGTCAGGGATCTGAATTAATCACCTGTTCATGCTGAGTTCATGCTTGTATGCATTCCAAACTAAGACTAATCTCTTCTTGGTTTTATTTCTGTTACCTGCCACCCATTTCAAGGTACTGCTTTATTACTGGCTATATTCAAGGTCAAATAGCACAACTAAAAATAAAACCATTAAGTATGGTGTAATATATAAAAATCCTCTATTGTTTTAGTTATCCTGGACTTACCAATAACTACATTTCCTTCTGGGAAAGAGTTAGTCACCTTAGACATACATTCACTTTCATTTTGCACTTTAATAAATTGTTACTCTAGAGAAAAATAAATACAAGAGTAGATGACTATAAGGCTAAAAATACCCTATTCTGCCCCCTCAGGAGTTTGGAATCATTAGGGAGATAAAATCAAGATGAAAAGATTAAGATATAAATTATATTACTGAAAATTTTTATTGGGGGAAGTGGTTTGGATTCATGACCTAAAACTTCCTCTTCATTCCCAACCCTAATCTCAGGCAGAGCTGTGAGGTGTCCCTGACTAGGCAGGCACTTCTCATATAGCAGGGAGATGAACAAGAATATTCTGAAGCCTGGCTGCTCTAAACGGGTTAGAAGGACTGTGTCAAGCATGCTTGAGTGCTTGTTTCAAAGACATCAATCAAATAAGTTACTAAAAAGAGTAATGGAGTGAGAATAGAGCAGCCACTGTCTCCCCATTATTTTGGAAGGTCTAAGAAAGGAATAATCAGCCTGAAACAAACTGTAGAAAGAGAAATGGCTTTAAGGTCAGACAACTGAAGTTTGAATTCTATCGTTGTCTCTATTAGCTGTGTGATTTTGGACAAGGTACTTAATATCTCTTATTCTCTTTTACAAAATGAAAATAAAAATATTGACTTCCTCACATGCCATAAATACAGCTTTGTATGCAAAAACCTTTTCTTTTTCCTCCTTGGCATCCAAGAATGCTATACTTCCAAGATCCTGTAATTGCATTCTGGCCAATGAAGTATCGGAAGTGAAGTTCACCATTTCCAAGCCTGGCTCATAAAACTTCCTCCACTTTGCTCCCCACTCTTAATTTCTTTGTGCTCCAGCAACATCCAAAAGATCTACCGAAGAAAAAAGAAGCCCCAAGGGATGGCAGAACTATTAGGTAGAAAGAACATGGGTTCCTGAATGCTTCAATGGAATTTTAGTTCTTCTATTCTCACTTTTTTGATACATGTTAAATAACAACGTGAGTGAGAAATAATTACTTATTACATTAAAGCCAGTGAGATTTTGGGATTGCTTCTTACAGATATTAATGTATCCTGACTAGTACCCCAGGAGTATTCATGGAGATAAATTGGAAAAAAAATTCAGAAAATACTGGGCAGAGTGATACTTGCCCCTCAGAAGGGCTCTATGAGAGTTTCATCTCTTCTTTCTAACTTTCTGCTATCAGCTACTTTTTCAGATTAGCATCAATCATAATAAAAGGCCAAACATAACATAAATAGGGTCAGAAAAACAAAGAGATTTTATCATAATATTTTGGTTGTTTGCTTGATTAAATAATGATTATGTAGGCAATGACAAAATAAGAAAAAGAAATAACAGTAACAGCAAGAACACAGCATCTCAGTATTGTTTCAACCAGGATTCTGTTAAGCAAAACGAATTGTTAGCTATAACTAGTTTTAATATAAAACTAGACAATCCTTTCTTTTTCTTTTTTTCTTTTTGAGACAGAGTCTCTCTCTGCTGCCAGGATGGAGTGCAGTGGCGTAATCTTGGCTCACTGCAATCTCTGCCTCCTGGGTTCAAGCGATTCTCCTGCCTCAGCCTCCCGAGTAGCTGGGATTACAGGCACATGCCACCACATCCAGCTACTTCCTTTTTTTTTTGTATTTTTAATAGAGATGGGGTTTCACCAAGTTGGCCAGGATGGTCTCGATCTCTTGACCTCATGATCCGCCCTCCTCGGCTTCCCAAAGTGTTGGGTTTACAGGCATGAGCCACCGCGCCTGGCTGGCAATCATGTTTTTTGAGGTAAAGATAAATTTAAATGCCATTATATGCAATTTATTCATCTTATTCCAATATATTCAGATTTTCTGAAATGCTTCTCATTTATGTTCTTTGAATAAGCCCATACATAAGGTAATAGTACATTTTACTCTGTAACAAAGTGCCTTAAGAGTTATCCAACTTTGTAGTGTGATTCTCATGGATTTTATTGAGTGGAATATGTACCCCAAAAGATATATTATTTCTCATAACCCAAAGGTTATTATTTTGTAGAATTTCTATAGGAGTAAAAACAAGCGAGAAAACAATACAATAAAGGTGGATTAGAACTGGGCAGAAATGAGGAAATTGAAACAAATAAATAAGGTAAAAGATAAATTTAAGAGTATAATAAGTATAAGAGACCACAGTCCAATATTATTGTGGTTGATACATAAAACGTAATCAGAAAATAGCATTTAACACTCTTGTTTAAAATTAGAACCATTTCTTTTCCCTTTAATGATTTATGTACAAAATCTTAGCTTCGTACAGTAATAAACTAGAATATTCATTACCTACCTAAGAAAAAAGTTTGATGTGCCTTGAAATCAGTGACTTCGTGTCTAGTGATTTTGATGAAAATATGTGTTGAAAGTCTTAGATCACTAAAGATGATGATTTGGGGCTTGGTTGCTCAACCTAGTAAAAGTGTCTACTTGAACAGGGCAACTGGAAATATAGTCTGGGTGCATATTTAAAAAATTTTTTTTGAGTGGGCATGCCATAGACACTATACTTTGAGCTCCTTGAAAACAGGAAGAAAATTGTACTGTTTGCTGCTGTATCTCTAACAATTAATACATAGAGAAAATGCAACTTTTTAAAATAAAATATATAGCTAAAAGAATCTGTAGGACTTATTTAAGAGAGTAGTATAATTCAATTTTAATTTTTTTTTTTTTTGAGATGGTGTCTTGCTGTCGCCCAGGCTGGAGTATAATGGTGCAAGGCTCACTGCAACCTCCGCCTCCCAGGTTCAAGCAATTCTCCTGCCTCAGCCCCCTGAGTAGCTGAGTTTACACAGGCATGCACAACCACACCCGGCTAATTTTTGTATTTTTAGTAGAGACGGGGTTTCACCATGTTGGCCAGGGTGGTCTTGAACTCCTGACCTCAGGTGATCTGCCTGCCTTGGCCTCCCGAAGTGCTGGGATTACAAGTGTGAGCCAGTGCACCCGGCCTCAATTTTAATTTTTTAAAGTTAATAGCACATTTGTTCAAGGGACCAGTTTCCCTTCAGTGTAGATCGTGATCTGAAGAATTTGGGATGGATGAATGATAGCGAGAAGAATTGGGAAGTCTTCAAGAATTTAGATATCTATGTTTAAGGTTTTAGCAAGGTAAAGACAGTGGGAAAACACAAGAGGGTGCAAATTCAGTATGTCTTTGACCTACATTAAATTGAAGATGCATGAGGGAGAAGGAAAAGTGGAGAACATCCTTCATATTTTTAATTTGTACAACTATGAGAGTGTGGTTAGTAATGCCAGAATGGTTAGTAACCAAAATCAGGGAATCTAAGAGGTGAAGCAATTAATTTGGAGAAGGAGGACAAAAATATTACTATCAGCCATGGTATATTCTGTGTAGTTGGAGATGAATGGTAGCAGTTGGGAATATGAGTGAGGAAATTAGGAGAGAGATTAAGAAACGGTGTTGATTTGGGAATCAACACTAGTCTTCATAGGACTACACCTCATGTGGCTCCTGAGCACTTGAAATAAAGCTAGTTCAAAGTAAGATGTGCTGTAAGGGTAATTTACACGCTGGATTTTGAAGGCTAATCTGAAAGAACACACAAGATGGCTCAATAATTTTTATATTGACTATACATTGAAATGAATATATTTTGTCTATCTTGAGCTAAATAAAATGTATTATTAATATGTTTCACTTTTTTATTTTTCATATTTGTTTTTTAATGTGGTTACTAGAAAATTTTAAATTACATACGTGGTTCACATTACATTTTTATTGAAAAGTGCTGGGCTAATACATTGGCAGAAACAATAATGTATCCTTTTTCAATTCTATTGGATTTTTCCTTTTTTAGTTATTTCAAATATTCTAGATATTATTTTTAAAAACCTGAAAGTACATTTTAGTTAACTGAATAACCACAAAAACACGATACACAATTCACTTTATAGAGTAATAATTGTGTGTTTTGTAACTTTGTAAGGGAGATATAAGTTCTGTGCTGCCCTGGATGTTCCAACAGTGAAAAGATAAGGCTCCATGCTGTAAATACAGCAAGTGGAGGATGTGTGAGTGTGTGTGCATGTATACATGTCCTTGCATGTATGTGTTTGTGTGCACATAGACATGAAATCTGCTACCCTCTTCTCATACTTTCTATGTAAAATATTGATTTTTGATACCCCAAGTTTGCATGTATTCTTTTTAAGAAAAATGAACCCAAGTTACTACAGCAAATTTTTCTTCTAGCTTTTAACCAATAGAATGAGGAAGTGATTGTTCAAAGTATATTACAGGGGAAAATTGATCATTTAAAAATGTAAGAGTTAAATTATATAGCATCTATAGCAAATGACAGAAGTGTAATTATTACTTAGTCTATTGGTTTAACTATCTCCTTTAATGTTAAATACATGATAAAGTATTCCAATATTTTTTCTCTTTCTTATCAGAAAAGATGTAGATTGAATGTTACAGCATGGATAAAATTCATTTCATCTCATATAACTTCTTTACAATTTCACTCCAGGTGTCCTTGGCAAAAGCCATTGTTTCACTCTATTGCCAAAACTGCCTTATGTCAAATTATTTCTTGTTCTAATATGTTCTCACTAGCATATAGAATCTCATGGAAGAAAGATTGGAAAGCTACGTATAAGCTTCCTATAATATGATCTTTGGGACAGGAATCATTCTGATCTAATTTCTTTGTTTAAAAAGAAAAATAATTGTTCTTTTTATGCAACATGTAGATTTTCTGTATTGTTGACAAAATGAAGGGACAATTGTAAAATATACAACTAGCAAGAGATATCAAATGGTGACCCAACATTTTCAATAATAGGTTTGATTGTGATAGATTTAAACAAAACCCAACGCAAACCAAATTCATTAAAATTTTTGCCCTCTAGGATTTTAGTATTGAGCTGGTCATGTTAGCAAAGAATTCCCAAACCCGATCGCTGATGTGGTTATCCCTTTAAATATTAGTTATGCATCTAAAATTAACATTATAGATTGTTGTAAAAAGAACAAATACTTGTTCATTTACTTTCAGTTTCAGTGAATTTGTTTTCCAGGGAGATATCATCTATTGATTTTTGTTTATTTTTTAAATTTAAATGAGAGAAATTGGCTATGAACAGATTTGTCATCGCATATCACCCTTTTTTGGCCTGTTTCCTAAATTACAGAAGTTGGAAAAGTGGGAGGAAAATACAGTGTTTATTTTTTGGGAAAATAAGAAATATTTATGGTTGTTCTATGACACAGACAAGTACCTACGGAATCCCATATTAAAAATACTAACAAGCAATAATTATAGATACATAATATTTAAATATTTATAGGGTATAAGTCATATTTTGTTATATGCATAGAATGCGTAATGATCAAGTCAGAATATCTGGAATATCCATCACCTTGAGTATTTATCATTTCTATGTGTCAGGAACATTTCAATTTCTCTCTTCTAACTACTTTCTAAGTCTTTTGTTTTACCATATTCTCCTCTAGGTTTCAGTTACCCTCTTATCTATTCTGCACTTTGAAACAGGGAGCATAATAGTAATGAAGAGATAGAGTATTATTTTTCTGGAGTCTTTTATATCCTTTAGTTTCTTAAATTTGTGTATATAAACTAAAGTGATAAGAGGTACTTCTACTCTCAGATGTTGAATCAGTGGAAGGATCAGCAGTATAGTTTCATGGCAATGCTGGAAACAGCTTTGGAAAATTAAACCTTCAGTCTTTTGATGCCTATGCCGTCTGAGCTAATTGTGGGTAAGAAATACATTTCAAGATGTAATACACTTGTACTACTGATGTAACTTAGACAAAATATTCCTCTCGATCCCTAAAGAGAGGGAAAATTCCATTCAGATGACCCTCCACAATAGGATAATATAATCTTTTAGAAGGTTACTGTTAGAGAAAATGTTATACAAGATCCTGTGGATTTGTGTTTGCAAAAATAAAAACAAACAAATAACTTCACAGTGTTGTCAACTCAAATTTGCAGCCATTCATTATCCTTTGATGCTTCTTGAGATGGTACCTATAGGTCAGATACATTTCCAGGGCTTAAGGAGTCCATGGTAGATGCTGCTTAGGATCTTCAGCTTGGCACTTCCTCACTCTCTATTGCATGTTTTGAGTACCTGTCAGCTAAAGTCTGACTCACAATTCTTCCCCTCTTTATTCCCAGTCTTAGAGTGTATTTCTCTCCCTTCTATATCATACATGGAGTAGCAACTAATACAGCAGAAGTTACTTTGAGAAGACATGAGAGATGTCCTCTCAGGCAGGAATATATTTATTAGATAGATCATGTCAATGGTGCCATAATCTCAGTTGTGGTAATTGTTAGAATAAGAACTCTTACAAGTTTCAGATAAAGATGGTTTACCCATGATTGCACTGTAAGTAGATATATTTTCTAGTAGATAGGATGGTAAAGTCATGTTATTGCTACTGTGTATTTATATGGTAAATAACAGATGTATCATAAACCTCTCAACACTTAACACGTTTACAATAACATTCTTGATACTCATTCACCAAGTGCATTCTTCCGTTATTCCTATTTATCTGAGTACATGGTATTCAATTCCTAAGTGAGAAACTTAGGAAAAATTGTTTTTACTTCTTTCGAGATTGAATTCGCCAGCAAATCTTCTTGTTTCAATCTGTGAAATATATTTTCAACATAACCACTACCTACTAGTTCTACTGCTACCAACATCCTTGTCCAAGATCTTTTTTTTTTAACTTGATCTCTTGATATACTGTTCAGCCTTTACATTGAAAACCAAAGGTCAGTATTCAAGAGTAAGATTAAGGCAGAAATAAACCTTCCTTTACAGGGACCTAAAGTCAGCTTTAAGTTATCTCAGACTCGGTTTATATTAAGATGACCTAAGATTGTGAAGGTCCTTAGCCACCTGCTAGAAATAAAGATAAATCTGCTCTGGTGCATAGGAAAATAATTTCAGGTTTTAAATTGTTTCTACTGTTTTTCATAGATGATGATCAGCACCTAATCAAAAATGTTCAGGCAAATGAAGAAACAAAACAACTTGATAAAAATTATAAGAAAAAGGAACATAATAGAAAATGATTCACAGGAGATCCTGATAATGAGATTATCTGACAAAGATTTTAAACTAATTATGCCTAGTATGATCATGGAAATGAAAAAAGTTTGAGAATTTTACATAGAACTGAAAATGATAAGTAACAAACAAATTAAAACTCTCAAACTGAAAATTTCCTTAATCAAAATTAATTCAGTAGTTGGGAATAAGAGCAGAAGAGATAGTTGAAAAGGGGACTGGAGAACTAGAAGACAGAGCAGAAGAAAACAGTCACAAGGAAACAGAGACATACAAAAGGATGGAAAGATTAAAAAAAGACAAGAAAGCATAAAAGACAGGATATACAGTAAAAATACATGCAATTGAAGTCTAAAAATAGAGGAAATGTTTTCGAAATAATAACTGGGGATTTTCTAAAGCTGAGGAAAGAAATAAAACACAAATTCAAGAAGCACTGTGAACCCTACTGATCTAAGCTGGATCAACGCAAGGAAAATCACAAGTAGGCACACATAGAAAAACTATTGAAAAAATGTGAAGACAAATGTGATAAAAACATGCAGAGATGAAAAGACACATTAGTTTGAAAGGAGCCACAATCAGGAAACAGTCCATTTGCCAACATATAAAAAGGAAACTAAAATACAAAGAAATGCTGTCTTTAATGTGCTAGAAGATAATAATTGCCAGCATTAAATTCTATATGCAATGCATATGTCCTTAAAAAATAAAGGTGATATTAAAACCTTTTCAGATGAAGAAAACCTGGGCAAAATTGCCACAAAGATGCAATCAAAAGAGAACTCTTCAGGCACAAGGCAAATAATCTAAGATACAGGAAGAAATAAAAGCCAAAAATAAGAAGTATTTGAGCAATAAAAATAAATATAATGGCATAAAATAATCATAATGTCTTGTCAACTTTTCTAATAACAAAAAATTTGATTCACTGGAAATATACAATAATATTAAAATAGCATTCAACTAATAATGTGGACTCATATGTACAAAAAATGAACAGAACTACAGATGAAATAGGCATATTGGCAATTATAGAAAGATGTTTTAATACCTTTCTCTCTCGAATAGATAGAATAATCTGAAAAATGTTAATATGACTATAGATTTAAATAACATAATTAACAAAGTTGACCTAAATGACATAGATAGAATATTGCATTAAAAAACTGAAGAACCCATATTTTTTCCAAATGTACATAAAGCTTTTACAAATATTAACCATATCCTGCACTAAACAGTAAATCTTTACATATATCTAACAGTTTAAATTATACTTAATATGATCTCTGATCATGGTGAAATTTAAAAATAAATAATAAGATAACTAGAAAATCCCTACGTTTTGAAAATTTAAACACTTCTATATTGATAATTGGTTAAAAGAGAAAATAGAATGAAAATTTTAAACGGATTTTGAATTATTTCATATAAAAACCAATGAGAAGTAGCTAAAACCTTAAATTTATTAATTAGAAAGAGGAAAGGTTAAAAATCCATAATCTAAGCAGAACTAATGGGGAAACATTTAAGGTTTTTCCACCCGAGGTCAGGACCAAGGGAAGTATGACAGTTACCATCCATCTTTTCAACATTGTAGGGAAGTTTCAGAGAGTTTGAAAAGCGAGGAACGACACTATAGGGTAAAGATTAGAAGCAAAGAAAGAAAACTCTCATCATTTTTAAATGACCTGAATGTTTATGCAAAAAATATTAAAATTTACAAATAGATTATTAAGATTAATAGGTGACTTTACCAAGGTTTCAATTAACAACTAGAAAGTAACATTTAAAAACTTATACAATTTACAGGAGCATCAAAGTACACCAAAAATTTTTAGAATAAATTTAACAAAAATTTTGAAAGAGCTCTGCATAGATAGCTATAAAATATATTTGGAGAAAGTAAAAGAGACCTAAATAGATGAAGGTGTATGTTTATAGACTAGAAGACTTAATGTTAAAAATAGGTAAATTCTCAAATAGGTCCGTAAATTCTATAAAATTTGATAAAAATGACAGCTGGTTTTATTTGTGTGTGTGTGTGCGCTCACGCATGCTCATGTATGTCAGTGTCTAAGTTGATAATTTAGTTCTAAAGTTTATATTGGAATGCAATGGCCAAGAATAGTAAAGACACATTTAGAAAAGAAAAGCAGGGTAAAAAAATGATACTCTACTAGACATCAAGACTTACTATAAGAGCTACAGGATTTATGGCACTAAACGTAAAGAAAAGATTGACAAATTTGACTGTGTTAAATTAAGATCTTTTGTTCATCACAAGGCACCAATAAGAGTGAAAATAAATGTTCAGAGTGGGAGAAAATATTTGTAGTATATGTAACAAAAAAGGGAAACTTGTACCTTTTAATACATTTGAAGAATATATAAAGAAATCCTCTTTAATTCAATAATAAACAATTCAGATCACTCAATAGAAAAAAAATGGGCAAAGACTTGAGATGAGTAGGCACTTTAATGAAGAGAAGATAACCAAATGGCCAGCAAACATATGCAAGGTGGCCTGACTTGACAGATCATCAAGAAAATGCAAAAATTCACAATGAAACAACATTATAAAACACCACGTAACTAATATTAAGAAAGATAATACTAAATACTACAAAGTAAGGAGCAATAGGATCTCCTATATGCTGATGATGAGAATGCAGATATAAATATAAATTGTATAATTACTTGAAAAATGGAAAATTATTTATGCATTTGAACATATGCTTAACTTATGACCCAGCAATTCCACTTGTAGGCATATAATCAGGAGAGGGCATGCATATGTGCATAAAGCCATACTAAGTATATATAGCAGCACTATTCACAATTGGGAAAAGGAGAAATCAATCCCAAATGCCACATTGTAATTTGTCCATATTATATAGCAATGGAAATAAATGAACACTAGATATATGCAATAATGTGGATGAATCTTAAGAACATTATTGTGAGTTACATAAATGGACACAAAAGATTACATACTCTATGATTTCATTTGCACAAAGTTTACAAAAGGCAATATTATCTATGACATTAAAGATCAGGAGAGCAATTTCTGATGGTGATGAAGAACAGAATCATGACAGAGATGTGTGAGGAGGGATTCTGTGATGCTGGTGACATTCTGATGTTCTGTGTCTTAAACTTTGTTAAAGAGTTGTCTGCTTTGGGAGAATTCACTGAGGTATACACCTGGGGATTTGCTCAGATTTCTATGTTATATTTCAATAGTTACAAAAGCAGCTTTGTTTGTACTGCTCCACTCTCCCAATGCACTACATTATCTCCCTCCTTAATGTCACTGCAATATGTTTGGAAAGAATAATCTAGACTTGATGTTTCTCTCTCTATTTTAATCCCACCCATCGTCAGCCCATTACACTCTGGCTTCTGCCCTATAACTCTGAAAGTGCTGTCCCCAAAGTCACCAGTGACCTCCTAATTGCCAATTGTCTATTTTCAGTCTTCATCCTGCTTGACCTCTTCCTGCCACCTGCCACTGCTGACCATCCCTCATTTGTAATCTTCTCTTCTCTTGACCTCTTCCTCATAGTTCTCCTTCCTTTTGGACTCTTTCAATTAAGTGTCCCTCCTTCCTTGCTTGGTCCTCAAATACTTTTGTTTTCTGGTTACACTCGATTATACTGCTCTAAAATCAGAATTACAATCTGGCTGGAGACATGTTTACTTCAAAGAGTTTTTTAAGCAAATTGTGAATAATATGCCATTGAATGGAAATAATCAGATTTCACACAGAAATTCAGGTTTCTGGCATCAGGAAATTAAAAGGTTTAGCAATTCTGAATCCATCTTATTGAGGACCCAACAATCTTCCAGACCCAAATACTAGGAGCTTTTTCATCAACCCAGAAGCCACCCTTACTTCTACATTTTTATAGCCTGCTTGGATCTCCTAAAGCACTTACTTTCTCACCACTGTTATACATGTGTCTTGAGAGCAGAGCTTCCCAAACAGTGCATAAGAACCACCTAGGGAACTTGTCCACATGTTTCCGTCTCAGCCCCATGACAGCAATATGATGGAAATTGGGTAGGGTCCAGGAAAGGGCATTTTAAAAAATCCAAGGTGAATTTGAAGCAGGTTGTCCACAGAAGACATTTGTGATAGTTAATACTGAGTGTCAACTTGATTGTATTGAAGGATGCAAAGCATTGATCCTGGGTGTGTCTTCGAGGGTGTTGCCAAAGGAGATTAACATTTGAGTCAGTGGGCTGGGGACGACCAACTCACCCTTAATCTGGTGGACACAATGTAATCAGCTGTAAGTGAATATAAAACCGGCAGAAAAACTTGAAAGGCAAGATTGGCCTAGCCTCCCAGCCTACATCTTTCTCCTGTGCTGGATACTTCCGGCCCTCCAACATCGGACTCCAAGTTCTTCAGTTTTGAGACATGGGATGGCTCTCCTTGCTCCTCAAACTTGCAGACAGCCTATTGTGGGACCCTGTGATCATGTAAATTAATACTTATTAAACTCCTATATATATATATCTCTCCTATTAGATATATATATATCTCCTATTAGATATATATGTGTATATATATGTGTATATATGTATATATATGTGTATATATATGTATATGTATGTATATATATGTGTATATATGTATATATGTGTATATATATGTGTATATGTGTATATATGTGTATATATGTATATATGTGTGTATATATGTATATATGTGTATATATGTATATATATGTGTATATATGTATATATATGTGTGTATATATATGTATATATATATATGTGTGTGTATATATATATCCTATTAGTTCTGTTCTTCTAGGGAACCCTGAATAATACAACCTTATTTTATGGAGTTTAACGCCTATGTTTTAAACTTCAACTGCAGTTGTTGATCTCAAGTGTCTCAATGTCTTGTAGGAGATACAGATACATAAACAGGTAATTGTAATAAATATGTCCAATCACCACTCCCAGGCAGGCTGAGGCCTGGTGTCCTGATCTCTGTGAAAGTCTCAACTGGGGAGGGATATCAGCCTATCAGCCTTTTGGATGTAGGGTCAAGGAACTGTCTTGTTGACAGAAAAAGATGTTCAATAGACAGAGAGAGTGGTACCAAGCCAAAGGGACAGAGACTGAAGAAACCAAGGACAGTGGGAAGTTTTGGAAGAGAAGTATGAGGACAGGGATGTGTGGTAGCTCTTTGAGGTACACGGAGGTAGCTGCCTTTGAAATGAAGCTTTTGGCATTAGCAAAGAGGGAGTAAGTAAAAGTGCTATCTCTGTGTGGATCATAATATGACACATGTTATAATAGAGTGATACATGATGAACATAAAATGAGGTTCAATTAGCTTCAGAGTCCGAAAACAGTCTTACTTAATTCAGTGTACCACTTAGGTTGAAAACTGTAATTTGTTTGTGTCATCAATCTGTGTGACAATGTTGTCCAGCAGCTGTATAGGTATAGTGATGTATGGGTATAGAGACGTTTGCCTGAGGCCTATCCCTGCATAACTATTGGGATTCAACTCTAGGAATGGTCTGGATCAGTAGAGTAAAAAGAAAAGGGAGTAAGAAAAGTAAGAGTTAATGATGAGTGATTCTAAAGATAGACCATGGTTTAATTGCTCAATAGTGGAGCAAGAAGACTCTGATCAAGTAGCAACGAAAAGGTCAAGGAACTGCTGGCCTTGAAGAATAGGTTGGTAGAGATGAGAGAAACTGAGGACTAGAAGAAGGGAGGTTATGGTAAAACAGGCAGCTTTGGAAGATTGAGACCTCAAAGGCCAGTCCAAAAGTATTTCAAATCTGTCCATGAGCGTATGTTGTTGAACTTGTGTATAGTTGAAAGTAGTTAGAATTAAGACGACTAAGAAACTATAAAAGCAAAGAACATGGCTGGGCGCAGTGGCTCATGCCTGTAATCCCAGCACTTTGGGAGGTCGAGGCGTGCGGATCATGAGCTCAGGAGATCGAGACCTTCCTGGGTAACACGGTGAAAACCCGTCTCTACTAAAAATACAAAATAATTATCCGGGCATGGTGGTGGGCACCTGTAGTCCCAGCTACTCGGGAAGCTGAGGCAGGAGAATGGCGTGAACCCGGGAGGCGGAGCTTGCAGTGAGCCGAGATCGCGCCACTGCACCACAGCCTGGGTGACAGAGTGAGACTCTCTCACACACACACACACAAAAAGTATGGGAAATGAACATATTTTCATATATAATTGTCAGAAACAAGAAGTTTTTGGTCCTAATTTTTTTAATTGCTTATCTCTGCTTTTGAATTAATGCACTTATACCCATGAGGTCTTTATCAATGTAATGAAAATACTCTGCATTGTCAAATGTTTAACCCTTGAGAAGACCATATTGAGCAAAAAATAGTTCAATCTAAATAAGTAAACAACAGCAATAATAACAACATATTATATGGTGGCATTTCATAGATTGCAAGGCTTTTTTAGATACATCATATTGTTTGTTAAAAAAAAACTCACGGGATACACTTGGAAGAAATTATCATTTCTTTTTAATAGACAAGTAATATCGAGAAGACTAGCCTAAAGTAACAAATTAAGAAGTGACAGAAACAGAACTAGAACTCACGCATGTCCATTTTATTTTAATATTGTAGATATCTTATAAACTGATGAAGTTATTGTGGAAGCACTAGTTGATACCTTTAATATTGTTACAGGGATTTTTGTTGTTGTTGTTTTCCAATTGTTATTTCAACTTAAAATCCATTTTCCTATTAATGCTTGCTAGAAAATAAAGTCATTCAAAGTCATCAAATAATTGACTAAATTTGTTTAGTCATCAGAGGAAAAAAACCCAGAAAACCTAAGACTTTTATTTCTTAGTATTGCATAGCTTATGTTTACGGGGTATGATTATTTAACAAAATTTATAGAAATCTTCATTCTTCACATCTTTTTGGATTTTTAGAAGAAATAACAGAAGGTACACATGGGGTGTGTGTGTGTGTGTGTGAATTCACATAGGTGTATGGAGCTCTAATTTTTATATAAAATGCAAATACTGAGAGCCACTTTTAAAATCGTTTGCCTGTATTCAATGGTTCTACCTTTGTTTTTCTGTAGTTCAATACAAGAGGGCTCTTCATTGACTGTTCGTAGAAGGAAGCTTTTATGTAGGGTTGCACATCTCAAGAATAAATCACAATGGCAGAAAAGTCACAATACCTGAGACCACTGTCTTTCCCTTTCTCTCAGTATACTTTCATGTAATTTCTTATCTTTATTTTCTATAAATATATTCCAGAGGAATAGAATATAGGGGGAAGGAGGCAAAATCTCTATTCTGAAAATGGGATTTCACTGCTTTGCTCAGTTCTTCTTGCCCTTATACCTGTAGTTATATCCAAGTGATGTAATATTTTTATAGCTACTGTATTCAACTTTCTCACCTACAGAATGGACCAAATAAGAAAATGTATATGGAAGCATTTTGTAGAACACAAAGCACTTTACAAATAATATGTTTGATGTGGAAGCAAGTATATGGACTTAGAGTCAGTTTTATCATTTCCTTGCTGTGTTACCCTTGGAAAATTACTCTCTCTGAATCTTAATTGCTCTTCTTCTGCAAAATGTAGATAACATATTATGTCAGACATTGCCCTAATTAACTTGAGTTCAAAAATCAGGCCGTGTATAGAATCTATATTTCCATTTATAAATGACAAATTTTAACCTAGAGAACAAATACTTTACACAGTGTCTGGACTTCGTTACAGTCTGGAACACATTTTCCTTCATATAAAATTTTGCCCGAATTCTATGACCACTAGATTTTCTTTTTTGAGAGAAGGAGTCTCGCTTTGTCACTCAGGCTGGAGTGCAGTGGCAGGATCATAGTTCACTTCAGCCTTGAACTACTGGGCTGAAGTGATCCTTCTGCTTCAGTCTCCTACGTAGCTGGGACTACAGATGTGAGCCATCATGCTTGGCTTAGATTTTTTAAAAATATGTACAACAATATGCAAATAATGTCCAATATCTGGCTGAATATGTACAGGGTATATAATGACATTCTTATCAGATTTCCCCCTTTATATGAGTTGCTGGGTTTTGCCTCTACTTACAAGTCAGGTGTTTTTTCAAAGGCAACATATACTTCTTGGTAAACATATAAATACCATTAAGAGTTAGATACAAGGAGGTTGAGAAGCCAGAGTGTATTCAAACTTTGAAGCAACATTTAACCTGCAGAAAACATATGACATTAAGTATGATCAGTTATGACTGAAATAGATAACTCATTTATCAACACTGGTTTGCATAGTTATTGAAAGGGCAGAAGAATCACTTTTTCTAGCTTACAAATAATTTTCATGTTCAATGGTAGTGACTTTACGTTTCTATCATAATTGTGTCAGTTACTACTTAATACATGAGGTCTCCTTCTTCAAACCCATTCTTCACATTGCTGTCAGAATGATCTGTATCAAATGTATCTCCCTTTTTAAATCCTTCAATGGCTCTCCACTGCCCTCAGGATAAAATTCATATTTCATATCAGGGTTTCTGTCTTCCTCTCTACTTTCATCTTCTCTTGGGATTCTATAAATGTTCACTAGTCATAATAACATCCCAGGAACTTACCCACAGCTTTGTTCTTTTACCAATTCTCCTTCTTACCCTTCAAAATTCCTGAAAGTATTTCTCTGATCTTTTTCTGTTTTAGTTTCATTTCTTCACATTCTCATGATATCTTGTACTTATCTTGATCATGTAGTTTACCTTATTGCACCATATTTATTAGTTATTTCATTTCATAGAAAATCAATGTCATAACTGCAGGAAGCTTTTCTTTTTTTAGATCCTTGATGTGAGAAACAATATAGGAAGCACAGTAGGTGCTGGGTAAACATTTGTCAAATGAATGGAAAAACAAAAGCAAAAACAAAAACAAAAAAAACAGGCAGCACCAAACACAGAAATTGGGATAATTTCTTAGAAAAGACAAATACTTGACCAGATTAAATTTACCAACCCCTAGCTAGTTGTTTGGAGATTTAGATAGTGAACACCGTATTCCCTTTGTAGAGAGGACATGGAAAAATATCAGGAGAAAAATCAGCGAGAGTTCTCACACTGCCTCTATGTCCAAGGTTAGAGAGGGGCTATGAGTTAGTCAAGGTTACGTTTTTGTAGGAGAAAAAGATAACTCTGTAGTGAAGTTGTCTACCAGTATTTCCTTTCAGCAAAAGACATAGATCAAGTTTTCCTATTTCTTCTTCTTCCCCAGGGCGCTGGCTGGCCCACCCCTGAGACTGAACCACATACCAGGTGGCCCTGATGAAACCCATGAGGAGATAAGCACAGCTTTGCAGGGACAGATGATTCATTTTCTCAAACTTCACCCATTTGTACGTTGAGGATAATAGTACAGCCTGCCTCATAGAGATGTTGGGAGGATTAAGGAGCTCGGAGAGATAATAAACATAAAAGAGCATTGAGCAGCTGTTTCAGGATTCAGTCTGAAAAGCAGAGGGAGATGCTCTGTAAATGCTCCTCTCATTCGCCCAGCCTTCATCTCCAGCCCACACTCTGGACACGCAGATTCTAAAGGGCAAATGGAAAAAGTGGGATGCAAGTACTGGGAGCTTTTTTCAGGCCTATACTATGATATCAAGATCAATTTTTGTAGGTTACCCATGTTGCTGGCCTTTTCTCAGCACCAACAGCACTAACCCCACAGACATGTGAGTCAGATAAAAAGCCCCCGATGCACCTCTGAAGAAATGTTGATTAGACTGGGGAAGCCATGATAACCCCCATAGCAAAGGACGTGAAAGCTGCCCAACATTTGATGATCTGAGTTGGGATTATCCATTTTGTGGACTTTTAGGGGCATGTTTTAGAAATCAAACTGCCTTGTACAAAATAGACACTGGAAAAATAACCACTAAATCAATTTAAATAAAATTGAATAGAAGTCCTGTCTTTTCCTTCAAATATCCAGACTTTGTGGCTCTTTTTTTTTTTTCAAACAATGTGGGTAGGTATATGTTTGGCGGCTGCTTGTTAATGTCCATACTATTGTATTGTGGTAATCAATGACAGCAAACAGAATGGACATTTATCTAAAAATCAGCAATGACGGCATAGAAAATATGTATTGAAATTGTAAAAAGTGTTTTGGGAAAGCTGAAGTTTAACCATCTGCTAAGTAGTTAGAAATGTTCTGTAGCTATGATAAATATGAAATACTTTTATCTGTATGTGAAAACTAATGGATAGAACAAGAATTCAGATGAGATCTCAGGAAATTATAAACATAATTCATGAAATAAGAAAGTTTAATTTTTTGATGAAGATTTGTGTTTTTTCCTTTAAATAAATTTGTTAATTTACTCATACTTTTTCTGAAAATAGAAAAGATAGGTCTGACACAACAATGGGACTCTTATGACTTACATTTTAGCTAGGGAAGTTTTCACTTTTTTGTGAACAAAAAAAACCATTTTGTTCAATATTTCTGATCATATATTAGGTTATCTAACATTTTCCCTTTGAGACACAAGTCTTACAAATCTCATATTTTAATTATTTAGATGCAAATTAAGTAAATTTTGCAATATTTCAGTCCTATACTTGGGGTAGTACATTTGTACTATGGCTAAGGATTTTCTCAATAAATCCTTATTCATACAACTGGTAGTCTTGGGGTTAGCAAAGCAGCTCACCTTATTTATGGATTAACTGAAAATATATCAGTGTCATTTCAAAAGCTGAAAAACTAATAGTTAATTTGGATCCATTGAATTTCCTACTACAGTCTGATTTGTTCCATTCAGGATTCTGTAATCCTGGCTTGGAAAGTATTTAACTGTATTCTTATTTTACTGATTATCTTGCTTCAAGGGATTTTTAAAACACATTTAAATTTATGTAACTTTGGGAAGTTTTACACTTTTTTCCCCTTTTTCCAATACTGTAACATTGAGTCTCTTTACTTTTCATTTATTTCCAATGGAATTACTTTACTATTTCTATAAATTAGTGTATCTTCCAATTTCATATAACTTGTTTTGAAATTTCTAGTCATTTTGGACCCAGCAGGTGGCCCATTTCGAATAATTTTGATATCTTGATTTAAAAACAAAGTGACCCACACTCTGTATTTTCTAAGAACAAATGCATACTTTGTTTGCATAATTCTACCTTTGATTTACAATACTTTGTTTTAGTAATTTAACTCCCCCTTTCTCTGCAATTCTGCATCGTCTAAAGGCTAAATGGATACAATTTTGTAGCAACTTCTCAAATGTGTTTCTAATCAGAATGCTGCAGCACTTTTCCATTAGGCAGATGTTTCCAATGTTATATTCTTTACTGGAAAGCTCATTATTTTGCATTTACCTATAATTAACTATATTTGCCACGTATTAGCACAGACACTTAAATGTTCTCAATCTTGATATTTCGCTTATAATATTTTTCTTTGCTTTTGTAGTCATTTAAAAATTATCTACAAACAAGCAGGGTAAAGGTGAGGTGAATCCTATCTGGTCTAGTTTATATGTTTTGCAAAGAAAGATGAATTCTGAAGAAATGTAATAGAAGGAAAAGAAATAATGATGGGGCTGAATCGATATCTTAGCTCTTTGGCTTTTCCACAGCACCACTGTTTTACTACACATCAGGATAATAACAGCAGTGAAACAGAACGTATGAGAGGAACTAACAGTTGTGTATAGTGACCTTCCCACTAAACATGTGACGATCCCCTCATTGTCTCAAAACTACAGGGGAAATATATTTATACATTTTGGTGAATTGGCTCAAAAACTTCGATACGACTTTAAATTGTGTTAATAGGGTATCATGAAGGAGATTACTACATCAAATAACCAAATGAATCAAATTGAATAACATCTTGAAAAGTTAAGAAAAATTGAAGAAAAAGGTTATGGTAAGTTAGTGAGTTTTTAGTTGCAAGTTTTACTTTATTCTGATTAATTGGTAAATACATTTATAGAAATCTATCTAAGGAGTATTACGATCTTGGGGATTTGTAGTTATTGGATGCTATTATAGCCAGGGAATCCAGAATGACCACCGCCTTCCATGTCAATAATCTTTCCTAGATGAATTACTACCACAACCCACACTAGTGGAATAAGTGTCATGGTGACTTTTTCAGCTCTCTAATATTTTAATAAAGAGTTTCCATTGAACTTGGATTAGAGAGTGTTTCTTGTGCCTAAAGATTTAAGTGGGGACTCCAAGTAAAGACATTCTCTTGACTCCATATTCTGAATTTTATAGCCAATCTCTGGAAGCAGAGAAAGAGTGAGGGGAAAAAAAGAAAGAGAAAAGCAAAATCTTTGTAACTAATAACCCATCCACCTCCATGGAGTAGATGAGAAAGCTTCCCTGGTTGGCCCCCAGCAGCTAGGTCCTTCTAAGTACCACTTACCCCATGGAGATAAGAAAATGGGAATTTTCAAGAGAGATAAAGAAAAATGCATCAAGCATATCTTTGGGTATTTTAAAGCATGGTGATTCCATATGGCCCATTGATGTTCTGGTAATCTAATAAAATATAAAACTCCATATTTTCCTCCCAGGAGAACACTAAGAAGATGGGCAGAAATCAAAGCTTCCTGGTGTGAGGTTGTGGTAGAAGATTCCTGGTTGATCAATGTATAGAAGATGGAAATGGATTCCAGTTGTGGGAAGGAAGAAGTAAGGCTGTCAAAAATCCTGAATTGTCTTGAATGATATGTAGCAGCTAGCCAGATAGTAAAAGTGGGGAGGGGACATTTCAGAACAAAGGGACAGATTGTCAAAAATTATAGTTTTGTGTCGTTTTATTTTACTGTGGAACTATAAGCTGTTTGATTTGGTTGGATCATATAGTAGAACAATTAAGTATCAACTGTTCACTGGATTGTCCAAAAGGCATCCTCTCGGACTTGTTTTAGAGCCTTTATGATTAGAGAATATACCTCTCTTAAGATCCTTGAGTTTTCAACAACCTTACTCTGCCACTTTCGTGAGGCATGCATTTTCATCCTTGGTGTAATTTTGGATAAAATATTGCTTTTTTTTCTGTCTTAGACCAAATATATATAAATAGGGAAAATACGATACTTTATTCATAGGCTTGTTGGTGCACATATGAGATTACGTCTGTAAAGTGTGCTCTGTAACCTGGAAAAGGCAATACAAAAGTTACTTATTAAACTGATGAAATTTCTGCCATTTCTTATATTTTGTGCCATATAAAAATTTAAATCTTTAAAACATGATATTCAATAAATGTAAACCATTTATATCACTCACTGTATACAACTGTTTTTCATACGATTCAACTCAATAGAAGTGATTATCTTTAAGAAAAGCCTTAAAGCAAATATGCCAACTATATGGCATATGTGACTTAATTACCCACTTGTGCTCTCAAAGACAACATCACTAATTGATAACAACACTTTTCCTCCTTGTCTGGACGGAGCCTCAAAATTCTTCTCAAAATCCTAAGCAGCCAAAACCAATAGGGAAGAGTTGGCTCTTGAAATCTATTATTATTTCCCTTAGCCAAATGAAATTTTGATGGGATTATAGCCAGAAGAGGGAAGAGGGTATTTGTCTTCCCTGCAAGCCATCATTGTAAACAACTCTTTTATTCAGTAAAGGAAAAAAAGTATTGTGAGGTGTTTTCTTAGCAATGCAACAAGATATACACTTTTTCAAAAATGGGTTTTTAAAAATCTGATTATTGATTGGTTAATTTCCTTCAAAATCCAACATGGTTTCATAACAATTGTGTTAGTTTTAAAGTGATGACTATGAAATGAATAGGTTTGTGTCAAATAATAAAGATAAATTCTAGTAAAAATATCCCTAAGCAGATCAGAACAATTTTGTGAATGAAGTCTAAACTATAGGCAGATACATTAACATGCTATAACCATGTACACACACACACACAAACACATACACACACACACACACACACACTTACCGAGTCATTGTCAGATACTATTTTCATGCATCATTTTGATGCTGCTTAATGCAGGATATATTGAAAAGCTATTATTTGGTCTTTTCAAAAGTACCCAGTAAATAACATTGTGCCCAATTTCACTTTTTTAAGATAAAAAACTGAGGCCTTTAAGACATATAGTGGTTGTGTTTTGAGTGTGTAGCTATATAAACAAAAATCCTTCTTTAAACTGGTAAGTACTTGTTAACTGATATACTCAGAAGGATGAGCGGTGCCAGGGAAATAAGACACAGCACAAGGAAGAAAGGTCTTTGCTTCCTGCAAAAGTTTTGCTATGGAGGAACCAACAATAAGGATAAGACTTAAATGGATATTTTTACTCGTTCTAACTTGGGGCTTACCCTCCAGTGGACCAGCACAAATGTGCCAGCGAGCCACAAGATACTCCGTCAGTCCCTCTGTCCACTGAGACCTGGGATTGTGGGATTTTTTTTCTCTCTTCATCAGGAAGGTTCATCTCATTCTGCTCTGCCTCCTGAAGAATCGTTACTTTTGCTGATCCAGGTGACAGAATTATGGCACTAAGGTGTAAGGAAGTGGATTGTTTTAAGATCAACATAAAAAAATTCTACTTACTGCCACCTTGTGTGTGAATGTAAGTTTGCCAAGAAGCTATATTTGTGTGACTGTGTGGGTGAAAAGGGCTGTTCTGTCTGCAATTTCAACCAATATATGATATAACACTGGATTCAGATACATTCTATAATGAAGGGCAAATTTGAGATTTCTCTTCATCTGTGGCCCAATAAGTGGATACACTTGCTCCAGTGACCTAATTCTTTCAGTTTTATTCATTTAATATATGCAGTCCAGAGAGCTATAGACCCAGCCCAGCAAGATGCCAGTTTTTCTTGGACTAGATGATAGGAGCAAGACAGAGGACTGATAACCCTGCACACTCAGACGTCCTGGGGGGAGATGTCAGATCAGATCAGATCGAAAAGGCAACCTGATAGAAATAGAAGAGAAAAATATTCTTATTCCAATCTCTGTCAAGCACTCATCAGCTCTTTCAATTCTTTGTAGCCAGTACACTGATAAAAGTCACATGTAGCCATTTATTTCTTTAAAGTATATAAAGAAAGAAAGAATGAGTAGGGTTGGGCTTTTGACAAAATTTTACAGAGACATTATTCCACGATTTGGGGATGTAAATTTAATCCTAGTTAGTCATTTCCCCATGGTAACAAAAAAGGAAGTAGTAGGAACATTGTAAGTTAAACGTTTGAGCATCAGAATTGGACAGAGAGACTTAATCAAGTCCTATCTCCTCTACTCACTAGTTACGTAGTTCTAAATTCTTGGTCTAGCAAAAGTCACTAGCACTATTGGAAAAGAAAGTGAGACAATACTTGCAATGTGTTATGTTTCTGTATGAATACATTTTCTGCAACTATCTTACAAATAATACAATTAGAACATTTATCTTTTAAGCATTCAATCAACCAATCACAGCCTCAACACCCTTCCCCGCCCCCCCACACACATATTGAGTGTCTGCTATGACCCATGCACAGGAAAATAAAAATTGGAAAAAAATTCTCACATTCTCAGACATCTAGACTTAAATGTCTTCACTTACTTATCAAGACTTTTATAATGTCAGCAGCTTGCCTTCAACGGATAAAGGGTAATGCATATAACAATGGCACAAGGCATTGACACTAGGACAATTAGGCAACCTAGAGCTTCTCAACAAACAACTAGCAGAGAGTCTAGTGTTCAAGGAGAAAGTTTTCTAGGTGTCAGCTTCTTGAAGCTGTTGCTCCAAAGGAGGTCATTGCCCAGAGTAATGAGAACAGTTGGGAATCTCTCCCATTCTCTATTGCCTGAAGGTCAACAGCCATCTGGTCTAACCCATGCTGGCTTTCCAATTGAGAGTGAAAACAGATTTTCTATCATGTCCAAGAACAAAGGGCACGGATGAATCGTGGAAAATGTAGATGACACAGTTGCCTTCACCCATACAGAACGTGTATCTCAATTTTCTGAAAATACATTCTTGGGCAAAGTGTCCTATGATTAAAAGGCACAAGTATAAGGGACATCAGAAAGAAGGGAAAAATGAGCTATGCACTGGAATCCTCTTGGAATGATAAGGTGATTACAAAAATGAGAAGATCTTCATTGGGTAATAAATCAAAGTGCTATCTTTCAAACATAGAGAATAAATTCACCAGTCAACGAGTGTCCTACTCTTTGCAAATCATAAAACAGAAGTTATACACTTTAGTACTGTGTACTCTGAACCTTTTCTCTGCATTTTCCTAAAAGAACTGACCAACAGATTAAAATCACTGACTATGAGTGTCCTTTTATTTTTTTGGCAGGCCACATGCTGATCCAGCAGTAAACTGTCTCTTCCCCTTTCCCAGACCCTGGTTAATAAATATCACCTAGTGATAAAACTGTCCAATTTTCTTATAACAAAAACTACAAACATGAGAAGAAAATGCTGAGCTTGGGTAGGATATCTTATCTCTGTTAAATATTACAGACACATTACAAGGTCCTGTGCACTTGGTAAAATGTTTAAAATAAATATCCAAGTGCCAAATATCTTGTTCTTTCCAATTTATTTGAGGGATATTAAATATGTTACAATTAATTTCATATTCTGTATTAAGACATTTCATTTATATGCTCAAAACTACAGGGGTCTCTGTAACAGCCCTAAGTAATTCCATTTTGCAGTACAAGGGACATTGTTAATATTCAAAGATTAGAAAATACATCCTCTTTGATCTTTGCTACTTATTGAAAGACAGCATTCAGATACCAGGAATGTATTTTTCTTCAAATAGTTGCTTTCTCCTAGAGGAAGATGTGATTAAATAGAATGCCCCAGACTTAATAAGGCAACAAAAGAACTGGCAATTTCTTTTCAGCTTTCTTCATTCTAGCATCTCAAAGCTGTTTGCCTTGGGATTTAGAAATTGAGAGAACAAGTTGCTGACCCTAGAACTGAACAGCCACATTAGTTATTTTGGTGATGCCAGTGTTGAAATGGAACATGTGCCAGAGGCAGGCACACTTTGCAGAGTGGGCATTTTGTACAGTTTATTTTAATTGATGGTTCAGCATATTGGTTGGGCATCTGTACGGGTGCTTTAAAAATGAAAGAAATTATTGGTTGCTTTCAAGTAATGAGACTGGAGATTTAGAAAGGAATCTGCCTTTCTCTGATATTTCCAGCATATTTTTGAGAGTCTCTCAGTGTTTGTTACCTTTCTTTGTAACCCTTGATTCATTTAATCATTCATTCTGCAAATATTTATTAATAGTCTGCTTTTGCCAGATGTCATGGTAGGCAGTAGAGTTTTGCTTATATCCATGACCTCTTTTAATGGAGATTATAGTTCATTGGTAAGGATTTATTGCTAGGGATTTGGAGCCTTAAGCAAAAGTCTTCACCAGTCTAATCTATTATTCCCTTTAAAATAAGCTTTTGCAAATTTCAAAACACCTTCCTATGTGTGCCTGTGAAAAAAGGAATAGCAGATAGCTGAGGCCAGGCTCTCTCTCACGAGCTCTGTCATGTTTTGCTAGATCATTGCTGCAGTCTCAGTCTGCTCTGCAGGAATAGACCATCTGAGGACACAGCACGAAGGTGGCCATCTGCAATTCAAGGAGAGAAGCCTCGGGAGAAAATAAACCTGCCGGCACCTTGATCTTGGACTTTTAGTTTCCAGAGCTGTGAGAAAATAAATGTTTGTTGTTTAAGCCACCCAGTCCGTGGTATTTTGTTATGGCAAACCTAGCAGACTAATACAGAGAAGGATGAAAAATGAAGAACATTTTTTTTTTGGAGCCTATTACAACAGATGAAAATTCATGCCCTCTTACACCCTAAGTTTCAGAGTAGGGAAATAAATACTACATGTAATGAAGACAGCAAATTATACAATATATGAGAAGGTAATAAATGCTGTGGAAGAAACTCGAAGGTTATATTGAACTAGGAGATCAGCAGTGCTGGGGACAGAGGGTTACAGGTTTTGGTACCAGACAGGAAGAGCAGGGAGGCATCATTGAGAAGGTACCAACTGTGTACTCAGAAGAGAGGAGGCAGCTGGTTATGAGGTCATCTGGGGGACAGCACGACAGGTAGAGACAGGAAAAGTATAAAGGCTCTGAGGTGGAACCTGAGGGTTGGAGGCACAGCAGGAAGCCAAGATAGCTGGCATTCACCATAAGAATGGTAGAAAGGAGTCTGAGGCAAGATACAGGCCAGCCTGCATGGGGCCTTGTAGACCGAGTAAATACCTCGGATGTTGCAAGGACTTTTCTGCCTTGCACGTTCTCCTTTCTCAAAATCTGTTCCTTCTGTTTGTTCTACAAATTCCTAGTTTCTGAAAACCAGCTACTGATCTGGTCTAATTTTCTCTTTTTATCATAGGGTAAAAGATACTTGAATAATATTCCACATATCACTACACTCAGATTCTACTCTTGATTCTGAAGTTTTTGTTTGTTTGCTTTTTACTAACATCATCTTCTCCCTCAACTACCTAATCTTTGGCTTTCCTAAATTGGGAAAATTAATATGACATAAGTTTCTTCATCAGATATATCCTCAAAATGATGGTTAACTGAGCCAAGGTCATATTGGAAAAGGGTTTGAAATGAGAACATATGGACACAGCGAGGGGAACAACACACACTGGGACCTGTTGCAGGGTTGGGGGGCGAGGGGAGGGAACTTAGAGGACGGGTCAATAGGTGCAGCAAACCACCATCCACACATATATCTAGGTAACAAACCTGCACATTCTGTATGTAAAGTAAAATAAAAAAACACTTCCATATATTACTTTAAAAATGTTTTTTAAAAAAAGAAAGAAAAAGAGTTCGAGACACGGGACCATTGCTTAAGGAAGGGTGCACAATGGGGTTATAAATCAACACTCTTAGGCTGATGTGTTCTGTGGGAGAGGGGCTCTGCAGAGGGATCTGGCAGGCTGAAGGAGATCCATGGTATTGTTCAGGAGATAAATGAGGGATAGGGTGACCTGAAGGAGAGAAAGAGAAGCCACTGAGGGAACACATGTAAAGACAACAACGTTTAAGTTTAGTGTTTGTTCTATGAACAACAGACACACCCAAAAATGTTATCTCAGCATATACATTGTGGTAGTATCTTACTGTTTATTTGTATAATACCAAAAATCTATGCAGATTATAATTCTTAATAATGAATTTCACCATTGTGGGAAACGAGAAATAAATATAAAAAGTAAAAATGCCTTAAATCAAGTGATTACTTTCATTTCCAATTATGTATCCTCACACTGAAACTCTGGGTTGGGTGTCACGGACCTCGTTCTGCAGAAGCAAGCGTATGTGAACAAGGTTATTGATTTAAACTTGCACAGACACAGGAATTGATTCAATCTGAAAACAAAAACGTGAGCTCATGTGTGTGTGTGTGTGTAAAATTTCTTCATGAAAATGAAAGACTATGCCATCTTCAAGTTGGACAATACCTAAGGGTCTTCAACTCTAACCTCTTTATTGTGTTAATATGAAACACAGAGGTAGGGTAGGAGAGTGGCTTATCCTTGGGAGTCCCAGGAGTCAGGTCTCATGACCTCATCCAATGCTGTTTTGAAGGTATCTCTAGCTGGTTTTACAGCTAGAGAGCCTGGGTTCAAATATCAGCACCACTACTTACTTGCTGTGACCTTGGGCAAGCTACCATATCTCTCTATGTGTTAGGTTTCTCATCTGTAAAATACAAATAACAATAATACTTATTTGTGGTTGATTGTCTAATGAGCACAAAGTCTGCCATGCCACTATATACTCATCTGTGTAATGTGACTTTGCTAATCCTCTTGACCAAGGGGGTAATCTCTTCGAATCTGGGTTAACCCTGTGACTTGTTTTGACAAATAAAATGCACAGTAAATGATGTTATGTGAATGACCTGGAAGATTCTGCTTTTGCTTTAAAAGCACCATATTGTGAAGAAGCCCAAGATTATTGAAAGAGAAGCCAGATATCAGATATATGAGTTAAGCATCTTAAACCTCCCAGCTCAGTGAATCCTCCAGAGGAATGCAATTACACTAGTGATCCTAGGAGAAACCAGAGAGAAACTACCAAGCAAGCCCAAAATCGCAATTAATAATAAATAATTGTTGCTTTAAGTCTTTTGGTTTGAGGTTTTAGTTAAAGGGATTTTTATTACAGCACTCTCATAAGATTATTTCGATAATTAAGTGAACTAATACTTTGTAAAGGGCTTTGAATGGAGTGCCTGATGTGTAGTAATTGTTCAGTAAACTCTAGTGATTATATCTTTAATTATACTGGTTTTTATAGGCCTGGCAAGTTAATTAATGGTTGATGAGCAACTGGCTAGCTACCAGGCCTTTTGGCTTTTTACCTACTGCTTATTCTACCTGAATGAGCTTTTGTTGACTGATATTTATATGTACAAATTTGGTATACATTCAAACTGAGTGTTTTTCATCTACATGCTTATAGATTTATGCATAGATTTTTATTTGAACTGTGCACACAACTGTTCAAATATGGATTTTGAGATCATCTCGTTAAATCATGTCTTCCAGATTATAAATCATACTTTATTAATGTTTCCTATTGATTTTTCATATAACTTTTTATATCCCTTCAAGGGACATCTATAACTAAGTACTGAGGTAAGACTATCGAGGGAGAATTCGATTTCTCTTGCCACTCACTTTACTTTGCATCAAGTTGAACTCTCATATAATGTCTTACAGAAGATTAAAAATTAACGGTTTCTCATGAAAATATTGACTAGAAACATTTTCCTATTACAAATCAATGATTGTCAGCGCACAAATTTCAGTAACTAAATAATTTTTATTTGAATCACTAATTCTCTTTACTGTTATTGTGAGCTAAGATTGCATGTATTTTGTTAATATTCAGAAACTGTATTTTGTTGATATTCAGAAAGCACTGTTAAACTTGTTTAAATAAGGAGAATTTAGAAATTAAAGAAGAGGTGATTTTCACAGTGTTACACGCATTCATCAGGTATTTACTGAGCACCCTGTTTCAAACAAAAGAGACATGGTGGTGAAATAGACATACAAGCTTCTGTTCTCATAGAACTTACATGTGGAAGAGATAGATAATAACTGAGTAAAGAAGCGAGCAGATTAATAAGTAGGACAACTTCAGGCGGCATGTGTGTTGAAATCCTACAGAGCAATAGGAAATATTTATGAGGAAGTGCTAATAACACTTGCTGCTGAATTGGGTGTGGGTGTGGCAGGAATGAAGAACTACTGTTTTTGACTTTGCTTGTAGATGGATGGTGATGCTATTCACTCATATAGGGAATCCCTATTTACTGACTTAGGGAGCAGGCTCAGAAAAGAAGGTAAATCAAGTATCCTAGTCTGGGCCGTTGAATTTTAGACACCTTTGAGGTTATCCATGGGAGTTAGATTGATCACCTTGTCACTCAGGGGAGGGTCTTGGCTGGACATCCACATTTGTGAGTCAAGGGGCAGTAGATGAAAGCGCAGAAATATCTGCCTGGGAGGTATAGTCACCTTACTGTCTTGAGCAGTTTGAGGGAATCCCAACATTAAGACTTTAAGACCAGCCTGACCAACATGATGAAACCCCGTCTCTATTAAAAATACAAAAATTAGCGGGATGTGGTGGTGCACGCCTGTAATCCTAGCTACTCAGGTGGCTGAGGCAGGAGAATTGCTTGAATCCGGGAGGTGGAGGTTGCAGTGAGTCAAGATTGAGCCACGACATTCCAGCCTGGGTGACAGAGTGAGACTCTATCTAAAACAAACAAACAAACAAACAAACAAACAAACAAACACCCAAACCAAAAAAAAACTTTAAAAGATTGGGGCATGAGAAAATTCTAACCTCCCTCAGGAACAGAATCAAATATCCTCCTACTGCCCCATTTCCTATTGCTTAGTCTCACTGTAATCCTCAACAGAAACAGCCTCTTCCCTTGCAGTGGCCCATCCTTGATGCCTGGCAGTGTCCCACACCTTTCCTAGCCACCTGAATGCTACTGCACTCTTATACAAAAATAATTATATAAATCTATGGAATATTGTGATGCCCCAAACTCAAGCCACTGTTACATTTGTATCATCAGTCTTCATTTTTGAGCTTTTATGCTCCCTCAAATCTTTCCAACATGCGTTGGTTGTCCCAGATTCTGTCCTTATGTGGGCTGGCAAAGGAATAGTGAGCAGCATAAAAAAGAGTTTGGTTTTCTTCCCTCTATAATAAGAACAAAGAAACTGGGAGTGGTCAGATAGTGTAAAACTAGCTCAATGGCTTCATGTAATTATTGAATATCCTGTCCTCAGCAAGCAGGAGTCAGGACTCAGAGCTGGGTTCCTGGGGCTAGGCCTGGGAGCAAGGTGTGTCAAGTGATATAGGGTAGTCCCACTTCAATGGAGTTGAGGTCAGAAGCTGAACAGAGAGCCAGGAGAAAGGTTTTGAAATAACCATTTTGATATAGCCTCTTTGGTACCGTTGGTATATTGTGGTCCTGAAAAAAAAGGTCATCTAAACAAATATTTACCAAGCAATAATTACTTCATCCCCTAATTGTCACTTCATTCCTCACATGCAGAGCCACAAAATGTCCATAGCATCAAAAGATCCCCTGAAAATATTACATAACAGATCTAAGAGATAACTTCAAGAGTGGAATTAGCATTAAACCTGATAGCACAGGGAAAGCCCCAATGTGAGAGAGTGAATTAGACGGTCCAAGACAAGGCACATGGAATCAGGTTGGAAACTGGAGCACCAGAGCAGAGACAAGTGTTCTGAATTAGGAGGTGCTGGGTGTGATATGGAGTTGGAGGGATTATCTGAGCCTCAGGGAAGGGTCGTGCTATCTTTTGCCTAGCACCCATGGCCTTGCATGGCTGTGGAGTAACTGGTAAGCCCTCAGCTCAGTCAGGACCCAGAATCACTCTGGTTTTCTTACCTCATGCTGCTTTATCCCTTCTCTTGTCTTTTCATCCCATTTGAGCTCCTGACCAACTGGAAGAGAGTTCCTACCACAGAAAGAAAGGCAGCCAAGAACACAATGTCCCGACCTAGCTCTTGGAAGTACTAAATTTCATCACGGAAACCACAGCCTCAAGGACAGAGGACTTATCCAGAGTCATCAAATCTATCGGTATTTTTCCAAATTCTGTAGATTTACACGAAGAGGTAATATAGTTATTTAAAAGTAAAGTATTTTAAAGGACTTGAAGTTATGGGTAATATCAGTTCATTCCTATGAATGTAGTGACTTCCAAGCAGGCCAAAGAGATGGTATTAAAAAATAGAATTTAGCTTTTTGGACTATAGGTGGTGAGCCTGAAACCTGGGTTCTCAGTAAGGAACTGGCAGTGTTTAATGATGATCAGGAAGAATGCATTTGGCAGGAGATTTTCTTACATTAGCAGAAGTCTCAAACGAGGGAGAAAAAAGCCCAGATAAGATTCTTACAATAATTTCTATGGAGGGAGATAATTGTAACATAGAAAAATACTAGTAAGAAGAAATGCCCATTAAATCTAAGGAGTAAACAAAAAGAAAGAATATTGGAAACAGCACAAGCTATATCAGTCACACCAAACTAATCACATTTTCTTTCCTTGTACATACACATCAAACAGTAAATGAGAATCAGAGTATTCCTTAGTTGCAAGAGGAATTTATACAACTCTTTCATAGTTTCCCTTTATGGATAAAGTGTACAAATAAGATCTGATAGCGTAGCTAGGTGGATTCACACCAGAGAGTGTATATTTCTGTTCCTCCAAAAGAAGTCTCTGGAAGCAGCCCAGAGATCATTTCTTCATCAGGGCCTCTGTAAAATTTTACTGAGGAGTTATATTGAGTCATAAATCATATCCCATCCAACTCTGTGACTGACTCAAAATCCAAAATTAACTGCAAATACTAAAATAATAGAACTAAGATTGAAAATGATATGAACAGGCTAAAAGAAAGGCTTAAAACCTCTGAGATAAATTGTAGCAATGATAAACATAATGGTCTGCAGTTAGCTTCAGAAAGTCAGCTGGCTTAGTGCAGAATGGGAAGGCCAGAAGTCAAGCAGTAAAAAGATCTAGGAGGGTTAGGGTAACTACAAGTTCAATGTGAGCTGACAGCATGACCTGGTTGTGAAAATAAGAACACCTGATCTTAGATTGCACCAATAAAAGCATCATGTGGTAAGAAATGAAAACAGAGTCCAGTGTACTCTCGTCCGTGTAAATTATAAACGTATCTGGAGTACAGTATTGAGTTTGGGTGCCAAATAGGTTTAACTATGTCAACCAAGATAATAAGGTTCTAGAAGTCTTATCATGAGAGGAACAAATGAGGCAAAGGAGAATGTTTTGCTCAAAAGTAAGAGAACAATTGTGTTCAAACATATTTGAGGACTTTCAGGCTTCATGGAAAAGAAAATCAATCTATTCTCTTTGGCTTCAGAGCATAATACAGTAGAATTTTTTTAAAGGCAAATGTAACGTTGGTTAAAAGGAGAGCTTTCTAATAATTTCAGCTGTCCCATGATGCTCTAGGCTGGCTCATATGCTAGTGAGATTCCCATGCCCGGAGTTCTAAGTTTAGGTTGAATTACCCCCATCCAGTGCTGCTATAGGAAATTCCACCTTGTGAAAGATTAGACTGGAAATTCTCAAATCTTCCCTCCATCTCTGAGAGTCCATAATTCTATTTCTTATCCCCATTGTAGAGCTGCCACTTTTAGTTAAAATGTAGCTGTGTTCCTATTTTAAAAAGTGTGTGTATATGTATGTATGTATGTATGCAAGTATGTGTCCAAGTGTGAATGTGCTTGTATGTGTGCAAATACCCACACAGCCATGCACATACCTGCTGGAGCCAGTGCCACACCATGGAGATGGAACACAGATGGAGAGAACATGACATTCCATCCCCTTTACTTCTGTGATGCACAGCACCTCCTCTCTATAGTTTTGTGTCTAAAGTCACTCCCTTGGGTGCAGTGGGATCCATTCTTATCACCTGGTCTATGCTCAGCTGAAACTGAGCTTAATGAACAGGGGACACATAAACACAACAGGAGAGCTTTAGAGCTGGCAAAAATGAACTAAAACCTAAGCTAAACCCTCGCATCTAAATTTCTTCTATGAAACTTTTTGGTCAATAACATTTTTATAAGAACCAAAAAAGGCATTTTTTCAAAATACAAAACTGCTGGAAATAGGCATGTTCTGAGATGGGGAATCCTGGACATTGCTGCATTTTAAGCCAAGCAATTTCACTGTGTCTTCTGGAAAAACAAATACTTTTTATTTTCTTCATAAAGCTGTAAAATATTTTCACAGAATGCAGCTCAGAAAGAAAGAATATTTCTAACATTTCTCATTTCTATAGAATGTCCATGAGGTTTTTATCTTTTCTGATTTTGTCAGAGGTAAGGATTTTTTTTTCATATTGCTGCAATTTCAACCTTTTGAACATTAAGCAGATATAAATTATCTACAAGGCTAAAAAGTCTTTGATTAACAAGCTAGGGAATTGCAGGTATTAAAATTGCCCCCCAGAGGGAGCCCATATCGTTCCATGAATGCACTAGACATCTACTTTGAATTACAAAGAAAAATTAATTAAAAAGTATATGTTTATAAGTAATGTGCATTCCCCTGAGTTCATTCTAAAAGCCACATATATGCGGAATCTAATAAAAATTAAATTACGTTAGCTGCATATTTTACTTCAGCAACATGAGGAAAAAGATACAAGCAGGTGCAACCTAATGTTTCGTTCAAGAGAGCTTCCTCAGTGCCCCAACAGATCTGAATGGATTTTAATACTTGACACCCACCAGAGAATTCTGTGTGAGGTGGAAACAAGGACTGCAGCTACCTTACGAAGGGTGATTCGTTGTCCCTGTGAACAGCTCTGCTTCCAACCCAACTATCTGCCATACACTGAATTATTATGACCATGTCCACACTGGTTCTGCAGAGTTGGTGGATAGAAAGATTTAGCAGGCTTGATTTATAAAGCGTCCTCTACGATGGGAAATAGCAGGCAGCCCTGCTGATTGTTGGCCATTTTAACAAGTCCAACCTCAGGCAAAGAATTTCCTTTACAACTCGTCTGTCAGACAGTGTGGCCTTAGTAGCATCTTTAGGTGTATATGGGTCTAGAAGCAATAAAAGTGTTATGACATCCAACACTTTCCCATATTTGGTTTATTCCATAGATATCTCATTTCGTTAGCTTTTTGTGTCTTTTTTCCCTCCCTGTGCTTTTTCTCTTTCAGTTACCATGGAAACAATTTCCCTGGTAGGGGAGGAGCCTAATGGCATCCAGGAGTGTGAAGTAAAGTCAATTTATATCGTGGTTTGTGAAATATTGGGAGTTTGTAATGGTTGTTATCACCACATATGGTAAATCAATCTCTCCCTAGAGCAAATTTCTAAATATTGATATAAGTATGGGAGTGATGGAATTATATAGAATCATGCATCTCAGCAACTTGCATAGCAACCTTGAAGATGTACATGTCTATTTTGTCTTGCTTATATAAATAAAATATAGAAAATAGATAAATTGTATTATTTATATTTTTAATATATTTTAAATTCTCCAAAGGCATCCATTGGCCCCTAACAAAATGTATATGGTTGTTTTAATTATACGAATTAAAGAAGTCCTGTCTAATCACTTAAAAAGTTTGTATGTGTGTGTAAATGTGTAATTTTTTACATGTAGCTTATATATAGCATAGTAGCTATGCCATCTTCACTCTCACCACTATCATTCTCACTTTAAATCAACTGGTATTTGGATAACCATGTTAATTCAGAAAATGCAGGCTTTAAAACTTTGTCAAAACATGAGCATTTCACATAAGCAAGTAAGGTGATTACATTTTCAGGTTTTAAAATAGCCTGGTTTGTCCCCCTTGTCTAACCAAAATTTGTTTATTTGGTTTCGCTTGTAGCTTTTTCTGCTTTCTGTTTTCTCTGAAAGAGCCGTGAATGATGAGACGACAAAATATTGGATTATTTGTGCTCTTGAAACAGATGCCACCTGAGTTGTGACAGGTATTTTAAGTATAATCTTCTGCATTCACTTAACACTCTCATTTGAAAATTTTCAAACCTTGGGCATATTCTTGTTCATTTACCACTGAAATGAGTCACCTCTTGGGTGTGAAGAGAAAGCTAGGAATAAAATGGGAACAAGGAATGCAGGTGTAAGGGAACAGTAACAGAGAAATCGGAAGTATCTTGCAAAGTTTAACTGGCTCCAAATGCAGATGTAGAACAACCAGGGAGAGTGGGATAGTTTGATTTTTTTTTTTCCTGAAAGAGCACCCTACATTAACGTCAATAAACATAGAAATTATGGCTTTAGCTGACATTTTAGCAGCAAGCATTCTTCTTAAAATATTTCTGTTTGGTACTGTACTCACATGTTTCCCTGCTGTGGAACATGGTCAGAGGCTGGCTGCATCTTTGAAATGTTGTGTAATCTCATTCTCTTTTTGGATTTGGGTAAGTACTTAATATTTTAGTATCTTTTAAGATAAAGATTCTTTAGTTTGAAAAGGGTAGCTGGGGAAAAAAAATTTAAAGTAAACCTTCTCAAATATGGTTTGAAATTTTTACAAATATAATTTTAAGAACTAGAAAATGAAATTCTATGCATTTAAAGACAAGAAGGGGAAGACTGGAGGGAGGGGATGGAAGAAAGTCCAGGGTGATTGTTTGACTTATTTTAAAAAGTGCCTCTGATTTCAGGAGAAATTAGGAGTCACAACTCTCAATATCATGGTATTTCTTCTTTCTCCTGCCCCAAGAAATGCTGTTTAAAGAGGAACCACCATTTCTTCCTTGCTTTGTTTATATCATAAAAGTTGGTTTTCCAATTGCCTCTAAAGAGTAAATTCAGTGATATGTTTGTTGCAATGTTATGGAATCTGACACACCCAAAGAGCAGGTTCAGAACAGTGCCTGCATCCTGTACAGGTTGGAGAAGTGAGCCCCCACCCAGAGAAGGCCTGAGGCTGGTGCACAGAGCATGAGGCACACTAGCCAGGCTGAGTTGGGAGAATAGTCTTTGCTTCTGAGATCAGTTATTATGCAAGAAGGGCTTGATAATCCAATTCTCCTTCCAGAGAAACATGTTTCGGCACAGCCGAGATGTTCAGAGTGATCATTTTCCCAGAGCAGACAGATGATGTCCAGCCTTGTCTTTGATAGATTTTACAACACATAGTATAAAAATAAAGAACTTATTTGCTACATCTGCCAGCTTCACTGTGTGCCCATCTTCACTATTGGATAAATCCAGTGGATTTTTTTTTTTCACACACATGCTTTTTATTCTCATTTTTAATTATCTATAAGCCTGGAACTGTGCCTGAAATGAGGCAAAGCTGTGGCTGGGCCATTCATCTACTCTGGAGGTAAATCATGGCAGGAAGAGGTGTGTCTTCCTTGGCTCTTTTCTCTGATAGAACATAGGCCAGCAATGATATTCATTTGGATCTCTCCAGTGAGAGCCAATTTTGGTATCGGCATATATCAGAGAACAGATGCTATTGCTCAGTGTATTTTTACTGTTTTAAACAAGGCCAATGAAATCAGGATATTTACCATTGTCTCAGCACCATAGCGTAGGCGATACCCATCAGGCAGGAGATAAGGATGTTAATTTAGGGAATATCTGAATTCATGACTCAAGGTTAATGAAAGAGAGAATATTGGTTTTGCTTTTTTTCCCCCTTTTTAAAATGAGAAACTTGCACTTTTTAACAATACAGCATTTAATAAGTAAAATTAGAAAGAGTCCAAAATTCTCTCTCTGTGTTTGTCAATTGTTTGTTTGGCTTTGGTTTTAAATAGATATGGATCATGAATGATTTGAGAAAAAGGAAATATTCAGGAGCTTGAATATGGTGCAGAGCATAGTTCATTGTCTTCTTCAAAAATGCTTCTGACCACAAACATGGGTAGATTCATGCACAGCAAGCCAGAAGGAGATACCTCACTTTCTAATTTTTGGTTACGGTGCCTTGGTGATCTGCACCTAATTCATGTTAGCTTCATTTCTATGCCTCCTATTTAAAAGATTTGCAATTTCTTCTGAACCTATGGATTATATTGAAGGAAATTTAAAAAAATAAAGATCTGCAATTTACCTCAGAACATCCAGCTCCACTTATGAGTTGGAGCAATGGAGACCCTTTCTTCTCCTCGTGGCAAGAGAGACATAGTGGACAGATTTAGGTAGTAAGAGAAAGGGCATTCTGATGCCCAGGAAATCAGTGAAAGGATGAAGACAGAGAAGGGATTAAAGTGGTAGGTATAAATAAATGAGTTGGAATTACAAAAAGGAAGACATCATAAAGACAGAAACAGGCAAGTCTGGGATGCACAGGATGAGAGGCCTTATGAGTAGATGTGTGAGCGTCATGCCATGAACACTGCCAGGGTGTCCAGAGATGCTCCAGATGGGTGTTTGCTGCATGATGCAGGGGCAAGCCCAGGATGGAATTGGCAAGCTAAGAAGACCAAGCAGCATCTGAGTTCTTATAATTCGGTTAGGTCTGATTTTCTTTCTAATTAAACTCTTTTATATTAAGGTAATTTTAAATTCACATACAATTACATGAAAGAATACAGAGAGTTCATATATTCTTTATCCAGGTTCTCCTAGTGATAACATCACACAGAACTGTAGTACAGTATCCCAATCAAGACATCGTTATTGAAATAGTTAATATGCAGAATATTTTCATCACCATCAGATCCTTCAGGTGGCCATTGTCTACTCACATCTGTTTTCATTCCTCCCCATCCTTTCCTTACCCTTGGTAACCACTATTCTTTATTTCTATAATTTTGTCATTTCTATTATGTTACATAATAGTATCATATAGTATGTAACCTTTGGGTATTGAGTATTTTTTCTCAGCATCATTCTCTGGAGATTCATTCAGGTTGTTTTATGTATCAATAATCTGTGCCTTTTTATTGCTAAATAGTATTTCATGGTGTGAATGTACTGACTCTTTAATCGTTCACCCACCTAAAGACATCTGAGTTTTTTCCAGTTTTGGTCTGCTATAAATTACTAGCCAAAATAATTCATAGTTTATAAATAAGCTTCTATAAACTTTACATACAGGTTTCATGTAAATGTAAGTCATTGTTTGTCTAGGGTAAGTATCCAGGAGTACAATTGCTAGGTTGTGTAGTAGTTGCATGTTGAAATTTTTAAGAAATAACAAAACTGTTTCCAAAATGGCTGTATTATTTCACATTCCCACCATGAGTGCATGAGTGACTCAGTTTCTATGCATCCTTACCAGGTTTTGGTGTAGTAACTATTTTTTATACTAGCGATTCTGTTTGGTATGGAGTAATAACTTGTTGTGGTTTTTAATTTGCATTTCCCCATTGGCTAATGCTATTGATCATCTTTTCTTTTTTTTATTTCCAACTTTTATTTTAAGTTCAGTGGTACATATGCAGGATGTGCAGGTTTGGTACATAGGTAAACATATGCCATGGTGATTTACCGCACAGATCATCCCCATCACCCAGGCATTAAGCGCAGCACCCATTAGCTATTCTTCCTGATGCTCTCCCTCCTCCCACCCCTCACCCTCTGAGAGTGTGTGTTGCTCTTCCTACCAAGTGTCCATGTGTTCTCATAATTCAGCTCCCACTTATAAGTAAGAGTATGTGGAATCTGGTTTTCTGTTCCTGTGTTAGTTTGCTAAGGATAATGGCTCCCAGCTCCATCCATGTTCTTGCAAAGGACATGATCGCATTCCTTTTTATGGTTGTATAGTATTCCATGGTGTACATGTACCAAATTTTCTTCATCCAGTCTATCATTGATCAGCATTTAGGTTGGTTCCATGTCTTTACTATTGTGAATAGTGCTGCAATGAACATATGCATACATGTATCTTTATAATATAATGATTTATATTCCTTTGGCGATATACACTGTAATGGGATTGCTGCATCAAATGGTATTTCTGCCTCTAGATCTTTGAGGAATCATCACCCTTTCTTCCACAATAGTTTAACTAATTTACACTCCCACCAACAGTGTAAAAGCGTTCATTTTTCTTCATAACCTTACCAGTATCTGTGGTTTCCTGACTTTTTAATGGTTGCCCTTCTAACTGGTGTGAGATGGTATTTCACTGTGGTTTTGATTTGCATTTCTCTAATGACCAGTGATGATGAGCTTTTTTTCATATGTTTGTTGCCCGCATAAATGTCTTCTTTTGAGAAGTGACTGTTCATATCCTTTGCCTACTTTTTGATGAGGTTGTTTTATTTCTTGTAAATTTGCTTAAGTTCCTTGTAGATTCTGGATATTAGCCCTTTGTCAGATGGATAGATTTCAAAAATGTTCTCCCATTCTGTAGGTTGCCTGTTTACTCTGATGATAGTTTCTTTTGCTGTGCAGAAGCTCTTTAGTTTAATTAGATCCCATTTGTCAATTTTGGCTTTTGTTGCAATTGCTTTTGGTGTCTTTGTCACAAAATCTTTGCCCGTGCCTCTGTCCTGATGGTATTTACTAGGTTTTCTTCTAGAGTTTTAAAGTTTGGGGTTTTACATTTAAGTATTTAATCCATCTTGAGTTGATTTTTGTATAAGGTGTAAGGAAGGTGTCTAGTTTCAATTTTCTGCATGTAGCAAACCAGATCTTCCAGCATGATTTATTAATTAGGGAATCATTTCCCATTGCTTCTTTGTGTCAGGTTTGTCAAAGATCAAATGGTTGTAGTTGTTCTGTCTTATTTCTGGGTTCTTTATTTGGTTCCATTGATCTATGTGTTTGTTCTTGTACAAGTCCATGTTGTTCTGGTTACTGCAGCCCTGTAGAATAGAAAGTTGGGTAGCATGATGCCTCCAGCTTTAATCATTTTTCTTAGGGTTGTCTTGGCTATTTGGGCTCATTTTGGTTCCACATGAGTTCTAAAATATTTTTTTCTAATTCTGTGAAGAATGTCAATGGTAGTTTTATGGGAATCTATCAATCGTTTTGGGTAGTATGGCCATTTTCACAATTTGATTCTTTCTATCCATGAGCATGGAATGTTTTTCTATTTGTTTGTGTTATTTCTGATTTCTTTGGGCAGTGGTTTGTAGTTCTCCCTGAAGAGATCCTTAACTTTCCTTGTTAGCTGTATTTGAGGTATTTTATTCTTTTTTGTGGGAATTGTGAATGGGAGTTCATTTGTGATTTTGCTCTTGGCTTGCTTGTTGGTGGTGTATAGGAATGCTAGAAATATTTGCATATTGATCCTAAGACTTTTTTGAAGTTGCTTACCAGCTTAAGAAGCTTTTGGGCTGAGACGATGGGGTTTTCTAGATGTAGGATCATGTCATCTGCAAACAAAAATAGTTTGACTACCTCTCTTCCTATTTGAATACCTTTATTTCTTTCTTTTGCCTGATTGCCCAGCCAGAACTTCCAATACTATGTTGAATAGGAGTGGTGAGAGAGAAAAACTTTGTCTTGTGCTGGTTTTTCACAGGGAATATGTCTAGTTTTTGTCCATTCAGTATGATGTTGGCTGAGGGTTTGTCATATATGGCTCTTATTATTTTGAGGTATGTTCCTTCAATCCCTAGTTTTTTGAGAGTTTTTAATATGAAAGGATGTTAAATTTTATTGAAGGCCTTTACTGCATCTAGTGAGATAATCATGTGGTTTTTATCTTTAGTTTTGTTTATGTGATGTGATGAATCGCATTTATTTATTTGCATATGTTGAAGCAGCCTTGCATCCCAGGAATGAAGCCTACTTGATTGTGGTGGATAAACTTTTTGATGTGCTGCTGGATTTGGTTTGCCAATATTTTGTTGAGGATTTTTGCATTGATGTTCATCAAAGATATTGACCTGAAGTTTTCTTTTTTGTTGTACCTCTGCCAGGTTTTGGTATCAGTATGATGCTGGCCTCATAGAGTGATTTAGGGAGGAGTCCCTTCTCCTCAATTTTTTGCAATAGTTTCAGTAGAAATGGTACCAGCTCTTCCTTGTACCTCTGGTAGAATTCAGCTGTAAATCTATCTGGTCCTGGGCTTATTTTTGGTTGGTAGGCTATTTATTACCTCAATCTCAAAACCTGTTATTGGTCTATTCAGGGATTTAACTTCTTCCAGGTTGAGTCTTGGTAGAATGTATGTGTCCAGGAATTTATCCATTTCCTCTAGCTTTTCTGATTTGTGAGGATAGAGGTGTTCCTAGTAGTTTCTGATTGTTATTTTTATTTCTTGTGGGGTCAGTGGTAACATTCTCTTCATTATTTCTAACTGTGCTTATTTGAAACTTCTCTCTTCTTTATTAGTCTAGCTAGCAGTCTATATATTTTATTAATTTTTTCAAAAAAATAGCTCCTGAATTCATTGATTTTTTTGAAAGGTTTTTCGTGTCTCTATCTTCCTCAGTTCAGCTCTGATCTTGGTTATTTCTTGTATTTTGCTACCTTTGGGGTTTGTTTGCTCTGGGTTTTCTAGATTTTTTAGTTGTGATGTTAGATTGTTAACTTGAGATCTTTCTAGCTTTTTGATGTGGGCATTTAGTCCTATAAATTTCCCTCTTAACACTGCTTTAGCTTTGTCCCAGAGATTCAGCTACATTATCTCTTTGGTCTCATTAGTTTCAAAGAACTTCTTGATTTCCGCCTTAATTTAATTATTTACCCAAAAGTTATTCAGGAGCAGGTTGTTCAATTTCCGTGTAGCTGTATGGTTTTGAGTAATTTCTTAATCTTGAGTTCTAATTTGCTTGTGCTGTGGTCTGAGAGACTGTTTCTGTTTGCTATTTTTTCAGTTCTTTTGTATTTACTGAGGAGTGTTTTACTTCCTATTATGTGATCAATTTTAGAGTAAGTGCCTTGTGGCAATGAGAAGAATGTATATTATGTTGGTTTCGGGTGGAGAAGTCTGTAGATGTCTATCGGGCCCACTTGTTCCAGAGCTGAGTTCAGGTCCTGAATATCTTGGCGGATTTTCTGTCTCAGTGATCTCTCCAATATTGTCACTGGGGTGTTAAAGTCTTCCACTATTATTGTGTGCGAGTCTAAGTCTCTTTGAAGGTCTCTAAGAACTTGCTTTATGAATCTAGGTGCCCCTGTATTGGATGCATATATATTTAGGATAGTTAGCTCTTCTTGTTTAATTGAACCCTTTACCATTATGTAATGTCCTTCTCTGTCTTTTTTGACCTTTGCTGATTTAACCTCTGTTTTGTCAGAAACTAGGATTGTGATTCCTGTTTGGCAAATTTTCCTCCATCCTTTTAGAAAAATTGGTAAATTTCCCTCCATCCCTATATTTCAAGCTCATGTATGTCTTTGCAAGTGAGATGGGTCTCTTGAAGAGAGCATACTGATGGGTCTTGGTTCTTTATCTAGCTTGCCATTCTGTGTCTTTTAACTGGGGCATTTATCCCATTTACATTTAAGGTTAGTATCGTTATGTGTGGATTTGATCCTGTTATGATTCCAGCTGGTTATTTTGCAGACTTGTTTATGTGGTTGCTTCATAGTGTCACTAGTCTATGTACTTAAGTGTGTTTTTGTAGTGGCTGGTAATGGATTTTCCTTTCTATATTTAGTGCTTCCTTCAGGAGCTCCTGTAAGGGAGGTCTGGTAGTAACAAATTCCCTCAGCATTTGCCTGTCTGAAAAGAATCTTATTTCTCCTTCACTTATAAAGCTTAGTTTGACTGAAAATGAAATTCTGGGTTGGAAATTCCTTTCTTTAAGTATGTTGAATATTGACCCCCAATCTCTTCTGGCTTGCAGGGTTTCAGCTGAAAGTTCTGCTATTAGTAATGGACTTCCTTTTGTAGGTGACCTGGGCTTTCTTTCTGGCTACTCTTAAAATTTTTTCTTTCATTTCAACCTTGGAGAATCTGATGATTGTGTGTCTTGGGGATGATCTTGTCATAGAGTATCTTACTGGGATTCTCCACATTTCCTGAATTTGATTGTTGGCCTGCCTTGCTAGGTTCAGGAAATTCTCCTGGATGATATCCTGAAATATGTTTTCCAAATTGGTTCCATTCTGCCCATCTCTTTTAGGTACCTCAATCAGTTGCAGATTCAGTCTCTTTACATAATCCTCTATTTCTTAGAGGGTTTTTTCATTCCTTTTCATTCTTTTTTTCTCTATTCTTGTCTGCCTGTCTTATTTCAGAAAGATCATCTTTAAGCTCTAAGACTTTTTCCTCCACTTTATCTATTCCGCTATTAATACTTGTTATTGCACTGTGAAGTTCTTGTAGTGTGCTTTTCAGCTCTATCAAATCAGTTATATTCCTCTCTAAACTGGCTATTTTGGCTGTCAGCTCCTGCATTGTTTTATCATGATTCTTAGCTTTTTTCCATTGGGTTACAACATTCTCTTTTAGCTCAGCAAAGTTTGTTTTTATCCACGTTCCGAAGCCTGCTTCTGTCATGTCAGACATCTCATCCTCAGCCCAGTTCTGAGCCCTTGCTGGGGAGGTGTTGCAGTCATTTGGAGGAAAAGGGGCACTCTGGATTTTTGAGTACTCAGCATTTTTCCCTTGATTCTTTCTCATCTTCCTGGGCTTATCTACCTCAGATCTTTAAGGTTGGTGACCTTTGGATAGGGTTTTTGTAATTTGTTGTTGTTGTTTTCTGTTTGTTTGTTTTTCTTTTAACAGTCTGGCCACTGTCCCATAGGGCTGCTGGGGTTTGCTGGGGGTCTGTTCCAGACCCTAGTTGCCTCAGTTTTTCCCATACCTGGAGGTATCACCAGTAAAGTCTGCAAAACAGCAAAGATGGCAGCCTGCCCCTTCCTCTGGAAGCTCTGTCCCCTTGTCCCAAGGGGGTACTGACCTGTAACTGGTCCAAATGTGCCTGTAGGAGGTGGCTGGAGACCTCAGTTGGAAGGTGTCACCCAGTCAGGAGGAACAGGATTAGAAATCCACTTAAAGAAACAGTCTGGCTGCTGTTTGGTAGAGCAGTTGTGCTGTGTTGGGAATCCCTTCAGCTCCTGATCAGTTTGGGCTCTCCAAGGCCCACAGTCTGGACTGGCTGAGATGCCTGAACAGCCAAGGTGGCAGCCTACCCTGCCCCTTAGGCACTCCAACCCAGGGAGAAATTTTAACTCTGTCTGCTATAGAACATGGGCAGGGGTGGCTGGAGGCCCTGGCTAGGAGGACTCGCCCACAAGGAGGAGTGGATAGGATCCTGCTTAAAGCAGCAGTCTGGCCATGCCTCAACAAAACAGCCCTGTTGTGCTGGAGAATCACCTCTGCCCCTGTCTGCTTGGACTCTCTATGGCCCACAGGCTGGAACAGCTGAGTCATCCAAACAACAAAGATGGTAGCCCACACCTTCTCCCCGCCAATCCTCGCCCCTCCACCACAGCACTCCATCCCAGGGAGAGATCAGAGCTCTGTCCATAGAGTATGTGCAGGTGAGGGTGGCTGAAGGCCTCAGCAGGGAGATATCATCCGGTGAGATAGCGGTCTGCTTAAAGAAGCAGTCTAAGCATACCTTGACAAAACAGCCCTTTCATGCTGGGGAGCCACTTCTGCCCCCAGCCGCTTGAACTCTCCAAAGCCCACAGGCTAGAATGGCTGAGTGGTCCACACAACCAAGGTGGCGACCTGCCTCTCCCCGCTGGCACTTTCTTCCAGGGAGAGATCAGAGCTCTGTTTGTAGAATGCGGGTGGGGATGGCCGGAGGCCTTGGCTGGGAGATCCCGCCCAGTGAGGCAGAATAGATCGGGGTCCTGCTTAAAGAAGCAGTCTGGCCACGTTTTGGTAAAGCAGCCATGCTGTGCTGGGGGGAACCTACCTCACTGCGACCATTTGGACTCTTCAAAGCCCTCTGGCTGGAATGTCTTGAGTTGACTGAAAAGGGGATGGTGGCCCACCCCTCCCTGCTGGGGTTCTGTCCTGTGTCAGGCAGACCGCATCTTGTTGCCAGTGGCTGGCTAGAATTCCAAGCCAGTGAGTTCTATCTTGTGAGGTGCTGTGGAAGTGGGGCCCGCGGACCAACACTGCTTAGGCCCCTGGGTTCAGCTCCCTTCTTAGGGGTATATATGGACCTCCCACCTTGTCTGAGCTGCAGACATCTTTTCCGGGGGTCCTGGGGCTGGAATGTAAAACTCCTGAGTCTCTGTGCATGCCTGAGAAGCTGCTCTGCTGAGATTCCACACAGCTGTGTATGTCAGACCCAAGGCACTGGTGGTGTGGGCCCACAGGTGGACCTCCTGATCTGCGGGTTGCAAAGATCAATGGGAGAAGCATGGTTTTCCAGGGTTGTACAATCATTCATTGCTTCCCTTTGCTGGGGGTGGTGATTCCCTTGGCTCCATGTCACTCCCAGGCGGGCCATCACCCCACACTGCTTTTCCTCATTGTCTCAGTGGGTCAAGTTGTTTCTCTGATCAGTCTCAATGTGAGTACCTGGATATTTCAGTTGAAGGTGCCATATGCACTCGCCCCTTTCGTTCCTCTCCATGAGTGCCGCAGACTGCAGTTGCTTCTAATTGGCCATCTTGGACCCCTCCTTATCATCTTTTCATGTGATTGTTTTAGGTAAATGTCTCTTCATGTCTTTTGTACTTTGTCCAGTTGGATTGTTTTTACTGTTGAGTTTTGGAAATTCCTTATATATTCTAGACATTAGTATTTAGATGAATTGTTTGCAAATATTTTCTCCCACTGCATAGCTTGTCTTCATCATCTTTTCAGTCTTTCACTGAAAAAGTTTTCAACTTGTCAATATTTTATTTTATAGATCATGCTTTCATTGTGAAATTCATGCTTAGTCCTGTATCCTAATGAGTGTTCTCATGTTTCTTATTAAAAAAGTTTTATAGTTTTACATTTTGCATTTTTAATGAGATGTGAAGCATAAATTGAGGTTTTCCTTTTCTTTTCTTTTTTTTTTTTTTTTTTTTGCCTGTGGATGTCTAATTGTTCCTGCACCACTTGTTGGAAAGGCTGTCTTTCCTGCAATGAATTGCTTTTGCACCTTTGTCAAACTCAGTTGAGCATATTTGTGTGGGTGGGTCTATTTCTGAATTTCTTGTTCTATTTCATTGATTTATGCCTGTATCCCACTGCCAGAACCATACAGTTTTGATTACCATAGCTACATAGTAAGTCTTAAAGTCAAGTAGGCTGATACCTTTCATCTTTTATAAAATTGTTTTTGCTATTCTAGTTTCTTTACCTTTTCATATAAATTTTAGAAAATTTTTGTATCTATACAATATATTGCTGGGTTTTGATAGAAATTGTATTAAACCTATCTGTCAATTTAGGGAGTATTGACATACTATGTTGAGTCTTCCAATCCATAAAGCCCCGTGCCTCTCCATTTACTTAGATTTTTTAAAAATTTCTTTCATCAGTGTTGCATAGTTTTCAGCATACAAATCTTATACATATTTTGGTAGATTTACACTTAAGTATTTCCTTTTTTATTTTTTAAACAATTGTAAATAATATATTTTAATTTTTCTATCTACACCTTCATTGCTAGTATATAGAAATACGAGTTTTTTTATTTTCAATTTCAATACAATTATTTTATATTTATAGACCCTTTGAATATGCTAAACTTGTTTCTTAGTTTTTTTAATTTTCAATTTCAATACAATCGTTTTATATGTATATACCCTTTGAATATGCTAAACTTATTTCTTAGTTCTAGGCATTTTAAAAAATTCTTTTGAACTTTCTACATAGACAATCATGTCATACAAATAGGGACAATTTTCTTTCATCCTTTTTAATCTGTAAGAATTTTACTTCCTTTTCTTGTCTTATTGTTCTGGTCAGAACTTACAGCACTATGTTGAAAAGGGTGATAGGAGAGGACATCTTTGCCTTGTACCTAATCTTATGGGGAAAGCATTGACTATTTTGCCATTAAGTATAGTGTTAGCTGTAGGTTTTCTTATGGATGGTCTTTATCAAATTGAGGAAGTTTCCCTCTATTACTATTTTCCTGGGAGTGATTTTTTGTTTGCTTGTTTTGTTTTTATTATGAATCTGCACTGAATTCTGTCAAATGCTTTTTCTGCATTGACTGATATGGTCATGTTATTTTTCTTCTTTAGTCTATTAATGTGGTAGATTATATTGATTGACTTTCAAATATTGAACCAGCCTTGTATCTTTGAATAACTACCATGTGATCATGGTGTATGGTTGGTTTTATGTATTGATAAATTATATTTGCTATTTTTTTTAAAGCTTTCTGTGTCATGAGGTATCTTGGTCTGTGGCTTTCTATTTTTGTACTGTCTTTGGGTGAATTTGTTATCAGGGTAATATTAGCTTCATAAAATGAATTGGAAGGTGTTCCATTCTCTTCCAGTTTCTGGAAAACTTTATATAGAAATGGTGTTAATTTTTCTTTAAACAATTAATATAATTCTCCATTGAAACTACATAGGCCTACAGTTATCATTTGGGGGAGTTTTTAAATTACAAATTCAATAGTTATGTGGCTATTCAGATTACATATTTCATGTTGGTTAAGTTGTGATAGATTTTTTTTTATTGAGAACTGGTCCATTTTATCTAAGTTGTCAAATTTATGTGTATAGAATTGTTGTAGAATTTACTTCTTTTTTTGCTGTCTGTAGGTCTGTAGTAATACTCCTGTTTCATTTTTGATATTAGTAATTTGTATCTTCTCTATTTTTGGTAACACTTGCTAGAAGATTGTTAATTTTATTGATCTTTTCAAGTAACTAGCTTTTTGTTTTATTTATCTTTTCTATTTTTTTTTGGCTTTCAATCTCATTAATTTATGATTTTATATTCATTATTTCTTCCATCTGTTGGTTTGGGTTTATTATACTCTTATTTTCCTAGGCACTTGAGTTGGATACTCAGATGTTTTCAGCATTTTCCTCTGTTTTTAATTTATAAATGTAGTGTGATAAATTTTCCCCTCAGACTGCCATGGTTGTATTGCAGCAATTTTGACAAATTATGTTTTTAGTTTTATTCAGTTCAATGTATTATTTTTTCAATTTCTGTGGAGACTATTTTTTTTTTGACCACAGGATATTTTGGGTCGTTTAGTTTCCAGATATTTTGAGTGTTTCCTGTTATCTGTCTATGACTAGTTTCTAGTTTGATTCCACTGGGTCACAGAACACACTCTCTATGATTTCAATACTTTTAAATCTGTTGAGGCTTGTTTTATAATCCAGTATGTGTTCTATCTTTGTATATGCTTTATGGGCACTTGAAAATAATGTGTATTCTTATGTTGTTGAGTGGACTGTTTCATGAACGTTAATTAGGTCTTATTGGTTAATGGTATTTTTGACTTCGTTTGTTTCCTTGCTGATTTTCTGCCTATTTGTTCTATCAGTTGTTGAGAGAGGAATGTTGAAGTCTCCAACTATAACTGTGGATGTATTTCTCTCTCTTTTTTCTAAATTATACTTTAAGTTCTAGGGCACATGTGCACAACATGCAGGTTTGTTACATATGTATACATGTGCCATGTTGCTGTGCTGCACCCATTAACTTGTCATTTATATTAGGTATTTCTCCTAATGTTATCCCTCCCCACTCCCCCCACCCCACGACAGGTCCTGGTGTGTGATGTTCCCCACCCTGTGTCCAAGTGTTCTCATTGTTCAGTTTCTACCTATGAGTAAGAAAATGCGGTGTTTGGTTTTCTGTCCTTGAGATAGTTTGCTCAGAATGATGGTTTCCAGCTTCTTCCATGTCCTTACAAAGGACATGAACTCATCCTTTTTTATGGCTGCATAGTATTCCATAGTGTATATGTGCACCATTTTCTTAATCCAGTCTATTATCGATGGACATTTGGGTTGGTTCCAAGTCTTTGCTATTGTGAATAGTGCTGCAATAAACATATGTGTGCATGTGTCTTTATAGCAGCATGATTTATAATCCTTTGGGTATATACCCAGTAATGGGATCACTGAGTCAAATGGTACTTCTAGTTCTAGATCCTTGAGGAATTGCCACACTGTCCTCCACAATGGTTGAACTAGTTTACAGTCCCACCAACAGTGTAAAAGTGTTCCTATTTCTCAACGTCCTCTCCAGCACCTGTTGTTTCCTGACTTTTTAATGATTGCCATTCTAACTGGCATGAGATGGTATCTCATTGTGGTTTTGATTTGCATTTCTCTGATGGCCAGTGATGATGTGTGTTTTTTCATGTGTCTGTTGGCTGCATAAATGTCTTCTCTTGAAAAGTGTCTGTTCATATACTTCGCCCAATTTTTTATGCAGTTGTTTGATTTTTTCTTCTAAATTTGTTTGAGTTCATTGTAGATTCTTGATATTAGCCCTTTGTCAGATGGGTAGATTGCAAAAATTTTCTCCCATTCTGTAGGTTGCCTGTTCACTCTGATGGTAGTTTCTTTTGCTGTGCAGAAGCTCTTTAGTTTAATCAGATCCCATTTGTCAATTTTGGCTTTTGTTGCCATTGCTTTTGGTGTTTTAGTCATGAAGTCCTTGCCCGTGCCTATGTCCTGAATGGTATTGCCTAGGTTTTCTTCTAGGGTTTTTATGGTTTTAGGTCTACAATTTAAGTCTTTAATCCATCTTGAATTAATTTTTGTATAAGGTGTAAGGAAGGGGTCCAGTTTCAGCTTTCTACATATAGCTAGGCAGTTTTCCCAGCACCATTTATTAAATAGGGAATCCTTTCCCCATTGCTTGTTTTTGTCAGGTTTGTCAAAGATGAGATGGTTGTAGATGTGTGGTGTTATTTCTGAGGGCTCCGTTCTGTTGCATTGGTCTATATCTTTGTTTTGGTACCAGTACAATGCTGTTTTGGTTTCTATAGCTTTGTAGTATAGTTGGAAGTCAGGTAGCATGATGCCTCCAGTTTTGTTCTTTTGGCTTAGGATTGTCTTGGCAATTCGGGCTCTTTTTTGGTTCCATATGAACTTTAAAGTAGTTTTTTCCAATTCTGTGAAGAAAGTCACTGGTAGCTTGATGGGGATGGCATTGAATCTATAAATTACCTCGGGCAGTATGGCCATTTTCATGATATTGATTCCTCCTATCCATGAGCACAGAATGTTCTTCCATTTGTTTGTGCCCTTTTTGATTTTGTTGAGCAGTGGTTTGTAGTTCTCCTTGAAGAGGTCCTTCACATCCCTTGTAGGTTGGATTCCTAGGTATTTTATTCTCTTTGCAGCAATTGTGAATGGGAGTTCACTCATGATTTGGCTCTGTGTTTGTCTGTTATTGGTGTATAAGAATGCTTGTGATTTTTGCACATTGATTTTGTATCCTGAGACTTTGCTGAAGTTGCTTATCAGCTTAAGGAGATTTGGGGCTGAGATGATGGGGTTTTCTAAATATACAGTCATGTCATCTGCAAAGGGGGACAATTTGACTCCCTCTCTTCCTAATTGAATATTTTTTATTTCTTTCTCCTTCCTGATTGCCGTGGCCAGAACTTCCAACACTGTGTTGAATAGGAGTGGTGAGAGAGGGTATCCCTATCTTGTGCCAGTTTTCAAAGGGAATGCTTCCAATTTTTGCCCATTCAGTATGATATTGGCTGTGGGTTTGTCATAAATAGATCTTATTATTTTGAGATACATCCCATCAATACCTAGTTTATTGAGAGTTTTTAGCATGCAGGGCTGTTGAATTTTGTCAAAGGCCTTTTTTTGCATCTTTTGAGATAATCATATGGTTTTTGTCTTTGGTTCTGTTTATATGATGGATTACATTTATTGATTTGTGTATGTTGAACCAGCCTTGCATCCCAGGGATGAAGCCAACTTGATCGTGGTAGATAAGCTATTTGTGCTGATGGATTCAGTTTGCCAGTATTTTATTGAGGATTTTTGCATCGATGTTCATCAGGGATATTGGTCTAAAATTCTCTTTTTTTGTTGTGTCTCTGCCAGGCTTTGTTTTAAGTGTGTTTGTAGTTTCTCATTGAATCGTTATTACCCTGGCTGCTTTAAAATTTTGTCAGATTATTCAAATGCTTTTCATTCATTTTGAGAACCCTTTGGTTATTAGTATTATGAGTAATTTTTTGGAAAACTGAATGTTTTTGTATTTATCTTATGAGACTCTGGATCTTATTTTATTCATTTTTAGCTTCTTAATACACTCCAGCAGGGGAAGGAGAAGGCTACCTTGTTACTACCAGGTGGAGGTAGAAGCCCAGGTTCTTCACTGGCCTCCATTTACCCCTGAGTGTGTGTGTGTGGTGGGGAGATGATTTCTGGTCCTGCTGGGCTGCTGAACAGGAGCAGAAGGTTTGACTTTCCAACTGTTCTCCACTGACACCATGTTGGGAGCAATTGCAATGCAGGGTGTAGAAGTTCGGGATCCCCTATTGTCTGTACATTTGCCACTAATACCATGAAGGAAGAAAGGAGTCCTTCATCAGCTAGTGAGCATGAAAGTTCCAGCTACTTCCTTTGCCTTCTCTGACACCAACGCAGTGGGGGTTTTGGACCATTTGTCACAGCCACAGGAGGGTGGAAGTCTGAGCTTCTCATTTAGCCTTTACTATCACGGGTGGTGCTGAGGCCTCAGTTTTTGTTTATTTGGTTTTGTTTATTTGTTGTTTGCTTTTCCATGATGTTTGGCTGGAGTAGAATAATGATTATCTAAAAGTTTTCCTTCTAGAGGCCACACCTTTCTTTGTCCTTTGACTAGACAGAGTGGGATCCTGCTGGGGCTTCTTTTGTCTGGGTCTTAGGTTTCTGGATTGCTGACTATTTCAGCTCCGTGTCTGAGAAATCCCAGGGAACTCATTATTGTGTCAGTCCCATGTCCTGAGATCCCTAGCTAGCCTGTCCTTTTGTCCCCACCTTCCAGAGTCTTGTTTTACTTAACATATAATGTCCATGGTTTGTCGTTGCATTTAGCAGGATGAATAGGAAATGTACACCTATTTCATGTTTCTGGGAGTGGACTTTTCAATGATATTTTATCACCAGGATTTTAATTAGGGTCTGCATCCTGAAGCAGGAAGCACTGGTGTCAGTTCCTGGAGGCCGTAAAGAAGACCACTCTAATGAGTTTCTAAACCCAGGAGACTGCTACTCCCTTCTGGCAACACCATGCCCTTTGGGACACACTAGGACATTTTTCACATGCAAGTGCATGATCTTATTTTCGTGAATATAGTTTGTGAAGTATAAACCAGTTTTCCCCTACTTTCTTTAAAACTGTTTACTCATCCTCATTAAGAACACTAAATATAAGGTCTCTAATAGTCCAAGAAGGATTGCAGCACCTATAAGACTAGAAGATTTGAGAATACATATGGATCTTGATATGTTCACCCGTAACCACAGAAAAGTATTTTAAAAAAAATACAACTCTTCCTGGTTGGGGGGAAGCAAAAGGAACTTGAAGAGAAGCTTGAGCAATGCTGGCAAATGTTTAAAAATCAGCATTTGGGGGAGGGGGGTCGGGGGTGGGTGGAAAGCTGCAATTTGTAATGTTTTCAATTCTGTAGTATAAATACTCTTATCATGGCTGATTTCAAGCCACCAATGTGCCAGCACTCATTGTGAAGTTGGGAAGAGATGCTAACAATTGGCTTTCACAAGTCAGGCTGTGCCAGCTCCCCTGCACCACCACAAGTGACAGCAACTGATAAAATTCTTTGAGAAAGAGGCTTCCTGCCCACCGCATTCCACTGTTCAGCTTCTAGAGGAATTGTCAGTAGAACTTCTACTAAATTTGGATACCTGGGGGTAAGATAGACCAAGCCTGTTCTACTACTGGACAATGGACAATCAAACTTGTTTCTAGAACTTCTGGGAATTCTATCCTATGACGATCATGGCATGGAAAGTAAAAATGACTGTATGTGTCAGTGTCAGAGAGGCCTAAGGAACTTTCACCAAGTCTCCTACAGAACAGAGAAGAGAGGCTATGATTTCCTTATGTTCCTGAGAAAGGCAAAGCATTTGTCTGAAAGCGAAAGCCAGGAGATCAAAGTAACTTCCCTGTCACAAGAGGAAACATGAGAGCAGAATTCAGCATGAGTTTTGTATATGGCAATCAAGTATATTCATGGCTATCTAAATGAATGTCCACGTAGAAGTCAGGCAGCACAAAGAACAAGATATAACAGCTGAACGTCCCACTGAAAACCAGCTAAGTGTTGATCACAACCATCAAAAAAATTCTTGTCTTTACTTACAGTGTGACTGTAACTTTCAGAAAGTAACACATCAGTAAAATGCAGGTAATAATGGTAGCTGCTTTTACTAGTGTGAAGGAATGCTTAAGTACATAGTTCCTAAAAGACAGTAAGATTTGAAAAATACATTATACGTGTATTTAAAAGGACTTAAGTATGTCTTGCAACTCTATCTTATTACAGAATCATTTGCTTTTAGGTATATCATTCTGCCTTCAAAAAGGAAGAGGAGCAAGTATTTTCAAGGGCAGGCACTGCTTTTTTATTCTGGAACCCTAGAGATTCAGACCAGGAAACCTGTTAGGATGAGGGCTTTTAAGGAGGCAGGAAGAGAGAAGCTGTGACTTGAAAACAGATGAATCCAGAAGTCACACACACAACTGTTCATCACCTAAGCTGGATATAAGATAATTTTTTATAGTATTTCATTCTTCTTTTCATTACATTGTAGTGTCCTTAAGTAAATCCATTAGCTTGTTTGGGATTAGAGACTATTGTGCTTTTGTTGATATTAACAACAACTTATAAAATGATACATTGTATGTGAGACTCATATATGTAGACAATGTGATGCTCTTGTACACAGAGAGTTAAAGCATGCAGGTGGACAGGGGTGAATGCTGGAGAAAGCGGGGCCAGGGAAGGTAAGTTGTGAGGGAGATATAAGGTCTAATCCAAGCTCTGTGACTGTGGTGTTTGTATTTAGTGGGAATTAAGACTAAATTATGTTTTGTAAAAGAAGTGAAATCTACTTCTTAATTTTTTAGCGCATTCATTGGTGGATTGGTGTCAGGGAAACGTTGCTGGATGGTATTTTGCATACTTAGGTAGTTCTTTGCAGTTCACTACTGTCCTCAAAACCAATCATTTCTTTAAACTGTGTAAAAAACATGATTCATTTAAAGAAAAGCATACTGTTGCTTTAGGGCCTTCAGTGATGTGTACAAAATACAAATTCAACAATTAAATTATGTTAAATTAAATTAACTCTGGCAGCTGTAATTTCCCTTAAAAAGCACAGCAGAGTATTGGGCATGAGAGAATGCCACTCGAAGCCTATTATTTTTTTCCAAAGGTGTCAGTTATTTAATCTTTTGATTCTCAAAATAATTAGTTTGCTCAAATATACGTTTTCTATTATTTAAATATTTCAAATTAAATATATCTATTTGGTATAGCTATAAACTTTTTCTACTTGACATTGTCAATCTATAGTAATAACTTGTCTATTTCAACTGAATCATTAGAAAACATCAACAACATATTAGAAGCACGTAACAATAATCTAGTAACTACCAACATAAACTAATTACTGCAAAAACAATTTGTCACCATATAATAGTGATTACAGCTTGCTTAAAATATATAATTCCATACTTTCATTTTAATCTAATATTCATAGAATATTATGTGTTTCTTGCAGTCTGGAACTACTTCATTTTCTGCACCTAGCAGTAGTTGACTTATTATATTTGTCATTTGGGTTGAATTGAATGAACACATGGTGCCAGAGATGGTGATTTCTCAGTTTTAGTTCTTACCCTTCAGTTCAAGTATCATATTCATCCTTAGGATTATTCTACTTTTTTGCATGTGTATTTTTTGTCTGAATTTCTGAATTTGATTTTAGACCACAAGTAGAGGATGTAATTGACATCAAAAATTAAGGATTACCTAGAACTATCAAAGTTACATTTGGGGATGATTGGAAACAATTCTGGCTGGTATATTTGGCAAATATCTTCATTTCATTCATCAGTTTCAATATGAATAATCATATTGAAAATTGGAGTCAGGCAACCTGGGTTATGGTCGTAGTTCTGACACTAGCTTGTTTTCTAAACTTGGGAAATTCACTTAATTTCTTTTTGTTTTATTTTACTCATTTGTAAACTGTGGATATTACGACTATCTGAAGTAATTTAGTTGTGAGGTTCTAAAATGAAATATTTATATAAAAATAGTTTAAAGGGGGAAACATTTATACCTGTTTTAATTTTCAAGTATATATATAAGTTGATTAATAAAACACATGGTTAACTTTTTTAATTTGAAGCACTGAAGTTCTTTTCTTATGTAAAGATTGTCATTTATCTTCTAGAAACCTAATAATAATGTGAAATATGATTTCATGCACACAATATTTAATATCTATTATATAAAGTCTTAAAAGGTACCAATGCTCTGTTTTCATAAAAAGTAAGTTTTACCAGATATCCTAACTGAGCCAGACATTCCCTGTTCCCAGAGCTTTGCAGAAGTGAGAACTCATTAGTCTCATTAGTCTTCAAAACAAGCAGTCCTTCGATCACAAGGAATCTTGCAGGCTTTCACAGATCTCTGAGGAAGTTTTCTCACCCCTTTCCATTGCCTTAAAACTGTTTGGAACGGAGTTTAGTCTTGTGTGGAGAAAACTATTGGTAATTTTTTCTTTTAATGTTGTGTATCTATGTGACTGTGCGTGCACATTTGTGTGTTTGTGTGTGGGTCAGAGAGAAAGAGAGAGAGAAAGAATCATTGATTTAAAAAGTCGTATAACTTTCTTCTTTATATATTTTCTCTATTATGCATTCGAAATTTTGGTGGGTTGATTAAAATGGGATTTTGATCATCACAGTTATGGGGGCAAAGTATATTTTAAAGGTAGTCTAGGATTATAGTTTTAATACTGACTAGTGATTTGGGCCTGTCCTTAGGCTAAAATTCAGAACAACTTTCTGCAGATTTCTCCATTGTCCCATATGTCATTATGCTCTACTGCAACGGCTAAGGGAGAAGAATAGCTTTCCATTTTTCTGATGTATATTTTTATTTCTTTTTGGTGACTGAGCCACGAGCAGGCCTTTTGCTAATTGAGAGAAGAAAGACAATGTGCTCAGGGTAATTTTTAAAAGCTAAGAGAATTTTCTGAAGATAGAGCCCAAATTGTACAGGCTTTCAAAATAAACACCAGATGTGGTCTGGTTCATGGAATATATTGATTTGATAAGGGATCTTTTTAGGAAAAAAGAGGAAGGAATCAAATCTGGAAGCTATTGTTATGAATCTCTTTTAAGTAGTAAGAAAAAGAATTGGTGTCAAAGATTTGGTGTGGAGCCCAGGCCAGCCACTTAGCTGTGTTCCTTTTTCACTCTGAGACCGCTCTGATTAATTTTTACAAATATAAAGGGAAACCTTTGTTATATATAAGTGTGTAAAACTGTGATGATCAGATCACCTGAAAGTGGTTTTATTTAACAACATTAATGTGGGTGAGGGAATTTGGAAGAAGTTCTGGCCAGCCCTTAGTCCTGGCCTGAGGGCTGAGGAGGAAGCTGTGTTTCTTTCCTAGGCCCATTTGGGATCTCAGATCCTCACCTGGCTGAGGAGAAACACATGAACCTGGGGCACCCATAACCCACAAATCCTGGAATAAGGGCATCTCATTTAGGCTGGGATCATGTGGAACAGTGGTTCTTGGACTTTGTCATCCATCAGAATCTTCTGGAGACCTTGCTATAATATATTTTCCTAAGCCCCATTCCCAGAGATTCAGTGGTAAGTTTAGGGCCCATGAAATCTCATTTCTTCCACACTCATAGTGATGCTAGTGCTACTGGCCTGAGAATCACACTTGGAGAGACTCCCCATCCCAGAGATAGTGAGCACATGACTTCTTTGTGCCCAGAGTCTTGGTGAATCATCTTTCTCACATGGAGAAAAGCTTTTTCCCTAAAGAAAGGAAATAATGAACAAAATAAGAAAAGCAGCAAGGATTCTTTTCCTGGTCCTGCAGTAGGCATCTTAGTGTCCCTTAGTTCTGTGATCTTCACAGCGCCCTGTGAGGAAGCAAGTGCTGTCTTCGTTCATTCAGGCTGCTGTGACAAAAATACCATAAATTGATAAACAACACAAATTTGTTTCTCACTGTTCCGAAGCCTGGAAGTTCAAGATCAGCGTGCTGAGAGATTGGGTGGCTGGTGAGGGCCCACTTTCTATTTCACAGAACAGAGCCTTCTCATTGTGTCCTCACATGGCAGAAGGGGTGATGGAGCTCCCTTGGACTCTGTTATAAAGACACCAATCCCATCTTTGAGTGCTTTGCCTCCATGACCTAATCCCCGCCCGAAGGCCCCACCTCCTAACACCATCACAAAGGTGACTGGATTTCAACATGAGAATTTTGGGGGGACATAGACCATAGCAAGTACTATCTTGGTATCAGAAGAACAGGAAACTGAGCCGTGGAGAGAGAAAATAAACACCATCCATGTAACAGGTCAATAAAACAGACCTGGGGTTCAAACTGAAACTCTGACTCCATTTCACACTCCTTTTCTAGGATCCTCATATTACATTAAAAGAAAAAATCAGTAAAAAAAAGGGTCTTAATAATATTTATCTTTTTATTATTATTATTATACTTTAAGTTTTAGGGTACATGTGCACAATGTGCAGGTTAGTTACATATGTATACATGTGCCATGCTGGTGTGCTGCACCCATTAACTCGTCATTTAGCATTAGGTATATCTCCTAAAGCTATCCCTACCCTCTCCCCCCACCCAACAACAGTCCCCAGAGTGTGATGTTCCCCTTCCTGTGTCCATGTGTTCTCATTGTTCAACTCCTACCTATGAGTGAGAATATGCGGTGTTTGGTTTTTTGTTCTTGCAATAGTTTACTGAGAATGATGATTTCCAATTTCATCCATGTCCCTACAAAGGACATGAACTCATCATTTTTCATGGCTGCATAGTATTCCATGGTGTATATGTGCCACATTTTCTTAATCCAGTCTATCATTGTTGGACATTTGGGTTGGTTCCAAGTCTTTGCTATTGTGAATAGTGCCGCAATAAACATACATGTGCATGTGTCTTTATAGCAGCATGATTTATAGTCCTTTGGGTATATACCCAGTAATGGGATGGCGGGGTCAAATGGTATTTCTAGTTCTAGATCCCTGAGGAATCACCACACTGACTTCCACAATGGTTGAACTAGTTTACAGTCCCACCAACAGTGTAAAAGTGTTCCTATTTCTCCACATTCTCTCCAGCACCTGTTGTTTCCTGACTTTTTAATGATTGCCATTCTGACTGGTGTGAGATGGTATCTCATTGTGGTTTTGATCTGCATTTCTCTGATGGCCAGTGATGGTGAGCATCTTTTCATGTGTTTTTTGGCTGCATAAATGTCTTCTTTTGAGAAGTGTCTGTTCATGTCCTTCACCCACTTTTTGATGGGGTTGTTTTTTTCTTGTAAATTTGTTTGAGTTCATTGTAGATTCTGGATATTAGTCCTTTGTCAGATGAGTAGATTGCGAAAATTTTCTCCCATTTTGTAGGTTGCCTGTTCACTCTGATGGTAGTTTCTTTTGCTGTGCAGAAGCTCTTGAGTTTAATCAGATCCCATTTGTCAATTTTGGCTTTTGTTGCCATTGCTTTTGGTGTTTTAGACATGAAGTCCTTGTCCATGCCTATGTCCTGAATGGTAATGCCTAGGTTTTCTTCTAGGGTTTTTATGGTTTTAGCTCTAACATTTAAGTCTGTAATCCATCTTGAATTAATTTTTGTATAAGGTGTAAGGAAGGAATCCAGTTTCAGCTTTCTACATATGGCTAGGCAGTTTTCCCAGCACCATTTATTAAATAGGGAATCCTTTCCCCATTGCTTGTTTTTCTCAGATTTGTCAAAGATCAGATAGTTGTAGATATGTGGTGTTATTTCTGAGGGTTGTGTTCTGTTCCAATGATCTATATCTCTGTTTTGGTACCAGTACCATGCTGTTTTGGTTACTGTAGCCTTGTAGTATAGTTTGAAGTCAGGTAGCGTGATGCCTCCAGCTTTGTTCTTTTGGCTTAGGATTGACTTGGTGATGCGGGCTCTTTTTTGGTTCCATATGAACTTGAAAGTAGTTTTTTCCAATTCTGTGAAGAAAGTCATTGGTAGCTTGATGGGGATGGCATTGAATCTATAAATTACCTTGGGCAGTATGGCCATTTTCATGACATTGATTCTTCCTACCTATGAGCATGGAATGTTCTTCCATTTGTTTGTATCCTCTTTTATTTCATTGAGCAGTGGTTTGTAGTTCTCCTTGAAGAGGTCCTTCACATCCCTTGTAAGTTGGATTCCTAGGTATTTTATTCTCTTTGCAGCAATTGTGAATGGGAGTTCACTCATGATTTGGCTCTGTGTTTGTCTGTTATTGGTGTATAAGAATGCTTGTGATTTTTGTACATTGATTTTGTATCCTGAGACTTTGCTGAAGTTGCTTATCACCTTAAGGAGATTTGGGGCTGAGACAATGGGGTTTTCTAGATATACAATCATGTCCTCTGCAAACAGGGACAATTTGACTTCCTTTTTTCCTAATTGAACACCCTTTATTTCCTTCTTCTGCCTAATTGCCCTGGCCAGAACTTCCCACACTATGTTGAATAGGAGTGGTGAGAGAGGGCATCCCTGTCTTGTGCCAGTTTTCAAAGGGAATGCTTCCAGTTTTTGCCCATTCAGTATGATATTGGCTGTGGGTTTGTCATAGACAGCTCTTATTATTTTGAGATATGTCCCATCAATACCTAATTTATTGAGAGTTTTTAGCATGAAGCATTGTTGAATTTTGTTAAAGGCCTTTTCTGCATCTATTGAGATAATCATATGGTTTTTGTCTTTGATTCTGTTTATATGCTGGATTACATTTATTGATTTGTGTATATTGAACCAGCCTTGCATCCCAGGGATGAAGCCCACTTGATCATGGTGGATAAGCTTTTTGATGTGCTGCTGGATTTGGTTTGCCAGTATTTTATTGAGGATTTTTGCATCAATGTTCATCAAGGATATTGGTCTAAATTTCTTTTTTTTGGTTGTATCTCTGCCTGGCTTTGGTATCAGGATGATGCTGGCCTCATAAAATGAGTTAGGGAGGATTCCCTCTTTTTCTATTGATTGGAATAGTTTCAGAAGGAATGGTACCAGTTCCTCCTTGTACCTCTGGTAGAATTCAGCTGTGAATCCATCTGGTCCTGGACTCTTTTTGGTTGGTAAGCTATTGATTATTGCCATAATTTCAGAGCCTGTTATTGGTCTATTCAGAGATTCAACTTCTTCCTGGTGTAGTCTTGGGAGGGTGTATGTGTCGAAGAATTTATCCATTTCTTCTAGATTTTCTAGTTTATTTGCGTAGAGGTGTTCGTAGTATTCTCTGATGGTAGTTTGTATTTCTGTGGGATCGGTGGTGATATCCCCTTTATTATTTTTTATTGCGTCTATTTGATTCTTCTCTCTTTTCTTCTTTATTAGTCTTGCTAACAGTCTATCAATTTTGTTGATCCTTTCAAAAAACCAGCTCCTGGATTCATTAATTTTTTGAAGGGTTTTTTGTGTCTCTATTTCCTTCAGTTCTGCTCTGATTTTAGTTATTTCTTGCTTTCTGCTAGCTTTCGAATGTGTTTGCTCTTGCTTTTCTAGTTCTTTTAATTGTGATGTTAGGGTGTCAATTTTGGATCTTTCCTGCTTTCTCTTGTGGGCATTTAGTGCTATAAATTTCCCTCTACACACTGCTTTGAATGTGTCCCAGAGATTCTGGTATGTTGTGTCTTTGCTCTCATTGGTTTCAAAGAACATCTTTATTTCTGCCTTGATTTCGTTATGTACCCAGTAGTCATTCAGGAGCAAGTTGTTCAGTTTCCACTTAGTTGAGTGGTTCTGAGTTTCTTAATCCTGAGTTCTAGTTTGATTGCACTGTGGTCTGAGAGACAGTTTGTTATAATTTCTGATCTTTTACATTTGCTGAGGAGTGCTTTACTTCCAACTATGTGGTCAATTTTGGAATAGGTGTGGTGTGGTGCTGAAAAAAATTTATATTCTGTTGATCTGGGGTGGAGAGTTCTGTAGATGTCTATTAGGTCCGCTTGGTGCAAAGCTGAGTTCAATTCCTGGGTATCCTTGTTAACTTTCTGTCTCGTTGATCTGTCTAATGTTGACAGTGGGGTGTTAAAGTCTCCCATTATTATTGTGTGGGAGTCTAAGTCTCTTTGTAGGTCACTCAGGACTTGCTTTATGAATCTGGGTGCTCCTGTATTGGGTGCATATATATTTAGGATAGTTAGCTCTTCTTGTTGAATTGATCTCTTTAGCATTATGTAATGGCCTTCTTTGTCTCTTTTGATCTTTGTGGGTTTAAAGTCTGTTTTATCAGAGAGTAGGATTGCAACCCCTGCCTTCTTTTGTTTTCCATTTGCTTGGTAGATCTTCTTCCATCCTTTTATTTTGAGCCTATGTGTGTCTCTGCACGTGAGATGGGTTTCCTGAATACAGCACACTGATGGGGTCTTGACTCTTTATCCAATTTGCCAGTCTGTGTCTTTTAATTAGAGCATTTAGTCCATTTACATTTAAAGTTAATATTGTTATGTGTGAATTTGATCCTGTCATTATGATGTTATATTTATCTTACTCATTAACAGAATTTGGATTTGAGCAGATTCATGGAGTTTACGTGAAATAGTATGTGGTGAATAGTGTCGCTGGTACTCACAAGCCTTCTTTCATGGAGAATTGGTTCTCCTTTTCCTGCCATCATTCCCTCCTCCTGTCCCAGCGGTCAGCACCTCCCTTGCTTGGTCTGTCTAACACTCTTTTTTCTAATTATGCCTCTTAGCTACTTTGACTCGAAGATAACAGCCATACTGTTCACAGTGAGGTCCACAGACCAGCAGCTTCATCATTGTCATGTGAGGATGTGTCAGAAATGCAGAACCTCAGGCTCCACCTCAGACCTACTATGGAATCAGAATCTTCGCCTTATTAAGATCCCCAGGGGACTGGGTGCAGTGGCTCATACCTGTAATCCCAGCACTTTGGGAAGCCAAGGCAAGTGGATCACTTCAGGTCAGGAGTTCGAGATGAGCCTGGCCAACATGGTGAAACCCCATCTCTACTAAAAATACAAAAATTACCTGGGCGTGGTGGTGCACACCTGTAATCTCAGGTACTCAGGAGGCTGAGGCAGGAGAATTGCTTGAATCTAAGAAGCAGAGGTTGCAGTGAGCTGAGATCATGCCATCGCACTCCAGACTACAGCCTGGGTGACAGAGTGAGATCTTGTCTCAAAACAACAGCAACAACAAAAAGATGACCCCCAGGCAATTCGGCAATTCATATGCACATGCAAGTTTGAGAACAACGGGAAATGACGAGAAAATAAAGAACTGAGAACAATCTCTTATACCACCCCACAAAGATTGTTTCTATTTTTCTAACCTTGATGTCTTCTGTATTTCAGTTTGTAAGTTCCTTGATGGCAGGAACTCGATTCACATCATTCAATGGCATTTCCAATACTGCGTGACATCTAGTAAATGAGAAATGACTATTTGTTGACTACATGCTGCCCAAATCACTATATCAGGTTCAGATTTCTCTGAGCCCCAGAATTATTACTTTGATTTGGGCATTTCCTGATTTTTTTATAGACACCACTAATTCATCATGTGCAAATTGATTTCTCACTTATATCTGCTTCATCTCTAGTTTTCCTTCTTTGTGAGGATGGTACCCCATTTTCACAGTCATGCAGTGACTACATTCTTACATTCCACATACATGCATACAGAATCCATCACATTATTTATACCATCATGGCTGCCCCCTGTATTGTTTGATTATTTCTTGACTGATTTATCTTCATGGTGTTCTTTCTTGCTACCTTGTCTATTGTGTTACATCTCATGTATCTATTCTTTACACTGCCTCCAAGGTGGTTACCCCAAATCTAAACCTGATCAAGCCACCTTTTCTTCTCTTTTTTCTTTTTCTTTTTTTTTTTTTTTCCTAAATAGCTTCTGGTGCCTTTCAGGATAAAATTTAATCTCTGTAGAGGATTTTCCAAGGTGCATCATTATCTGCTCCTTGTCTACTTCTCTACTCTCCTATGTTAGCTCTCTCCTGCCCAGGTGCTCTATCACTATAATCCCGCCTCATTCTATGACTTGCTATAATAAGTGCAGTTTGCTGTCTCTTGCATCCAGAACTGGCTAATCTTTTGCAATCCTTTCAATACTTGCTGAACTTGAAAACCTTCACTCTCCTTTCAGGACTTGGGGCAATGTCTTTGTTATTAAAAATCCTTAGATGTTTCTGGTCTAAGGTAGGTGCCTCTTCCATCTTTTGCCACTGATCTTGTGTACATCTCCTTCATAGAACTTACCACGTTGCATCACAACTTTGTTTACGTATTAGATCCAGAGACTTTATCTTATCTCTACATAACAAGAGACTGGTTCTTTAGAACAAATCCACAGACTTTTATCTCTATATCTCTATAACATATCTTGGTTTAGAAGTCATTATAGATCTCAATTACAAATATTTTGAATTGATGAGTGTATAATTTGGAGGCAGGAATTTTCAAACAGGGGCTTAGAGGAAAGTTGAAGATTATAAATACCTCTGGAGAGCAAGGATCATGCCTTGTTTACCAGTGAGCTCTCAGAGCTTATCACTGTCTTTGAAATACAATATGTACTCCATAAATATTTGTTGAAGAAGCAAAGGGATAGATGGAATAATGGATGAATAGATGTGGTCAACAAAATATTGCTATAAAACTTTATTCTCTGCTTGATAAAGGCATTCTCACCACCTGCTTTGTTTCTCCAGATTTTGTCTTCTACTCCCTCCAACTGGGTCTGGTGACAGACAGACCTGTAGGCCCAGGCCTGTGCTAGTTCCGAGCTAGGTATGACAGGGACAGGAGTTATATCAGCACCCTCAGTCCTATCCTTCTGGGATTCAGTTTTGTCGATTACGAAGGCCTGGTGCATCAGCAATAAGTTCTGTGACTATGTGTCAGCAACTTATTAATAACAGCCTTGGGTGAGCAAGGCACGTTTGGCAGAGTTATTTCATCATCCCTCCTATCAGTTTCAATTTTCTCTGCTATATGCCAGTACTTCCCACCCAGACTTGACTTCCTCCATAGACAGCTTGTGGGCATCATTTTGTGCCCCTCAAATGTCACACTCTGCTACCTGCCCTGTTCCTGATTATTAGGATTATCAACTACACGATAATTTCTGATGCTGAATCTGTATATCTCTGTTTTCACCTCCCTCCAACCCTACATTTCTTCAGGTAAGATACAGGAATGATGGTGCTTTTTAAAGTTTTAATTCATTGATGCAAATCTGGTTGTCATTGGGGTAATCCTAATAAGCCATTTTATCCATCAGATAAACTATGCATGCTGAGTACTTTATAAACATATTTTCCTAGATACATTTTTTACATAGATATTGCTGATATTCTCACACATAATTATTAATCCTTTCATATTGTTAAAATTTTGGAGGCTGTCTTATACATCATCCTTAAAATGAAATAAATATCCATGAGTTCACACTGATGTAAATAATTAAATAAATAAATAACTAAATGAATAGGAGAGAAAGGAAAGCTCTGATTTTATAAAAAGGATAATTGCATTATATTAATGTGAAATCATTTTCCTTTAAAAGAGAACAAAGAGAGAAATGCTTTTTTTAACAGAAGAATTGCAATTAATAAATGTAGAAGAAATGAGGGAAGTTGAAAATCACCAATAGGCAACCATTGCAATAATAACTGTAGGCAAGCTACACGGATGGATGCTAAAATTAATGTGGTGAAGTTTGGGGAGAAACACAGCATTTGCATAACTTCCAAGTATCTCCCTCAAGATCATTATTATTTACAAAAGGAAAAATAGTCACTTTATCATGGAGAAAGCTGGCAGACACTATCTTGCCAAATGATTAAGGTTAACATTATTCCTTGATGCACCCTTCACTGGGATGGACACATTATTTCTGTGCTATTACTGCCAAAAACTGCATAATGTCTTAAGGTAATTGTGAGATAACACCAGAAGGAAAAAGAAAACCATTGGATGTCAGTCTACAAAATACCTAAGTGATACTCTTCAAAAGTGTGTCAGATCATGAGAAACAACAAGACTGTGGCAGGCCAGACAAAGAAAGGCAAGAAGTTGTCAGAGATTGGAGAAGATTAATGAAGCACAACCTAGTGCAGAAAAAGAACATTAAGGGAAAAACTTGTAAAAAATGTAATAGTCTATAGTTTCATTAATAATATTATACCCATTTAATTTCTAAGTTTTGATAATCATACCATGATTATGCAAGATGCTATCATTAGGAGAAGCAAGATAAAAGAGAGTTGGTAATTCTCTGTATTATTTCTACAACTTTTCTGTAAGCCTATATTTATTTCAAAATAATGTCCTTAGGTTAAAAGACTGTAAATGGATTAGTACAGGGTCTGCTTGGCCAGGCGCAGTGGCTTACGCCTGTAATCCCAGCACTTTGGTAGGCCAAGGCAAGTGGATCACTTGAGGTCAGGAGTTCAAGACCAGCCTGGCCAACATGGTGAAACCCTGTCTCCACTAAAAAAATTCAAAAAATTAGCCATGCATGGTGGCATGTGCTTGTGATCCCAGCTACTTAGGAGGCTGAAGCAGAAGAACTGCTTGAACCTGGGAGGCAGAGGTTGCAGTGAGCCGAGATTGCGCCATTGCACTCTGCACTCTAGCCTGGGCGACAGAGTGAAACTCCGTCTAAAAAAAAAAAAAAAAAGAACAGGGTCTGCCATGCTGTAAATGCTTAATAAAGTCTCTCATCTGCCCAGACTGCCTGGACAGGCCACACCAAGTGCCTGCATGAATTCCTAGGCTGCACACAACTGTACTTTGCCCACATCTGACCCTTGTGTGACAAACCCCATTCCACCAACATGTAGTCCTCTCCAGATAAGTCCCGGAAAATTTGGGCTCTATTCCTCTGTCCCTAATCATGTAGGGGAATAAAACTAGAAATGCTTATTTCTTGCTTTGTCTGTCCAATGTCTACCTTAAGAGACTGCTTGGCTTGCTCTGAATGTCAGTAGAGAATTCTAGCAAGACTGCATGGAGATAGTCAAGAAGGACTCACACATGGGGGACCATATTTAGCTAATCTTCCAGAGCTCTTGGATGGCATCGCTGCCTCAATAGATAAGAAAAAATGTTTTCAAAGAGCATTTGACAAGGTTTCACATTGAAGATTTATATCTAAAGCAGACTAAGGGAATGGGAGGTAAAATAGCATATTGTAGCAGAAAACTAATTTAAGAGTAGTAGACAAAAAGCAGTCATAGATGGCAAGCTCATCTTCCAAGGGGGTGAGAAATCAAATGCTTTCCAGAGCTCTGGGAATAAGACCTACATATTTTGGGACGTGTGCAGAGAAGAAAAGATCATTGAATTTGCTGGTGTTGCTGAAATTGAAGTCTTAGCAAATAATAAGATGCAATATGATCAGATTGAAAAGGATTTGAATTGCAGGTGATTAAGGCAGAGGATGCCAAATGCAGTTCAGGTATACAGATACAAAACAATAAGCACAGGATCAAGGAGCCAATTATGCAGAACATATACCCAGAAAAGTATTTGAAGGATATTGTGGGAAAATCTGCCAAACCATCAGCATAGAGCACAACTGCATTAGAAAAAGCAACCTGGATTTACTTGGTTATCTCATCAAAGGGGAAGAAGATGAGAAGAGAGAGTGAAGCTATACCTTTGTAAGGCATTAACTTGATTCCTATTTTGAATATAGTGTCCACTGCCAGACTAAAAACAGAAAAAGGAGCCTCGGCTTGGGGATGGGGGATACAGTAAAGGGAAATGTTTAATTGGGAAACTATTTCCATTTTAGTCTCAATGGGATATAGAAGATTTCACAGCAGAGGTTTTAAAAATTGGGTGTTCTCAGGAAAATTTTTGAAATGTGAAAAATGGTGAACAAATTATTCTTTAGATGCATGCATTGTTCTAACAATAGGCTCAAATATTCTTTGAAGGACTCAACTAAAAGTTTACTATCAATGTGTTGGTATGTGCATATAAAGGCAAAATTCAGCCCCAGGGTTAATACAGGGGAACCAGAGCAGAACTATTTAATGCTACATACAAGAAAAAAAACCGCCAGGAAAAGTTGGAGAAGTAGAAGTGCAAATGAATTGAAGAGACACTTAAACTTATTTTTGGTGAAGAAGGTGATTAAAAATCATTGTTAAAAAAAATCACAGGGAAGAGCAAGTGAGAACCAATTTTAAATGACAAGTTTTGACAAGCAAAGTTTTCCTAATTATAAAACCTTCACATATAAGCTAGAACGCAGTTATGTAAACAAGCCTTGAAGTTTTCAATTTATTTATATTTGTGTGCATTGCTGATCTTATTCTGCCACAGGAAATGTGGGTCCATTTTAATATAAGTGCAGTGTATACCAATTTCACGTGGCTCAAGCTAACATTCTACTTAACATGGTCTACTGGATTCAGTGGGTATGAGGCAAACATGGAGTTCTGGCTGCAGCCATTGGCACACAGAGTAAAGTTAAAGCAGAGGTGATTTCATTGGTCATTTAGGATTTAAAAATAATTTTTATCTAAAATGTGCAGAAAAGTACAGCAAAATATTGAGCCTTGTTTACTCTTTGATACTGTTATGTGGTTGTCTCCATTCACCACTTTGCTTTGCATGATAAAGAATCACAAAAATTTCTTCCTAGAAGAGACCTTAAGGATCACCTAGTACAATCCTCTTAAATTACAGATAAGGCAAATGAGAAACAGAGGGCTTAAGAAATTTACCAAAACTTTAAATGGTATTTAGAAGGAAGCCCAAAACTAGATTCTTTATTTCTAATTTAGCATTTTAACATTCAAAGTTGTGGTATCCTAAATTTATAAAACCAGTTCACCAGTATTATGCTCTTATTCCTGCAATTATATTTTATTTATACCTCTTTTTAAATATTTTCATTTTTAAATTTATGTTTTCATTTTTCAGAGATGGAAATCTAGAATTTCTTGCAGCTTGGCAGCATAGGAGCCAATGGGGTAGCAATGTGAAAGTCAAGAAGTACACCTCATCTCCAGGACAGCAAGAGTGATCCCTGCCTGACAATGATGCTGGGAGAAGATGTGCCGGTGCTCAAGAAGGCACCGTCCCTCATGCACAGCCACATGCCACAGGTCACACAACATTGGCAGGAGTCCAGACCACTTTTTGTCTAGTAGTAGCTTTACTGGGACCTACTATAACTTGGGCAAGTTAAGTCTTCTTCCTGGATTTTGTTTCTCTTTAAACGAGAGAATAAGAGTAGATGGGCTACAAAGTTCCCAAAGAACTTAGCTAAGATTCTGGCATATAGTTACAGTATGGATTAAGTAGAAGGTGATGAGGCAGAGAGTGAACATGACATTGGTGTGTGGCCAGATTTACACTTGGACCTTCTTTAGCGGGGGCACCCGTTGAAAATCAGCCTGCAAATCCTCAATAAATCCAGCACTGCCAGTTTTTTTCATTCTGAAACAGACTGCATTTGGTGAGGCAGGAGGGTGAGCATTATATAAAAGAGATATTTTGCATTTTAGGAGCAATGATATATACAAAATAAGTACTATAGCATTAAAATACAATCACACTCATTGTTGAAAGATGTTTACATTATGAGAAAAAAATCCATGCTCCTGACATCAACTGAAGGGGCATCTCTCACAAGACCTGGGGAGTGGAAGTATGGAATCTAATGTTACTACAGCAAGTGAATCCACCTTGCATAGAGTGAAATATTTGTAAAACTCCTAATTAGAACAGATTTTTAAAAAATTATTTCTCAAGTGTTTCTTCCTTTGACCTAATGTGTTTACCCTATTGCTTACCTATTAACTGTCAATTTCCTGCCAAAAAGTCTCTATCGTTAGAGATAAAGTATTAATATCAATATATCATATGTGAATTTACATCATTACTCTCCCAACAGAAGGACTCTGTACCTGTAGAAATCTTCCTACATATTATTCAAGTGTTATATATGCCAGGAGAACTTAGCACTTACTAATGAATATCTGTTCCATTATTCAGATAACACTGGGTTACACAGTTAAAGCAGGATAAGAGGAACGGAATTTTGCAAATGGCATTTCACTGTTTTGTACTGGAGTATGAGCAGCCACAGCCTATGCTTAACTTAGAACTTCACACTGTATTGTAAGGTAGTCTTTGGAGTTGAGACTGCCTGCAGTATCTGTTTTCTGAGTGTGCTTTGAGAGCATGATAATATAATATTGAATTATTTTGTACCAGAAATTTATAGACATTTTAGGATATGTCTACCACCAGGCATGGTGACAGTGGGATCCATAATTTTTCTATAACATTTTGGAAGGCAGATAAAGGATTTTTATAAAATGTTTGATTTTTTGTGCTTTGCAAACACGGTAAGCAAAAATTAAATAAATAATGTAGTAGGGACCCAAAGAAACAGCTTTAATTGCACACATCCCCACCTCATTTCAGGAGTTCTTGGAAGACAGATCTTTCAGGACTAGCTTCTATTAATGACAGTATAATTGCTGGTATGTAGTGTCCTTTACTTTCTTGCTATTTTTTTCTTGTAATTTATTTGTAAGAGGTGATGTTTTGATGTTTCCTGAGGGATTGTTCCTCATTTATGTGTGGCTTGATTTGTATTGCAAAACTTATGCTAGAAAAATACTTTTGGTGGATTTAATCAAATAGTATTTAACAACAAGAAAGATCAAAAGTATTTTGGATGTATGCTTGTAAAGAAATCTTTCTTGTATTTAAATATGGTATTTAATATTTTGGATATTTTTCTGTACCCAAAGAATGGATTCATGGATACTTTATGAAAAATTAGATACTTATAAAATGCTTAAATTTATAAAATTTAATTTTAATTAAATGTAATGAATATACATCCCTAATATTTGAATAATTGTACATAGATGTTTCCTTACTGTATTTTCCCTTGGAACATCAATGGGAAAGAACGAATTTCACAATATTCAATAATATTCAGCTATTTAATACAAACCAGAACCCTTTTGCCACTATTAAACTTTAGAAAAATACAAACATCTATGAAATTATTTTTATTATATTAAAGATAATGCAGTCTATAATTTTTATTGCTTTACACACTGATGTAATGATTTCCATGACTATCAGTTGTGGGATCCCATTCAGAATCAGCTTATCAAATCAATGCTAAAATTAACCAGAATGTGGGCTTTAAATGAAGAGTATAAATTGAAACTCAGAATTTGTTTTAAAATATGCATTTGGGAATAAAATAGGCACCTAATGATTAATAATATTCAAATTGATAAGAAAGAAAAGCAACAATAAAACTTCCTACCAGAAACTTTTTACTTATCTAGGCACCCTCACCCATTTCACTCAATATTATTTTTACTAGAAACGACCCTACCAAATATAACCCACAAAAAAATAATAGTTTTGCTTCACTTGCTTCGCCTACAGTGCCAGGGGGATAGATTTAATGATCTTATAGGTCTTTTCAATCTATCTAATATTTGTGAAATGGCAACTGTCAATGTTGAACAAGAAATTGCTGAAATAGCACAACTTTTTGAAATGGATAATATCTCATAGGACAAGAGCCCAGAAATGGAAAGAACAACCATAAACCTCACTGAAATTCATCTCAACAGAATGCCAACTTTACTCTTCGCATAATAAAAACAACCAACTTTAAAAATGCTATCTGTCAATGACTCAAAAATCAGCCATTTTGAAAATCTCAGCACCGGCTATTGCATATGCCAAAGAGTAAGGTGGCTCCTAGTGTATTTCTTTTCCATTTTGACTTTTGCTACTGCCTGACCAGTTGGTTACTAGTTATGTCAGCTTAAGAAGTAGGATCAACTAAGCATGTTAGATTTGATTAAGTTTAGTGTTGGGTATCACTTAGACTCTACCTATTTGTTGTTTAATGAAATTATAAATTTTTGATAACATTAAATAGGTCTCTATAGAGAGAATAAATATCAACTAAAGTTCTTTCACATCTTTCTGGTTCACTATACAATTAAAGCTCTTGCTTTTTTATTTTCCAACATAAAGTCTGGATTTCTAAATATTATCAAAATTTGACAATTGATTTTTTAAAATGCTGAGACTGGAGTATAAAGGAAGAGATCCTTGAGAGAAAGAATGCATAGAGAAAGGAGTACAAGATACTTTTACTCTCCCCCTAGGCATTTGACAGTATTTTGTTCCCAATTCTTCAGGGTTTTTTTTCCTTTTATTGATACATAATAATTTACATGTTTGTGGGGTATATTTGAGTGTTACATGCAAAGGATATGTAATGATCAAGTCAGGGTCATTGGGGTATTCATCACTTTGAATGTTTATTATTTTTATGTGTTGGTATCATTTCAAGTCCTCTCTCCTAGTTACTCTGAAATGTACACACTATTGTTGCTAAGCACAGTCACCCTAGCCTGCTGTCAAACATTAGTACTTATTTCTTCTATCTAACTGTATGTTTGTATCCATAACCAACTGCTCCTCTGCCCTCCTGTCATCTCCATCCACCCCTCCCAATCTCTGGTATCTATCATTTTATTCTCCATATCCATAAGATAAAGGTTTTAGCTCCCACATGTGCAGTTGACAAATTTTATGTTGCATAAGGTGATAGGCAACGAAATCAAGCAAAAGTCAGTGAAGGAGCTGAGTTTGTTCCAATCTTCCAGTGCTGAGGATATGTTAACTAGAGTTCAGGACTTATCAAAGAAGAATCCTAGAAATCAGGTCAGGCCTGAAAACAGGGTAGAATCAGAGGTGGAAGAGATCTATAAAAAATTGTGATTCAGTTGGTTCATTTCTTGATTAGATTAAGATGATCTTCTCCGACTCAGGCAGTCTACCAGAATATAAGGTAAATGTATCGCCCAGAGCCACCTCAATTTTTTTGTATGATATCTGTCATTCAGAAAAAAATTACAGATATGTCAGAGTTAAGAGAAAAAAAAGCCTATCCAAAATTCCCAGGAGTTATTTTACATACACTTTACCATAACAGATTATCATGTTAAAAACAATAAATGAAAAAATGAAATATTCCAGTGGAGAACTGAAATCCATAAAAGAATCAAATGAAAATTAGAGAATCACAAAATAGCATAATAAAGATTAAAAACTAGTAGATGGGTTTGATCACAGACTGGACATAGCAGAAGAATGGTTTTGTATATTTGAAAATGTGATAGTAGAAAATATTCAGGCTTAAACAAAGATGAAAAAGGATGGAAAATTTATAAAAAGCATGAGACATATTGGTACTGTGAAATAATCTAACATATGTGCAACTAAAGTCTCAGGAGGGCAGGAAAGAGAAAATGTGAAGAAATGATATTTAAAAGATAATGACAAAAATTAGTTCTAAAACTGACAAAAGATATTAACTCAAAAATTCAAGAGAAAACATGAACACCAAATAGGATAAACATGAACAAACCACCTCTGGATACATTATCATATAATTTCTGAAAAAGAAAGATAAAGCAAAACGTTAAATGAAGTCACAGGAGAATAAAATGTATTATCTTCAAAGCAGCAACAAGAAATACAGCTAATTTCTCATAAAAGTGGTGGAAGCCAGTTCACAATAGAATGACAATTTTAAAGAGTTCAAAAACAGGTGACAATATAAAATATCATACCTTGAAAATGATCTTTCAACAGTTCCAGTTAAATATAGACATATAGGCCGGGCGGGGTGGCTCATGCCTGTAATCCCAGCACTTTGGGAGGCCGAGGCAGGCAGATCACAAGGTCAGGAGATCAAGATCATCCTGGCTAACACGGTGAAACCCCGTCTCTACTAAAAATACAAAAAATTAGCAGGGCGTGGTGGCGGGCACCTGTAGTCCCAGCTACTAGGGAGGCTGAGGCAGGAGAATGGCCAGAACCCAGGAGGCAGAGCTTGCAGTGAGCCGAGATCGCGCCACTGCACACCAGCCTGGGCGACAGAGCGAGACTCCTTCTAAAAGAAAAACAAAACCAAAACCAAAACAAACAAACAAACAAAAAGATATCTTCAGACAAACACTGACAAATTCATTGCCAGAAGACCTGAATTTAAATAAATAAATAAATAAATAGGGGTTCAGGAAGATGAAAAGTTACTCTAGACAAAAACACGAAACTACAGGAATTAATAAGGAAAAAGAAAAAATTATGGATAAAAATAAGTAAATATTGACTGAACAAAAACACAATAGTGTTTTTATGAGACTTAAAATACATATAGACTTAAAATCATGATGCCAATAACATGAAATGTGGGGATAGAAGGGAAGTAAATATGCATATGAGTCATTTATGAAAACTGACAGTATGCTAGGCATAAAACCAATCCCCAAATCTTTCAAAGAATAAAAAGCCATTCAGAATATTTCTGATCATAGTAGAATTAATCTTGAAAGTGATAGCAAAAAGTTAATCTAAAAATCCCCAAATGTTGAGGATTAGGAAAATTAGAAATAGCAATTGGCTAAAGTGTCAAAGAAGCATTCTCAGTAGATAATAGAAAATATTTTTAAGTATAATAATAAAAATAGACATCAAAATTCATACGATGTAGCTAAACTGGTAGAAGGAAAACTGTAGCTTTAAATGCATTATACCTGAAGAGCTGAAAGACTTGAAATTTGATAATCTACATACTGTCTCAAAAAGTCAGAAAAGTACAGCAAAAGAAACCCAAAGAAAATAAAAGAAAGAAAATAAAGACAATCCATAAATTAATACAGTAGAAAACAAAGAAATGGAGAAAATGAACCACACAACAAATCAGTTACTTTAAGAAACAGTGAAATTGATAAATATCTGGCAAGCCTTACCAAGAAAAAGATAAAATACAGATTCGCAATCACAGAAATGAAAAGAGATGTCACCACAGATTCTTCAGAACATGAGAAAATGTTATGAACAACTTTGTGCCAAATTTGGAAATTTAAATAAAAGATAAATTTCCTAGGAAAACAAAGTTTACCAAAATTGACACAAGAAGTAATAAAACAAACTAAAAATACTTTATCTAATTAAATTCCTCACTAAAAACATGTACAAAAATAAAATTCCAGGCCTACATGCTTTAACAGTGAATTCTTTCAAACAGTTAAGGAAGAAATAAACCATTACACAAATTCTTTCAGTGCATAAAAATAAAGGGACCATTTCCCAAATTAAATTATGAGGTCAATGTAATCATAATACCATAACCTGAAAGGGATATTAAAAGAAATGAAAATTACCTTTCAATTTCACTGATGAACATAGACATAAAAGTCCTAAATAGCATATTAGCAAGTGGAAGCTAACAACACATAAACAGAGTACTATATCATACCCTAGTTGAACTGATCTCAGGAATACAAGGTTGATTCAAGTTTGAAAAATCAATCAATGTAATTCACCACACTAACAAATTACTACAAAAAATTATGTAAGAATTTCATTAAAAGTAGCCAAATAACTTGATAAAATTCAACATTCAATAATTTTGACAAATCAACTACAAAAAAAGAAATGTCTTATTCTGATACATGATATCCACAAAATCAAACAAGCAAAAAACCTCTAGCACACACCATGCTTATGGCCAAAAAGTTGAATGCTCCATCCCTGATACTGAGAGTCAGACAAGGATATTCACTACATCTCTGCTACTTAAAATAAGGTTTGTAGATTGACAAAATGCCATAACCTGGAAGCTTGTTAGAAATACAGAATTTTTACTGGGCATGGTGGCTCACGCCAGTAATCCCATCACTTTGGGAGGCTGAAGTGGGTATATCACTTGAGGCCAGGAGTTCAAGGCTAGTCTGGCCAATGGGGCAAAACCCCATCTCTACTAAAAATATAAAAAAATTAGCCGGGAGTGGTGGCACACACCTTAATCCAGCTACCTGGGAGGCTGAGGCAGGAGAATTGCTTGAACCCAGGAGGTGGAGGTTGCAGTGAGCCAAGATCTCACCACTGCACTCCAGCTTGGGTGACAGAGTGAGACTCTACCTCAAAAAATAATAATAATAATCAATAAATAATAAAATAAAAATACATACAAATTTTAAGAAGAAAGAAATGAAGAATTTCAGGTCCCACTATAGACTTATTTAATCAGAATTTGGATTTTAAGAAAACTTCGAAGTGTTTTACATTGCCATATGAGAAAAACTTCCTTACACCACTTCTATTTATTATCATACAAAAAGTCTTAATAATTGTGATAAGACAAGATCGAAAAATAGCATGTACAAAGGCTGGAAAGAAGCAAATAAGATATCATGACTCAGGGCAAACTGATAATGTATTTAAAAAATCTGAAGACACTACAGATAAGTTATTAAAATTAGTAAGTGAATTTAGCAAAGCTGCTAGATGCAAGTTTAACATATAAAAATCAAAAGTATTTCTATATACTAGCAATAAGCAATAAAAATGTTAAATTTAAACATGATTTTTAGGAAAAAAACTAAGAAAAATATTCTCTCCACTGAAAGCTACAAAACATTATTGAAGGAAATTATAAAAACTTAAATGCGAAGATATACCATGCCTGCGAAGTTGTTAAAGAGGCTTCCAAATCCCTTCCACTTTGCCCTCTTCTTCATGGTTGATGCCAGATGTGGTAGGCATCTTCCTCTTTCAACTTCCAGAAAAAATGAGCGAAGTTTAGCAAAAGCTGTTTTCTTCTAAACAAATGAAGCTAATAAATTAATTCCAGGTCCAAACCTAGCTGCAAGAATGGTGGAAAGTATTGTCTTTATCTGGGTTGCCATAAATAAGTTTTAATTCTAACCATGAACAAATAGGAAAAGGGAGAAAAGATCTTGGTAGGCAACTAGCAGACTCTATTACAGGCATGTAAATAATATAGTCAGCAGAACTTAAATTACTACAGACTAAGATGAGAAATGAATAGAGCTCACATTGTGGAGATAACAGCCTTGCACTAGGCCTATTATTAGCAGAGCTTATGTCTCCCTTTCTCATTCTTCTTCAGTGCAAAAAACTTTACACAATTTAGTGTTAAGTTTTTCTAATAGGCTTTCTACCTCTTTCCCCAACAACAGTATCTATCATGAATTAAATGATATATGAATGAATTTTGAGATACAGTAGAATTTACTTAATAAAGTGCTAAAGCAAATGCCTTTGGGACATAAAATCTTTTATATGACTAACCATTCTAATATAGCTTTTCAAAATGTCAAATTTTTCCGTATTGGTTTTGCTTGTAAACTGTAAGTTATTTTGAAATGGGGTGCCTTTAACTATATCTACCACTGGGGTCAATAGGGTGCTATTAATAAGTTAGCATGGAGAGAAGTTCATTGATCAGAGATTAATGAATGGGTCTGTCTACCAGTCAGGATTAAATTTTACTGATAGTAACAGTGACCTCAAATAATTGTATCTTTAACAAGATAGAAATTTACTTATTTTCACGCAAAGGAAGACTTCACCATATTTCAAGGGTTAATTCTATTCTTAAAATCAAATCACATTGGGAAGAAAGCCTCTCAAACTCCAGCTATCATATTGTCATTAGAGACAGAGGGAAAGAGAAGGGATAAATGGCCAAAGTATCCCTTGTATCCCAGCTGCCTCAACACTCCCAGTGAAAGTTTCCTTGAAGTCATGATTTCTCCTTGCACAATGATAGGGTTCAGGACAAGCCACCCCATAATGTGACATTTGAGAAAACAGCAGAAGCAAGAAGCTCACTCTCATCTTTCCTCTAGCCTTTTCCCCTGAAGCATGTAATAAAACCTAGGAAAGATTTTCCGACCTTTCCCTGAAGCAGGTCAAAAGACCCTCATTCCAGAAGTGACTTCCTGATAGGCAGAGTAAAGGAACATCCTCATCCCGGAAGACACAGGGTCCCAGGGAAGAACCTGAATAAATGGGCCTTGCTGAGTTCTCCCCAGTTTATTACCATTAGATCATACTTTCTAAAATCTACAACTTTTCCACAACTATTCACTTCTTCATCAAACCTAGCACAAACATACACAAATTTTCCCATTTCTTAGGTCTTCATTGCCTTATTAAGGCTTCCATGTCATGTCAAACTTATACTAAGTACATTTGTGTGCCTTTCTCTTATTACTCTGTCTTTTGTTATAGGGGCCTCAGCCATGAATATAGAAAGGATAGAGGAAAAAGTATTTCTCCTCCCCTACAGCCACACTGGCTAATATACTTACAAGGCAGACAAGAAAAATGTAATTGTACTTTTGGCTGAGTGTGTCCTTGCCCTAGTGTGTAAGGAGTCTGTCACTAAGAATAAAAGGAGAACGAGTAGGAATCCAGCCATTTACCTGCATTCTGTTCTTGGTCAAATATTTTTTGCTGGGAAAATCGTGCTCGAGATATATGCTCAGAGAACAAAATAAGGCAAATTAACACTTAATAACTATTTAGGTTGTTGGCCCCCCTATCACTTCTCAGCATTTTGGCTGAGATCAGGTGTAGGTTATTGGCCCCCAAATCATGACATCTAATTTGAGTGACATAGCATTGGGCATGGTGGAAAGCTCCTTTACCTAAACAGCCCCCTGAGTGTGTCAGGATGAAAGGGGGATGCATTAGTTGGGTCTTCTTAGAAGCAGATTCCAAGATTATTATGTGCAAGATATTTACTGGGAAAAGCCTGTGTAAGGGGGAAAAGGTGGAGGGAACTGGATAAGTTGCAGAGATCTGCAGGTATGTTACCCCTGTGAAGAAGGAATCTCTTCAGGAAGGAGAATTGGAAAGGCAGAGTGTCTGATTCAGGCATAGTCGGAAGAATATTTTGGATAAGCCAATGGGAGGTTCTTGCGACATAGTTACCTGTCAGAGGAGTCCCCTGTGGAAGAGATCCCCCATTTTACAGAAACAGGCCTTCCTTAGCATCATCACCCTGCTCTCCCAGCCTCCCACTGACAGCAGCCTTAAGAAGGGTGGGTTTAGTGATGGATGCAGAACACAGCAACTGGTGCTGTCTGTTCCCACACTCCCTGCAGCAGGAGATCTGAGTGGCACATGTTGATGGCCACAGCTTCTACTTTGACTTAAAAGCATGTTTAACCTACTCCCTTCTCTAGTTGAGATCAGATATTAGTGGGAAGAGCATGGGGAAGAGTGAGAGATAAAGAACAGTAGTAAAAACAACCTTATTTTCAAATTCATAGAACGAAAAAAGAAAGTAAAATACCATCAGGTCTTTTTCAGATGCAGAAAAGACATCCTTTTACCAAGTAACCCCCTGTGCAAATAAGCCTAGCCAAAGGGGAGCCCACTCAAGAAATGACTTGGCTGGGCCAGGGAGATCAGACTCAGAGCATTCCTCCTGTATTGTTCAAATGCTGGGAGAGAGTAGATGTTATATAGAGAGTAAATGCTGGGGACTGAGAAAGAAGAAATGGTCAGATCGTCTTTCCTTTAGGAGTAGTTCTAAGCTGTGCCACCACTCAAGCACAGGAGAAGCAAGTTACAACAAAAAGAGTGCATATAGACACAAGTACTACAATTTCTCACCTCCACTTAACTTATTAAGTAATTAGCTTATTTATATTTTCAAACTGGTGATTATGTTAGTCATCTATTGCTGTATAACAAATTGCTCCAAAATGTAGCAGCTTAAACAGCAAACATTTATTTTCTCAAGGTTTCTCAAGGTCAGGAAACCAGGAGGGATTATCTGGTCCACTCAGGGTTCCTTACTAGGTTGCAGTCCAGTTATTGACCAGGGCTACAATTATTTGAAAGGATTGGAGAAGCTGCTTCCACGCTCTTTCTGGCAGCTTCCATTGACTCCACGTGGGCATCTCTATTTGTCTTACACAATATAACATCTGGCTTCCTCCACAGTAAATGATTCAAGAAAGAAAGAGTGCCCAAGACAGAAGCTATAGGCTGTTCACAACCATACACTGGAAATGACATCCCTTCTTCTGTCATATCTTAATTGATAAAAGCGAATCACTAAGGCCAGTCCACAATTAAGGAGAGCTGAATTAAGGATTATCTCTTAAGGAAAGTAGTAGCAAAGAGTTTGTAGAAATATTTTAGAACAATACTGGTCATACATTTACATGTTACACCATTGAAAAGATGTCAGCCATCCTGAATACCTTGGAATGGAAGGAGCCCCAGTTCTACCAAGGAATCCTGGTTCCATTTCTTGGTGTTACCAGTATTTTATGTGTTCTAGAGAGAGTCTATGAAATTACAAACATTGAGAAAGACTTAACTCAGTAGAAAGCTCTGCCCCAGTGACTAGAGCCCAGTGTTCTTAGCTTTGGTTAATTCAGATCAGCACTCCTTCCGGTGTGGGATGTGAAGATGCTAACAAGGAATGACCTTCCTTCCCCGTTTCTTCTCTTATAAAGTCTTGCCAACTTTGACACACTTATAATTGTAGCATATGCCATTTAAAACATTGGTTTAACAAAAGCTATTTAATGGTAGCTGTTTCCCCCTCTTTGGAACATTCTTTGTAGCTTTCTCTCACCATTAGCCAGTGCCTCAGGCAATTACTAGAAAGAACTAAATTGAGTTGCTTTTGTTATTAGCTGTGGTTTGTGAGTCAGCTTACTGCTTCTAAAACAATTATAGAAGGAAGCTATTATTTTAAATAGAAATTTGAGTATATTTAGAAGAAAATGAACCATGTATTTTCTTCTGGCTGCTCCTCCAATCTCATTTCAAAGATGAAAAGACTAAAAAGATTGCAAAGAGGGAAGGAGAAAGGGATGGATTGAAAGGAAGAGAAAGTGAGAGCTGAAGAAGGAAAGATGTGGAGACAAAAGCTCAAAAGGAGCATGGCAATGCTCAAAGATTGGGGAAATGGCATTATAAATGTTATAGAACATATAGTTAAAATTTATTTTATTATCTTGAGATTTCCCAAAATGATAGGATTTGTGCTGACATACTGTGCTAATTCATATTAGCCTAAAGAGATCAATTCTGATTAGCTTCATCCTTTTCAAGATATGTAATATGTTCTGTGACTATTCCTGGGGAAATGATGCAGGATAATAAAATCATTGTTTGCGTATGTGTGCTTGTCCCCGATATGTCACACATGGTTTTGATTCCCAGTTTTTTAAAAAAGAAATCTAAACTGAAACTAAAATATAAAGCATGTTTTCTTTGACCTAATTCTTATCTAGCAAATAAAAGATTGATTTTTTTCCCCCTGTGGCTCTAGTATTTGAACATCGTGGATATGTCCCTTGAGTCCGTAGTTCAGGGAGATTTCATGTAAGTAATGCTTAGAAAAAAAATCGTAGTTTTGTTGTTATTTTACTAAAACTATATTCCAATTTAAGCTAACTTGCATCCTTTTTGAAAATAGATTTTGAGTATAATTAAACTGGTAAGTAGTTAGTTTAAAATTTTACAGATTTTAGCAGACAAGCTAAAAAAAAAAGTCATTAGTGGCATGTTGATGATAGAGTTTCGATTACTATGGTAGCCTTTCAACCACATTTTTCCTCCAGTTCTTTATGGAATAACTTTATAAGTTAAAATATAACCCTATACCATTCAGCATAATTAAATAGTAGCTACACGGTCAAAATGCAGAGTTAACCAATTGTTCTGAGAATATTATCAATGTGAAATGCTCATCTATTTCTAACATCCATTCCAGATTAATTTTTTCTTTTTTTTTTTTCTTTTCTTTTTTTTTTTTATTATACTTTAAGTTTTAGGGTACATGTGCACATTGTGCAGGTTAGTTACATATGTATACATGTGCCATGCTGGTGCACTGCACCCACTAACTTGTCATCTAGCATTAGGTATATCTCCCAATGCTATCCCTCCCCCCTGCCCCCACCCCACAACAGTCCCCAGAGTGTGATATTCCCCTTCCTGTGTCCATGTGATCTCATTGTTCAGTTCCCACCTATGAGTGAGAATATGCGGTGTTTGGTTTTTTGTTCTTGCGATAGTTTACTGAGAATGATGATTTCCAATTTCAGCCATGTCCCTACAAAGGACATGAACTCATCATTTTTTATGGCTGCATAGTATTCCATGGTGTATATGTGCCACATTTTCTTAATCCAGTCTATCATTGTTGGACATTTGGGTTGGTTCCAAGTCTTTGCTATTGTGAATAATGCCGCAATAAACATACGTGTGCATGTGTCTTTATAGCAGCATGATTTATAGTCATTTGGGTATATACCCAGTAATGGGATGGCTGGGTCAAATGGTATTTCTAGTTCTAGATCCCTGAGGAATCGCCACACTGACTTCCACAATGGATGAACTAGTTTACAGTCCCACCAACAGTGTAAAAGTGTTCCTATTTCTCCACATCCTCTCCAGCACCTGTTGTTTCCTGACTTTTTAATGATTGCCATTCTAACTGGTGTGAGATGGTATCTCATTGTGGTTTTGATTTGCATTTCTCTGATGGCCAGTGATGATGAGCATTTCTTCATGTGTTTTTTGGCTGCATAAATGTCTTCTTTTGAGAAGTGTCTGTTCATGTCCTTCGCCCACTTTTTGATGGGGTTGTTTGTTTTTTTCTTGTAAATTTGTTGGAGTTCATTGTAGATTCTGGATATTAGCCCTTTGTCAGATGAGTAGGTTGCGAAAATTTTCTCCCATTTTGTAGGTTGCCTGTTCACTCTGATGGTAGTTTCTTTTGCTGTGCAGAAGCTCTTTAGTTTAATTAGATCCCATTTGTCAATTTTGTCTTTTGTTGCCATTGCTTTTGGTGTTTTGGACATGAAGTCCTTGCCCATGCCTATGTCCTGAATGGTCATGCCTAGGTTTTCTTCTAGGGTTTTTATGGTTTTAGGTCTAACGTTTAAATCTTTAATCCATCTTGAATTGATTTTTGTATAAGGTGTAAGGAAGGGATCCAGTTTCAGCTTCCTACATATGGCTAGCCAGTTTTCCCAGCACCATTTATTAAATAGGGAATCCTTTCCCCATTGCTTGTTTTTCTCAGGTTTGTCAAAGATCAGATAGTTGTAGGTATGCGGCATTATTTCTGAGGGCTCTGTTCTGTTCCATTGATCTATATCTCTGTTTTGGTACCAGTACCATGCTGTTTTGGTTACTGTAGCCTTGTAGTATAGTTTGAAGTCAGGTAGTGTGATGCCTCCAGCTTTGTTCTTTTGGCTTAGGATTGACTTGGTGATGCGGGCTCTTTTTTGGTTCCATATGAACTTGAAAGTAGTTTTTTCCAATTCTGTGAAGAAAGTCATTGGTAGCTTGATGGGGATGGCATTGAATCTGTAAATTACCTTGGGCAGTATGGCCATTTTCACGATATTGATTCTTCCTACCCATGAGCATGGAATGTTCTTCCATTTGTTTGTATCCTCTTTTATTTCCTTGAGCAGTGGTTTGGAGTTCTCCTTGAAGAGGTCCTTCACATCCCTTGTAAGTTGGATTCCTAGGTATTTTATTCTCTTTGAAGCAATAGTGAATGGGAGTTCACTCATGATTTGGCTCTCTGTTTGTCTGTTGTTGGTGTATAAGAATGCTTGTGATTTTTGTACATTGATTTTGTATCCTGAGACTTTGCTGAAGTTGCTTATCAGCTTAAGGAGATTTTGGGCTGAAACAATGGGGTTTTCCAGATATACAATCATGTCGTCTGCAAACAGGGACAATTTGACTTCCTCTTTTCCTAATTGAATACCCTTTATTTGCTTCTCCTGCCTAATTGCCCTGGCCAGAACTTCCAACACTATGTTGAATAGGAGTGGTGAGAGAGGGCATCCCTGTCTTGTGCCAGTTTTCAAAGGGAATGCTTCCAGTTTTTGCCCATTCAGTATGATATTGGCTGTGGGTTTGTCATAGATAGCTCTTATTATTTTGAAATACGTCCCATCAATACCTAATTTCTTGAGAGTTTTTAGCATGAAGGGTTGTTGAATTTTGTCAAAGGCTTTTTCTGCATCTATTGAGATAATCATGTGGTTTTTGTCTTTGCCTCTGTTTATATGCTGGATTACATTTATTGATTTGCGTATATTGAACCAGCCTTGCATCCCAGGGATGAAGCCCACTTGATCATGGTGGATAAGCTTTTTGATGTGCTGCTGGATTCGTTTTGCCAGTATTTTATTGAGGATTTTTGCATCAATGTTCATCAAGGATATTGGTCTAAAATTCTCTTTTTTGGTTGTGTCTCTGCCCGGCTTTGGTATCAGAATGATGCTGGCCTCATAAAATGAGTTAGGGAGGATTCCCTCTTTTTCTATTGATTGGAATAGTTTCAGAAGGAATGGTACCAGTTCCTCCTTGTACCTCTGGTAGAATTCAGCTGTGAATCCATCTGGTCCTGGACTCTTTTTGGTTGGTAAACTATCGATTATTGCCACAATTTCAGCTCCTGTTATTGGTCTATTCAGAGATTCAACTTCTTCCTGGTTTAGTCTTGGGAGAGTGTATGTGTTGAGGAATTTATGCATTTCTTCTAGATTTTCTAGTTTATTTGCGTAGAGGTGTTTGTAGTATTCTCTGATGGTAGTTTGTATTTCTGTGGGATCGGTGGTGATATCCCCTTTATCATTTTTTATTGTGTCTATTTGATTCTTCTCTCTTTTTTTCTTTATTAGTCTTGCTAGTGGTCTATCAATTTTGTTGATCCTTTCAAAAAACCAGCTCCTGGATTCATTGATTTTTTGAAGGGTTTTTTGTGTCTCTATTTCCTTCAGTTCTGCTCTGATTTTAGTTATTTCTTGCCTTCTGCTAGCTTTTGAATGTGTTTGCTCTTGCTTTTCTAGTTCTTTTAATTGTGATGTTAGGGTGTCAATTTTGGATCTTTCCTGCTTTCTCTTGTGGGCATTTAGTGCTATAAATTTCCCTCTACACACTGCTTTGAATGCGTCCCAGAGATTCTGGTATGTTGTGTCTTTGTTCTCGTTGGTTTCAAAGAACATCTTTATTTCTGCCTTCATTTCATTATGTACCCAGTAGTCATTCAGGAGCAGGTTGTTCAGTTTCCATGTAGTTGAGCGGCTTTGAGTGAGATTCTTAATCCTGAGCTCTAGTTTGATTGCACTGTGGTCTGAGAGATAGTTTGTTATAATTTCTGTTCTTTTACATTTGCTGAGGAGAGCTTTATTTCCAACTATGTGGTCAATTTTGGAATAGCTGTGGTGTGGTGCTGAAAAAAATGTATATTCTGTTGATTTGGGTTGGAGAGTTCTGTAGATGTCTATTAGGTCCGCTTGGTGCAGAGCTGAGTTCAATTCCTGGGTATCCTTGTTGACTTTCTGTCTCGTTGATCTGTCTAATGTTGACAGTGGGGTGTTAAAGTCTCCCATTATTAATGTGTGGGAGTCTAAGTCTCTTTGTAGGTCACTCAGGACTTGCTTTATGAATCTGGGTGCTCCTGTATTGGGTGCATATATATTTAGGATAGTTAGCTCTTCTTGTTGAATTGATCCCTTTAGCATTATGTAATGGCCTTCTTTGTCTCTTTTGATCTTTGTGGGTTTAAAGTCTGTTTTATCAGAGACTAGGATTGCAACCCCTGCCTTTTTTTGTTTTCCATTTGCTTGGTAGATCTTCCTCCATCCTTTTATTTTGAGCCTATGTGTGTCTCTGCACGTGAGATGGGTTTCCTGAATACAGCACACTGATGGGTCTTGACTCTTTATCCAATTTGCCAGTCTGTGTCTTTTCATTGGAGCATTTAGTCCATTTACATTTAAAGTTAATATTGTTATGTGTGAATTTGATCCTGTCATTATGATGTTAGCTGGTGATTTTGCTCGTTAGTTGATGCAGTTTCTTCCTAGTCTCGATGGTCTTTACATTTTGGCATGATTTTGCAGCGGCTGGTACCGGTTGTTCCTTTCCATGTTTAGTGCTTCCTTCAGGAGCTCTTTTAGGGCAGGCCTGGTGGTGACAAAATCTCTCAACATTTGCTTGTCTGTAAAGTATTTTATTTCTCCTTCACTTATGAAGCTTAGTTTGGCTGGATATGAAATTCTGGGTTGAAAATTCTTTTCTTTAAGAATGTTAAATATTGGCCCCCACTCTCTTCTGGCTTGTAGGGTTTCTGATGAGAGATCCGCTGTTAGTCTGATGGGCTTCCCTTTGAGGGTAACCCGACCTTTCTCTCTGGCTGCCTTTAACATTTTTTCCTTCATTTCAACTTTGGTGAATCTGACATTATGTGTCTTGGAGTTGCTCTTCTCGAGGAGTATCTTTGTGGCGTTCTCTGTATTTCCTGAATCTGAACGTTGGCCTGCCTTGCTAGATTGGGGAAGTTCTCCTGGATAATATCCTGCAGAGTGTTTTCCAACTTGGTTCCATTCTCCCCATCACTTTCAGGTACACCAATCAGACGTAGATTTGGTCTTTTCACATAGTCCCATATTTCTTGGAGGCTTTGCTCATTTCTTTTTATTCGTTTTTCTCTAAACTTCCCTTCTCTCTTCATTTCATTCATTTCATCTTCCATTGCTGATACCCTTTCTTCCAGTTGATCGCATCAGCTCCTGAGGCTTCTGCATTCTTCACGTAGTTCTCGAGCCTTGGTTTTCAGCTCCATCAGCTCCTTTAAGCACTTCTCTGTATTGGTTATTCTAGTTATACATTCTTCTAAATTTTTTTCAAAGTTTTCAACTTCTTTGCCTTTGGTTTGAATGTCCTCCCGTAGCTCAGAGTAATTTGATCGTCTGAAGCCTTCTTCTCTCAGCTCGTCAAAGTCATTCTCCATCCAGCTTTGTTCTGTTGCTGGTGAGGAACTGCGTTCCTTTGGAGGAGGAGAGACGCTCTGCGTTTTAGAGTTTCCAGTTTTTCTGTTCTGTTTTTTCCCCATCTTTGTGGTTTTATCTACTTTTGGTCTTTGATGATGGTGATGTACAGATGGGTTTTCGGTGTGGATGTCCTTTCTGTTTGTTAGTTTTCCTTCTAACAGACAGGACCCTCAGCTGCAGGTCTGTTGGAATACCCTGCCGTGTGAGGTGTCAGTGTGCCCCTGCTGGGGGGTGCCTCCCAGTTAGGCTGCTCAGGGGTCAGGGGTCAGGGACCCACTTGAGGAGGCAGTCTGCCGGTTCTCAGATCTCCAGCTGCGTGCTGGGAGAGCCACTGCTCTCTTCAAAGCTGTCAGACAGGGACATTTAAGTCTGCAGAGGTTACTGCTGTCTTTTTGTTTGTCTGTGCCCTGCCCCCAGAGGTGGAGCCTACAGAGGCAGGCAGGCCTCCTTGAGCTGTGGTGGGCTCCACCCAGTTCGAGCTTCCAGGCTGCTTTGTTTACCTAATCAAGCCTGGGCAATGGCGGGCGCCCCTCCCCCAGCCTCACTGCCGCCTTGCAGTTTGATCTCAGACTGCTGTGCTAGCAATCAGCGAGATTCCGTGGGCGTAGGACCCTCCGAGCCAGGTGTGGGATATAATCTCGTGGTGCGCCGTTTTTTAAGTCAGTCAGAAAAGCGCAGTATTCGGGTGGGAGTGACCCGATTTTCCAGGTGCGTCCGTCACCCCTTTCTTTGACTCGGAAAGGGAACTCCCTGACCCCTTGCGCTTCCCAGGTGAGGCAATGCCTCGCCCTGCTTCGGCTCGCACACGGTGCGTGCACCCACTGGCTTGCGCCCACTGTCTGGCACTCCCTAGTGAGATGAACCCAGTACCTCAGATGGAAATGCAGAAATCACCCGTCTTCTGCGTTGCTCATGCTGGGAACTGTAGACTGGAGCTGTTCCTATTCGGCCATCTTGGCTCCTCCCTCCATTAATTTTTTCTAAAGCACAATTTTAGTTATAAATACTCCAAGTTCAAAAACTCCCAGTGGCTCACCATGTACTTAGCCTGGCATTCTTGGTGCTCCAGTTTCTGATCTTGACCTATTTCTCCAGCCTCAGTTCTCACAGTTCTACTCCTGCACTGCCTCCTGGCCTCCCACCGTCCAGACAAAGTGCATTTCTGGGGTCCCTCGGTACTGGTTTCCACAAAGAGCAAAAGTGTTCCTCTGACCTGTTTGATCTCACGGTGCTTTCAGGTTGCCTAACCCTGGATACACGATAAAAACGACTTGTAGAGGCTTTATTCTTTTGTTTTCTGGTCTTCTATTATGCAAGATTTAAACCTAAACACAGAGGTAAGGACACTAAGGATACTCGTAAGTGGGTATTTATCTTGATTCTGATGCTAGCTGGTAGAGGGATCTATACATGATCTCTGTGGATCTAAGCCTGATAACCATGGTGTCACCATACTGAATGGTACCAAATACAACTAAAGACCTTTCTTTTCCCAATAGTTGGATGATAAATGCCCATAGCTACCTAGAGTCCACCTACAGATGATAAGATCACTTCAAGAAGGCTCTTGAGAGCCATCTCTAAATTAGAAATTGAAGGTCAATTTTTCAGGTTCATTTTTCCTGTATCACATTGAAATTACTTCTTATTATTTCAGGAGACATTTCAGCTGAAAAGATGCTATAATACATTTAAGATGACAGATGTAGCCTATATAAACTGTTATTATAACTTATTTCTCAGGGTGGAATTGGAAAATAACATGACCTACTCGCAGACTACTACTCCTACATTCCATAAATTCTCCTAAGTCTCTGCAAGCCAGAAAGGACTTTGCCCTTATTCCATTAACCCAGTGATTCCAGGAGGCACAAGTACCAGAAGGTGTTCCTGGGTGCACCCTGGGCTTCAAGGCCCTTTTAAGTTGGGCCTAGACTCCTTATCTTCTGGTCAGAGTTCTCTCCAGTGTCATGAACTTTTACTATTAATGGCAACTATATTCAGTGTTATATTTATATGTGTAAGAAACAAAAGTGACAGCACAGGGGACATAAATTGGTGATGAATGAAGACTTTTAAATCAGTTTTGTTTTGGTACCTCTGGTTGTTAATGCAGAGAGCTCCCCTTTTGTTCCCCACAGTAACTGTCGTACCCTATTGAGTTATGGACACGCAGCTGAACACACTTACATGGCCTGCCTGACCTTAAGGCATTCAAATCAAAGGACACCTTTCTAGAAACTGGCAGTTTTGTTCAGTGAGTCAAATAAAAATGCAGATTTGAACATAATCCTCCTGTTAATGGGAATATCAGGAAGGTAGATATTCCTACTAGTGAGCATCAGAAAATACCAGTCTGAATAAATGTGATAGAAGGTGAGGCTATGAGTATGCAGACACACACATACACACACACACACACAATTACACTCATCTTATGGCTCTTTATTAGAAATTATTAGTAAATTAGAGATTAGTAAAAGCAGAGAGAAGAGAAAGCATTGAGGGGTAGATGTTGAATTTCTTAAAACAGTATTTCTTTATTTTATTTTATTTTATTATTATTATACTTTAAGTTTTAGGGTACATGTGCACAACATGCAGGTTTGTTGCATATGTATACATGTGCCATGTTGGTGTGCTGCACCCATTAACTCGTCATTTAGCATTAGGTGTATCTCCTAGTGCTATCCCTCTCCCTCCCCCCACCCCACAACAGTCCCCTTCCTGTGTCCATGTGTTCTACCCATCAGTGTGCTGTATTCAGGAAACTCATCTCAAGTGCAGAGACACACATAGGCTCAAAGTAAAGGGATGGAGGAAGATCTACCAAGCAAATGGAAAACAAAAAAAGGCAGGGGTTGCAATCCTAGTCTCTGATAAAACAGACTTTAAACCAACAAAGATGAAAAGAGACAAAGAAGGCCATTAAAACAGATTTCTAATGTGAATATTGAATAAAAGTTGTTTATGTCTTGGCCATGTTGTTCACCAAAACTTCGGTCAAATCTATCTTAAAAAAAATACATTCTGGGAAGGGTGGGGTGAGAATCTCTTCTATAAACTGAAGAACATGGTGACATTTCATTTACAGGTTGAAAAGGTATGGAACAGAGATGGTGCCAAAGGATGGAATGATCACCTGCAAAGTGGACTAATTCAGCAGAAGCAGTCCTTTAGAGACACGGGTGACCTGAGAAAGTAAGCACCAACCCTCCACCCTACACCTGGAAATTCTCATCAACACTTTGAGTACAAAGGACCTCTATGAACTGTGAATCCGATGTTTCTATCTTAAGAGGCAGAAAAACCTCAGCTGGCATGTAGGTAAGCCATCCTCTCCAGTAGTGGTTCTCAATGGGGACAGTACGGTTCACTAGGGAGTATTTTTTAAATTTATGGGGGACTATTATTCATAGCATTGGAGTGTGCTGTGGGTGTTTAGTAGGAAGGAGCCAGGATAGTCCTGTAAAAAGAATTGTTCTCAGCCTCATAATTTTCAGAAGTCTCACTGGACATTCAAATAGGACCAACCAATACAGAAATTTATATAATTATTTATTACATTAATATTATCTATTATGCTTATATAAATATATAGACATATATCTAATTCAAGAACCTAAACCATTTAACATATAAACAGAATGTATTGGAACCATTTAAAACCATTACATTTCTAGAATGTGACTATTCTATAAATAGAAGGAAAAACTTCTTTGTTTTAAATGGAGCTTTACTAAGACTTGTTTGACATTTCAGAACATCGTGTCCCTTGTAAGAGTGCCACTTGTGAAATTTGACCACTAATGCAATAATCCATATCAGTCTTTACAAGGTGCTTCTACCTCTAGCTACAAGCATCTGACTGCTTTACCATGTCTTCTAGTGTCATATTACTGTAGCACAATATTGATTGCACAATAGCTATTGATTATTGCTATTTATAAATATCAACCACCATATTTGCATCATTAAAATTATCCCCCAATATGAAGATACAATATTAATAATATCAGGCTGCTCTCAATTGATAAGATCAACTGAGAAATAGATTTTATCACCAAAGTTTAACTGAAATACAGTTACTTAGCACTTAGAATTTATTTTCCTACAGCTTCCTGTGCTGATTTTAGAAGTCTTGGAGGGATCCAGTGACAGGTTGTATAGAAAATCCTACAGGAAAAAATTTCCTTAAGCTTTGAAAGAATGGAATAGTTATAGATTTTAGAGTTGGAACTGAAACTATTATTAGGGCCTATGGTCTCTATAAGATCCAGTGTAGAGTTCATCCTACTCACTGTTGAGATTTTTCCTATTCCCTTTTCTAGAAAAGAAATTTTTTCCCTTGACTTTGCTCTTATTCTCTTTACCTTAATTCCTACTGCCCTTTTATTTTGCATTTCTTCTCTATCCATCACTTTAAATATTGCTGTACAAAAAATTCTGCCCCAGGATCTAGCAATCTCACTTCTGGGTATATATTCAAAGGACATGAAATCACTAAGTTGAAGACATATCTCTGCTTCCATATTTATTGCAGCATTATTTACAATAGCCAAGTTATATGATCAACTTAAGTGTCAACTAATGGGTGAATGGATAAAGAAAATGTGGTATGTCTACACAACACAATAATATTCAGCCTTCAAAATGAAGGGAATTCTGTCATTTGGGTCAACATGGATAAGCCAGGAGAAAATTACTCTAAGTGAAACAAACCAGTCACAGAAAGACAAATACTGTATGACCTCACTTATATGTATAAAATTTTTAAAAAGCAAACTCACAGAAGAAGAGTAGAATGATGGTTAGCAGAGGCTGGGGGGAGGGAAAATGAGGGAATGATGGCTAAAAAGTACAAAGTTGCAGTTAGACATATGGAATAAATAAGTATTTAAGGTGCTGGATATGGTACTTGATTCAGTCTTTGCACACTATACATATATCTCTCTATATAATAACATCACTTTGTACCCCATAAATATGTACAATTACAATTTGTCAATAAAAATTTAATTAAAGCAATTCTGTCCTAGACGCCCTTTTCTTCTTGTACTCTTAATGCTGTAACGATGATTAGAATTGAGATACATGCTGCTACCACCCACTTTCTACCCATTATGGAAGCTGCCAAACATGTATTGTTTTTCACTGAACCTGGAAGTAAATTCAAACCCAGCACGGCTTTCAGGTAGGCACTACCAATTTGCTTGAATTAATACACAAGATGAGCATTTAGTTTCTTATTGATGACAGCTACTGAGGACATAAAAGTCTATGTTTTCATCTTGGCTTCAGATTCAGCTACTAATTGAAAATGATCACCAGGCTTTACAATATGTTTAAAGCAATCTTTAACCCTATGCTCTAAATCAAATAACTATGTAAACCAGAAAACTTGAAGTCATTTTTATCCTTCTCTTTCCCTCTTCACCAATACCTAAGTTTATCCCCCTTTTAATTTTACTTCAGAAGGATGTCTAAAATTTGCTTGGATTCTTCATTCTACTTCATAACCACTGAGTCTATTTAGAGAGCAGCATCCTCTCTCATAGACTATTACAAGAGTCCTCTGACAGTATTTTTAACACTTTAATTTCTCCACCCACCACATCCAATCCTACAAACTGCCAACAGGATACGATAATTTTCATTAATAAAACAATGAAAACCAAACAACAACAAATATGGTCCAATTAATATTTTTATTTAAATCTCTGTTGGTAACTTGTTGCCTTATCATACATACAATGTATTGAATTCCTTCCAATACAGCAACACTGTTTTTCTTTCCTTTTTTTTTGTCACATTTCTCCCATGCTCCTACCCTTATACATTTTCATCTTGATGTTCTATATATACTCGTTTGTCTAACTGTCATATCCTCCCCACCTGGGGAACTTCCCTTGTTCAGGCCCATGGCCATACTACAGTGCTGGTATGTTCCCAAATGCTCTATTTTTACTTGCAATCATTCCTCGTCCTGGGAATTCAGGCTTTTTTTTTTTCTTCTCTAAAACTTGCATCACACAATTCATTCCATATGATAAATCCAGTCTTCTTCCTTGGCTCCTTCCCTTGGCTGAGTATGGAGCCAGCCACAAAGCATTCATTTCCATAACCCCTTCTGAGCCCTATAACACATTCAGAGGCTTTCCTTGCAATTATAAGGCTTCTCCCGTCCCTAACTGCATTTGATACGGTAATAAAGAAGGAGATTGAGGCAAGAATGACCTCTTAGTCTGTAGCATGGGTGACTGAATAAATGGTCATGGAAACCAACTGAGATAGAGAATATTTGGAGGAAAAGCTAATGAGTCAAATTTGGACATGATAAATTCAAAGTGCTGTTGGGATACTCATCGGAGTTGTTCAGTAAATTCTTAGATATACAGAGATGCAGCTAAGAAGAAAATCTATCCTGAGGACTGCACTGATAACAGGCCTTCAAATCTGCCTATTCATAATGCTGCTAACATGATACAGTTCTAAAACACAAATTTAAATAACATCTAAAATTTGTCGATTTCTATGCATAGTTTTCAGGATGAAATCACACACTGTCACTCTGAAGAACCTACCCTGCAGGGATTTGTTATTGTAATAATTCTGCTAAAGTTCAGCTTTCAATAATAACAAATTATCAACTATTTGCCAGGAGATAACAATTATTAAACTCTAGACAAAATATTTTAAAAACAACTATTTGAAGGCACTGGAAATGTGAAAAATAAATTATGTTACGTATGGTTCCCTACATACAACTCTTCAACATGCAAACTAATCTGTAGTGACAGGAAGACCAGTGGTTACCTGAAGAGGGTGGGCAGGTAAGTGGGGTAGGGATGAAATATAAAGTGGTACTCAGACATTTTGGGTGTGATGGTTAGTTTCACTGTCTTGATTATAGTGATGATTTCGTGGATATATGCATATGTCAAAACTTGTCACATGGTACACTTTAAGTATGTGCTCTTTATGGTGTTTCAATAATACCTTACTGAAGTTGTTTACAAAAAAAAGTTATTGGCCTCATATACCCAGATATTTTGCAAGTCAATAAGCAAAATATCTCAATAACAAAAGATTTCACAAGATTGTTGCAAATTAACACAAGCATAGTGGCTTAAGACAATGCATATGTATTTCTTACAGTAATGGAGGTCAATGTCCAAAATCAGTCTCAGTGAGCTAAAGTAGAAGTGCTGACAGGGCTGGTTTCTTTCTGAGGCTCTGAGGGGATTTCTTATCTTTTTCAGCTTCTTGTGGCCACCTGTCTCCTTGGTTTGTACCTCCCTTCTCCATCTTCGAAGTGCATCCCTCTCCTCTCAGCTTCCATCATCACATCACCTCTTCCTCTAACTCTCACACCATCTATGCCCCTCTTTTCAGACCACTGTGATTATGTTAGTCCCAACAAGATCTCAGACCCTTTAATTTGGTCACATCCATAGAATCCCTTTTGCTGTAACACTTGCAAGTTCCAGAGATTAGGTCATGAACATATTTATGGGGCCATTATTCAGGCTGTTATACAAGGGAAGGAAAAAAACTTACGAATAGTGGACATGGAAGGTGTTCTTCCTCACTGGTACTCCAATAAATATACATTAAAATTAGATGACATTTGTCCTTTAGCAGATAAATGAAGCTTTGAAAATTATAAAACCTGGTGCTGGCAACATTACAGGAAAACAAGTAATCCTATACACAGAATGAAAGACATCCAAGACAAGTAATCTTTAATATTATTGCTTATATCTTGCTAGCAAAATTATGGGTAATCTTAGTTTTCTTCTATGTTCTTGAAGTATTTTCAAAATTTATTATTTGAAAAACTGAAAGAGAGACAAAAGATTTTTCTTAAATGCCATGCCTTCCAACCCACAAATTGGCTATATTTGTCAGGGCTCTCCAGAAAAACAAAATCAACATATTGGAGAGATATAGATATAGATATTATATTAGTCCATTTTCATACTACTATAAAGAATTGCCCAAGACTCTGTAATTTATAAAGGAAAGAGGTTTAATTGGCTTACAGTTCAGCATGGCTGGGGAGGCCTCAAGAAACTTACAATTAAGACAGAAGGTGAATTGGAAGCAAGGCACCTTCTTCACAAGGCAGCAAGAAAAAGAAGTGTCATGTGAGGGGGAAAGGGCCCCTTTTAAAGCCATCAGCTCTCATGAGAACTCATTCACTATCATGAGAACAGCATGGGGGAAACTGCACCCATGATTCAATTATCTCCACCTGGTCTCTCCCCTGACACATGAGGATTATGGGGATTATGGTGATTACAATTCAAGATGAGATTTTGGTGGAGACACAAAGCCTAACCATATTAGATATAGATATGTAAGAGGAGATTTATAGTGGGAATTGGCTCATGCAATTATGAAGGCAGAGAAGTTCTACAATATACAACATGCTGTCAACAAGGTGAAGAACAGGGAAGCTGGTGGTATATTTCAGTCTGAGTCTAAAGGCCTGAGAAGCAGTGGAGTTGATAGTATAATTTTCAGTCTGAAGCTAACGGCCTGAGGAACTGTGGGCTGTTGGTATGAGTGCTACAGTTCAAAGGCCAGAGAACCTAGAGTTCTGACACCTGAAGACAGAAGGAGATGAATGTCCCAGTGCCAAAAACGATGGAGACAGAGTGACTTCATCCTTCCTCTGCTTTTTTGTTCTATTCTAGCTCTCAATGGATTAGATGATGCCTGCCCACACCGGTGAGGTCAAATCTTCCTTACTCAGTCCAGCGATTCAAATGCTAATCTCTTCTGAAAACACCTTCATAGGCACATTCAGAAATAATGTTTTATCAGCTATCTCAGTGTCTGTTAACCCAGCCAAGTTGACACTTACAATTAACCATCATACTAGGCTGCTTGAGCATCAGTATTCTATTCTTTGAGACTTAACCAGAATGTATACACAGCTGTCCACTGAAATCTTGAAGTTGATGTTCCAGTTCAGATAATCAGTAAACTTTGTAATTGTTATGGATGTCACATATTTTATGAGAGTTCAAATTATATAACTGTGTATATAGATAAGAATATGGCTCTTCAGAAACATAAACATCCTCCTTTCAAATTTTAAATTATTTATAAATTATTCCACTAGTCTTTAAGTGTAAATGAAGAAAATCTCTACGATTTCAATTTTTTAAAAGAAGTAACCTCTCAGAAAGCAAAAATGAGATCAGACTCTATATTAAAAGTTATCAAAATGAGAGTAAAATAAAAAAGAAGCCAAATATTTTATGAAGTATTTAGAATTATTAAATGCCTCCCTTGAACACCATCCAGATTTATTTGACTTTGAAAAATGTTCATAGATCTACCAGAGTCACAAGGTCTTGGGATGCTGGATAATCTTGTCACAAGGCCTCTACACTGGCCTGAAAGGATTTTAGCCCATGTTGGAAGTTTTCTACTACAGATAACTTTCAAAAATTCATTACATTTTGCTTTTCTTCATTTAAATTTCATACAGAGTGAAGGCTACTTTCAGGAAACTTTTCTAAGCAACCCTTTGAAGCATTACATTTCCCAACTTATTAAAGGATAATAAAGGAGATATTTGTTTATTCATTCAATAAATATTGAGTACCTCTGTGGCAAAGACTGTACTTATACTGAAAAAAAGTCATTACCAGAATAGTTTGAAGCATTATATCTTTGAAACTTTGGTTACTGGATTAGTAGCTATCATTCTCTAAAGTTTATTGTGATGAGGGCAAAGTTTCACAGTAGTAAATCTTAGAGGTTGTAGCCATAACTTTTCTTTCTGTGTGTAGCATTGTCATGTCTGTAATGATATTTATTACATTTGGCTTAAAGCCATTCAGTGGCTGTTTTTCTGCCCAATTACAAATTCATCATTGTCATTGCTAGTCATCTGGACGTGTGCATCTCCCATAATTGTTCCCATTTTATAACATGGCACAGCCCATCTTCAGGGATTCAGTCTTACGTGATAGAATGGTTTTCTTTCACAAGTTAAAAGTCATGAGCCAGTTAAGTACTGTTTCTTGATTTTCAAAAAAGCTGACAGTGTTATCCATTACTGTTTCAACTAATATGACCTCAATTTCTTAGCCCCTCAAACCTTTCTCAAAATCAGAAAACTAAACTCCAGAAAGGAAATATGCAATGAGGGTGTTTTATGTTGTAGGTTTTTAGGTTGGTTGGAAATCATTTCAACTCGAATGGAAAACAATGGTCATTTCAAGGGGAATTCATATTAAGACATCCATAAACCAAAATCTCAAAGACTGGTTTTGCTTTGTAATCATGATTTGATATGGTTTTTCATCACTGGTTAGAGCAGTCAGAGATAACACTGATTGTGGGTCCACAATGTCTGTAGGTGGAAGCCATATTCTGGGTAGAAAGTGGATTCACAGTGGAGGCATTGAGCACCAACCCTCCTCACTCATTCTACCAAATCTGTCTATGGGGATTTAGGTCTCAGGACTCATTGATTGGAAACTGTGTTGCCTAAAGAGACCTGGAAGATAATAATAAGAAAGTCTAGATAAGTTTTGCCCTCTAGGGCTTTCTATGAAGGGAAAAATCTAATAGTCATTTCTGGAGTAAACTAATGCTGTGAGCTTTCTTCTTGGAGCCAGCAGTTTAAATCCTTTTCCATCTGCAATAATCTCAGAATGTTGGCCTGATTTCCTTCCCTTGATTTCTAAGCATGGCATTATCACCATCATTTCTTTCCATTAAAATAAATAATAAAGCCTTTCAGAAGGTGACTATGCCAGGTAAACAACAAGCTCTGAAGCCAAAATATCCTGAAAGGATGTAATTTAATACATTTGCAGTAAAGTCTGACAAATGCTTGCTCTTAAACTTGTTAGTTATTATACTGAAGGTGTGTAAGATTTGTATAAATTACCGAGTTGCTGTAATTCCAACAAGTTAAACCATTTATTTTAGTTTTCTAGGAGGAGAAGGGAACGCTGGAAAGATGTTTTGTTTCGCAGAAGCCTGCCTGTACTGAGTCTTCTGAATTCCATATGGAGTTCTCTGAATTCCCAGACACCCTGTCTTTGGCAGAACCCAACTGCTGAGACTGACAGTAGCCACCTGAGCATATTGTATGTTGTAAGTGATTCAACCTCAAGCGCATGACTGGCTGGGCTTAAGGTAAAATGTGATCCCTTTCCTATGCTTTGAAAGATTCTTTGGCCATATGGCAGGACAAAAAGAAACTCAAAGAGGATCTGCTAAGCCCTCAAGTGATAAGGTGCAAGAAAAAGAGGAACCCAAACTTTCTGAGGCAATGGAGGAGGTTGAACAATATCAACTCTCCTTTTGCCACCTCTTTCAAATACATATTCCAAAACAGGCCAGAGCTTGTGTTAGTCTAGGATAGTCACAACCATCCAGTTATCTTTCAGGGTTTCATCTTCCCTCTAACTATGATAAAATATAAAGAACAAGGCCCATACGCATGTCTTTGTTTCTTTCTATGTATTTTGGCTGACCTTAGCAATTGACCATACCAGCAATACCTGTTGCAGCTTAAGGAGAAAGTTCTTGCATCTCCCATTTTCTCCCCCAAACCTGAAATTCCTGTATTAAGGATTTATTTGAATTAACAAATAGAAATTATAATAATAATTAAAAAGACATACCTTTTATGTGAATTCATTGAATCACATTGATTTCCTTATTGTTTGTAGGAGGAAAGAAATATGAACAACTTTTGCCAACTATAAAATAAGATTACATATAACTACCTAGCATGATGAAAGACAGTATTACATGAGATTATGTATGGAAAATTTCAGACCCTGCTGGTATATTGTATATACTCAAAATGTAATAGCTGTTTTGGGGAACTCCTATTAGTTAGTAAAAGACAGCTAGAACCAGGAGGTGTAGTTGACTCTTCCTTAGGGTTGTTATTTAGTGTTCAGATATTTTTAAGTTTTAAATTTATATTAAAATTATGAATAGCTATTTATTTATAGACAGCTTCTTTCTGGGTGACTTGTTTGGGCAGAAATAAAAAGAGGGCATTCAACAAGGATGAGATGGGATCCTAGGGTTGAGAAATCAGGTAAATCTTCATAGACAAAACAGGCAAAGGAAAACTCTTGTTCATTCATCAACGGGGAAAAATAAGAAAATGACGATTTGATAGCTATTCCACCCTTAAGAGTCAAACAAGCCTTGAGCCCCATGCTGAGCTCAGAGGCGAACAAGACTCAAGTACAGGGGACTATGGGGTTTGAGGCTTCAGGAAAACCAAAAGGTAATATGGAAGGGATCTCTGATCTTATGGCAGGGGTTGTTTATCTCTTGCCAGATTTGATCATCTCTTTTGCATGATCCTCCCACAGGTCAGTGGTGGAGTTTGAAGAGAGGGTGGCCAGAGGGCCACTCTGATTTTGGAAGAGCAGAAATAGAGGGAATAGAATTATGAGGAGGCCCTTGCATTGATACAGATGTGTTAGCATTCACCACTTCTCAAACATAGCAGATTATTTGGGAAATTGAACTACATTTCTCACCACTTAATAATTCAAGAAGTGGTTACTCGAGGCACCAGGAGGACTGAATCCTTCACATGTTATGTTAACATCATCACAGAAGCTCATGTTATCATAGGAACTAGACAAAATAAGAAAACTTATTTAGCATCTTTAATTTTCCTTGTGAATTCTTCATTTGTGATACGAGAAGAAAATCAGGTCACTTGAAGGAAATGATTTAATCCTAAAAAAGAGCCACTTAACAGGCATATATTATCACCATTCAATAGAAATTAATAAAGTGTTAGTGTTTACAACATTTCTCAGTATATGCAAATGGAAGTGGGATTCATTTTAATTGGAATTTGCATTGCATTAGAATTTTCATCCATATCTGAAAAGTATCATCAGTAGAAAAGTGTGTGTGTATATGTGTGTACATCTATCTATCTATCTATCTATCTATCTATCTATCTATCTGTCTGTCTGTCTGTCTATCTATCTATCTATCTAGCTATCTATAGTGAGAGAGAGAGAGAGAATATCCCTGGACTTCCCATTCCCAGTTTGAGTATCAGCAAGTGCATATTAACTTAATTACCAAATCTGGCTTGCTTGTGGCCCATGTCTATGTGACTATAGAACATCAACACTCCTATTAAATTCACACTAGTTATTTCTGGGAGTAGCCAGGATACATTACATGAATTGCCTCCTTTCATTTTGATGTTCTTAGTGAAGTCCACTGACTGGAAGTCATTTGGGAAGTACAACCATGCTGGCTCTGTGGTCCCTGGTCTCCCCAGCCTGCTGCTGTCCTGGGAGGGCTCCTTGTAGATTCTCCACTTGATGCTATTGAATTCTAGGGAGAGATGGAGAGAATCCTCATTCCCACTTCTAGGACTTCACTAATCACTGGGGCTCTAAAACTGCTTTGTTGTGTCCTAAATCACAAGATTCCTTATTCAAACAGCTCTTTTATCTTCTGTTTTCAGATAGCTCTTTTTGCTTTATATAGTGACTTAGAAATAATTTTACTGGCTGGATGGAAACCATTTTCCCAAATAAAAGTGTGTCTACTTTTTAAAATCTTCCTAAATCTGCCCCAGGTATTAGGTACTAACAGTTTCCTTTCAGATTATCCCTCACCTATTATAACTCAGGCAATCTTGGTTTAGGCTCAGCTTAGCTACCTCACTACATTCACACCTATTCCTTGAGGATTCACATTAAATTAGCTTTCAGGTGTTGTGAATACGAACTGCAGAGTCCCACAGGAAATTCACTGAACAAGTTATCAGGAGAATACGGGTTTTCACTTCACCTAATTAGAAAGTTGCTGTATGATCAAAGACTGACTATTTTATCTCTCTGGGCTTCAGTTTCCTTATGTATAAAATGAAAGATTTGGTCTCAATCTATGGTTTTTAAACTATTTGGTGATCAGAGATCATTTTCAGAATCCAATGATGATACTGAATCTCATTCTGAAAAATCCAAATATACATGCTATGAACTGTATTAGTCCGTTTTCATGCTTCTATGAGGAACTGTCTGAGACTGAGTAATTCATAAAGGGTTTTAATTGACTTACAGTTCAGCATGGTTGGGGAGGCCTCAAGAAACTTACAATCATGGCAGAAGGTGAAGCGGAATCAAGGCACGTTCTTCACAGGGTGGCAGGAAGGAGAAGGGCCAACTGAAGGGGAAAGATCCCTTTATAAAACCATCAGATCTTGTAAGAACTCATTCACTATCTTGAGAACAACACTGGGGAAACCTCCCTTATGAGCCAATTACCTCCACCTGATCTTTTCCTTGACACATGGGCATTATGGGAATTATGGGAATTATAATTCAAGATGAGATTTGGGTGGGAACACAAAGTCTAACCGCATCATTCCACCCCTAGCCCCTCCCAAATCTCATGTCCCTTTCACATTTCAAAACCAATCATGCCTTCCCAACAGTCTTCCAAAATCTTAATTTATTCCAGCATTCACCCAAAAGTCCAAGTCCAATGTCTTATCTGAGACAAGGCTAGTTTCTTCTGCCTATAAGCCAGTAAAATCAAAAGCAAATTAATTACTTCCTAGATAAAATGGGGATATAGGCATTGCATAAATACACCCATTCAAATGGGAGAAATTGTCCAAAACAAAGGGGCTATAGGCCCCATGCAAGTCTGAAATCCAGTGGGGAAATCAAATCTTAAAGCTCTGAAATTATCTTCTTTGACTTCATGTCTCATATTCAGGTCATACTGATGCAAGAGGTGGGTTCCCATGGTCTTGAGCAGCTCCACCCCTGTGGTTTTGTAGGGAAGAATCCCCCCTCCTGGCTGCTTTCATGGGCTGGCATTGAGTGTCTGTGGCTTTTCCCGGCACATGGTGCAAGCTGTTGGTGGATCGACCATTATGGTGTCTGGAGGATGGTGGTTCTCTTCTCACAGCTCCAGTAGGCTGTGACCCAGTGTGGACTCTGTATGGGGGATCTAACCCCATATTTCCCCTTCTGCACTGTCCCAGCAGAGGTTCTCCATGAGGGCTCCACCCCTGCAGCAAACTTCTGCCTGGACATCCAGTCATTTCTGTACCTCCACTGAGATTTAAGTGGAGGTTCCCAAACCTCAATTGACTTCTGTGCACCCACAGGCCCAACACTACATGTAAGCCACTAAGGCTTGGGGCTTGCACCCTCTGAAGCAATGGCCTGAGCTGTATGTTGGCCCCTTTAGCCACAGCTGGGATGCAGGATATCAAGTCCCAAGACTGGACAAAGCAGCAAGGCCCTAGGCCTGGCCCAGGAAACCATTTTTTCTTCCTAGGCCTCTGGACCTGTGATAGGAGAGGCTGCTGTGAAATCCTCTGACATACCCTGGAGACATTTTCTTCATTGTCTTGGAGATGAACATTTGGCTTCTCATTACTTATGTAAATTTCTGCAGCAGGCTTGAATTTCTTCTCAGAAAATGGGTTTTTCTTTTCTAGCATATCATCATACTGTGAATTTCCCGAACTTTAATGCTCTGCTTCCCTTTTAAACATAGGTTCCAATTCCAAACCATCTCTTTGTGAATGCATAAAGCTGAAAGCTTTTAAGAGCACCCAAGTCATGTTTTGAATGTTTTGTTGCTTAGAAATTTCTTCCACCAGATACTCTAAATCATCTCTCTCAAGTTCAAATTCCACAGACCTCTAGGGCAGGGACAAAATGCCACAAGTCTCTTTGCTGAAGTATAGCAAGAGTAACCTCTATTCCAGTTCCCAACAAGTTCCTCATCTCCATCTGAAACCACTTCAGTCTGGACTTTATTGACCATATCACTATCAGCATTTTGGTCTAAGCCATTCAACAAGTCTCTAGGAAGTTCCAAACTTTCCCACATCTTTCTGTCTTCATCTGAGCCCTCCAAACCTCTGCCTGTTACCCAGTTCCAAAGTCACTTCCACATTTTTGGGTATCTTTACAGCAGCACCCCACTATCTGTGCTACCAATTTACTGTATTACTCTGTTTTCACACTGCTATAGAGAACTGCCTGAGACTGGGTAATTTAAAAAGGAAGAAGGTTTAATTGACTGATAGTTCAGCATGGCTGGGGAGGTCTCAGAAAACTTACAACCATAGAGGAAAGCAAAGGTGAAGCAAGACACCTTCTTCACAGGATGGCAGGAAGGAGAAGTGCTGAGTGAAGAGGGAAGAGCTGTAACCTCCCAATGGGTTCGCCTTGCCCTCCAAAGGAATTGCAATGGGGAAAGAGTAATTCACGCAGATCCACCTGTGCAGGAGACCAAAGTTTTATTATTACTAAAGTCAGTCTTCCCGAGCATTTGGGGATCAGAGTTTTTAAAGCTAATTTGTAGGGTGGGGGCTTGGAAGGTGTGGAGTGCTGATTGGTCAGGTTGGAGATGAAATTATACAGGGTCGAAGTGAATTTTTCTTGCTGTCTTCTGTTCCTGGGTGGGATGGCAAAACTGGTTGAGCCAGATTACCAGTCTGGGTGGTGTCAGCTGATCCATCAAGTGCAAGGTCTGCAAAATATCTCAAGCGCTGATCTTCAGTTTTACAGTAGTGATGTTATCCCCAGGAGCAATTTGCGAAGGTTCAGACTCTTGGAGCCAGAGGCTGCATGACACCTAAACTGTAATTTCTAATCTTGTAGCTAGTTTGTTAGTCCTGCAAAGCCAGACTGGTCCCCAGGCAAGAAGGGCGTCGTTTTGGGAAAGAGCTGTTATCAATTTTGTTTCAGAATCAAACCATAAACTGGATTCTTTCCTAAAGTTAGTTTGGCCTATGCCCAGGAATGAATAAGGATAGCTTAAAAGTTAGAAGCAAGATGGAGTCAATTAGGTCTGGTTACATTCACTGTCATAATTTCCTCAGCTATAATTTTGCAAAGCCAGTTTCAGAGCCCCTTATAAAACCATCAGATCTCGTGAGAACTCACCCACTATCATGAGAACCTCATGGGCAAAACCACCCTCATGAGTCATTTACCTCCACCTGGTCTCTCCCTTGACACATGGGGATTATAATTCAAGATGAGATTTGGGTGGGGACACAAAGCCTAATCATATCATGGACTAAACAGTGTTCCACCAAAAATGTATATGTTGAAGCCCTCAGCCCAATGTTACTGTATTTGGAAATAGGGCTTTTAAAGAGGTAATTAAGGATGAATGGGCTCCTAAAGGTGGGTTCCCAATCCAATAGGGCAGGGGTCCTTAGAAGAAGAAGAAGAGACACTAGGGGTATACACAGAGAAAAGTCCATGTGTGAACACAGTGAGAAGGTGGCCATCTGCAAGCCAAGATGAGCAGCCTCAGAAGACACCAACTCTACAGGAATTTGATCTTAGACTTCCAGCCCCCAGAACTGTGAGAAAATAAATTTCTGTTGTTTACATCCCCCAGTATGTGGAATTTTGTTATGGAAGCTCTAGCTGAGTAATACAAAACACATAGAAAAGAATATTTGCAAGCAATTTTTGGTTGCTCATGGACTTCATGAAATCCACCCTTAAAGGTCAGGACCTTCAAGATTATACATCTTCTAAAAAAAGGATACATTTTTTTTTTCTAAAAAGTACTGACTATATGAATAGTAGCTGGAAATATTTGACTTCTTATTTCACATATGTTCTTTGAAAATATAGTGAGTCGGTTAAGATCATTAAAAAGGTGTATTTGTTTTAAGCAAGACGGCTCAAAAGAAAATGGACCATCAAAAGTTGAGTACACAAGAAATATACAAAACATTGTTTAGAAATGTGCCTAGAGACGTTTAAGCTAGTTTTGTCTCTTTATATATATGTGTGTGTATATATATATGAAACATATATATATGAAATACATATGTGATATATAGAAATATATATGAAACCTATATATGAGAAACATATATATGAAACCTATATATGAGAAACATATATATGAAACCTATGTATGAGAAACATATATATGAAACCTATATATGTGAAACATATATATGAAACCTATATATGAGAAACATATATATGAAACCTATATATGAGAAACATATATATGAAATATATATATAAACATAAAGACCTATGGAAAATATCTTTCTCAGAATAAATTAGAAATTTTCTTCCTCTTTAGGTTATTTAAATTTGAAATTGTGTATGCTATGAAAAGGTGTTTAAAGAATAAAGTTAATGCTTGGGAATAATTAAATCACAATGGTTACATTTTGTGTTTTGGAGGAATTACAAATCCTGGAGTATTTCATACAGAAAAATGTGGGGTTAGTAAATGAAGTGGTTCCAGGTATGTGAGAAAGACTACAACCAACCAGCACATTTTCATATAAGCCAATTATCAACTTACCATGATAGCAACAATGACACCTGTGCAAGGTTCTTTGGTGTCCTGAACAGTCATCACAAACAACCCTTCAGTATAGTCTGCTTTAAGAGACATATTGCAGTTATAAGATTAATGATAGCCATTAGGCCTACTCCTGTCTCACCCAGGTGACACTGTGTCACTTAGCTACATGATGCAAACTGGTCCGGGGATTTCCAACTCTGGTCCAGGGAGTTCCAGGAGACAAAGCCACCTCAGCACAGTTGCAACAACTTTCATAAACCTTAAATAAAGCATACCTTTACAAAAGCATTTAACTCCCTTTACAAAAGAAATACCTTATAACTGACTCAGACTGAATACAGTTGTAAGAAAGGGGGAAGGATCCCTCAAATTCTGAAAACGATCTCTGGATGGAGAGCTCCCAATCGGCTGGTTATCTGTCTCTCCAACTGTGTCTGGTCCATGGCACTGGCCTGCTCCACTACCATCTTGTAAGAGCACTACTAGAACACTGCTTGAGCATCAGACGGAGCCCAAGACTCATGTTTGAAGCAAATCAGACAAGGTGAAATGTCACCCCTAGGGAATTTGGTTAATAAAGACCACCCAAATTCCTGAACATGACACTTGGCCTTCAGCTGGTCAGGAAGATTTTTTAATTGACATTGTCTGGCTGCATTCTCAGTACCAGTTTGCATCCCCATTTACCAGTCCCAACAACCACCCCTTCTCTTTTTTATTTTTTATTTTTTGGTAATCAATGTGGTTCTAGAAAAGTTGTCTCTATTCCTGCTTTAGGTGGAGCATGTGATCTATGCTAAACCAAACAGAATATTCTGGAGGAAGTGATTGCTTTAGTGGTGGGCATGAGGTTTCAGGCACATGCATTTGAGAGAACCTCAGCACTTCGTTGGGTATCTTAAAACAAAGTCATGTCCTTGCTGAAAATGAATAAAGAGGCACGCATCCTAATGAGATGAAGAGAACCAGATAGAAAGAAGCCCATACAATAAGCACAATGGAGAGATGGGAAGAAACTTAGGCCTTGAAAAGTTTTTTGATTAATCCATTCTTGAAGTCAGCCTGATTTCTGGACTTTTGTGTACATGAGCCAAAAAACAAAACAAAATAAAAACAAATTTCTACATTGTTTTCTTCAATTTGAGTCAGAATTCCTCTTATTTACCATCAGAACATCGTAACTGATGGCTATTCTTAAATATTCCTAAATTTGTGTATTTATATAAAGTCTTTCTTTCCTCCCAGGGTTTTATTCTATAAGTAATCAAAGGCCCATTTAATAGTTTAGTGTGTGTCTACAATATTCTCCCATCCTCAATTAAACTTAGATATTATTTGTTCAACCTAATTCTTACTCAGCCAACAATGATCTATCATAGTGTCAACAATGTGCAAGGCCTGATCCTTAGATACCTTGGAGAAATTAGAATTATACATATAATGTGGTTCTTGCTTTCTAAAAGTACCTGCTTTAGAATAAGAGGACAGGAAAAACACATATACAGATAGTTCTTGCCTTCTTTTCTTCCTTTTTCTTAAATGCTTTCTTTTTTTCTGCTAGAATATATACTGGAAGGTAGATTATCATAGAATCCCTTCTGATAGAAAGTAATTAAGAGGGAGTCTAATATATTGCCTAAGAATGCAGGTGATGCCTAGGTTTGGATCTAGGCTCTGTTACTTGCTAAGCTCCAGTTTCCTTATCTGTAAAATGACATATACCTTGCAGAATTGTCTTGAATAAAAAATGAGAAAAACATGGCTCACAGTAAGCATTGAACAATAGTAGCCATTATAAGCTTGGAAAACCCTCATTTTATAAGAATTTGAGGACCTTGGTAGCAGTCAATGTCAAACCTAGGTCTTAGACCGGTGCTTCTTTTACCGTCATCACTAGCTATCAATTTAAAAATCTTCTGCCATGTATCTTCTCTTATATCACAGCTATGAGCAATAATTTCTCAATATCTCACAAGAACATAGATACAGCAACCGTAACCTCTCTGATTGTTTTGAAAGGAGTAAAATAATTCTTCAAGTTTGCCCATGTCAGGTTGTGAGAACCACAGACTAGCTTGGTCTATGGTAGAATGTGGGTGTAGCACTCAATCACAAACACAAAGTTATGTGATTTTTATAACATTCAATAAAGGAGTTGAGGTCACAGCTGAAGGTTAGAGCCAAACAGATCAACACATGAAATATTCAAGGTCAAGGATGAGGTTAGGAGTAGGGCCTGGAGGTCCATGCAGGGCAGGAAAGTGGAACAAGGAAGAGTCTAAGCATCCAGGCAATGATAAAAGTTTGTGCTTCAGTCCAAGAATTTGGAAATAATTAAGAGATAGAGACTAAACCAGGAGACTGAAATTTTGGCTTAAGAGTGTAAGCTAATGATTACATAAAAAACACCCTATGACACCATACATTTTTATTGCAAATTACTAATCACTAATTAGAGCAAACTTGTATTTGCTCTGTATAAGTCAATCTGTAAAAATGTTCATTTTTTGGAAGCGATAATAAGGAATCTCAAGAGTTCTCTTAAATCAGACAATGTTGTAATATAACAGATTCTTTACTAAAACCAAAACCTATTTGGTTGAAACTTGTTTCTAAACCTATCTTAAAAGGAAAAAACATTGCTCAAAATGGCTAATTTTTCATTCATTCCAGGCTTTCCTTCTCACTCCAAATCTCTAAAAACATCAGCAATCCATTGCAAAGTAAATAACTTTCTAAACCAAAAATATTCTTACATAGTATATATCACAAAGCCAGTGGCACTCCCCCAACCCTCATTAATTTTGGGTTCTAAGAAAAATGAGAGTATGCTGATCAAAAAATAAAAGCACATTTGTTTCTGCTGGAATTCTTTTAAGATGTCTCCAAATTATGGCTTGCTCACACACACCACAAGAGAATGTGTGGCTGAAAGCCCATATACAGCACCATCCAAAACCAAGAACATTTCTCAAAGGGAGACTTTGAGAATGTTTTTAATTACCGTGTGCCTCATCCCAGCCTTCACACTTATACTCTGGGTAAGCTGCCAGTTTATACTTGTGGTTTAGCCACTGCTGCCTGTCCCTGATGCAGGTAGACTTTTAATGGTCTTCAGGTAAAGATAATTGGCTATTTGCATGCTTCTAAATGTATCAGTTAAAAAGGTACTTGAAGAAATAAACCCACTGTATCTTCCAGTGAATATATTATGGATGCAGATTAACTGTCATGTAGACCTGCACATTAATGAAACCTGGAATGCCTTGACCTGTGAATATGCCTAGTGAATATACTATTACCTGAAAGCCTCTCATTAAAAAAAAAAGTTAGGTAGACCTAATTCAACTGACTAGCAGTCTGAAAAGTTAGAAAAGAGGTAAAAGTGAGTCTGACACCTATATTTCCTTCTAATCAAGAGTGAGAACTTCCAATAAGCTTTGGCAGTGATTTAGAAGGGTGGGAACATAAGAGAATTGAATTACCTCTCCCTACATATTGATTAACAGCTTTTAAACCCATCAGTCATACTTTAATTTCTGTGTGTGGTGTGTTTAACGTGAGCTCCCAATCCACCTGATTGGATTACCTCACCACCCATGAAAGAATCAGCAGCCAGTGGTTAAAACTGTAATTAGAATCAGGCAGTAATTTGTGCTGGGAGGGTTTTGGGTGGTGATGGGGGCAAACCCTCTTGCCCCTTTTGTTTAAATTTTTCAGCATAGATGATGAATAATAATTATATTTCAGCCAATTACCTCTGAGACAGTAGAAAGTGTACATGTGAAGGGATAATCAAATATTTTAGATATTGTAACTCTCTTTCTTCCTTTTCCACAAAGTAGTCAGTAAAATATAGAAGGTAAGTTTATTATTCACAGCCTCTAATTTCAGTGGAATAGGAGAGTGGTCTTATTTTAAACACCCAATATATTCCCCATCGTGTTTATTTTCTGTGGGCCAATAGTTTTCAAGAAAGAAAAAAAAAGAGCAGTATCTATACAAGAATATAAACATAATTCAAAATGTCTATTTTTAAAAAGATTTAAAATTTATTTTCTTTTTTTCTATGACATTTGAAATAGGTATTTTTAATGGAGATTTTATAACTACAATATTTTTGGTTGGTTTTATTGTAATATTTACCCCTAGGCAAGGGGACTGTCACAATCTTTGTTGAAAACATTTTATGTATAGCTTCGGTTCCAAGAGAAGGACATTTTAAAAAAACTTTAATGATTTTGAATTAACTATTCTTTTATGAAATATTAATTTAGTGCTTAAAAACAAAGAAGTAAATTAAATCCAAATGTGTGATAGAAAATTTCAGTGTTAGCATGAAATAAAATTGGAAAACAATACAACTGAATGGAGTAAGGGGACTTAGTAATTTAATATGAGGTGGCATCATTTGAATTAGTTGTACAAAATTCACACACGGACATGTTGAAATAGGGGGAAGTTACACTTCTTTCCCTTCACAACATTGAACAATATCACTACATCCATGTCAGTGCATGTACACATGTGTGAGCACAGACAGACTAAAACCAGAGCCAAACAAAAAAACATGCATGATGATAGTGGACAGCTTTTGGCCATAAATCTCCAAGCAGATATTTGATTCATAAATTATTTTATACCCTGCCTCTTCCCCAACCTGAATCTCATGTCCATTTGAGCAGGCTTCTGTGCTGAGTCTTCCCTCTCTTCTTTCTTCTGCAATGTATCTTGTCATTGCATCCCGTCCTCACTCTTATTTCCAGCCATTGCTAAAAATGATTGCCCTTGGACTTCCTTTTCCCACCTCTTTGCTCATCTGTATGGGGTGTCTTTTTCTAAAGGTCTATTTCCTTTATTTCTTCATTTTCTGCCCATATTAATACCCTGATTCTTTAACTCCTTGTGTAATGATTAATACCTATCTTGGTATAGTAGAAAGAGCCCTTGTTTAGACTTTTTTATTTGTCAGTTACTAACGTTACTAACATAAACCTCTTAATATCTCTGGGCCTCAGGTCCCTGATATGTAAAATGAGGAGGAACTTGAGGGGACCTTCAAGCTCTGAACCTTGTACAATCCCTTCTGTACAAATAGCTTAACATTTTCATAATGTTGTCTGTCTCAGCAGCAATTTCACGTATGGATGCTCTGTATCTCTAATTAGATGATAAGGTTTCCAGGAGCATTCACTGGGACTATTTTTTCTGTTGTACCCTATAGCTCCTAGCACAGTTCTAAGTATATTATAGATATTCAATAAATGTTCATTGATTCGTTTACTGAAGTCCTTTTGGGCGGATTTTCATTTCATATCATTACTACCAACAATATTGTTAGTGTAGATGTGGATACATCAAGCAGCTATTCAGAAATTTAATAGATAAAAAGAAAATAGAAACAAAACAACAAAAATAACTCTACAATTTCTGTGTGTTCCTTGATAATTATCTGTTTTGGTAATTTGTTGTGTGACCCTTGATAATTGATACCAATAACTTAACGTGCAACTGGGGGGAAAGACTGTGGGGAAAAACCTGAAGATTTATTTGAAGAAATGAATCTTAATTTGTCAGTGGAGGGGGCGGGGAGGCAGAGAAATAGGACACTTAGATAATCTGATGAGTGCTATGAGCTTTCTCTAAGAGGGTTCACAGATTTCTTACGACTTGTTAAATAAACACTGTGTTTTCCTGAAGCCCTTATATGGGTCCCAAGTTTCATTTTTAATGGCTTTATTTATAGGAGTTGGGTCGAAGAGTACAGACATAGCCATTCCCGCCAGAGCCCTATGAAATGATTTCTTTAGCATGTCTAATTGGACCAGAGGTAGGCATGTCATTCAAATCTAAGACTTAGCTTAAACAAAGAAATAAAGGCACTTGAAGGTCTTCCTTGGGATTTTGAAATTGAAACAAAATTTTACTTCAAGTCAGTTGGTGGTGTATTCTAGAAACAGAAGGCCAGCTGGTCTTGGAAAACGGAGTGCATGATTTGGGACCATGTGTAAACTAATGAAGAAGTAGAGGAAGGTGTTTGGTGGCAGGATTGGAAAATAGAGAAATACAGAGAAAAATCATGAATAACATAGCATAGAAGCAAAACCAAGGGATCACATAGCCATTAAGTAAAAGAGAGTATGGCCTGGGTTTCTGACACCTTTCCCATGTGCATTTACTTGTGCTGCATTTACCATTCATGGTGGCTGTGCAGACTCTGAGTCTTTGACAGCCTCTTCCCATCTCTCACCCCTGTCACTCCAACACCCATACACACAAACATATATTGTCACCATTTTCTGGAACTAATTTGAAATTGGTCTGTTTCTCTTTGACTAGGATAAATTATAATCATCTGTTTTCCACCATACTATTTATGTAAAGTAGAAAAAAATGACTCTCAAGGTGAAAATGCTTATGATGTAGTTAGTTTTTACAAGACACTTAGATGATGAAGGTTCTATGTGACTGTTAAAGCTTTTTGTAATCCTAAATTTTTAATATTCAGATTATTATTCTCTCTGAATTAAAACTTGTAATTTTTATGGAAATAAAGAAGAAAATAAAGTAATAGCTAAAAGTGTATGTTTGGCAAAGAATAACATAAAAATAAACTATACATGTTTTAAAAATAAAATTGCTGAGAGAATTTTTAAAAGACCTTCCAAACAAGCCATTGCATATATAAAGAAGCAACATAATTTGTTTAGCAAACCCATTTTATCAAATAAAACATTATATAGTAGCAATGATTATGTTTTCTATTTAAAAAGATACAATCTTCAATGGGAAATATTTTATGATATTTGCAGGCTTTAGCTTTTTTATTATTGTCCATATTTCCTGCTTATAATATCTTTCCCTTGTTAACATATTTTCAGCTATTTGCTAGTGTTTGAAGTTTTATTCCTGCAAGTCTCATGTAGTCTTGTGCTTAACTAATTCAATGGTACATATTACTGTGGTATGTAGTGTATACAAACCTGTTAACTTCTAAAGTTTTTTTTTTTTAAATAGACTATTCCAGTGTTTTACCAAGGATTACACTAGGAAGCATTCTTGAAGAATGATATATTATACAGTAATTTTAAAAATGGATTCTTTTTTTTTAGGATCTCTATTAAATGGATCGCATGTAAATTCAACTTGGTTTTATGAATACTTCTGGATACTTGTTATCAGATTGTTGGTCTTCTGTTTCATTCTAGTTGGTGACATCATCTTTCCTTGCTTTGTTTGTTTGTTTGTTTTTGAGAGGAGTAGAATTAAGTTTTCTTTTTCAGGTAATCCACAGATGTTTTGGGTTGCTGTGGGAAACGTCATCAAACATACAATGAAGGAGAGGGGATGCCATTCAAGCTTGTCCAACCTGCCTTATTTTGTTGTTGTTGTTCTGTTTTAGGCTTTTAAAAGCAGCCTGATGCCATGGTTTTTAGTTTCTGTCTTTAGTGATAAGCAGAAAAGGGAGATGAAGAAGGGGCTTAACTGGCCCAACCAGAAACAGAAACTAAGAACCCATGACTGTATTCTCTTCCCTGGACACCCCTGCTTGGAGCAAGAGCTGCACGTGGGTAGCAACTACAGCTCATGTACTCACTAGACCTAGCAAGAAAAGAAAAGAAAACGTTTGGGTTTGCCATGAAGAGGGCACAATCTACCAACCTATGGGTTTTGTCACTATTTTAAGAGGATTACCTTATTCCCCTCTTGCAAGTATGCTTTTTGCAAATTTCTGATCCTGGGAAAATAAATGTATCTAAAACTGAAAATGTGCCTAATTCCTATTACTGGTAAATATTTTGAGGTGTCTGAATAAAGTAAATCTTGTTTTATTAGATTATTTTAACAATCTGACTTTTATTGTAAGAATGTTAATGTGTGTAAGCCAACATTGACTCATCTAATTTTCAAATAATCAATTGTTAATTAAAATAGGCAATTTTTTAATGTTTAGAAAGAGAAAAGAATGAGAAGGCATACAGGTTCGGTTTTTGACATAATTCCACCATGAACTTTGCTGTGTGTCTGCAGCAAGTCATTGGTGTTCATTATACCTCTGCCTTCCTACGAAAAACAGGAATTTTCATATGCTATCTACTTTGTAGGAGGGTTGAAATAATCACAAGAGATAACAGAAAAAAATGTTACAAATGGAAGGAATCTTAATGATCATCCTAAGATCATTTATTTTGCCAGTAAGATAACTGAAGCCCAGAGGCGTTAAGTAATAACTGTTTCCTTTTCTCTCCATATATACAGCTTGCTCTTAATGCTTCTCCTAGAATTGTCACCGAGAAGTGCGGGAATCCTCGGTTCTTAGTCTTACTTGGAGTAAGAATTCTGACAAGTAACTGATTTAGGCAAAAAAGAGAATTTGTGGAAGGAAAATACAGAGCATAGGGTTTATGTAGAGAGGCAGTACCACTCTGAAAAGATAAAGCCTGGCAGACTGCTGAAGGGAGTAAGCCAGCTGTACCCTGAGAGTTCTGCATTGGGTTTTTATGGTGTTGGACTTTCTTGAAGTTCATGCCTCTGTCTCAAGCCTCTGCCTTTTTTCTTTGCCTAGTTTTCCCAATTCTGCCTTAAGTCCCCTCTTCTCCTTACCAGCATGCATCTAGCTACATTCTGACAGGTTAGCTGCAGAGTGAATGATTACTGGGCATCCTAGTGGGAATTCCTTCCGGCATAGGTATTTTCCCTCCTCTTTGCTCATATCCAGCATGCATGTTTTGGGTGGTCCCTGGGGTATGATATTTTCCAGACCTCCCTTTTCTCAGGGGCTCACCTCTCTTGCTCATGTCTGGCTGTCTGCGTACTCTAACAGAATACTTAAGTCATATACATTAATTATGTACTTTTTAATCTCCCTGACTAACCTGTATGATCCTTGAATGCAGAGACAGTATCATATTTGCCTTTGCCTTTTCATACCCATTGTTTTCCTAATTAACTCTTAATTGGCATTCCTTGAAGAATTTTTTTAATCTTCAGATCCTTGCTATACCTTTTCACTATATTCTATACTGTCCTTGATAGTACTTATCACAATTTTAATATAAATGTATATTATTTCTGTATATACATTTATATAGTTTCTGTGTGTATATATATGTGTGTATATATATATTTGATTTTTACAATGTTTTTCTCTACAATATAACTTATGTTACAGTTTCCTCATCTGTTAAATGTGGCTAATAATAGTATCTAACTTATAGAATTATTGTGCAGAATACTTCATTTATTAACAGTGAATGGAACATATAAGAGGAATTCAACAAATGTGTTAATATTATTATTTAATTTCCATGTAATATGCCTGTCCCAAGCAGTAATGATAAAGACTAAAATATCTCTTTTTATCAGGCTGTGCAAAAAGTAATTTTAGATTCAATAGGTTGTAAAGTTTTCTCTGTGCTACCCCATAGGAGGGTTATCCACGGGATGTCTCTTCATTTGTTCAATTCTAGGGGCAAATATATACTCTTCAGGTTTTAGTAACCTTCAAGGGATACCAAAAAAAAAATTCACAGAGGATGAAAGCTATTTAGTGAGAAGGTAAATCATGTGCTCCTTTATAACTTTTTAAAAAAATGTCATCACAGTCTGGTGGCATCCTGCTGAATGCATGCTTCTAGAAGGCATTCCATCATTCCTCTCTCAAATATATTTTGGTGTCTGCTAGGCCCAGCAAACACATCGAGAATAAGACAGATGAAGAAACTTTCCTTTGAGAAGACGGAAAGACTTCAATGTAACTTTGATTTAGGTTAATCCAGAAAGTCGAACAGGACTCACGCTACTGCAGGACATCTAAATACATCTGAGAAACCAACATACCCTATCTGCTAGTAATACCAAGGTAGTAAAGATTTTAAAAGCTTTGATAATCTCAAAACAGAAAGCATGCAGTTCTCAGCACAACCTGCAAAAGGTAAGCATTTTCAAGGTAAAAGAATCAGTATTATATTGGTTCATGAGTAACATTTATGAAATGAGTAGCCTGATTCAAAATAAGCACCTAATAGATTGGGAACATCACCAGAGCTCATAAAGGTGGCAGGTTAAATACATTGCAAATTCCAAAGCCAATTAAAATTATTGAGTATTTTGTTTTATGAATATGTCTAAATTTGAGAATTGAAACTGCATTTCCCATTGTTCTTTTTTAAATGAGAAAATAAAAGAATTTTTTTCAGTGTTCATTACAAAGTTAAAGTGTTTATAAATACATACAGTTGGCAGATACGTGTGAATTTATGGAAGGTAGCTTTGAACTATTAAGGTGAGATTTAACATTAAAGGCTAAATATAGGAAGAAAAAAAGATGTTGTAATGCTGCAAAAGAATTTTGTGACTTTTTCTGGAAAGTAATTTCTGAGTTTCAATTTACTCCCTGGATCATTTTACAATGGCTGTAACCCTGCTGTATAAAGGTGATACTTGACAACTGCAATCAATTCAGCGAGTATTGGTGAATCAAATATTTCCACTTTTAAGACATGGCATCTGCTGAAGCTGAAGGCACTCACAGAATAATATCTTTTAACTAGGGACTTCATTTTTTCTGGAGTGTTCAAACATATATATTTATTTCTTACTTATAGAGGATCAATGGATTTATTCCAGAATAAATTGTTTTCTTCTGATGTTTGATTATTTTTGTACTTTAATAGTGTAATATGTACTGATTTTAATGAAGATATTGTGGCATAAATAAATATTAAAAATGGCAAGGATTTTTATCTATCTCTACAGACATTGACAATGATAGCAGGCAGCCAAATGCCTAGGCAGATAGGGACAGGTACCTGTGAAACCCCACCTTCAAGCCAAAAACAGCCTGAAGGCTGAAAAACCCGACTGCTGGTCCCAGTGAAACCTGTGACCCAGAGTAAGAACTTCTGTTCCTGTTTCCCCTCCTTTATCTGACTGATTCTTTCTGAATAATGCCTTTTAACCAATCAATTGTTGCCTTTTCCAATACTACCTATGGCCTGCCCCTCCCCGATTCTGAGCCCATAAAAGCCCCAGACTCAACCATATTAGAGGGACTTTTCTGCCTTTGGGTAGGGGGACCACCCCCATGTCCCCTCTCTGCTGAAAGCTATTTTATCACTCAATAAAACTCCCTGCCTTATTCATTCTTCAATTGTCAGCACCTCCTCATTCTTCTTGGGTGTGGGACAAGAACTCAGGAATTGGTGTGCAAGCCAGACTTGGCCCTGGTAGGATGAGTAGGTGGGCCATTTCCTGCAGCAGGCAGCATTGCCAAGGGAGGGCCAGGTGGGGTGTCACTGGCTGGAGGTCCCCGGTTTGCAAAGTGACCAAGAAGAAAATCTCGTGTCAATATCTACACAGAGAACAAATAATATCTGGGGGGATATTTTCAGTAGAAAACATTAGAATTTTCTGAGCTCAGCCACTCAACTGAGTAATTATAAACATTTTTTTTATGTAACCAGCATGTATTGTATTAGGTATTGTAGGAAACCAAAACCAAAAGATATATATATATATATATATTTTGTCCTCAAGGCCCTTCAAATCTAGTTGTGGAGATTTATGTACACGAATAATTTTAGTATGGAAGAATATGTAATATGTTATAATGGAAGCACAATAAAAATGTGAATTTAGACAAAGATGAGTTTACTTCAGGAAGAGACAAGATTAGGCTAAACAATGAAAATAGTTACTTTCAAGATCTACCTTGAAAACTGGGTACAATGTAGGCATACAGCTGCCTGGAGGAAGGCTCCCTGGTAGAACGAGTTTAGGGAGCAATGGTGCAGAACTGAAAAAGCATAGGCACATTAAAGAACTGCAGACATTTGAAGTTAATGAAGAGCCTGTTTTTTTGGCACTGAACACTGCTCTGTTCTTAGAGTAGCTGCTTATCAGACTAAATCGAAGTGAGTTGAAATTCATCATCCATGAGCCAAGAAATAGTTATCAATACAAGATTTATACTGAGACAAGTACAGTGGTATAAATAAAAGGTGTTTAGCTCTTCCAGAAATCAACCATTCCAGCTTCCTGCCCTTGGGCCAGAAAGTACCTAAGGTTTGCTCTGTTTAAATGACATATGGAGGAAGAACTTTCCACAACTTTCTTGTGGAGAAAAACTTTAACATATTTTGCTGGAACAAAAGTGGTGGAAAGTCTTTCCACATATGCCATTCAAATATTCTTGTAATTCAGCATGGAACAATTAAAGACACAATCTATAGAATTAATTTTGTCATAATTTTAAATATTTTACTAGCATTTGCTGAGAAAACCATAAAGTGTTGCATTCTTTTGTGGGACATCCACATGCCAATAATAAAATGCTTTGATCAAATAAGAGTTTATAAATGTAAAGTAGCAGATTCTGTGAGCCTTGTAATTTGTTTCTTAAAATGTTAGCTCATACTAGGATAAGGTCTTCAGTATGGAGTCATGGATAGGAAGATTTTGGGCCCAAGGATTGTGGATCTTAGTTCTAGGCTTGGCTTTGCCACCCTCTGGCTATGTAATTTTGGACAAGGCCCTGACAACTCAGTCCCTCAGTTACTATAAAATGGCAGTGTCTCAAGGCCTCTCCAACTCTTGAAATTATATGTTTTGTAACAACAAAATGAACAGTAAATTTATTTTCAGTTTAAAACTCCTCCAGATTGTCAAGATTAAAACAAAGGAGCAGAGTCATAAATCAGAATGAAGGCTCGAAAGTGAAAGGAATGTGTCAAAACAATATTGTTCTCCTAAACCCTTTTCTAAAGGTGTAAATTGCAATCTGACACAACTGCCATTCTGAGGTGCCATACTGAGTTGTTTTGTTTAACAATGAGTTTAATCAGACAAATAGTTCCAGAGGACAGGAAAACAGGGGCCATCAATTTTTAAATGTGGAAGCCCAGTAGAATCATCTGTTTGCCTTAGGCCAGGCAACTGTGACCCAATGGCAACAGAAAATAACAGGGAGAAATATTTAGGAAGTTGTTTATTAGTATAATGTCATGAAGGTTTTCCATAAACTGAAATAGATGTTACTGTTACTTATTCTACCCTCTTATGTTCAGTACTTGGAGGCCTGTAAATTAAACTGACAAAAGGCAGACTAGCAAGAGAAGAGATGGATTTTTATTCACACAGGCGCATACAAGAGATCACAGAAAAAAAAATGTGGCTTAAAGAGGTGATTAGAAATTGGGGTTTATATACCATTTTAATAGGGAAAGCGTTGGGAGTGAAGGACATTTATCAAAAACAAATGACTTTTAGAAAATATGAATGAGCCCTTAGGGGAGTAGATGGGAGATATGATCGTTTCTTGACAATGTCTGTTTAGGTGTGGTGTGGAGACTTCTCCTCTTCAGTGAAGATAGTTGAATAGCTTTCAGGGAGAGTGCTTAGGATGATGGAGTTCTTTTGGGACACTGCTTATAAGCAGAAAAGAGATTTCAGGAACTCAAATGTCTTCTATTAAAAAATATTTTTTATGCCACAGTAGCATATTCTGGGCCTCTTCATTATCCTCGAATATTTAGTATTACCTAATTTATAGTAAAAATCAACCATTTGGACATTTAGATAAATGTTTGGTGGAATTCAGTCAAATTAAAATTTCCATTTACTGAGCTTAACATGAACTTAGATGAAGAAAACTGTGTTTTAATATTCATGGATATGTGGTGATATAGGGACTCATCAGTTTGTCCCTATTGTTCCATTTCTGAAGCACAGGACTTGTAGCTCATTGTTTTTCTGTTTGAGTCATTTGATGGCATGGAATAAAATAGTGTAACAGCTGAAAACTTGACACTCAAAATATTTGCCCACCATAGAAGTTGACTTATTTAAAATATATGATTTCTAATTTCAAAAGTAATCTTTAGTTCCTATTTTAAACTTATTTTTTGTACCTAAAATTAATGCTTCATTTTATTGTATCCTCATATTATGTAAATTGAAAAAAACTTACAATTATTATATATGTGGACATATTAATTTGAACCACGTAAAATTGCCATTTGTTAGATAAAAAGCAGAGAAATATTGCCAATTACATACATAATTTTTTGTAATTGGAACACACAAGCACACAAATTACTGACAATAACTTGGACAGAAGCTTTGTGTTTTACTTTTATTTTGGTTCTATTTATTTTCCCCACAGCTGAGCCTAGTGCTATTGACAGTTTAGTATGTGTTTGATGAATACTTGGTGACGAATTGTTGTCAGATTGATTAAATAGACTGTGGGACAGACTTTTAAGTGGCTCAGCCAAATATGGAGAAATAAGAAGCATTTAGCTGTCATAGACAAAGAACAAATAGACAAAGAAGAGCCTGGGTATATACATGCATTTGGTGGACATGTGAATGGAGAAGTAGAATTGGGATTCTGGGCTGTCTAAAATCAAGAAAGAAAACCAAGTGCAAATTTTCTACCCAAAGATGCCCTGCAAGAAAATGGTGAAATATTTATTGTCTTCAAGATCAACATTGTTCTAGTGCACACCTCTAATTAGTTCTTTCTGAGCTAGAAAAGCTAATTAAAAAATACCTACACACTGCATGGATATGATACTGCTGTGTGCTCTGTGATGAATGGGCTCACACCTAGGATTGTCATCACATCCAAACCCCTAAGGAGGAAAGATTCAAGACTCTGTGTGCTAGATGCAATCCCAAAATGCTAAAAATGGGTAAATTAATATGCACACATATGTGTGACTTGAGATGAAGATATCACTTTCAGGTAGCAAGAGGAATTTACCAGCAGTGTCTTCTGTTAGGCAGAAGCAATCAGGGATGAGTAAGCAGACTTTTAAATTTAGACATTTATTTAGGTGTTCTTTTTTTTTTTTTTTCTTTTTGTCATGTGGGGCTGCCAGGCTCAGTCTAATATAAAATCGAGTCTTTTCAATTGAATAAAGCATGGAAAGAGAGAGTGTTCCAGACTCATTGTGGCCAGGGAAGATGGAGTTTCTGATAGCCTAGGGAAGAAAAAAAAAAAAAATCTCCCTTTTCTCCTCTGGCCCTTGTTAAAAGCTAAATCTGAAATTTTTAAGGGAATAAATTGCTCTGTCATTTGCCAGTATTTTATTTTTGCTTCTTGCTGAACATTGATCCCATCATACATCTGGAGAAAACTCTTTAGAGTAGAATCAGTGGGTACCTGTGTGCCCTGCTGGAACAACTAGAAGGCAAAACTGAGTTTACCATAGAAGACAGGAGATGAGACATGTGGATGAACTATAGCCTTACCAGGCTATAGAGTTAGGTGGAATTGGGGTTGAACCTTGTTTTTTTGTATTTTCTAGTTGTGTGACTTTCAGCAATTTAGCTAACTTCGCTGAGACTCAGTTTTTTCACCTGTTAAATGGGAATAATCCCTAACGATAATCTCACTGTAATGAATAAGGGAGGTAAAGTTTAAAAAAGCACTCAACATACTGTGTGATACATATTAAGTGCCCCAAAAATGGCAATTTGAAAATAAAAAAAGCCTTTTTGATGGTTGCTTGCTCCCAATCTTCAGAGAAACCAACAGCCCACAACTATCAGATGATAATCTCATTGTAATGAATAAGGGAGGTAAAGTTTAAAAAAGCACTCAACATAGTGTGTGATATATATTAAGTGCCCAAAAAACGGCAATTTGAAAATAAAAAAAAGCCTTTTTGATAGTTGCTTGTTCCCAATCTTCAGAGAAACCAACAGCCCACAACTATCAGAGACTGAGATAAACACATTTCATGCAAAGAAGACCTTAGGGAAGGTTAAGTGAAAAGAATACTCTTGGGTGAGAGAAGTATCAAGAGGAAGCTAAGCCCAGATGAATGCCCAATATTTACTCTTCCCTTCTGGTCCACTGCAGAGCGTATCCACAAGATCTGGAACTGATTCACACATTAAATTTGACAAGCAGTGTTGCCTTTCTTTTTAATTCAGCCTTCTCCCTGAACTTATTCCTTCTAGGATCTCTCCAGTCTTACAAGGCTCACCAAAATGGAACCATTGCTACTCTAAGATGGAAGTACATGTCTTCCCCTCTACAAAGTTACAGAAGCTGCCACATATTTGCCCAAATTTATGGCCTTTTCTCCTTTCAGTATTAGTCTTGGGTCAGCACTGGATTGACTAAATATAACTCCACATTTGTTAGTTCTAAGACTTTATTGTCATGAACACCATCCAATCAGTGGAACTCTTTGTATTTCTAATTTTATTGAAGGCCACTGTCGGATAATGTGAGTTCAGCACTTTAACCTGAAAAGAAGTCAAAGAAGTCTGAGTGGTTTGAAGGGTCTATGTAGGGGATAACTTCCAGGGTGCAGGATTCCAGAGGTCCAAGACAGAGACTGGTGTGAGCGGGAAAGACCATGATGCTTCAAGCTCCAGCTTTTTTATTAATCACTTGTTTGACACTCTGCCAAAGAATGTTCATCCCTGGGGAGAGATTTCAGGTCTTAGGGTCATGACCTGAGAAAATGTTGAAGTTTGGGGATACAGCATTGCTAATTACATCCCCTCTCCTTTTCTCCTGTTCTTGGTATTTCTAAGCTGTTGAAGTTGATACATCAAAGAACGGATGACAGCAGCAGGTGTGGCTTCAGGTTCTGGACGACCCATGGACATTCTTTTCTAGGAGCTGGGGGTCACTGGGATCTTTCACTAGTGCTTCCTGAAAGATTCAAAGAGCCTTCTTCATCATTATTTATGTGGCGCTTCCTTCATCATCTATATTTCCTTTAATTTCTATGCCGATGGCCTAGTCTTAAAACCAACAAATGTGACAACCTGAGTCCTTACATGCAGAGCTGAAGTCAGGTATTTAAAGAGCGTTATGGAGGTGCAGACAAGAATATAGAATCTCTCTGTGAAAACTGCATGAAGATATTCTGAGTACTTTTCACTTCTTCCCACAAAACTTGATCAAAAACATAGAGAAAATAAAACTTTTGTGGTTCAATTCCAAGTATTTCTTTAAAAGAGCCTCTGAAGATGGTCTACAAGCCAGATCTATTAACTCACTTTCAAGCTAATGCTCCCAAAGTGTGATGTGATCTCACTGTGGTTAAAAAAAATCTGTTTAAAGGTATAGAAAAGAAGAATAACTATTGAATAGGATATTTAGAATGAAAAACTGGACACAAACTGTGCTGTCCACTTTGAAATCATATAAAAAGCAGTAATGTGGATAGCACTATATAGCAAAAAGCTGACTGATATGCCTTCTCATTGAAGATAATGAAAATCCAACTGTGAGTGCTTGTCAGGACCTCTTTGAAAATTCTGCATTGCCTCTGCACACCCTCAAGCACAGTCATGTCTCATGGCCTTATCTGACACTGTCTTAGTCTTATAGGAAATGCTGGAGACTCACTATTTATATGACATGACCACCTATCCGTAGCACCAGCGTATAGCTCAGCAAGGTATAACTATGAATTTTTCTTATTGTTGCTGTTGAAACTATAGAGGATTAAAGATTTCCCAAAGTTCAATCTAGGTAATCCCTTCTATAGGATTATCTCACTGTATGGCTTTCTGGGTATATTTGTTTCAGAAAAGATAAAACAGATTTCAAATTCCTAAATCTGGAGGTGACATTTGTTTATTGTGCAGATAACATTGATAACTTGTGTGTGCGTGTGTGTGTGTGCTTTCTACATGTTCACAGATTATCCCATGAGAAATCTCTAAATGAAAATTCTAAAGAAATGGGTTTTTTTACAAACTATAATTACTTTAATTACAGGATAATTATATAAATAATGTATTTAAATGTAGGTTTCAGTTTTCTTTGTTTTCTAAATATTATCATCTTTCAGTGTTTTCAGATGTGTAAACAGGAAACATTTAAGTTTAGATGAAGAGCAGGTGAACTGCCTATGATACAAGTAGAGACAATCAAAAGATGATTAGGCTATTGAAAACTGCCTAACTAGGTGCTAATTTTTAAGTGAGCAGGTGTACTTAGTCATTATAACTTTAAAATGAAAATATATTTGAATTAAGCCAACACTCCCCCCAACATTAAAATATCATTAGAGGTCTGACTGGTACTGACTAATTCCAGCAAAGGCAAAAAAGGTGGAAATTCAATGATGAGACAGGAAGCCCCTCCAAAATGAAGAAGCATTAAAGAGGAAACTGTAGGCTTCTAAAGAAATGCTGAACCAGTTTCATAACACTTTATTAACTTTCTTAGAATATGGCCCAAACATCATTAATGTGTTAAGATTAATATTTTAGCTATTGTTGAAAGATGATAAACTTTGCACAGAAATTGCACAAAGTAAGAAAGATCTTATAACTACCGTGGGTAAAAATCAACTGGTGTATTTTTTTTTCTTGATTCTGTTGTTTTTCTTGTTGCTGCTGAAATGCATCAATGCACTGTTAGCTGCTCATGTGGAACACACAAAGACCTGATTCTGAGTCAAAGGGAGATAGTAAACTTGTGACTAAAGCATGAACATTAAATTTCAAAGTGGTGTGACATACATAATACTCATTTAATTCACGTATGGCTGCACCTGAAATTGAAAGCCTAGTTTTTATCAAAAATTAATGCAACCAAATAAAATAAACGTATATGGCATTCGGTATAGAGCTATTTTAGATCCATTAAACACTGAGAAAGAATGTAAACTGTTTTTAAGTATGCAGGTGATGTTGAAAACATTTAGCAGTTTAATAAATTTGTCTTCTGTGCACAAAATTATACTTCAATGATCTGAAAGAGTTTAAGAACTTATGAAAAGGGAAAATACACTGTCACAAATTCAAATATATACTAAGAATCTGGATGAAATTGTATAAACTACATATATTTGAATAGGTATATGGTATGATGCAATCAACTTCCAGCTACGTCGCATTAGCCTTCAAATGTTGCTAATGCTCTCATCCTTTGACTTCCTCATCCCATCTGCTATGAATAACCCATTATGGATTTTCAATTTATTTATTTTCTTTCAGCCTCAAAATACTGGTAGGCTTTGCTCTGGCATGCACTAAAATGGGCTTGCTCTACTGAATGCTTCAATAATTGCTTCAGATTTTTATTCTAAAATGATATAGCCAGTTTTGTGGAACTTCTTGGTGTCCTATCCTACTTTTTTGTCTGTCACAAAAGAAGTAAAGCAGAATTGCATTTGATTCCATCTGCTTTGTGTAGGCACACTGCATATGCAGAAAGGTGTCATTGGCAAATATTTCAAGCTTAGGGAATCGTGTCCATCAGAAGTCACAGATAGTTTTTCTATAGTTGAAAAAGTAAGTTTGCTGAAAAACTAGTGCTGGCACTATAAACTACCATTTTGGATAAACTCAGAATAAAGAGAGAACTCGGGCATAAAAAAAGATTAAGGTAATGCACTAGTTTATATAAGGCTAAAAATTCTTGTTATGGTCTAATTTCAATGTCACGAATATGACAAAAGGAAATAATCACAGAAGAATTTGGGGTGAGGAGAGGTCAATACTTGTGTCAGTGATTCTCCAAGGGGAATGAACTGATCCCTTTATGTTTATTTGAATACGACACCATGCTATATGCTGTGTGTACATTTAGAGACATCTAAGTGATGTATATGAATTGTCATAACAACATTTTCTGACCTCAATCATTACCTGTATGGATATGACACATCCAAGACTAATCTGTAACACAGAAGCCCAATGAATATGTGTTGTTTGAAAGAATGAACAAATGGGCAGCAAACTCAAATATTCCTCTATATACAGGAATTCTTATTTTCCCACCACAACTACCATTTAACTTCTCTTCATCTCTCCCACTTTTTTTCTCCTAAGGTATTAATGTCTAAAGTTTATTCTCTTTCTCTTTATCTCCTTCTTCTCCTCAGACTGGTTTAATGTAGAGTCTATGGGATTCTTAATTCCACAATGGAATTTCCAGGATATTCATCAAATTCGGTTTTTCTTTAAGACATTTATGAATCTCACTTTAGCCCCTTATGTACTCAAACTCATCCTGATAGTGTCTTTAACCATACAAAGTGAAGTCGATAGAAAGGGGAACCTTTTAACTTATGTTTATTTCTTAACAGTTACGTATTGAACATTTATGGAATAAGGAAGTAAACCAGGCACTTGTATTGTTCCTAACTGAAAATCAGTATAACTTAAGCTTGGAGGGGCTAAATGCTCTGGCAAGACCATGCATTCATTAAGTGCTAAATTTGGACCTAAAATGACACCTAGAATCTGGTTCTTTCTACTGTATTATGCAATCTTCTCATTGTGTTTTCTTTGGAATAGAAGACTCCAAGACAATTACTGAGTATATTAAATGCAATAAAATAAGGAAAAACAAAACCAAAACATTGAGAAGACCTGGAAGTAGGTAAGAGACAAAGATATGCATCCTCTAGTACTGTTCTTCGAACTAGGAATACATTTGTCTTTCTTGAAGCATGAATGAAATTTTAAAAACTTCTCATTGTGAGCATAATAAAATCACTGAATTTTCTCCTTTTATAGCTGAACTTCCTTGTTTATTTTACACTTTATTTTACTTGTGACCCTTAATATAAGGTATCTCCAATTTTTTCATAAAAAGAGGTGTGCAGTATAAGTGAATGAATGTATTTGGGTGAACCTGGTGTCAGCCGTTACCCTGTCCACTGTAGGTTGACTCCACATAGGCCCCCTGTGAACCAGTATTCCAAGCTAGATAGGTCATTTTCAAGTTCATACATAGCATTTAATAACAATTAACAATTTCATATTTTTCACTAGTGATTTGGGGTTCCTCCAGGAGGGTATTACATTGTACCCAGAAAAGTCATTCTCTCTCCCCCTTTCCTCCTTCTCACAGGTTCAAAATCATTTCCATTTTGTTAGGCGACAAACACCTGTTCACACAGGCACAGGAGCCTTGTCTTCTGCCTCAGAGTAGATTTCTTAAAACTTCTCCCAAAAAAGACTGGGGACAGGGGTGAGACCTCTCACAGAAGGATTCTCCTAACCACCATAAAAGAAGAGTGTTGTTATTGCTAAACAAATAAACACACCAACGTAGATATTTTAGGAGAACGCTTGGGGTACTATTATCTATTAAGGAAATTATACTATTTCTCATGGCTTATTTTGCAGTGACCACTTCTGAGACATAATGAAAACTTCTGTTTATATTCTTTCTTCAGATAATGAACGTGTAGCAGTCTTATTTATCAAGCAGAAAGTAGGTCCTTTCCTGGAATGCCTTTCTATCCACACTCAAAATGGAGAAAGTAGCTATTTGAGTTGATCGTATGATAACTACAACACTTTGTTTTCCCATTTGGAAACAAATTGGGGAAAGAACTTTACAGAGTAGTTTATAAGGTAAGGAAATTGTGTACCTGGGCCCTCCTAGGCTCCAGGGATCCTCCAGCAGCCAGTAGCTTTGGCAGGCCTCATGCTATCAAAGCTAAGCATCAGTCACCAAGAGACACCAACATTGACCAACATGGAGTTTATAAGATGTTCCATGTGCACTCTTATATTTTTCCTGCTTGGGTCCACAATGCCATAAAGTGAGCATAATAAGCATTAACATGAAACATGACACAAACTGAAAAATCAGCAATACCAAAAGGCAGCATTTTCAAGAAACTGCTTGCTCCCCATCACTCTGCACAGAATTCTAAGTTGGCAAGTTGCGAATCAGTTCAATTCTATTACATAGAGGAGTTACTTTGTAATCCCAGTGAGGAGAAAAGGGAGTTCTTTTCTTACCAATGAAGCCCTGCCACAGCACAGCTGACTTTATCTGAATTTCATTTTCCATGTTGCAAGTTGCACAACTATCAAGTTTGGGTTGCTTTGCATTATGACTGCATTCATCCCCAGGGGAAGAAAATGGGCATTTGGTACTTTTTTGTTGTAAGAAAAAAAAAAAAAGCTCTAGCAGGTTCACCTTAGTTGGTTTCTCAAATACAACAATAACTGCCTACACTTTGAGGTGTAGGCATTATCCTTTCAAGTATACAACCAGCACCTAAACATTTTTTTAACAGCCAAGCTTCTCAAAAAGGTTTTCTACTCACTTTCTCCCTATCTCACTCCCAATCATGACTCCACACGGTCCCAGGCACCAGTTTTGAACCACACATCATTTGCTAAGATAAACAATGAAGTCCATGCAGCCAGTAATAAAGCACACACCTTACTTGATGTCTTTGTACCTTTTCACATGAATGAAATTTTCTCTTTGTGCAACTTCTCATTTCATGCCTTCTTCTACACCATCTGACTTTTCTGGCTTTATTTTTCTTACTCTCTGGCTATGCCATTTGAATCTTCTTTGCCATTTTTTTTTCTCCTCTACCTGAGTTCTGAAACTCACTAGTCTTGTGACAATTGAGCACTTGAAACATGGCTAGTTTGAATTAATATGTGTTGTAAGTGTAAACTATACACCAGATTTTTAACACTTAGTATGAAAAATAATGTAAGCTATCTTAATAATATGCAGTTGATTTTCATTACTCAGAGTATAAAAGTTCTATAAAGTATCGGAAACACTGAATTAGCAAATACTGAACTATTGTTCTCAAGGGAAATAAAGGGCTATGTTCCTGCAAGCCTCTGGTCATCAATGGATCAATAAATAACTTTGTCATGTAGGTTTCTGTTTAAATGCAAATTATTGATTCCTTAATATTGAACTCACAGCCCACTCTACTGTAACTCAGGCTTAAATGAAGCTTATCTTACACACATTTTCTTTGGAAGATACATCATAGCATCTTACTTTTAGGAACCATAGTCAGAATTTCAAGCACTACGCTTGGGGGACATTTAAAACCATAAAATTATCAAGAAAAAGCACCAAAAATGCAAAAAATATGACACTAAACAGACCATGAAAAGGATATTTGTTTACCATAGGAGAACTGAAACAGGAAGGCAGAACACCTTTTTGTTTGATGTCAGCTGGGAATACGCACATCAAGTGGCTTAAATTTTTGCTGTTCTGTGCATGTCTGAGAATGACTACAAAACACTGTAAGTATTGATTTGGGGGTTACAAACAAATGTTAGCTAGTAGGTGAATTCACAAATATGAAATCTATAAGCAAGAAAGATTGGCTGTAATTTACTTTGATTACATGTTGAAATGATAATATATTGGAGATATAGAGTTAAATACCTCATTACAAAGTTGTATATTGATTGCAAATGGAAATGATAGTATTTTGGGTGTGCTAAGATAAGCAAAATATATTTCAAAATAAATTTCTTCTTTTTCTGTTGACTATATTTAATGTAGCCACTAGAAAATTCATGAATATATTTGTGGTTCACATTGGCTCTTATTGTATTTCTATTGGATAGTGCTGTAAGACATCAAGAAGTTTCACAGGACTGGGTGTTGACAACAGACAGCCTCACTCATTCTCATGGCTTTAGATTACATGTATAGATTAAACACTCCCAAACTTTAGGGTGATTCTTCAATATCCCAAGTCCACAGGATATTCTCTTGGCTCTAGCTTTGGTGTATATCCAGAATCTCATTAACTACTCCCACTTCCTCTACCTCCCACTGCTGTAAGCTGCCATCACCATTGGTCCCAACTATCTGAATGCCTCCTACATCCTCTCACACCCTAAAACACAGCAGTCTAAATGATCTTTTAAAACTTAAGTCAGATCATAATCACACCTCTGTTCAAAAATCTCGATTCTATTGGTTCTGTCTCTCTGGAGAACCCTGCCTAATACAGGAGGTGATTAGGTCATGAGGCCTCTGCCCTCATGCATAGAATTAGTGTCCTAATAAAGAGATCATAGAGAGCTATCTAGCTTCTTCCACCATGTGAGGCTGCACTAGAAGGCACCATCTATGAACCAGGAAGCAGGCCCTTACCAGACACCAAATGTGCCAATGACGTGATCTTGGACTTCCCAGCCTCCAGAACTGTGAGAAATAAATTTCTGTTGTTTATAAATTTAAATAATAATAATAAATCTTCATCAGCTTCCTATCTCCCTTAGAATAAAAGCCACTGTTTTTACTGTAGCTGACAAGACTCACTCACTCCCTTTGAGATGGATCTCCATCCACCCTTTGCACTGACCATTCCACTCTATTCACTCTCGCTTCATTGATTTCCTTGAATTTGTCCAGAACCCCCCCAATGCAGGACCTTTGCACATGCTGTTCCTGGCCCAGAATAGTCTTTCCTCAGCTTGCCCCATGGATGTTCTTTTCCACTGTTTTATTCAGATCTTGGCTCAAATGGCAACTGATCAGAGAGGCTTTTGCTGATGATCTCTAACAAAGGACCACTGCATCACTTTATGTTTCCTTAATGTGGTTCATTTTCTTCTCTTCAGTACTTATCACTACCTAAGATTTATATATTTGCTCTCATCTCCCCACTAAAATGTAAACTCTTCAAGATCAGGGACTCAGACTTATTTGTTCACAGTTATGTCCCTGGTGTTAGAATAATACCTAGCACATTGTAAGTAACCCACAAAATATTTTTGAATAAAAAAAATTTCTGTCTGCAATTCAGGTTTCTACAGTATCAGTAGCTGACCAACTTCAATAACTCACACACATTTCTAATAGTAATTTTTAGGTAATCAATGTTTTTAACTGAAAATAGCGTCAGTTAAAGTTGGATAGATCTCAGCTGAAAGAATAAGTTTGGCAATTATTTTCTCTGTGGCCTTGGACAAGCTATTTACTCCTCTAAATCTTAGTTTTTCCTTTTTAAAGTAGGGCCGGGAATACTTGTCTTTCAGTCTTATTTTGAGGATTACAACAAATATCTCACATAAATTCCCTGTATGATGACTACCATATATTAGGTACTTGGTCGCCAATGTTATTCATCAATCTTTTATTAAAAGCCACTTTATGACAGGTGTCATACTAGACTCTGGAGATATGAACTCCATGAGATGTAAAATTAAAAAAGAAAAAAAGGTAGGTTAGTAAGGGGAGGAGATAGAAAGTGAGAGGATGCAAACATAATTACATGTGAGCTCAAAATGTTAATGTACTATGAGGACATATTATTACAATAATGTCACAATGCAGGGAAAGTCCAGTGATAACGGGGGTTACGATGGGCTCAGCACACATTTCATTAAGGAAATAATCCTTGAATGAACCCTAAAGGATGCATTGCATTTAGCAGGCAGAAAATAGTGAAGAGAGTGTGGGGCAGATAAATCAGTAAGCAAAGTCTCCTAGGAGTAAATAGGAAGTGACATCTAGGAAACGACAAGCAGTTTGGCATGGCTGAGCATAATATCCAAGGGATTTTGTGGAACAGTAAAGTCCAGATTTAGATGAAGGGCTTTCAACGCTATATAAAGTAGGTTTAAATTTCTTCTCTTAAGCAGGTATAGAGGGTGAATCGCAGCCCCCAAAGTGGTTTGACCATGTCCTAACTCCAAGGACACGTGATTATTTGAGAAAAGGATCATTGCAGATGTAATTAAATCAAGGATATTTATATGAAGAGATCATCCTGGATTATCCAGGTGGGCCCTAAATCCAATAACAAGGGTCCTTATAAAAGACAGACATAAGAGATTTGACAGGCAGAAGAGGAGAAGGCTATGTGGGCACGGAAACAGAGACTGGAGTGATGCAACGAACATCTGCAGCCACCAACCACTGGAGGAGGCCAAACAGGTCTTCCTCTAAAGACTGCAGGGACCTTGGTCCTGATGTCACCTTGGCTTTAGCCTGCTGACCTCCAGAATACTGAGGGAATACATTACTGTTCTTTTAAGCCACCAAGTTTGTGCTAATTTGTCGCACTGTCTCAGGAAACACATACAGCAGAAATTGAGGACCCTTTTCTGTCAACTGGATCTGTAAGCAGGGAAATTCTAAGGAGATCTCTGAAGATATGTGAGAAATGGATCCAAGAGTAACAGGTCTGGAAGAGCATTTATTTAATGACTCCAGACTATAAATTATGGGATATTAAACAGAGTAACCTTTGCTATGGACCTGAGGGTGCCGGGGTAGGGGCTGGCAGACACTTGAGATGCCTGAGGTATAGAAGCTATTGGATGTATTAAATCACTTGGGAAAATAAAGAAAAAAATGTTAAAAAATGATTACCTACATCTAGCTAACCTGCCTCACTGGAAGTTTATGCCATTCACTGGGAGAGGGGCTCAGGAGGAATCAGCATCCTGCCTCTGAATTGCCCCTGGACATCCAGGTGGAGAGAGTGACAGACAACTGGAGATAAAGGTTTTGCACTCAGTAAAGATCTAGCATGTTTTGTAGATGTTGTTGGTGTTGTTTGGGACTTACCAGATGTGATGCTTGTCTTTGACTTACCAGAGTATAGGTGGTAGATGAAGCTTAGGGATAAAATAAAATTGTTCTGAGAAAATGTATAATACAAGATAGAGAGTAAAGACAAAACTCTAGAGAGCATTAAGACTTGAGCAGGCATAGGAGTGTGTAATGAAGATGGAAAAGAAGTAAGCAAGAGAGACTGAGAGTCATGGAGAAATAATTGAGATGGATGTCAAGAGAAGAGGGGTTGGTTGGTGGTGTTGAGTACTGCACAGAAATTAAGAACAAATGAAGAGTGGCTTGGATTTAGCCATTAGGTGTACATTAGAGTGATACTAGAGATATTTTCTAGAGCAGTTTTTATGGTGTGGTAGGCAATGGGGCCAGGTTGCATGGAGGTAATTTGTGGAAGGAAATATGAAGATCTACAGAATATTGTTTAAGGGGCATAATCATGAAGATAAATAGGACATTAATTAAAGAAAATGCATGGCAGTGGAGGGATGTTATATATATATGTATGTAAGAGGGGAGATATTTGAGAATGTTTGTACACAGCAGAGAAGGACCCAGGAGGATCCAGTAAAGAGAGAGAAGATAAATACAGAGGGGAGAAGTGAAATAAATGATATGATAGATCTGGAGAGATATGAGAAGAAAATGGATTTAAAAGCCCAGAGAGGAGTTATATCAATTAGAGGGACACACTTTTCTATGGAAATGAAGAGGAAATAAGACTGGGTACAGATTATATCTATGTAAGCAAGGAGAGGAAAAGAAAGGCACTTGCCTCCTTAGAGCCCACTTTTCTCTTTCTAAAGTACAAACAAATGCTTATGTTGGGATGGGAGCAGTGATTGGGAGCAGTAACAATACCCTTGAGAAAAGGGATAAAGATTTAGAATTGTCACGAAGGAAGCCAAGCAAAGACTAAGTCAATTTCTCTTCGCCTTTGTTGAAGTTTTCTCATCTATAAACCATCTCTCTGTCAATTCATCTCAATTCAAGATCTGACTCAAGAACTGCTTCTCTCTTATTGCCTTCTCTTATAGAACTAGATTCTCTGCTTCCAAACTATGCATGTCTACACATTAGACTGTATATCATATTTCAGTTTACAAGTTTTATTTCTTTCATATTTGTTAATTTGTTCCAAAGATTAGAATCTTGTCTTATACCCATTTTTATTCCTCTAGTGGCTCACAAATAGTGCTGAAGCAATGATTTAGTTAATGTATCAGTGCCCGATGTAGACTGTCCACATGTCTGTTTGCTAGGGATAGTTCTGGTTTATGTGTCTAGTATTAATGTAATTATTAATAGCACTTTTTCACTTTCAAAATTGTCCCAGCTTGGATAAGAATTTGTAATATTAATCTTCCCCAGCCTCCACTGTCCTAGCTTCTACCTCCTGTCTTGTAGGTAAATACCCAAGGGAACTGGTTATTTACAACACCTAAGGAAATTTACCTACAAGAGAGGAGGTAGATGCTAGGACAGTAGAGGCTGGGGGAGAGTAGTGTTAACAAGAGAAAGGCCTGGTAGTCGAAGGGGACTTGGTCAAGGTGGCATTAAGCTTCTTCTGAAGCCTACAGGATTATAAGATCCAAGTTCTGCTCTTAGCCATCAGTTCCAGAGTAGTTAGAGAGTCTGTGGATAACTTTACAATAAACTACAATAACAGGACTACAGGTTCTTTCACGCAGTGGAAGAACCCAACCAGTGGAAGAAAAATCAAAGCAGAAAAGTAAACCCAATAACAAAATACATACTCTTGTTTCGCATCCTGTCTCCTCACTCTCTGCACTCCTTACTCCAGCTTAGTCAAGTCCACTTCCTCAAGCTCTGTTAATGGAATTTTATTTCTTTTCCTGAGAAGAGAGAGGAAAATTTCCGATTTTGTGACTTAGGTTAATATAAAGACAATAACTAACATTATCCCTTAGAACACATGGCTGAGGAGATGAACTATAATCTATTGACCCAAATACTAATGTGTGTATATGTGTATGTACATTCTACTACTTAATACAATAAAAACCTTGAGTTTAGTAGCATGATCTGCAGTAGGATGCAAAAGAGGAATCAAGATTCAGAGATATTGAGTCAACATTCAAAGATATCCAGCTTCTTAGTAATGAAATAAGATTTAAGCCAAGATTCATAGACTCTCAAGCCCGTCCCTTTCAAATACAAAGGCCTTACTTAGGAAACTCAGCTGTATTCCATTAAGGATCTGTAATATCAAAATGAATTGTCACCATACTTCCCTTGGACTTGTCCATATTGATAAATTTTGCCACTGCCATTTGCAGACACTCTATGCTATAATACAGTAGAATGAAGAAGTAATTTCAAAGCAGTTGAGATAACTGTGGTATGAACAAAGACTGCACCAATCCTTGTAGAGCAGTGGTTTCTGTTTGTTTGTTTTGTTTTGTTTTGCTTGATTATGGACACTATGAATTATGGACACTATGAAGAGTGTGACAGGTTTCTGGCAAAGCATCTCTCTCCCTTTTCACACATGGATCTCCTTAGATTCCAAGGCACGGTATAATTAACAACACCAAGTCACTCACTATAAACATGAAAAAAACGCACTTGGAATAAATGAAGTTGTTCAACATCTTTTAAATATAAAAGTAAAAGGGATAAATCTTGGACATACATTAGGCATGTTTATGCATTATTGACAAACAAAATTTATTTGGGAGTGACATGAATTCACCAATGAACATTATTTTTTCATGGAGCATTCTTTAGCTTAAGGTATACAGAAAGAGTCCATTTTCCCCCTCGTGCTAATGTTGAAAGCTGTGGCAGTGACACCACAATAATGCCCATCATTGTGATGTATAATACAGACGTTATTGCACATAATAGAAAGCATTCTTTGAGTGTGATGCACTTTTGTTGCCTACATGCTGACACCAAGCAGATATAAATGTGCTTTAATGTGTTTCCTTTGAAAGGGCTAGTGTAGACGCATCCTCCAGTATAGGCTTTGTATAAGGTTTGGTGAGCAGCTCGCTTTTAGTAGCTGCTTTCTATATTCACTTTAGCACCCCTAATAGCTCTAATTATAAACTACACAGTTTTCTATTCCTTGCTGTTCTTTGTCATTGCACTGCTCATAGACATTTAAACAGTAGAAGCTGTTTATAGTACATTAAACATTTTAAGCTGTTGTTCTAAAGTTTTATACTTTCGGTAATTTCCAAGTTGTCTCTCTCTGCTGTCGTGTGAAACCATGTAACACAATTCAATAGAAAACATCAGATATGTACATTTTTTTTGGATAATCAGCAGAGCTAACAGTCATATATGAATCAGAGAATTTCGGCTATTTTACACTGTTTGTAATGGCATTGGTACAGAATGTTTAGATTTTTTTTAAAAAAACAATTCTCTATAATGCTTTGTAAAGTAGTAATGTTGCTTTTTAAATAAAATCAGTAACCAAAAGGAGTATTAACTTATATTATGATATGATAAAGCATAGAAAATGTAACTGTTGGAAAGCTAAGTATTTCCCTATAGTATCACAGTAGAAGGAGATGGGGTAATTACTCCAATAAATGACCCATTAGGACAGTATCGCAATGTGAAGAAAGAGAGTTACTGGCATTAAAACTGCCATGGAATGCGCAGGAGACCATAGAGGTGTCAGAAGGAGCCCCGTCTTTGTTTTCTCTTGGATTGGTCTCACTGTGACTGTCAGTTCTTGATGCCCTACTGGAAGGGCCCTGTGTCACCCACTGTGTGATAAGACTACAATAATTTAGCATTTTCTCCCAAAAGCATTATAGAATCTTTCTGTGAAAAATGGAAATGAGAGGTTATGGATTTAGTCTTTGCTGTTCAAACCAGTGAAAAATCACCCCCCATCATATTAATTTATAAGTAAAAGCCCACTTACACCATCACATTGAGCATGCTTAGGACACACGGTTTTGTATTAGAGACAAAAATGACTTACCAAGAACCAGATTTAAAATAGGAAGAATGTTGCAAAGGGAAGGTAGCCTTTAGATTAACATTGAATTTCCTAACAGTGATTGATTCAAGAGCTTGGAGTGATGACTTCTACCCTAGGATGAACCCATCTGACTTTCTAGGGGTGTCTAAGTTGCAGCTGTGCAGGTGACCTGCAGTAAGGAGGGCACTCTCAAGATCTACTCCAGCAATTGTTTGAAAAATCATGAGAATGGAGTCTATTTTCTTCCCATCCTCCATCTGTGCGATATTACTCCCTCTTGCTTTTTTTTTCACATTTTTTTCTCATTATTATGAGATTAAAATGACCCCAGCCAGGTATGGTAGCACAAACATGTGTGATCCCAGCTACTCGGGAGGCTGAAGTGGGAGGATGGCTTGAGCCCAGGAGTTTGAGGCCAGCCTGAGCAACATCTTGAGACCTGTGTCTTAAAAAAACACCCATAGAATCAATAAATAAATAGGAAGTCTTATTATGAAAAATTATATGCACATGTACTACAAAATAGCAATTCTCAGTTCACAGATTGGACCTTGTGAACTCTGAGATTTCTGATCCTATATTTATAGTTGGTGACAAATCGTACACTCCTTGTGAGCATTGCTTTCCTTGATTTTAATTCATGTTAATATGTACTTAACGACACAATTTGCTGACATCATGTGTATGCTGATTGCATCTATGGGATGATGACCCAAAGCTAAAAAAATTATATTAAAAATCACCATAAGATATAATTTTCAAGAATATTTTTTTCCTCAGGAAGTCAAACTATATTTCTGCATCTGTCATTTACATTTCTGTATAAAATCTTATAAATTTCTCTCAGTATCTCTATTTTTAGAATGGGAAAATTATATCTAACCCACAGCAATAATATGAAGTCAAACGAGTATCTTTTTAAAGAATGAATGCAATTTGTAAACTATAAAATACTATATAAATATCTGAAATACTATAAAAAATACTATTATAATTCCCCAAATTAGTAAAAATCCCCATTGTGCTAAAAAGTTAGTATCAGACATAACCTTAGCAAAATAAGTTGAAAAGAAACAGTGAGAAGAAACACACAAGACTGGTTATAAGGATTAAACAAAAATTGGGGGTGAAAATTTACTTCTTGACTTCTAGCATACCATAACATTTACTTATTTTTTATGTTTTATTGTTTACCTTCTCCTTTCGCCTACTAGAATGTAATCTCTATTAGAGGAGACATCTTTGTCTATTTTACTTGCTGATACATTACAAGAGCCTGAAAGAATGCCCAGTACATATGAAGTGCTCAGTAAATATCTGCTGAATAACAAGTAGATGGTACCCAGAACTGTATTCTCCATGTTTTAAAAGGGTAGAATGTTGTCCATAGAAAAGGCATACCAGAAGAAATGTATAAGAAAAGCCCGGGAGAACAGAAAATAAGACAACTCTGTGGGGCATTTTCTCCCAGGGGAAGAGTCCAAATTTAGAGAGATACTAGCAGAGAGTTGAGACCTGTGGCCTGAAAGTCGAGCAGGATGGAATCTTGGCCATATTATTCTCCAAATTCCAATAATGGACTTCATCCAAGGAGCACTTACTGAACATAGTACCAAGTCCATACTTGAGGATTCCAAGAAAATAATGACTAATAAGCTGTGATGCTAGTCCTTTAGAGGTTCACAACTAATACTCATCCCCATCCAAGAGTTAGTACCCTCCATGTTTGACACATATTATAAAGCTCTCACCTGATTATTGCAAAGACCTCCTAATTACCATCCCAGTTTCCACTGCGCCATGCCCCCCACAGTCTATTTTCAAAATAATAGCAGAAAAGTCAGTGATTTTCATTCTCTTGCTTAAAACCCTTTCATAGATGCACCAGACCTGTTGAAACCTCATGTTTTTTGTATTTGTCTTTTCTTCCGATTGAAGTGATCTTCCCTGAAATAGTCACATAGCTCCTTCCCTCCTTTTATTCAGTTTTTGGCTCAACTCTCACTTTATCAGAGAAATCTCTGACCACTCTAAATAAAATAGCATATCCCACCACACTCTCTGTCTTTATATCCTTATCAGTTTTAATCACTATCATGACTGACACATAGTAGCTGCTCAATAAATATTTGTTGAATAAATGAAGGTGCTGCTAAAAAAAATGCCAAAATTGAAAATTATTCAGATTGATTAAAGGAAGAATGTGGTCTAGAAAGAGTCCAGTTGTTTGACAGAATGCTAGGAGTGAGAAAGTACAAAGGTAAGGACTATTCGATAAATGGTGTTGAGAGAACTACAAAGTAATTTGGAAAAACAGTATTGAAACTGACACTTCACAGTGGGTCATTTGCCATTCTTGGCATCAAGTAATGGAAACCACTCTGTGGTTTAATGGAAGGATATTGGTGATCATAATCAATAGGAAGCAATGATAGCAATAAGTGAATGGGAAGGGGTCAGGGCCTTCTGAGAAACTCTGCCATGCAGTAGGAGGCAGAGAAACACAAGTTCACTGAGCACAACACCCAATCACTCCAACCGTTTATTCCTGACCTTGAATATTCCATAGTAATAAGTAAGGCATGATCTTTTCACAAGGAGAGAAAATTACAAATGAATTTACTTTAAAATGAGACTTGTGACTATCTCTGGTTAATAAGAATTATGGAGAAATTTTATTTTCTTTAGATTTCTTATATTTAATGTTTAAGCTTTCTATTATAAACATCATTTATATAATGAAATATAAATTATAAAAGAAAATTTTCCTATGAAGCAAATTCCCAAGTTTATTATTAGAATTGATATTACTTCTTCTTAAAATATTTTGTAGAATTCAGCAGTGAAACCATCAGGCCCTGAGCCTTTCTTTGATGGGAGACTTCTTATTAGGACTTCACTCTTCTTACTCATTGGTTTTCTTAGTTTATTTACTTTATTAGTTTACTTTATTTTCTTACTTTATTATTAGCATGTTGTGAAAGATGTGGCTCATTATTTCACTATTTTCTCTTTGAGCACTCCTAGAAGAAAATATATTCTTACTTTAGTAGCCCACAAAAAGTTGTAATTTGAGCATTTTGTTCGATTTTTTTTTCTCAAAGACACTGGCCTTAAGTATGAGCTACCAAGAGCCTTGGGCTTTACTATCATAGTGAAACACTGGAAACAGCATAAATATAAAAAATAGAGGGCTGGTTAAGCCAATAATATGCCCGTAGCATACATACATGTAAACATGTTTGTACGTACAAAGAAAGAGATCCAGTGCCCATACAACAAGCCATTAGGAACATCTTCCCATGTATAGTGTGGGCTGTCACAACAGCAGGGCATTTCTTTATTAGATGAATATTTTACAATGAACATGCACTTTTTAATTACAAATTTTATAAATGAAAATAAAATCAGATAACATACACAAAAATGTAAAGAAATGCAAAGATATTCACAATACTTTAAATTCAAAAGTTTCAAAACAGTTTATACTGCAAAACATCATTCACAGATATCAAGCAAAGCTTATATGAAAGTAGCTCAAATTAGGGACAATGGTTATCTCTGACTGGCATGATTCTAAAGGAATTTTATTTTTTTATTTCTTTCCATGTGTTTAATAAACATACTTCAATGACTGCATATTTAAAACAACCTTTCTCTAAATGAATAAAATTATAAAAAATATAAATTTTTGTCATTCTAAAAATATAAAAATTAAAATGCATAAAACTAGGAAAGTTTTATTACATAAAGAGCTCATTAAATATAAAAAGCATTCAAAGATCTCAACAGATAAACAGTCAAATACCACAAACACAATCCCTTTTGAGGACAAATAAATAGGGATAACATACGGAAATAAATATTCATCTTTAATGAACAAAATGCAAATTAAAATGAGGCAACTTTTATAGATTTAAGCAGCTAAAAATATAAATGATCATACCCAGTACTTTTGAAAGAACAGTAAAACTGAAACTCTCAGGTATTTCTGTCTGCATTCATTCATTGAATGGGCATTTGTGCAGAGCCCAGACTCTGGAGACAGAAGAATGCTCTGGTGCAAATCACATCCCACCACTTTATTTTGTGCACCCCAGGGATATGGCTTAATCTCTTCTAAGCTGTGAAATAGGGATAATAATAGTATCTCTTGATATTTCCTATTGAGATGATTTAATGTGTCAGTTCCCATGCATCTTTTAGAATAGTAAACATTCAATAAATATTAACTATTAATTATTGACTAGCTATATCAATGAGGATTTCAACAAGAAACAGATGACACTCACACATTAGCATAATTCAAGGAGAGTTTATTTTCATCTGAATTAATCACAAAGGTGTGTGCAGGGTACACGGAATTCCTCAACGTATGGTTGAGGAACCGAGGGCTAACAGTAGGTGGGCTGTTATTGCCCGTAGTCTTGAGGGATGACAGATGGGAGAAATTACTGAAATACAGAATAGTTACATAGAAAAGGAATCCGGAGAGAAGTGACTTTCCGTGAAGGGACACGGTCAGCCTGAGATGACCCCTTATGTAGGAAACCAGGGCAATATTTGCCCTGACCTCATTTGTTTTTCCTTTTTCTCTTGCCAAGCCTCCCCATTGGCTGAACCTAACTATTAGCCTGTGCAGAGCCAGTTGATGCAGTCCACGAAATTCAGCCTTCACAGGCAGAAAGCAAGGTGCAAAAGGAAGAAAAATGGATCTGGAGAATACAGAATACATCTGGCATGGACTACGTGCTAGGCCCTCTTAGAGACAGAGGCAGACAGCATTATGCAGAATGTTGCAAATCCCCACCAGACCTATCTGCCTTCCCCAGGGACCCTTCAGGGAAGCAAATATGTTCCTTTTGTTTTCTTTGAAAAGTATCTCTACCAGTTTTCCTTAATCCAAGGGACCAGTGGAGCACAGGCACTGGAAATCCAGTATCTGTAAAGTATCCAACTAGAATGCCTTTTTAGAGGCTGGTCTCACACCTAATTATTGACTAGGTGTATCAACCAGGATTTCTTCAGGAAACGGATGACACGACTCAGCATAATTCAAGGACAGTTTATTTTTAAATGAATTAATCACAAAACTATGTGCAGTGACCCAATAATGCTCCTGGTTAGGCATCACTGGGCTGGGACTGACACATTCTGAGCAAATGGATAATGGTAGCCAAGAAGCATCAAAGAAAAATTTGATGAGATTCTAAGCCCCACATAAGATAGAGTGACAATGACAGGGGCTAAAACCTCATCCTCTAGGACAAATCATCCCATGGCTAATCCATGGTTAATGATCAATGATCAATCATGGTTATTGAGCAATGATCACTTCTCCCAGATTGAAATACACTTTTGTCAGATCATCTTCTAAAACCTCAGGCCCAAAGTACAAACAAGGAGTAAAGAAAACTAAATAAAACAATCACAAATCAGGCAGATTAGTGAATATGTATTTAATAAAAAAGATAAATACAAATACACAGCAATGGCATAACTATAACAACTGAACAAATTTGAAAAATAATTAGAATTCACCACTTTACATGTAGAGAGTTTGGGATTTGCTTGCACGTTTGATTTTTGCCTGTGACTTTTGTAAGTGCTAAGGAATGAATGGACTAAAACATCCAATGAAAAATTTTCTCTAAGCTATTATAAAACAGCACATATACTCCTACCATAAAAGCTCTCAGATTTAAAATACGACAGAAAATGACAACACTGACAATGACAAATCTCCAGCCTTCCTCATTTTCATCCCAGGATGCTCTTGGTGCTCACTTCTTTTCTCCCATTGTCTGTTTTTGGCAGCTTCTCTTTCCCTTCTCCTCTCTCTGGGTCTTCATTCATATTGGCTCCAGGAAACGAAAGGTAAGAAGCGGTCTTATAGTATGCCTCCCTCACCTGTGCGTCATTTTCACATTCTTCCTCAATGGGAAATGATTGTGCAGGAAGAGCAGGGGGAGACTCCCACCATTGAACTGGCTGGAAGGCTTTGCCTTGTGAAAAAAGTAAAAGGAGAGGGAAAGTAGATCACTTGATAACACAGAAAAATTTCAAGGATAAAGAACTTGCCATAATCATCCTTATTCCAAGCTTCTTTCTCTGGACTTCCCCAGAAATGATTTATTTTTCTTCTTCATTCGAAATTACCAACAGTTTAGATAACACAGAAAAATTTCAAGGATAAAGAACTTGCCATAATCATCCTTATTCCAAGCTTCTTTCTCTGGACTTCCCCAGAAATGATTTATTTTTCTTCTTCATTCGAAATTACCAACAGTTTAGAATTAAAACAACTAAAAAAATCACTTTTATCCTACCAATACAGGGGAAAATATGACTGGCCCTAACTTTATAAATAATGCCTTTATTTAGATTTACTTTTACTACTTATATTTCTAAATAATCATCATTATGTAGTTATATTTACTGAAGTAGATTATCAAAATGCATAACATAGTCTTTCCATTAACTCTTTCACATTAATGAGTTGCTATTTAGTAAATTACTATTTCCCCACACTAAGAGGAAGGAAGCCAGTGGCCTAAATGATTTTCCAAAGTGCCTATTAATAAACACCCAAGGCATATATTAAAAAGCTAGAATGCAAAGGTTCCTGGGAAGTACATAAGCATGTGGACTGGGATTTTTAGAAATGTGCATTAACACTTTCATGACTATAGCAGATTGCTCAATGAATTCCTCTTCAGGTTTTCCATCACTCCAATTTTTGGTACATTCCTATTTGTGGCAATTTTGTAATGATTTCAACTGAAACAAAGCTTCCCAGTTTCATTGTTTTGTTGGGAAATACTAAATATAAATCCTTTACAATTTTCTATTAAAGTTTTTCTAATTATGTTACTCCATTTTTCACTTTAGTCTGCTAGATGCTATTCAAGACAGAAAGGACTTCTAAAAAATATAGGTGGTAAGCTTTTACCTTTGCTAAGTTCTTGAGCTATTCATGAACCTAATTATTTAAAAAGCGTAATCTATTTTATGCAGTTGCTATGAGTCCTTCTTAAATGTTCACAAATTTATGATTTTTAAAAGCTTTTTTAATTAAAGAATTTATGTAGAGAATTGTAGATTCACATGCAGTTGTAAGAAATTATACAGACACATCCCATATACGCATTATCCCATTTCCCCCAATGACTACATTCTGCAAAGCTATAGCATATTATACCCAGAAGATTGACACTGACACAATACAGATACAGAACATTTCCTCACTACAGGGATCCCTCTTGTTGCCCTTTTACAGCCACAGTCCCTTCCCTCTTACCCCTCCTTAGCCCCTGGAAACGTCTCCTCCGTTTGTGTCACTTTGCCTTTCATGAATGTTAGATAACTCGAATCATAGGCTATTTTACCACTGGGGACTGCATTTCTTTTTCATTAAGCACACTCTGTAAAGATTCCTCTAAGCAGATGCCTACTTCAATAGTTCAGTCCTTTTTATAGGTAAATAGTATTTCTTGGTGTAGATGTAGCACAGTTTGTTTACTACTTGCCCACAGAAGGACAACTGGGTTGTTTCCAGTTTAGGGCTATTATGAATAAACATTACAAAATAAACATTTGTGAACAGCTGTTTGTGTGCACACAAGTCTTCATTTATTGGGTATAAAAGTTCAAGAGTGTAATTGTTTGGTCATATGTTATGTGCATGTTTACTTTTTTAAGAAACTGCCAAACTATTTTCCGATGTGACTCTACTGTTTTATATTCCCATCAGTACCCACCAATAAAATATGAGTAATCCAGTTCCTCTGCATCCTGACCATCATTTGGTGCTGTGACTATTTTTTTATTTTAGTCATTCTGATAGTGTAATGGTATCTATTTGTAGTTTTAATTTGCATCTCCATAATTTCTAATAATACCTACTAATTATGTATTTTGTATCTGTATACTTTCTTCAGTGAAATGTCTTTTTATATCTTTTGTCCATGTTTTCAATGGATTGTTTGCTTTCTTATTGAAGAAATTGAGCATTCTTTATATATTCTATATATTATCCTTTGTCAGATATATGGGTCACAGATATTTTTCTCCCATCATGTAGCTTATTTCTTCATCGTTTTAACAGGGTATTTTGCAGAGCAAAAGTTTTGAATTTTGATTAAGTCTACTTTATCATTTTTTTCCTTTTATGTATTGTGTGCCATGTGTGTCAAATCTGACAATTTTTTTGTCTAGGCCTAGATCCCAACACTTTTCCTTTTTTTTTTCTAAAAGTTTTACAGTTATATATTTTACATGTAAATTTGTGATGCACATTGAGTTTTTTATTTTTAATTTTTAGTTATTTTGGGTACATAGTAGGTATATATATTTATGGGGTACATGAGATGTTTTGATATAGGTATGAAGTACATAACAATCATATAATGGCATATGGGGTGTCCTTCTCCTGAAGCATTTATCCTTTGTATTGCAAACAGTTATACTCTTTTAGCTACTTTTAATGTATAAATTATTATTGACTGTAGTTACCCTGTTGTGCTATCAAATACTAGGCCCTATTCATTTGTGCTATTTTTTTGTACCCATTAACCATCCCCGCATCCCCTTCACCACTCCCTGCAACCCCTGACTACACTTCCCAGCCTTTGGTAGTCATCCTTCTACTCTCTATTTCCATGAGTTTAATTGTTTTGATTTTTAGATCCCACAAATAAGCGAGAACATACAATGTTTGTCTTTCTGTGCCTGGCTTATTTCACTTAACTTAATGATCTCCAGTTCCATTCATGTTTTTGCAAATGACTGAATCTCATTCTTCTTATGGCTGAGTAGTACTCCATTGTATATATGTACCACATCTTTCTTTATCCATTCATCTGTTGGTGGGCACTTACATTAAGTTATTTTTGAGTGACATTTTCGTATAAGCTGAGAGAATTTGGTTGAGATTCTTTTTCTTTTAATTTCTCTTTTTGTTTTTCTCTTTCTTTTTTTCTCTTATTTTGATGAATGGGCAATTGCTTCAGCACCATTTGCTAAAAAGGATATCCTTCCTGCATTAAATTGCTTTTGAACCTTTGTCAAACTCAAAACTTGCACCTTGTCAAAATGGTGAACTTTTAGTTCCTTTGTCAAAACTCATTTGGGGCCGGGCGCGGTGGCTCATGCCTGTAATCCCAGCACTTTGGGAGGCCGAAGCAGGCGGATCATGAGGTCAGGAGATCGAGACCATCCTGGCTAACACGGTGAAACCCCATCTCTACTAAAAATAAAAAAAATAAAAAAAAATTAGCCAGGCGTGGTCGTGGGCCCCCATAGTCCCGGCTAATGAGGAGGCTGAGGCAGGAGAATGGCATGAACTCAGGAGGCAGAGCTTGCAGTGAACCGTGATCGCACCACTGCACTCCAGCCTGAGTGACAGAGCAAGACTCTGTCTCAAACAAAAACAAAAACAAAAACACTCAGTTGGTCAAATCTGGATGGTGTATTTTTGCTTTATCTCTTCTTTTTCATTAATCTATGTGTCTTTCCCTTTACCAAACCACACAATCTTGATTATTGTAAAGAAATCAAAGAGACTTATTCTCTCCTCCTCCTTCTTCATGAAACTGTTTAGCTATTTAGTTTCTTTGCCCATCTATATCTACAAAAAAATCGTTCTGGGATTTTGGTAATGTTAGTGTTAAAACTGTATGTTAATTTAAGGGAAAATTGACATCTTTATATGCTAAGTCTTCCAAGCCATAAACACAGTATATCTCTCCATTTAAGTTTCGATTTCTTTAATCACCTGGTCCAGGTGTTCTAGATATAAGTCCATATGAGCTTTGCCAGATTTATACCTAAGTATTGCATTTACTTTGAGCAGTTTTAACTTGTACTATATTTTAAAATTTTATTTGTGTTTATTGCTAGCATTTAAAAATAAAATTAATTTTTGCTTATCTTGGGTCCTGCCACCTTGCTGAGCTTGCTTCTGAGTTCTAGGAATTTTTTTTGAAAATTCCTGAGGATTTTTCATATAGACAATTATGTCATCTAAAAATAAGAACAGCTTTATTTCTTCCCTTCTTGTCTGCATGCATTTTCTTTGCTTTTCTTACCTTATTGCACAGGCTAAAATTTCCAACACTCTGTGGAATAAAAATGGTAAGAGCAGATATCCTTGCTTTCCCCCCATTTTTGAGAAAACATTATTTTTCTCCATTATATGTAAAGTTATCTGTAAGTTTGTAGATAAGCTTTATTAATTTGAGGAAATTCCTTTCTATTCCAATTTTTCTCAGAATCTTTAATCATAAGTGAATGTTGAACTTTTCAAATGTTTTTCTCCATTAATTAATATGGTCATTTAATTTTTCAACTTTAGCCTGTAGATATGGTGGGATTACATTGATAGGTTTTGAACTTCCAACTAACTTTACACCCCTAGGGTAGGAAAAATTAAAAACTGCACTTAGTCGTGTTGTATAATTTCTTAATATATTGCTGTATACTATTTTATAATATTTGTTAAGAATTTTTACACTTATATTAGTCTATAGTTTTCTTTTTTAAAAAGTTCCAGTGCTATTCAAATTATTGATTTCATATGGAGTCAGTTGTGATAGATTGTGTTTATTGTGAAATTGGTCTATTTCATCTAAGTTGTTAAATTTATGTGTGTGGAGACGTTCTTTGTAATCTCATATTTTTCTTTTAAGCTCTACAGCGCTTATAGCAATACCTTCTATTTTATTTATGTTATTGGTAATTTGTGTCTTATTTCTTTTCCTTGTCAGTTTTCCAAGAGTCGTTTTATTGATTTTTAAAAGAACTAGATTTCAGTTTCATTTATTTAATCTATATTATCAGTTTTAAATTGTATTGATTTCTATAATTTATTATTGCATTTCTTCTACTTGCTTTGGGTTTATTTCACTCTTCATTTCCCAGGTTCTTGATCTGAATGTTAAGATTATTGCTTTGAGAGCTTTCCTATTTTCTAATGTATTCATTATGTGTGATAAATTTCTCTGTCAGCACTGTTTTGGTTGTGTTTTACAAATTTTGATATATTGTATTGTTATTTTTATTCAGTTCTATGTATTTTGTTTTCCTTGAGAGTTCCTCTTTGACCAATACATTATTTAAAATGTATAGTTTAGTTTGCATGTGCTTGGAGATTTTCCTGTTATTTTTCTTATTGATTTCTAATTTGATGCCCTTGGGGTGGAAATTTGTAAAGATTCACTTGATGGCCCGGGATATAGTTTATTTTCATATAAGTTCTGAGAAAACTTGAAAAGAATGTGCATTCTGTTTCTGTTGGGTGGAGTGTACTATAAATATTGAATAGATCCTACAGGATGGTAGTGCTGATGAGTTCTTCTATATCCTTGCTGATTTCCTGTCTAGCTGTTCTCTTAATTGTTGACAGAGAGGTATTAAAATCTTTCTACATAGTTGTGGATTTGTCTATTTCCCCTTTCAATTCTATCAACTTTTGCTTTGCATATTTTGCTACTCTATTGTTGGTATATACATGTTTAGAATTGCTATGTTGTCTTGGTAAATTCACCATTTTATTACTACATTGCACCTCTCTCTGTCTCTGGTAATTTTCTTTTTCTGAACTCTACTTCATCTGATAGTAATAAAGCCACCCCTGCTTTTCTTGGATTAATATTTGCATGATATTTTTTCCATCTGACCTGCCTATATAATCATATTTGAGGTGAGATTATGATAAATAGCATGTATTTGGTAATGTTTTCTTAGCCATTCTTCCAATCTCTGTCTTTTAATTGGTTTATTTAGGTCATTCACATTTAATATTTAAGTTAAGGTTTAAAGCCAACAATTTTCTTTTTCTTTTGCTTTTCTTGTTCTATTTATTTTATTATTTTTCTTTTATTCATTCCTGTGAGTTGCTCGTACATTTATTAAAATTCCATTTTGATTTACTGATAATGTTTTTGAATGTCTTTTTTTTATAGCAACCACTAAATACACAGGTTATTGTTATCATTATAGAGATTTGAATAGAGGATAGAAACCTTAACTCCCTTTACATCCCTTTACCTTGACCCGTATACAATATTATTGTCTTAAATATTTTCTGTATGTGTCCTTAGAAACACACTAGACAACGTTATAATTTTTGCTTCAACTTTAAAACATTATTTTGAAACCTCCAGAGAAGAAAACACATTCAGTTTACCCATATTTTTGTTTATCATGTTCTTTCTTTCCTCAGATATTCTAAGGTTACTTTGTTAAAAAATCATTTTCCTTATGTTCATAGAACTTCTTTTAGTCATTCTTTTAAGGTAGATCTACAGATAATAGATTCTCTTAGTTTTCCGTCATCCAAGAATGTGTTAATTTTTCATTTATTGCTGAAGAATATTTTTACTGGGTATGTAATTCTAGCTTGATAGTTCTGCTTTGTCAACACTTAAAATATATTACGCATTTTATTCTGGCCTCAATGCTTTCTGATGAGTTATCCTCTGTGTCATTCAAATTGTTTTCCACCTATATTTATATGGTATTTTTTTCTCCAGCTGTTTTCAAATTTTTCCTTGTTTTTAGTTTTCAGAAATGTAAATACTCAGTGTCTTGGAATAAATATTTAGGGTTTTACCCTATTTTGTTCTTCACTTCTTATGTGACTCTGATGATAGGAATGTTATATATTTTGTTATACTCCACAAGTTACTGAGGTTCTGTTTATTTATTTATTCTTTTGTTTATTTTCTCAACTATTGTCCAGATTAGGTAATTTGTATCACTCCATCTTCTGTTTCGTTGATTTCATTGATTCTTTTCTGTCTCCCACATTCTGCTATTGGCACATTTATTGAGCATTTTATGCCAGTTATTGTATTTTTCAGTTCTCAAATTTCCATTTGGTTCTGCTTTATATTTTCTATGTCTTTGCTGAGGCTTTCTATAACTTTGCTGAGGCTTCTTATTTTTTTCATGTGTTTGAAGCATGTTTGTAATTGCTGATTAAAACATTTGTATCATGGCTGCCTTAAAATTCTTTGTCAAATCATTCTAACGTCTACCATCTCAGTGTTGACATCTATTGATTGCCTTTTTTTAAACAGTTTGAGATCTTCTTATATCTAAGTATGGAAGTGATTTTCTATTGATTTTTTATTATACATTTTTGTATTATATGAGACTTTGGATCCTATTTAAAACTTTGTTTAACTGGTCTTCCACGATCTTGCTTTGTTAGGGGAAGGGAAGGGCTATCTCATTAGTGGCACTCAGCTTCTGTTGACTTATGAAATCAACAGAAGAAAGAAGAAATTAATGAAACAGAAGATGGAATGATACAAATTTCCTAATCTGGACAACGTTTGAGAAAATAAACAAAAAATATAGAGGGGGTTATTGCTGCTGGGCAAGGGTGAGATTTCCAGCTCCCCACATGGCTTCCACAGACACCACAATGGGGTAGCCTCATTACTGCTTGCTGATATTGAAGGTCCTGACCCCTCACTGAGCTTCCTCTGACAGCACCCCAGCAATGAAGAGGATGGGTATCTCATTATTTCTGACTGGAGATGGAAGTTCAAGATCCTCATTTTGTTTTGTATGGCATTGGGTAAGGGATTGGTCGGGGGGACTGGTTATTAGCAGATGGATGAAAGTCCTAGCTACCTTCTTGGCTTTTTCTGATACCAGCCTGGTAGCAACTGGGGCACGTTGTTACAGCCTCATGAGTGTGGAATTTTAGGCTTCCCACTCAGATCTAGGTGGTATAGTTGGGGGTGGGACCACAGTTTTTTTCTGTTGTGTTTGGCTACAGCAGAATGATTACTGTTTAATAGGGTCCTGTTTTGGTAGGTTGCCCCTTTCCTGGTGTTTGGCTATATATAACATGCTTTTCTTGGGGCTTTCTTATTTTGTTTTCTTTTATTTTTGGTGTATAAGTGTTAGCATTTCTGAGTTGACAACTTTTTCAGCATCAAGTCTGGAACATATGAGGCCAAAGGAAAATGCAGAGAACTTGCTATAGTGTCATTTCTAGGTCTCATGGTCACTGGGTGGTCCCTTCTTGTCTCCACCTTTCAAGGTCCTCATTATTTTTTAAATATATGTGTGTGTATATATATATTATATATTTTATATATATTATATATTATAAATATAATATAATATAGTATATATATTATATATTATAAATATAATATAATATAGTATATATATTATATATTATATATATTATATATTATATATATTATATATTATATATATTATATATTATATATATTATATGTATAAAATATATAATATATATATATATATAATGTTCAGGGATTTTTAGACTTACTAAGAAGAAATGAATTAAATCATGTCCACTTCATCTTCCCATAATTAGAAGTCTCCAGGCTTCCTCTTCTGGTAGTAATTTTTAAACTTTTTTTTCAAAGGAAATCTCGTACAAAAATCAGTCTTAAAATGGGGATAAAGCTAAATTATTTGAAAAAAAAGATGTTTTGAGCTCCATACCTTGGGCTCCTTAATGCTCTTGCAATGAAGCAAGAGTCAAAGGTGCTGAATTTGGACATTACATAATCCTGAATTTTGACTTTTTTTCTATGACTTATGCAAAGAGAAGAACAATAACTCTGTTGAGGTTCTCTAATGAGCCAAAAATATGACAGTAGCCACTATCACTCTCCTCTCCTTTGTTACTAACAGGATGCATCCTCCTTCGTCATGAAATATAAGGTAATTTTTTATTACTTGATAAGTGAAAATTGTCAAGATTAACAATGGCAGTCTCTTTAGTGAAGAGTATATTTCTCATCCTTTAAGTAAATATGTACTAAGTACCTACTGCATGCACGGCATAGTGGGCAGTAGGAAGGGCTGGTTATACGATGTGTAAATCACAGTGAAAAATGAAAATGTCAAACTGCTTATTCAAAAAGCAGGGGGAAATCTCATTCAAGGTACTGACACATACAATCCTTTTCTTTTACTTACTTGGCCAGTCCTCGTTTATTTCATTTGCTATTTAGTGTCATGCTCCCTCAGGCAATGGGATACTCCACTTCGTAGTCATCTCCCCTTCCCACAGGACAACTGCTACAGCTCACAGTGGACAGTTCACCCCAATAAACTATAGCTTCTGTTTCAGGGTATGCTTGGTACCTGCTTCAAGTGTGGATGAGGGGTTTGGTAGTCATCTGCGAGTGTGCTACGGTGCTCCCAGCCTTAAACTGAGATAGCTGCCACCATGCTTCTCTAAGACACAGGAGCCCATACATCTAATTCCAACTCTTCCTGCACACAGGCACCTACCATGGGCAGGGGCATCAAGGAGGAGGTTAGATAGTTCCCAGAGTGCCAGGGATGGTGGAGTGGGCAGTCTAGAATGCACATCAGGGAGGCAGGAAGGAGGCAAAATTATGTGTGAGCTAGGCTCCAACCCTGTGACACATGCTTCATTGTCCCATAAGACTTAATTACAAACACAAATGATTTCAAAGATAAAATTGTTAAGAAATTTTAAGATGACAGTCACAAAGCATTAAACCTCAACCATGGGACCCTTCTTAGGACAGGGCCTTATGTGACTGTGCTGTTTTCATGCCATATTGCTGGCCCTGGCACTAGGGACACAATAAGGTAATACCTTGGAATTCTTTGTAAGACTTCAAAGAAACTGGTTAAAAATAAACACTTTGGTCTTTTAAGCATATATTTTATGTGTTTTGTTAACACACAGTCAAGGAATTTGACTATTTTTTAACTAAATTGTGTTGTTTTGACATTTGGGAGACATTAACACTTTCAAGTGGCTTTGAGATGGGTCCATTGGCTTTCTTTACTTCATCATATCTTGGTATTACAGTAAAGACACGTATTTTGTTCTCATAAATTTCTCAGTGGTCCCATTATTATTCTGTAATTATTCCTTCAAGACAGAAACTAAGTTCCATTACTCAATAGGGACTATTTTATTTCATCTACAACAAAGAAGCTACAGCATATTTACTGTCAACGGTGAACTGAAAATTCTCAAATGGTTCTCATCAACATCTTTATTCATTTTTTCTCATTTTGTTTTTTAAGTAGGTCTCTTTTTTTAACCAACAGTGGAACTCAACATTAATTTTGTGAATTGAATCAGTATGTCCCTCTAAACAAATGGATAACAGAATTAGATAACTTGGATTGGCATCAAATATCTCTAATTTTCATGTAAAAAATATATTTTTCAAATGATGAGATAAATCACTAAAAGTCAAAATATACATTTTATAGGAGATTGAGATTTGGTCATAAATTCTAATAATCCTTTTAATAATATCAATGGTAATATAATAACTTTAATTGAACCATGTTTATGTGCCAGAAAGTATGTTATAGGATTTATATGTCCTTACCACATTACTGTTTACATTTAGTCTTTCAATATTGCAAAGTTAGTACTTTTTTTTTTCTTTTTTGGTTTTTACTTAGCATAGTGTCCTCAAGGTTCATTCATGTGGTAGCATGTGTCAGAATTTGCTTCCTTTATAAAGCTGCATATATTTATTAGACTTTTAATGTATGTTTTATGTTCTGTTCCCTTCCTTCCAACCCCATAGTTTTGTTTAGATTTTTCCAACTTTTATTTTAAGTTCAGAGCTACGTATGCGGGATGTGCAGGTTTGTTACATAGGTGAATGTGTGCCATGGTGGTTTGCTGCACAGATCAACCCGTCACCCAGGTATTAAGACCAGCATCTTCTAGCTATTCTTTCTGATTCTCTCCTTCCTCCCAATCCCTACCCACAAAGTAAGTACTCTTGTTTCCATTTTACAGATGAGAAAATGGAGGCACAGCAGAGCTAAATAATTTGTCCTATGCAAGTGAGAGATATGCAGTTTCTTTTAAGACCCAGGTTTTTTCCACTCTATATGGTCTCCCCAGAAATGCCCTTTCTTTGCAAAGAAAGAAATATTTCTATTTTAAAAATTTTAAAATACTATTTCTTACAGATAGATGCTTCTCATAGATGACTGGGTAATCCAAGGCTCATTATTCATTGTGTTGTTTTGTGATGCTTTTGATTATATATTTAGCCATTAAAATATATAAAAACACCTCATATCAAGAATAAAGTTAATTTAAAGGAATATTTGAAGAATTGGCTTAAGAATAATGAAATTTGACTATAACACTCTTGATAAACAGACGCATATATCTTGAAACTCAGGCATGAAGACTTGGTTACTAAAGAACAAAAAAGATTATGATAACTGGATTCTCAAAGACATCTTTTGTTACAAACCTCAAAGACAGCATAGCAATAAGGCTGCAGGGTAGGTTAATTTAACATTTGCATCACAAAGTTAATTTGGAATTAGCTTATCTTTCTGTCTTTGTTCCACTGTTTCTGTCAACTGTGACTAATTCTGCAACCTCATTTTTTTTTTTTTTTTTTTTTTTTTTTTTTAGATGGCGTTTTGCTCTTGTCGCCCAGGCTGGAGTGCAATGGCGCGATCTCCGCTCACTGCAACCTCATCCTCATGGATTCAAGCGATTCTCCTGCCTCAGCCTCCAGAGTAGCTGGGATTACAGGCATGTACCACCACGCCCAGCTAATTTTTGTATTATTAGTAGAGACGGGGTTTTACCATGTTGGCCAGGCTGGTCTCAAACTCCTGACCTCAGCTGATCCACCAGCCTTTGCCTCCCAAAGTGCTGGGATAACAGGCTTGAGCCACCGCGCATGGCCCAATTCTACAACTTCTATGTGGAACTTAGCTGGAATGTTAACTTGAATCTCTAGAAATAATAGACGTGGATTACCACACAGTATCATTTTCTTAAGTGATTAGAGTATATTTCAGTGTAAATAGAATATATTTACCTATTTATTTAGTACTGTGTAGCCTCATAATTCTTCACTATTAAAAAAAGTTTTGAACTAAATATGCTATATTTTAAGGAGTTTACTTATGTTGTTTCTCTTTCTTGTTATTGTTTCCCTCTCTTATGATTTAAAGAAAATAATAGAAATCTGATAATTTTTATTATCTTTATTTTCTATATTGGGAGACAGTTTATGCTGTGGTTAAGAGTGCAAACTCTGAAGCCAGGCTGCCTGTTTTTGAGTCCCACTTCTGTCTTTACTATTGTGAGGCTTTGAGAAAGTCATTTAAATTCAGTGGGTCTCAGTTTCCTCTGTTAGTTTATGTAACTAACAAAGTTAGTTACACAAACTAATATTGCTTTATTTTATATTATTGTTATAGCTGAAGTCAGCTTCCAAGGTCATCTAGTCTTATAATTAACCATCAGTAGAGAGACAAGGAAACTAGTTTCAAGTATTTTCATGAACTTAGATTCAGTCAGTCAATAGGTCCATTAGAACTGAAATATATCACCTCATTCTTAGATAAGATCTTTTTCATTTACTCAGCATAGGTTGATAATTAATGATTTTCAACCTATCTGAGTACTAGGTTCTCAGTAGGTTTGGGGTCTTCTTCAATTGCCCATACTTTCATGAGTATTTAAATCCTTCTGTATAAAGTATCCTTCTTCCCAAAATGGTTTTGGTTGTTTCACACTCACCCCTCAGGATTCAGCTTTCTCTATGACTACTTATTTGGAAAGCTTCCTTGAGCAAACTTTCAGTCCCCACCTGTTCCAAAACAAGTTTATATCTTCTCTCAATCCCTTTCTCAGAACCTTGTGTTTAGCCACATTATCCCAGTGGATGTATTTGCTGAATTTCTTATAGGTCTCCCCAAGTTTATTATTAGCTCCTTGGGGCAGAAATTCCATCTTCCATAGGAGATTATCAGTCATTTAAAAATATATACTATTTGCTGGGCTAGGAGTTGAAGCTAGAATGACCCCTGACCACAGTTTCTCTAACCACACCTTTATTTCTGGGTCCTTACTTCTCTACTTGCTCACTAAAAGTGATAAGGTTACTGCACACACAGGCAGAAAGAAATTTTGTCTTCATTTTTTTAATATTTGAGCCAGATCCTTGACTAGTGTATAGCAGAGTAAACTCCAGGTCTGCATGGTTAGTCCAAGATGTATTTAATGATTTTTTTGCTCATGATCATAGTGTTTTCACATTATTAACTTCCCAAAGTATTTCCCATGAAAGATTATGAGATATCTTGTGAAACAAAAATAGTATCTGACAAGACTAGTGATAGGTTCATTTTTAAAAAAGGGTCCTATCTTTAAATATGATCAGAAAATGCTCTATGACATTGTCCCTTCTTAGACATCACAACGTACTGTTGCATAGGAGAAGATCAGATCCATGAAGATCTGTAGTACAACAAACAAGCAAAATTGTTGACATTGCATGTTTAATCTAGATTTGACTTAAATTCTTTGACCATGGATTCTCAGATGCTGGGTCTCATGGCACTTGCGGTCTTTAGTTCACATCATTTCTTCACCAAAGCCACAACTGAAACAGGCTGGCAACTGCCAGAATATACATAGAAGACAATCACCTAATCATCTGATGAATAGGTCCTTGTTTTATTGAGGGTTTTTTTTTTAGGTTCTTTTTTCTCAATTTGTCCTCTAACTTCCAATGACATGGGACATCATTTTAATTGATCCTCAAAATTCTTAAAGAATACTTTTTACACAAGTGGCACCAAGGAAATATATGATGCTGGAAAGATACTGGAAAGTGCAGTAATTAACCAAGAATATTACAACTCATTTTCTTGAGACTTGGCATACCTTCCTGCAAGCTTTTTATTTATTTATTTACTTTTTAATGAAGTAATTAATTGCAATTCATTTGGGTGTTATGGAGGTTGTAGTCAATTTTTATTACTAATTTTTCTTTGTGTAGTAGTTATTAATGTGTTTTTCATTTATAGCTAGAACAACTGGGAAGACACTCTAGTCCATGTAACCCTTAGACATTTGAATTTGATAGTGAAGTATCAGTGCCCTCTTTGCTCAGTGTGTTTGCAGTGCAGTGCAGTTTAAATTTAATTTATTTATAATTTTCCCTTTATATTTTTATTAAACCCTCTACTTATTTTCCCATTCTTCTCTGACCAACAGATGGGCTTACTTCCCCTTTATGTGTTTTCATTGTTAATATCTGCAATTCAATAATCAGAAAAATCAGAAATTAGCTTGTATCACATTTGCAAGGGAAAATGTTTTCTTCAAGCTGCATTTTGTTTCTGAGCTAAAAGAAAACACAATGCTATTACATAATGAGTGCCTGTTTTACAGGGGAAAAAATAAACAGGGTTCCAAGTTTAAAATGATGATGGTGCTTTTCTGCTATCATCGGAGCCTAGGTCAGCACAAGGCCACATGTCATCCCTCTCTTGGACTGCAGTCTTTATGCACATCATTCACACACAGATTAATTCACTCAACCAGAGAGATGGTCCAATTGCACTTTCTTACTTAATTTCTTGTTGACTTGTCAGATACTTATGTTTTATGAAGACATGACAGAATTCCAAGATTAAAATTTGGTTATGATAATTTATAAAATAATAAGTATTGTGATGTGATATTGATGGCTTCATGTAAAAAAGAATCCTTTTTATTCAGTTCCCAATCCAAGAATCCTCCCAATCTAGAGGGGTACCTCTCTTGTCCGGAGCACCATTGATTAAATCTCACCAAGCCAAATCTTTATCTTTTTGTAATAAGTGTGTCCTCTGTAGGTATTCTCCAATGCTCCATAAGCTATTCTTGGCTTGGTACTTTTCTGATGAGAATGAACTCTTTCTTCATGGTCTAGCTGTGAAGCTGATTGAATGTCTTAGGCCAGAAGATTTGACCAGGGGCTGCCGTGTTTTCTCATCTTTGCTCTTTTATCAACATAGGATTTCCTGCAGATTCAAGATGAGGAGTCAGATGAGTCAAAGTTATCTACATCTACAGGTCATGACAGGAAAGTTGAAAGCCCTGTTAAATTTTTACAGGAGTTACTGATGATAATTACCAAGAAATCCTGGGCCTGAGATATAAATTCTTAGCTTTAAATTTTCTTCATTTCTTGGTTCTGCTGCTCCTCATCACCATTTATGCAAAAAAAATCTGCTTGGGTATTCAAAACACAGCTTTCTTGTTTCTATTTGTGCATTCAAACACTCCTTATTTTCTCCACTACCAGGGATAACCTCTTTTCTTATGATTCACATTTTTCTTGTTCTTCAATTGTCATCCAGAATTTTCTTGCTCCTTAAAAGCTTCCTAGTTTAACTGATTCAATATCTATAATTTTCTTTCTCAGGTAGATTTTTATACATGAACTTACTCATGCTACAATTTCACTGGGAGCTTTATATTTTTATGTCACCAACAAATCTCTTCCAGCTTCATCAGATTGTAAAACCTCAAGGGTCCTGATCATATCCTCCATTTTCGTCTAGGGTGTTTAGTGGAGTAGGGTCCCTCGTTTTTTTCTCTTTCTTTGCTGCACTAAAAGGATGAAATGTAAATATTTTCTCCCCAGGGAGGCTTTGGGAAGAGAGTGAGTTTTCAGTGGCTAATGATTTGTGCTTTGAGTTTAATGGTCCATCAAAGTCTATTAAGCAATAGCAAGAGAAAAAGAAGATTCCAAAGGAAAGTAGAAGGGGATAAACCACAATGAGACTTCAGGGGGGATCTAGAAAAATGGACCAGGGAATGATCTGGTTTACAGAAGGGGAGTTTGGGAGATAAGGCGCAGGTGGGAGGGCAGAGATCTAACTGCGGAAAAGCTCAGACACAGCCGAAAAACTGGACCTAGTAATGTTAGAAGACACCAGAGTTGAATCACAGCTCGCAGCCACCCCTCACTCAAGCCTTCACTGGAGCTGGCATCTCTCCTCTCCTGTGTTTAGTGACAAAAAATGTGGCCCTTCTGCTGCCTGGCAAAGAGTTTGCCTTGACTACATTCAGCACCTCATCAGCTGTCCTTCCATCTGTGCCTGCCACCTAGGTGAGCCACTGGCCTCCTCCTGTATGAGTCAGGATTCTGGCATAGTGCATCTGTGTGATGTCTCTGAAATGTTTATCTTCAGCACAGATTTCTTTTCTGGTTTCAACTTCCCATTTAGAAGTTGAAACGGAAGAGAAGTTGAAACCGGGAGTTGCATATCTACTCAGGTGTCATGGACATCTTAAACTCAACATTGTCTATTCCAAAGCCAACCTTTCATCTTCCTCATCATAGTAAATGGAATCTTTGTCTTTCTAGTTTTTTAAGCCATAAACTCAGAAGTCATTTCAGACATACTCAGGTTATGTAATATACAGAGAATTTAACAAAGAACTATTTACAAAGGTGAGGGTGGCATTCAAAGAAACCACCAAGTAATATTGCAGTACTTCTGAAATAATGACAGTGAGAATCCGGAGCCCAATCCTAGGCCTGAAGGGGCAGCAGGAGGGAGTGGTTGATGGACCCTGATACAGGCAGGGAAGGCTGTGTGAAGATTTGGGAGGATCTGTGTTTCTTTGTCAATGAAGGTGGCCAGCCCTCAGCACAGCGTGGGGGTGCAGGAGAAAACAATACCCCACAGTCACTCTCCTCCCCACCTCAGAGCTCCTGCACTGTTCCTGAAGCCATAGAGGAAGACAAAGCAAAGCAAAACCCACCACTGATGTAAACCTAGACAGTGAGCCTCCCAGGACCCAGGGCAGGGTGGAAAATGGTGAAGAGTGAACCTGATGGACGAACAGAAGAAAGAAGGCTCAATAATGGACATTTTCTTGACTCTCGACTAATTATTTAATATCAATAACCTCCACATAATGTTCCAGCATGTTTTTTAAACTAGAGAAATAAAAAAATTGGTTGTGGGAGGAGAGGAAGGTGAAGAGAAGAGGGCATGGTAGAGTGTTAGACGAAGCAAAACTTAGAGAAGGGACCAAGTCAGGGATTAGGCTAGGACAGTGGTTGATGATTTCCCTATCACCTTTGTCCAAAGGCTGCACGCGGGGGGCCCCATAAGTGTTTGTTGGCTGCCTCCAACTCTCAACCACTGGAAGCTAACATTCTTTCTGGTTTGTTCGGTTTAGCAAGTGCGTGAAGTACCTCTTGAAGATTGACTCTGCGGTGCTCACTCACTCACACACTGACATGTAATCAAATGTTTTACTGCAGTTCCATTATCTTTTCATCAACACATTTTGAAAAAAAATGACTGACACCACCAAGTTGATTCAGTTGTGGACAAACAATCTTCAAAGCAGAGTTATCTCTTCCTGATCTAGCTCAATAGTTTACAATATTAACTTCATAAATTAAATTACTTCTGCTTCAGACTGACTTTTCTTGAAAGCACATATTCTTCTCTTTCTTTTTACATACTCAATCATGAATTAAAGTAGGTAACACAGATTGTTTGCTACAGGTCAATTTCTCTATAAAACTACAAAAGGGAAGATCAGAAAGAAGAGGGTGAAGACTGTAGATTGCTAAAATAAAAGCTTTGTAAAGAAAATCTTAAACTACTTATTCCTTTGGCTCCCAGGAAATCATATTCTCTTCTCTTTCTAAGTTATTGTGGTGGAGGGGTTGTTTATTTTCATTTTAACTTTTTTATTTTTAAATTTGATGCATACATAATAGTTGTACATAATATATGGGGTACATGTGATATTTTGATACAAGCATAAAGTATGTAATGATCAAATCAGGATCATTACAAACATTTATCATTGTCATCTCAAACATTTATCATTTTTTCATGTTGGTAACATTCTAAATTCATTCCTCTAGCTATTTTGAAATATATAATAAATTATTAACTATAGTCACCCCATTGTGCTATAAAATGCCACATCCTATCTTACTATCTAACTGTATTTTTGTACTCATTAACCAACCCATTTTTATCTCCCCTTCCCCAGTACCCTTCCAAGCCTCTGGTAACCATGATTCTACTCTCTATCTCCATGAGATCAATTTTTTTAGCCCGCATATATGAGTGAGAACATGTGATATTTGTCTTTCTGTGTCCAGCTTATTTCACATATCATAATTTCCTCCAGTTTCATCCATGTTGTTGCAAGTGACAAGATTTTATTATTTCTTATGACTGAATAATATTTTATTGTGTCTATGTGCCATATTTGCTTTGTCTATTCATCTGTTGATGGACACAGTTTGGTTCCATACCTTGACTACTGACTGCTGTGAATAGCTCTACAATAAACATAGGAGTGCCGATATCTCTTTGATACACTGATTGCCTAGTTTTTTGGATATGTATCCAGTAGTGGGATTGCTGGATCATATGGTAGTTCTATTTTTAGTTTTTTTTAGGAACCTTCATACTATTTTCCTTAGTAGCTGTACTAACTTACATTCCCATCAACAGTATACAAGAGTTCCCTTTTTTCCACATTCTCCCCAGAATTTGTTACTTTTTGCCTTTTTGATAAAAGAAATTTTAACTAGAATGAGATAATATCTCATTGTGGTTTTGATTTGCATTTCTGTGATGATTAGTGATATAAGCATTTTTTCATATACCTGTTGGCCATTGTATGATTTCTTTTGAGACATGTTTATTCAAATCCTTTGACTATTTTTAAATCAGATTACTTGGCTTTTCACTATTAAGTTGTTTGAGCTCCTTATATATTCTGGTTACTAATCTCTTGTCAGATGGGTCATTTGCAAATATTTTCTCCCATTCTGTAGGCTGTCCCTTCACCTTGTTGATTATTTTCTTTTCTGTGCAGAAGCTTTTTAGCTTGATGTGGTCCCATTTGTCCATTTTTCCTTGGGTTGCTTGTGCTTTTGAGGTTATTGTAGGATTTTATACATTGTTTATAACTTCTTTGACAGTCCTCTCTTCAACACATGAAACTTAAACCCCCACCCTTTAAATATGGACTGGCCTTAGTAACTCATTTCTAACAAATAGGATCATAAGTGAAACCACCTATAGAGCTTCCAAGTTCTGTCATTAAAGTTTGGCTCTCTCTTTTTTTGAGAAATATATTTTTGGAGCCCTGAGCTGCCGAGTGAGAAGTCTGCCTATGTTGAAATTGCTGAACAAGAATAAGCACCTCGAGATGAAGACAAGCCAGAGGAGCCTCACCAAGTCAAGCCCCCAGCTATTTGAGCACCATCTGCAAAAATGAGATTCTGAGATTATTCCAGCCTCATCAGTGACTGATGGCATTCACAAAAGAGACCCTGAGCAACAAACATCCACTGAGTCCAGTCAACTCCCAGAACAATGTGCCATAATACTAGTGAACGACTGTTATTATTTTATGCCACTAATTTGGGGGTAGTTTGTTACACAGCAATAGTACCCAGAGAACTGGTGTCTCCTTTCGTTAACCTCCAAACGTTGGATGCCCCTTGTCCAAGTCCTGGACCTTCTTTTCTTATATATTATGCTTTTTTTCTTAGTAATCTCATCTTCCCCATGGTTTTAAGTAGCATTTGTATGCTACCTCTGAAATTTTTATCTTCAGCACGGATTTCTTTTCTATGTTGCAAATAGCCATTTGGATATCTGCTCAAGTGTCGTGGACATCTCAAACTTACTACCTCCCCAAGTTGACCCTTGATCATCCTCATCTTAGTAAATGGCAGCTCTATCCATTCTTTGCATAAGCCACAAATACAGAATTATTCTAGGCAAATCTCTGCTCCTTATGTTCTCAAACCAATGAATCATCAAGTTCTTTCAATTATTTTTCTACAATTATGGCAAATGCAAATTATTTTTGTCCCCACTAACACCACTCTAATCCAAGTGACAGCTATTTTTCACATAGGGTAGTACAATAATTTTTCAGTATTCTCTTTGCTTCCAATCTTGCCATATCTATTGCTAACACTCTACCATCTATTCTTCATATAATAGCCACACTATTTTTTTTAAACATAAATGATGCAACTTTAACCCCCACCTTATTTAAGAACACTCAATTAGGGCTAAAATCCAACATAATAACTTGGTGCATAAGACCTGATGATTTTGACACTGCTCTTCTCTCCAACTTCATTTTGACTTACCCTCTCCCTTGTACATTAAATTGAGTCACACTGGCTTTCTCTTAGTTCCTCAGAAATTCCACACACTTTCTGCAAGGCCTTTTACAGGTGCTGTTTCTTTTGTGTAAAATACATTTATCCCTCCTCTGGCTCTACCCTCACCCCCTAAACCACCTTCTGTCTTAATGATCTTCTATTCATCTTTTTGATTTCAGCTTAAATACCACTTCCTCAAGCAATATCTCTGACTTCATCTCCATCTGATTTGGATTTCTTATGTTAGTCTTCAAAAAATACTGTCCTTTTCACTTATTGGTATTATCACAATTAGACATTACATATGTACTTTTTGTTGAATTGGCTTATATCTTATCTCTATCCCTACTCTACAAGCTCCATGAGAGCAGAAATCAAGTCTCACTTGTTCACTGCTCAACACCCAGAATTTAATAGTAGGTGCTCATTATGTACTTATTAAATGAATATACACCTGTTAAATTTGATCTTTGGGTCAACTTCTCTGAGACACTTGGCACTTGTGCAAAAGCTGTTCTAACCTGGGACCTTGTGACCATGAGATCATGCAAATAGATATCTCAGAGGGAGGAATCCCCACTGGAGGATAACATTTCAAGAATTTCATTCAGAAAAAAGTCAAAATCCAAGACCAGTCTTCACAAAAGCTATAGAATCTTGGATTACCTCAACTTATGAAATCTCTAGATTGATCTCTCTATTTTTATATTATTTCCATGCAAGCCTACATTTCTTCTTCTACAGTGTCCATTAGAGCAAAGATTAATCAGACCACACACCAAAAAAAATTATTAGTATGGGTGATTTTTCTCAATTTTACTAAAAAGCAAACTATTGTTTTATAAGAATACAAATTGAATCCTCTTACTGCTATTCCAAATATTTTCACCCCTAGCTTTATGACCATCGAAAGCAACAAAATAAAAAACAAAAGCAGTTTTTACAGTTTAAATAGTGTCTTGTTAACTCTCTGGATAGCTTCATGGCCAATGAGCAAGAATTCTGAGAACTAAATTTAAAAAAATTAAAATTAAAATTGAAAATAGAATAAACACATTAAAAAAAACCTTTAAAGTCCAGGGAACATGAAATGGCCTTCTCTCCATATACAAAATATCAACACGGTTCTCGCTTCTGATTTGCTTTAATCACAACCCTAACAAAGGATTCTAAAATAATCTCAACCTTCACAAAAATTCAACCCAGAAACAATGTGGATGAGAAATTGTGTTCATGATTACACACAATGCGGAAAAAACCTTTGGTGAATACCTGTCACATGCATGAAGCTCTTCACCACTATTGTGGCATCCATGACAATTCAGAATAAAATAGGTCAGATAACCATCAGTCAATCACATTTTCCTTTCCTCCTGGGATCAGAAACATCCCAGCTTTCTCCCGCTGTCCTGAGCCTGATATCAACATCTCTTTTTTTTAACCTGCAAGATTGTGATTGAATATTTTACCCAGCTGTCAATACTTTTAGTAAAGAATGAGCTAAATAAATTAAATCAACAGATAAAAGAGCATATGAATGAATTAAGCAGTGCCCCCACTCATCACTATCCCTTCTGTAAATGACAGATTAGCTGCTCATCTAAAATCTGTCAAGCAAATGCTTTTAAAATCCAGATAAATTAAAAGAGTTATAAGACCTTCTTGTTAAATGGAGGTATATTACAACATTGTTTTGTAGATGTATTTATTAAACTCAAGTCTGAGGGCAACAATCTTGAATTTTTGAAATGAGAGTTTTCAAAATTATTATTTAAAAATATATATTTGTTCATTGTAATGGGATCCTTAAGTTCTACTCTCTAATGTTCTATCTTTCTTTTTCAGAACTTTAACTAGAACAGTTCATGGCTCATGTTTGTGTTTCTGTATTGCCTATCCAAAAGTGGTATTGCAGGATATTAAGAAGTGTTATGTTTTTAAAAGTCTTCTTGTTTAAGAAGGTCTTGAAATACTGAATTGTTATAAATAGGTTTCTTGTGAATTTGGAGACTTTAATAAATGCTATTTTACATTTGGAGATCTCCAAATGAAGGCCTAAAAAAGCAGGATATTCATAATGGTTTGATCTCAGAATCCTTTTATTTGTGGGAACATCCCAAGAAACTAGTGTTTAACCAAACACTTCTTGAGAAACTGCTCCCCCAAAATTCCATAAGCATGAGGCAGCCCAGAGTCCACTCAATAAGGGCACTAATCCCATCATGAGGCCTCTACCCTCAAGGCCTCCACCCTCACCTTCCAAAAGCCCTATTTCCAAATATCATTTCACTGGGGATTAGGGTTGCAATGTATGAATTTTAGGTGGACACAAATATGCATTCCCTAAGAGCTGTAGAGCATGATTTTTCTTCATTTACAAGTCTTCATGTCTGCCACGTATAAGATGTTATACTAGGAGTTGGGGGATGTAAGCATGGATATATAAGAGGAATAAAAGTGATAGACTACCTCCAGAGAGCTTGCAGTTAAGGAGGAGAGAGAAAACCTTTATAAAATTAACTATATAGTGTATTGCAGAACCTGCGATCTTATTTCCTACCTTCATGGAGATTTTAGCCCAGTAAGAGTGAATGACAATTAAACATGAACTCATAAAACCATGCACCAAGTGCTTTGATTGGGGAAATGTACACTGAAAGGATATCAAAAACAGGAGTAAAAGGACATGAGAGCCAGAGAAAAATAATCTTGAGACCTAGTCACAGCAGCTCTCCACCCACAGCTATTCACCTAACACTTTAAGCTTCAATTTACTCATAGGTAAAAAGAGAGGGTGGGAGTCCGTGACCTCAAGGCTCTTTAGCAATTCTCAGTGTCTAATCTATTTTGCTGTTCTGTATGTTTACAAAGGCAAGGTTTAAAGAATTGGAGCAGCCAAGAGAAGAATTAGCAAGCAATCTGCTTCAACATTGGTTTTGGTTCCTATTTATTTTATTATCAAACTTATACTAAAACAACTTTAGTAATTGTTTGAAACAAAGGATCATTACTCAGGAAGCAGCATCTCAGCTGTGTTATGATTAAAAGACTTTGAAAAGCTCAGGAAGTATAGTTTTCTCCAGCATTGTTTTTCTTTTCTACAAAAACCTTTTTGTGCAGGTTCAAGTGCAAGATTAGATACTAATTTGATTCTTTATAGTATAGACAGTCTTTAACACAGCACTGAGATATGGGCTTATCTAGAGAGACTGTTTTTGAAAGAAATGCTGCTATTCAAAGCAATAGGCCAGCTTTGTTTTTCTAAATTATTCAGAACAGAAATAACTGGTTGATTTGCTGATATGCAGATAAATATCAGGTATTATTTAGCCAGCGCCAACTTGCCTGAATGACTATCTTTCCACTACCCTGGGAGTAGTGAACCTAAAAAAAAAAAAAGGAAACTTTGTTTCCTACAGAGTAAATATTAGATGTTAGATCATACCCCTAGGACAGAAGAAAATTAGATAAGCTCTATTTTCTTGCACAAGAAGAAATGCACCCTCTTCAAATACTGATGGAAAGTCCTGTCTGGGTGGACCTGTCATTTTGAAAGTGGAGGTACTAAAAATGAAATAAATTACTACTTGGTTACAACTATAAGCAAGAACAATTCTCTAGTCATTTCCCAACTAGAAATAATGAAATCACAAATAACTTAGGAGAAGATGTAAAATTCAACTTTCCTTTCAAGTCCTGCTGCCTCTCTGCTTTTATCTCCACCTGGCCTTCTAAATTCTCTGGCTTTTCATTTGTACTTTGAAAACCTTTTCACTGAATTCACTATTTAAATTAAATAAAAATTCCAAGCAGCTATATCTGGTTTGGTTTTGGAATATCCTTTCCTCTGAGCTCCTTTTGGTTTTCTAATTTTAAGGTAAGTGTCCTCCCTGTCTTCAGCTTCCCAAATAGTTGACCCCTCGAACTATGTTTTCTCCTTTGATGCTAATGCTACCAGTTTCTCTACTGCCCTCCACTGAACCACTCCTGTTGCCTTTCATTCTTTCTACACTTTTATCTACTTTGTTCCTATTACTGCCAATGTAAAAATGAGACATGCCTCCCCCCTCACTTAATAATTCTATTCTCAAGTACATAATTATTTCTGTCTTTCCTTTATGGTGATCCACCTAGAGCAACCCTAGCTAATGCTGGCTAAGAAAACGTTCTCTTTTGAGTGTTATGCTAGAGATCATAGAAACGTGTCCATGTTAGCCCCTGTAGGAAGGACAAACTATCTCTGGAGGTTGTTGCTCAAAGAGCAGATTTTAGCTTTCACACATAACCTCACCACCCTGTTTGCCCTATTTTCCTCTATATGAAGAGCAAGCCCTTCCTACCTGTGACAAGGGCAGATGCTACTTTTGCCCATCAGCTTATCCTTGCTGTGTGTTTCTGTCAGCACTGCCAAGTTCTGGGCACCAAGTGGACGGAGCCCGCGGCATCTGCCACAGAGCTATAAGAACCCAGGCAGCAATATGTCCTTGTGGAGTGGAAAGACAAATCCAGGAGAGCAGGATAGATTCCATACCAACCCCAACCACCACCAGTGCCCTTCTCAACTTCCTATTACATTGAGAAACAGAACAGAAGCACAGGATGGAATATTTTCAATCACAGAGCTTTGTTGGAAGGAAGATTCCAGGTGGTAAGGGGAGATTTGAGCACCAAATAGACACAGGGTTAACCTTGCAGGTGGTCAGAGCAGGTGTACACCCACATGGTAAAATCTTAGAGGTCTTATAAATATTCCTAAGTCTAAAAGAAACATATAGAAAATGTTTAAAATACCCCTGACAGAGATCCAACCCTTTGCAGGTCTTCTGCTACCTGATAAAATGCAAAGTCCTCCATGTAGAAATATATTTGAAATGTATTCATCGGTATCACCTTGGTGCTAAAGAATTTACAGTTAGCTCCCCTAGTGAAATTCAGGATGTTTTTATTGTTGGTAAATTGAAAAAGAATTTTTCACCTGATCAATGAGGAAAGATGATAGGGAAAGGTAGAAAGGAAGGGCAAGGACACAAAAAAACTTTGCCAGGCAGACAACCTGGTACCAGTAATTTTTGGTGTAAAAAACAACGCAATTGGCAGTGCATTCTCCAAGTTCCGGTGTCTTGGTCCCGTTCTTATTCCACTCAAGTTGCATTAAGAACAAACATTGCCAGGGTATTTGACTTTTCTCTATTTCCATGGGATTCTAAATTTTTCTAAATCTGAACCCCCCGCCCCCGACAAATCCTACCATAGATAGTAAGTTTTACCTCTATATAGAAAAACATCATTTCCACTATTATAATTATATTACTCTACATAATTTCTTCAAGACTTTGCTTAATTATTTCTCAGAACTCTCTATGTTGCTAATTATGTAGAGTAATATGAATTTCACTAGGGGAGCTAACTGTAAATTCTTTAGCACCAAGGTGATACCGATGAATACACTTCAAAATATATTTCTTCCTGGAGTGCAGTGGCACGATCTCGGCTCACTGCAACCTCCATCTCTCAGGTTCAAGGAATTCTCCTGCCTCAAGCCTCCTGAGTAGCTGGGATTACAGGTGCGTGCCACCATGCCCAGATAATTTTTTTTTTTTTTTGAGACAGAGTCTCATTCTGTTGCTCAGGGTGGAGTGCAGTGGCGCAATCTTGGCTCACTGCAGCCTCCACCTCCCGGGTTCAAGCAATTCTCCTCCCTCAGCCTCCCAAGGAGCTGGGATTACAGGCACGCACCACCGTGTCCAGCCCAATCTCTATATTTTTAGTAGAGGCGGGGTTTTGCCACGTTCGCCAGGCTGGTCTCAAACTCCTGACCTCAAGTGATCCGCTCACCTCGGCTTCCCAAAGTGCTGGAATTACAGGTGTGAGCCACTGCAACAGGCTGATAGTATTTCAATTTGAGATAAAATTAACATAAGATTTATCAGTTTAACCATTTTCAAGTGTACATATTGATAGTTTTAATTGTACTCAAAATGCAACCATCACCAGTAATTTCATAACACTTTTACCCCACAGAAACTCTGTATTGATTAAACAGTTTGTCCTCCATTCTATCTTTGTGATAGTTAATTGTATGTGTCAACTTAACTGGGCCATGGACATCCATGTATTTGGCTAACCATTATTTTCGATTGTGTCTGTTAAGGTGTTTCTGGATGAGATGAGCATTTGAATCAGGGCACTCACTAAATCAGATTAGCTTCCCTAATGTGAGCAGGTATCTGCTGATCTATTGAGGGTCTTAATGGAACAAAACACTGAGGAAGAAATAATTCTTCCCTTTCTGCTTGACTGCTTGAGCTGGAACATTGGCCTTCTCCAGGCCTCAGTCTAAAATTCACACCATTGTCTCTTCTAATTCCGAGGTCTTCAGATTTGAATTGAACTACTCCACCAACTTTTCTGGGTCCTCAGCTCACAGATGGCAGATCGTGGGAGTTCTCAGCCTCCATAATTGCATGGCCAATTCCTCATAATCTCTCTCCATGTATATATGTAGAGAGACAGAGGGAGAAAAACATGTATAGATCCCATATATATACATTATATAAGATACAGTTAGACATATTGTATGTATGTGTACACACACAATACGGGTTGAGTATCCCCCAAAATGCTTGGAATCAGAGCATCTCAAATCCGCAAATCTGAAATCCAAAATGCTCTGATGAACATTTCCTTTGAGCATCTTGGTGGCACTGAAGAATTTTTCTATTTCAGAGCATATTTTACATTTTCATATTTGGAATGCTCAACCTGTGTGTATGTTATGTATTTTACAAGATATCTATCTATCTTATGTCTATCTACCTATCTAATATACTACAGAATATATACATATGTATAAATATATAAAATATATACTTATATAAGTATATAGGTATATAAATAAGTATATAAATAAATATACTTATATAAACTAATATATATTACTTTATATAATATATATTTATATATTTATAACATATATATTTTATATACATATATGTATTTATATACATATATACGTATTTATATATACGTATTTATATACACATATACGTATTTATATATACTTATATAAGTATTTATATGTACTTATATAAGTATATATCTCCTATTGGTCCTGTTTCTCTGAGAAACCCTAAGATATCCTTCCTTATATTCTTTGGCAACTACTAATCAATTTTTTTGTTTCTATTAATTTGCCTATTCTGGACATTTTATATAAATGGAACCATACAATATGTAATCTTCTGTGCTGGCTTCTTTGAGGCTCAGTTATATTGTAGCATACATCAGTACTTCATTGCTTTTTATAGCTGAATAGTAGACCACTGTATGGATAGATCATTTTGTTTATTCATTCCTCAGTTAAAGGACATTTGGGCTCTTTCCACTGTTTGGCTATTATAAATAGTGCTGCATGAACATTCAAGTACAAGTTTTTGTTTGGACAACTGCTTTCATTTCTCTTGGGTATATATGTAGAAATAGAATTGCTGGGTCATAAGGTAATTCTGTGTCCCAACATTATGAGGAATCACTAACCTGTTTTTCATAGTGGCTGTACCATTTTACATTGCCACCAGCAATGCATGAGGTTTCCAATTTCTTTACATCCCCATCAACACTTGCTATTTCTCAGATTTTTGAGAAATATAGCCATATTAGTGGATATGAAGTTCTATCTCATTGTGGTTTGTTTCCCTAATAATTAATGGTTTTAAACATCTTACCATGTATATAATTAGCCATTTTTATATTTTTTGAAATTATTTATTCAAATTATTTGCCCATTTTAAAATAGCGTTGTTTGTATTTTTGTAATTAAGGATTCTTTATGTATTCTGTACACTAGACCCTTATCAAATATATGACAAGCAAATATTTTCTCCCATTTCACTTTCTTCATAGTATTGTTTGATGCACAGACTTCTTAATTTTAATGAAGCACAATTTATCTCTCTGTCTCTTTTTTTTTTTTTTTTTTTTTTGGCTGCTTTTAGCATCATACATAAAACACTGTTTCCTAATCTAGGGTCATGAGAATTTTCATTTATACTTTCTTCTGAGAGTTTTACATTTTTAGCTTTTAATTCAAAATCTTTGATACATTTTGAGTTAACTTTGGTATATAGTGTAAGGTAAGTGTCCAAATTCATTCTTTTAAATATGGACATACAGTTGTTCTCGTACTATTGGTAGGAAAGACTATTCTTTCCAACATTTTCATTTGATAATCTTGGCACCCTTGTCAAAAATCAATTGACCATAGATATATGGATTTATTCATGGATTGTCAATTCCATTCCACTGATCTCTTTATTTATCCTCAGACCAGTACCACACTGTTTTAATTATTGTAGCTTTATTTTAAGTTTTGAAATCAGGCACTATGAGTCTTTCCACGTTGTTTTTCTTTTTCAAAAATGTTGACTATTTGGGAAAACTTGCAATTCAGTATAAATTACAGAATTAACTTGTCCATTTTTTGCAAAATGGCATTTGGAATTTTGATAGGCATTGGACTGAATTCATAGATCAATTTGCAGTGTATTGCTATCTAAATAATATTAAGTATATCAATAATGAACACAGGATGTCTTTCCATTTATTTAGGTTTCCTTAATATCTTTCAAAAATATTTTTTAGTTTTCAGTTTATGTGTCTTGCATTTCCTTATTTTAATTCATTTGTAAGTGATTTTTATGCTGTTATAAAGAGAACTGTTTTCTTAACTTTGTTTTCAAATAAATCATTGACACTACATAGAAATAGAACTTACTTTTGTGTGTGGATGTTGTATCAGGCAACTTTGCCTAATGTACTTATCAGTCTAATAGTTTTTTTGCAGGGTTTTTTTTTTTTTAGTTTTATACATATTGTCATGGCACCTGTGAATAAAGATAGTTCTATTTCTTCCTATCCAATCTGGCTGACACTTATATTTTTTCTTGTCTAATTGCCCTTGCTGGAACTTCTGTATAATATTGAATACATATGTTGAGAGTAGATATCTGTCTTATTCTTGATCTTAGGGGGATAGCTTTCAGTATTTCACAGTTAAGAAGGATATTAGCTTTATATTTTTTAACAAATGCCCTGTCTCAAGCCTGAGGAAGTTTCCTTCTACTCTGAGTTTTCTGAGTCTTTTTATAACGAAAGGACATTAGATCTTGTCATTTTCTCTATCAACTGAGATCATCATGTTAGTTTTTCCTTTTTCTGCCAATATGGAATATTATATTGATTGGTTTTCTTATGTTTAACTTAGGATAAATTCCTTGGGTAAATCCCATTTGGTCATGGGGTATAACCTTTGTCGCATGCTGCCAGACTCAGTTTACTAGTATTTTTAGAATAATTTTTAATACATTTACAAGTGATCTTTGTGACCTTTTTGTCTGGCTTTGACATTAGGGTAATGCTGTCCTAATAGAATGAGTTCAGAAATTTTTACCTCTTCTTTATTTTTTGTTAAAGTTTGAGAAGTATTTCTTTGAATTCTTTAAATGTTTGGTATAATTCACCAGTGAAGCCACTGAGTCTTGAGTCTTTTGATGTTGTTGATGGTGGTTTTTTTATTATTGACTCAATAAATTTACTTTTTATAGGTCCATTCAGATTTCCTACTTATTCTTGAGTCAGTGTTGGTATTTTGTATGTTTCTGGAAATTTTTTCATTTCATTTAGGTTACCTAATTTGGTGGAATACACTGGTTCATGTATTGTTTTATAATCATTTCATTTCTGTAAGGTGGGTAGTAACATCCTCAATTTATTTCTAATTTTAGTAAATCAAGTTTCCCTGTTTTTCTTGATAAGTCTTATCAAATATTTGTCATTTTTTAACCTTTCAGAGAAACAACTTTTGGTTTTATTGAGTATCTTTATTGTTTTTCTATTCTCAATTTCATTTATCTCTGCTCTAATATTTATTATTTTTTCCATCAGCTTGCTTTGTGTTTTTTGCTCTTTTTCTTTTATTTTCTTAAGGTGGAACCTTAGGTTATTAACTTGAGAATCTTTATTTTCTTTTAATTTAGGCATTTACAGGTTTAGATTTTCCTCTGAGAACTGCTTTACTATATCCTATAGGTTTTGGTATGTTATCTATGCTTTTTATTCCTTTCAAAGCATTTACTAATATTCATCACAATTTCTTCTTTGGCCCACTGAGTATTTAAGAGTATACTGTTTAATTTCTACGTATTTGTGAATTTTCTAGATTTTTTTTTCTTATTGATTTCTAATTTCATGTGGTCAAAAAAGTTACAATACATGATTTCAATCTTTATAAATTGAGATTTGTTTTTTGTCCCAATAGATCCTGGATACTATTTCATGTACTTTTCAGAAGAATATATATTATCCTGTTGTTGGGTAGAGTTTTCTATATGTGTGCTAAGTCTAGTTGATTTATTGTGTTCTTCAATTATTACATTTCCTTGATCTGTGCAAGTTTTCTTGCTCTGTCGCCCAGGCTGCAGTGCAATGGCACCATCTCGGCTCACTGCAAGCTCTGCCTCCCGGGTTCACGCCATTCTCCTGCCTTAGCCTCCCTAGTAGCTGGGACTACAAGTGCCCGCCACCATGCCCAGCTAATTTTTTGTATTTTTAGTAGAGACGGGATTTCAGTGTGTTAGCCAGGATGGTCTCGATCTCCTGACCTTGTGATCCGCCGGCCTCAGCCTCCTAAAGTGCTGGGATTACAGAAAAAAGAACATTTTTTTAAAAGTCTTGCCATAGTACATACGAAAGTTGTGATCAAACATTTTCCCAGAAGTTTAAAAACCTAATAAAGTAAATAGTTTATAACCGAAAAGCACAAAAGAGAGGTATAAATTCTCAGGGAAGAAATGGCAATCAGCAGAATATAAATTAGAGGACATCAGTAGAGGACAAGAAATAAGTAAAACAAAAATAAATTAATATAGACACCAATAGCCTTCATAAACAAAAACAACAGCCACTTTGGATATGTGGTGGATGAAAAGTCTACAGTACCAGTGGTGGCAATGTGTATGAAATAGGACAGATTGTAAAAAGAAATATTTATGATATTCTTTAAAAATTGCTAAATATAAATCAAAGGGAAAAAACAAAAGTAGAAAATGTCAGGCCTCTGAGCCCAAGGTAAGCCATCATATCCCTTGTGACCTGCACATACACATCCAGATGGCCGGTTCCTGCCTTAACTGATGACATTTCACCACAAAAGAAGTGAAAATGGCCTGTTCCTGCCTTAACTGATGACATTGTCTTGTGAAATTCCTTCTCCTGGCTCATCCTGGCTCAAAAGCTCCCCTACCGAGCACCTTGTGACCCCCACTCTGCCTGCCAGAGAACAACCCCCCTTTGACTGTAATTTTCCTTTATCTACCCAAGTCCTATAAAACGGCCCCACCCTTATCTCCCTTCACTGACTCTCTTTTCAGACTCAGCCGGCCTGCACCCAGGTGATTAAAAGCTTTATTTCTCACATTAAAAAAAAAAAAAAAAAAAAAAAAAAAATCTAAAATTTTACTACGGGATCCAGAAGGAAACTTAAGCCAATGGAAAGTATCTTTCTTTCTTGGAGTATTCCCTATCATACATTGTATTCACATTGACATACAGACGTGGGTCCTGCCTAAGTTAATATATAAAGTTAATATGACCACTAAAAAAACCTGGCATTTTTTTAATTAGACAAGATGATTCTTAAATTCATATAGAAACCTTGAACAAGCAATAACAACCAAAACACTCTGAAGAGCCGTGAGACATGGTTTGCCCTACTAGGTATCAAAACGTAGTATAAAACGGTAACAATTAAAAGAGTTTTGCACTGGCACACGAATATACAAATCAAAGGACCAGAATAGAAAACGTATCAGTGGACTCATACATAAAACAATTTATGATACAATTAATATTTCAAAACAGGAAAGCAATAGTATTTTTAAAATAGTAGAAAAGCAATAGGACAGAATAGCTGTTTGGGAAAATAAACAAAAAAGAAACTGGATTTTAGCTCCACTTTTTATTCATAAGATATATAAAACATATAAATGTAAAAACAAAAATGCAACCATAAATTACAAGAAAAAAATTGGAAAAATGTTTTAACTCCAGGAATGCAAAGGCTTTTCTAAGTAAGAAATAAATCTCTGAAGTCAATAAAACAAATGATTGATTAAATTGACTATATACAAATAATTCTTTTATGACTCAAAATAAATAAAGTCAAAAGACACATGCCAATCAGAGAAATAAAAATTACAATTTACATAATACCAAAGGGCTAGCCCCTTAACATGGAAAATGCTCCTACAAATCTATAAGAAGTCTGATGAAACAATGGAAAGAAGTAGAAAATATAACAAGCATTCAGGGAAAAGAAACATTTCTTAGCTTAATTATATAAAAATTGATATTAAAAGTACAATGAGATATTATCTTCAACTCAGATTGGCAAAGACCCAAATGTGCATTGGCAGAGTCCAAAAATGTTCTTTGTGGACAAGGGTGGGGGAAACACTCACACATTGTTGGTGGGGACATAAATGAACACAGCCCCCTGTAAAGGACAATTTGGCAGTAAAAATTAAAAATCAAGATATTTTAAAACTCAGGATTCCATTTTCAGAAATTCATGTAACTGAAACATTCACTGATATGTAACATGACATGTAAGACATTATGCATGGCAAATGACTTGCAACAACTTAATTATATAATTTAATTGAAGAATGGTCAGATAAATTTGTTACACTCATATATGGGAAAAGCTATCAGCCATTTAAAAAGAATGAAGCCATGTTTTATAAACTGATATAAAAGAGGTACAAAATGAAGTGACGAAAAAACAAAACAAGATGTTAAATAATCCATTTAGTAAGCTGAAACTTCCATGAACAAAATGAAAAAAAAATAGATATTGTTATTACCCTTATTTACATAGAATAAGTCTGAAAGCCTACTCAAGGATGCAGCAGTAATGGTGATTTCCAGAGAGAGAGGAACCTGAATGCTGGGTAACTGGGGGATGAAAGGACTTTCTTTCACAAAATATTTTGTACATTTTGAGTTTTATTTTTTTATTTTAAAAAGAAAAGGATTGTGTAGAGAGCAGCATTGCATAGTGGGAGACAACACAGACAGGAAGCTAGAAGCCAGAAAACCTGGATCCAAGCTGGACTCTGCCAGTTCCTGGCCAGGTGAGCTTGGGCAAACTACTTGACTCTGTGGCTGATTTTCCTTATTTTTAAAATGGGAATAATAATACTGTCTACCCTATAAAGCTGTTATGAGAACAAAAGTAATTAATACTCATAAGGCAGCTAGAAGAGTGCCTGACATAGAAAAGTGTTTTATTATTATTATTTATTAAAATAATAGAATAAAACACACACACAGACACAGGCACAGCCTGTGTCTGCAGTAAAGCAAGGTCGACTGGATTTAGAGTCCTAGGAGAGTTCTTTAGAAAAAAAGAGAAGTCAAGTGGAATCTAAGGCCAGGATTGAGTGTCTAGGACAGCAGCCAGAGAACTTCTGAAGGAACAAAGTTAGTTGTCAGCTTAGTTTTTGCTAATTTTGTCGTATAGTTGCTGTTCCAAAGGAGGCCAAACAGGCACACATAACATCAACACCACAAGGTGCGGAAATACTTAGGATTTAAGGAGAAAACTGTACTAACTGAGAAGCAGAAAAGCATCCAAGATCACCTAGCTCTGATGGTCACAGCATAGTCAAGCCAGGTACGCTGGGCAGACTGTACCACAAACAGGGTTCCGGGAGAGAGACCCAGCTTTCAGAGCAGCAGAATACGCAGAGTGAAAGTCCCGGTCCACAGAGCTTCTGTGACTCAGCCTTTAGTATCAGCAATTCTCCCATTGAGCTAAGTCACATCCACTGAGCCATCTTTTGGCTGAGTTACTGAGTAGGATGTAAATAGGCCTCTCAGGCCATCAAGATTTGTCTGTCTGTGATATTGTGTTACAATTTCAGATCCCTTTTGCATCTGCTGGAAAGGAAGTACAGAACCAGATGCTAGTGAGGGTGGAAAGTTCTTTATGTACAATCTCGTGTCACTTACTTTGATACATTTGTCGAATTGGTGAGTGGCCATAGTGAAGTCGCATTGAGATATTTAGCTAGAGTTTAGATTTCATCTTGATTTTTCCAGAGATACCTGCACAACTCTTCTGATCCTTTGTGATGTTAAATTCAACAGAAGCTGCCACTTTTTATAGTTACACTATTAAATCAGAAGCACGTCTCCATCCACAGGCAAGCATTTAAAAAATAAAATAAAATTAACCCATCTGAATGTCCTGTGCATATATAGATTCATGAAAGATTTGCTGGGTAAGATTTGTTGTGAGCTAGATACTCTGCAAAAGTATTTTCTCACCACATGCTCCCTTACAGAAAAGGGAACGTAGAGGATGGAGCACGAATTCGACTCAGTGATCTTGCTCTGAGTTGAAGCTTGGATTGACCACAAAATTGCTCTTAATTGCTTTCCCTGCTATTGATCAAAAGGATAGACTCTCAATACTTTCTTTTTACTCAAGCATTTCCAATCCTTGACACCTTTTTCACACAAATACAGTGAATGTCTTTTTTTCCTTTCTTATTTTTTTGGCTATTTTCTTCACCACTTTGTTATTAGTTAATAGTTATTACACTGTTTTTTTAATAGAACAATAATATGTTCATTTAGGTCTCATTTCTACACTAGCCTCTCTTTTTTTCTCTTCCTAAATCAAAGTTACCACACCTATTGCCTCAAATTGTCTCTTTTTATTAACATAGGCAGAGACAGATAGACATCTGTGACTCAGGAGAAAGAGAATTGTTCATAAGATTGAAAAGAGCAGATATTCTTAGCATAGAATAACAAGAAAATAAGTTTTCATCTTTTACCTTCTTTCCAACTGTATGCTTCAACACATTCACCTCCCTTAATATACAATCTGGTTTGGCTATTCAGCAACTATTTGAACCAGCAAATTAAAATTCTTAGTTTCTAATCAGTGGTGGAACTTATGTGGTTTGGTTTTTTATTTTTATTTTTTTGGTGATTTTGGGGATCTGTAAAGAGTTCTATTGGATTATTATAGAAATTGCTGTTTGAAGCTTTCTTAATCTGGAAAGAAGTGGCTATGAATAAGGATGCACCAGTCACTATCAATTTTTCTCAAGCTGGTCCATGCCTGTTTATCCTTTTGCTGTATGTGATGACACGCATTGCAGTCTATGTGAAAATGTCCTATCTGCCAGTAGGAAAAGCTTAATAATTTATTTGCAGTTCATCTTCCTCTAGACAAGTGCATGCTGTGTATTTGCTGAGCTGTGTAACTGGCTCTCAGAGCAGGCACATGGTCGGCTGCAAATGGTTCTTCTTGACATCTTTCCATTTTTCACGGTATTGATATTTAGCCCCTGAATGCCTGTTCTGCATTTTCAAAACAAAGCAGAAGTGAGGAATCAATTGTGTGTTGTTGGGAGGAAATGTCATGACCCTGATTATAACTGTTGCTTTTGAAGGAGAAATTATAGATGTGAAATTTGTCAACATCAAATCCAACACATAGTACATCTAATTCAAAAGGGCGTTCTCTTCTGTGGGTAAGTTCTCAGAGTCATCAAGGCTCAACCAAAAAGGAACCCTTCAGTCATTCTCTGTACTGTGGTCTCTTTGTACCTATGCTAGGAGAATCCTGGGGGCTCCTTGTATTGAATGAAGGGAAGATGTATTCATAAAAGGACCTAGATTAATCTGACTTTGAAGAAAAGTTAAGAAAAGTATTGGATTTGTAAAGGTTTTTATTTGTCCCGATTTTTTTTTTTAAACTAACTCTGCACCCATTTGTAAACATCTTAGAAGTTACCAATGTAATGATGTTTTGCTCCAGCATGGAATGCAACAACGACAAACAAACACTCACCTACAGGAAGTCAATTTAGAAGCTACCCAAATAACCTCATATTAAGGCCTCTTTAGTCTCAGAGCTTAGACTTCAAGGGCAACATTATGAGCTTCTATGTTCTCCACCTTCTGTTTTGTCTTCCTGAGACAATAAACTCCACAAGGCTCTGATGTACAATGCCTGCCTGTGGGAAATCTAGCACAGCCCCTGGAAAATAAAGCCAGAAAAAAAACTAAAAGAACTACCTAAGCATATAAAATTACTTATGGGGCTGGACACAGTGGCTTATGCCTGTAATCCCAGTATTCTGTGAGGCTGAGGCTGGTGGATGGATCCACTTGAGGTCAGGAGTTTGAGACCAGCCTGACCTACATGGTGAAACCCCATTTCTACTAAAAATACAAATACAGGCGCCTTTAGTCCCGGCTACTGGGGAGACTGAGGCAAGAGAATCGCTTGAACACAGGAGGCGGAGGTTGCAGTGAGCCAAGATCACACCATTGCACTCCAGTCTGGGCAACAGAGTGAGACTTCATTTAAAAAAAAATACTTATGGAATGTTGTGATTAGTACGACCTTGGTTTTATTCAGAACTCATGGCTAGTGCTTATTTTCATGGCTCAGAGGAATTACTTGGCAGAAAAAAATTTCATCCTTCCTCCCACCTATTTTCTGCAGAGATTTCACACATTGACTAAATTTAATATCATGCCACACTGAAATGCATGATGTTTGAAACTCCTCCATGATCTCTGTACAGAGTACTAAAGAACAAGAGGCCAGTATTTTTTTCTGAGCTGAAATTTAGTTTAGGTTTTGTGCTTTTATAGTCAGTTTTAGGACATCATATAATTACATTTTTATATGAATCACTTTATGTGAATCACCTTTGGGTGACATTTTGATGTCCTTTAGACAAAGTCCTAAAGTGTGGCTTCTACAGTCTGCTGTGCAACTGACGCAGGTATTTTTTATCATAAGTACCTTTCCTTCAAATATTTGGTCCTACATATTCATGTTCTATGCAACATTTAGTTCTTTTTAGTCATTGCATATAAAGAAAACAAAATAGCTCTAACACTGTGAAAGGCAAATGGCCCTGCTTATATGCCCTGTTTGAATACTTGAAATCCAACCCAAAGACAGTTCTTCCTCCTGTCTGGACCACTTGGGCCCTTGATGGAAGCCCAGCAGAGCCTGTTTAGAGAGCATGGAGCCATCTTCTGCTGAATCATGAGAGGAAACTATGGTAACCCAATGGAGTTCTTTACAACTGGTGTCGTGAGAGCACAGGCAGAAAACACATGGTGGGAACATAGATGCATCAAGTAAAAGCTCTCAGCAAAGACCTCAATGAGTTTAGAGAGTGATGGGACAGAACGTGCTATCCATTAGATGTGAAAACAGTAAAGTACACAAGAGAAAGAGAATGAAAAGGTGGGGTGAGGAGACAAATGCATAATACTAGGAAAATATAAGTAAACTGTTTCAGTTTGGATAATGGACAGTTATACTTATATCCAAACTGTTTCAGTTTGGATAATGGACAGTTATACCAACCCCTGCCCCAAAAAATTCCACATGAAGTGTCAAGACAGTGAGGGGTCTGAGATTTTTATCCTAGCTACACCTAACCAGTTAGTCTGCTGCTTTTATGCATCCTAGTGAGGCAGGATTTTTCTTCTCAGTCATTTTGAAAGCCAGGGACCCCCAGCTGGTGACCCCCCGGCTTAGGCCTCACTCAGGCACACTGGCATCCCCTAGCTCGCCTGTGTTATAGCTTGTACCCACATTCAGTGGTTCCTGAGCTCTTGTACTGTGCCCAAGAAGAATGAGGATATGCTGGACATTGAAGGGTGAGGAGGGCGAAGATTTTACTGAGCGATGGAACAGCTCTCAGCAGAGAGGGAACGCAATGGGGTGGTCCCCCACCTGAAGACGGGAAAGGCTCTCAGGTGGCTGGGTCCAGGGCCCTTTATGGACTCAAAATGGGGAGAGTGTGCTGACTGGTTTGTGAGTGTACAAAGAGGGTTAAAGCGAAGACACCAGTCAGAGGTGGGCACGACAGTGTAGAAAACCAATTAGGAAAGGGTAGGTATAGGTAAAATATGTGAAGGGTGGGGATGAATCAGAGGAAAGTGCGTCAATCAGGAAGACAAGTTCTCAATCCAGTCTGAGGATTTAACTCGTAGCTTGGCTTTTAGGCTTTAAACTATCTTTGGCTTGGAGGTAGAGTTTCACCAGGACCCTCTCCTATCTGCCTAGGCATTTGGCTGCCTCCTGTCACTATCACTAGGACGTTGTTACTCAACACACAGCAGCAGCATGAGCTTCATGTTTGACCCCTCTTGTCCCCCTTCAGGGTGACAGACAGATATTGCACATACAGTGGGTTTACATCACAGCTAAGGAATCCTGAACTAGGAAACCCAAATCTTTCATCAAACAGACTTTCCCAACACTGGCCCCAGAGGAACACATTATTCTTACCATACTATGCAGGAAATATAACTGCGCTCTGTTCCAGAGGGAGGCACCATATCTATGGAAAAACAAATAAGGTGAACTCTCCTTCTAAATAAGCAGTTTTCCTCATTTCACTTTTGTCACTGCTGTCTTCTCCACAGTTACCTTAACAGCTTGCATAGTTCCTGCAACGTCTTCTTTGTGGGCAGATACTCAGCAAAAATATGCAATATAAAGCCATAAATCTTTGACAGTTTTCATTCTTTCTGCTGTAATTGACATTTTAGCTGAACACTTGGTTTCTTCTAGACTCATTGTGTCACCTCCTATTCCCCAAACGGTAAGGAAATATATTTTAGGCTTCTCATTTCAAATAAATTAAGTTTTACACACATTATATAACATGTTTGCTAATAAATCACTTGGGTTATTATATGAAATACATTTTCCCCTAGGCAATGTGTTAATTTCATGATCATGGTAGACAAATGTATTTGTTTTTAAAGTACTGACTGACACATCTATGTTATCTCGTAAAAAAGACAAATGTTATTCTTTTCTTGAATTGTACATTTGAACAATGGTAAAATTGAAATCAATGCTACTTTTAATGAAATCAAATTACCGAATGGTGGTAACATCCTGAGGCAGCCCACCCTAAGCATAGGGAGTGAGATAGATGAGTCAACAAGTTTCTCACATCCTTATTTTGTAGCACACTCTATTAGCAACAGGAGGATAATGAACTGGTTCAGCAATTAGAACTGGTAGGTGCATCAATAAAAGTGTTTAGTAACTACTCCATGGTGAGCAATGCTCTCTGAAACCAGAAACTGACAGTGGGGGTTAGAGGCTAGTCATCTACCTCACATAAATAAATGTGTAATGTCAATTGGACAGAAAAAAAGTTACAAGAAATTGTTCCTCAGCATGAGCTTTGAGAAAAACACTACCATGATCATCACTCACGAAAAGTTACTTAGAGTGGTTTCCTTAAAAATACACACACACACACACACACACACACACACACACACGAAAAAATACATATAATTGATACATTTCTTGACTAAAAGAAAAAAGTCTTGATACCTTAGGGCCATTAGGTCTAGAATCTCCATCATTAACACTGATTCATTTTGCTTTCATGTTTAGTGCTGAAAATTCTGAGGTTGATTATTAGCTTAATCTTATTTACATCAAAGATGTTTCATGGCTCCTATGGCTTTAGAATTTAAGATATTCATTTGAAAGAAATAGGTAATATGAATTGAAATTAATAAAACGATGTTTTCAAACATCTATTTTATGTAGCACATTAGTTTAAAAATGTGTTCTTTGGATTGAATAAATACACTGAAATTCAGAAAGATGAATCCTAAATGTAACTACCAAATATTGCAGGAAATGCTATGGATCAAAGAGAAATATTTTCTTCAAAGATTTCCCAGTACTTTAAAATATCAAAAAATACAGCTAAGGCAGTTAAACATATAATATGAGAGGCCAGAATGTTATCACGTATAGGGTTCTTGCTAGTCATTATTATCTTATCCTCACATGAAACTCTAAATATCAGTAGTTCTCCGCTTTTTATAACCAACGCAGGCAAGTTGTTACACATATACCTGTGTCCAAAAAGTGTAGCTTATGAGCTTTCTTAGTAATATATGAAATAATGAATTTTACTAAAATTAATTGTATTTTTGTCATTTTTGCAAAAAATTTGAAAAAAAAGTTTGAAACATGTTCTAATCAAAGGGCAAAAGCTATGTTTATTTTGTTCACTTCTGTTTACTCAGATGACATGTAACAGGAACAAACTTTGTTACTTGAATTAATGTAGTGTCTATTTTGTGTCAATAGCTTTCCATTTAGAAGTAGGCACATTTTAAAGGCATCTTTTTTTTTTCAAGTAAATATTTTCATCTGAAACCTTGAATCTAGTAATACCAACAGATCAAACAGTTCCATATTTCTTTCTACTAATTGTTTCTCCAAATGCATATTACTGTAATTTGAATAGGCTTACTCTTTATAACATATTTTCATGAAAACACCGTGAAAGAATTACTGTTTCACCAATAACTTTTCTCTTTTGGGGAATTCAGAAGATCATCTCATCTTCACTGTGTAAAAATGTTGGTGTTGCCATTCTTTTCCCCTGATATATTACTTTATTTATGCTAGATAAGAAGACTGATATATTGTATTAAAACATAATTCAAAATAATAATTTAACTAATATAGAGAGTGAAAGGTAATATTTAGTTAATTTTGGCAACATTTATTAAACAGTGATTGTAATAAATTCAACTTGTTTTGGAACTAGACATAATTAATTTGATAAGTGTATCTACCATAAAGTAACAAATTTGTATGCAACAAGGCTGTCAGAATACATGAATCTGATAGCTAGTGAGATATACCAAAGGGCTATGGTGACCCCAGATGTTTAACTAGAAAGAAGAGTGAAGTGTTTTTAACTCTATCCACTTGTGTGATCTTACATTTCTGTATTAATAAAGTGAAATCCTTGCCTTCTCCCACAGCACATCTTTTTTTCCTCATAGGTGGCTTGATGTCAAGCATAAATCATGTACGTGGATGACATGGACCATGGATTCCAACCTACATCTAAACTGGCTTCATAAAATTCAAGGAAAGTAAAAAAATAGATTTTTTTAAAATTACTGGACAAAGCAGAAAATACCTATGCACACAATTTGTGTTTATGTCATTTATCAATTAAACTTTCTAATATATTCATGTTTAAATATCCCTTAACTTTAAGAGGAAAGTTGTTTCTTTGGTTATAAAAATCTTTAAATACAACAAAGAGACAATCTTATACATTTGGAAAATATACACTAACTATTTATTTTCAAAGATAAGTAACAGTAAGCTATTTTCCAATGACATTAAACTACGCTTGAAAGGAATTATTTATAAGTACTGATTATGTAGCATTGCAAATATTTATTCTAAAATACTAGAAGAAAAAATGGAACAGAATTTTCCACATTATGATCACAATTACGTAAAAATGTCTAAAGAAAAATGACTGGAAGGAAGTACATCGAAATACAAATCGTGGTTGTTTAGGGAAATAGCAGTATTTTTCTCTTTTTTTCTACTATTTTTTATTCTCTGTTTTCTACAATTGGCAGTATAATTTTATAAATATATACAAAACACATTTTATTAAAAGTGATTTGTATGTATTCCTTTAGTTATTTTATTTTCATTTTAAATTTCTTCTCAGTTTAACTGTTTCCTTCCATCTATTTAGATCCTTTTGCTCTGTGAGTTATCCTGTTTCTTTAATTTTTTTCTCTAGCTTCTCAGAGTGTTTTTTTTTTTTTTAGTTCTAACTTCTATCAGTTTTGTGTTTTCACTGCTCCCTTAATAACGCTAGCTTTGGCGGATATCCTCATTTTTGGTTTCTATTTCTGCACTTGATGATGGCAGAGCCAGTTTACACTCATAATCAACTTGCTGTCTCATTTTCCTGACCCTTCAGCCTTCCCTATTTCAAAAGATAGAATGTTAAGTTAATAGCAGATGAATAGTTCATTAATGATGGGATTTATCATCTTTGAATCTACTCGCATAAACATCTTTTGCAGCAATAGAAATTTTGTTGACTGCAGCCCCGGTGGAATTCCTTTCTTTACAAATGCCTGAGAAGGTACTGGCTTTGTAGTGTTTTGAAATTAATATACATTATTTTCCCCTTCTTCCTCTTCTACTTTCTATTTCACTTACTCTTCCTCCTTCATCTTCTCCCTTTTGTATACTGCTATCAGACCCATCATCTCACCTTTCTGCCTTCTAAAAGTTTGAAACTTGTCATGAGTGACTGAGCCCAGTACCATAGAAACTCCTTGACTGAGAAGCCAGTAAATGCTATATTCCTACTGTGGTCTTTAAAGCAGACAGACCCAGGCCTAATTCCCAGCTTTGTGACATTGGGTAAATGACTCAACCTCTCTCAGCCTTGATCCTTGTTTATTTTTGAATAGGGACAATCATGTTTTTATAAGCTTCTGTGAACATCAAGCCAAATATAGTGAGGGAAAATGCCCTGTAAACTCAAAAGTACGTCCCAGTCCTTGTCCTTTGTGTCTAATCCCTAACTATTCCTTTTACCCTCCTCAACACTTTCTACTTTCTTCTCTGCTAAACCTTATGTTCCACCTGTGCTGAAGGGTATGTGATTATTTGAAAATTCCATGTTCTTTTTAGTGTTAGGCCTTCCTGGAATATCAACAATCCTCTCTCAATCTGGCAAAGTTTGCCTCATCTTTTAATTCTCAACAGTGATATTGGCATCTATAAAATCTGTGCCTTCCTGCTCTCCCAATCACACCTCAACCCCAGTTGGGTTAGGGACTTTCTCTGTGCCTTCCCCTGACCTTTGTACCTTCTCTCTACTTCTCACACGATTCTTTACCTGCCTTCTCAGCTCACTAAGCTGTGAGGTCTTTAAAGGCAGAAGTTTTGTCCCTTCTCTCCATGTATCAAAATCTAATCAAGTATCTGGTAGGCTGCAGACACTCTGTTAACATGGGATAAATAAATGAATGAATGAATGCCAATAAAATTATTTGCAGCAGAAGATTATTTAATTTATCTTTGAATACTTGCATTGAATTAAAACACAGAAAAATAATTAATTAATTAATTGATCCTCCTCCACATGGGTATGATACATTTGCAATCAAGTGGCTGATTCTACAGTCAATGTGAAGAACATCACATGGTGCCTTTCTTGTCCTGAAATATTACCTCACTGGTGCCTTGTGAAGAAAGATGATGGGTTCTGTGGATGTTGTTGAGGTAGATGACACAAGGAGAGAAAAAAAAATAAGCTAAATGTTAAAAAATTAATGTGAAATGTATGTAATTCCAAAAGAGGGTAATTTAACTAGAAAACAGTAAACCTGCAGAAAGGAAGCCTAAATAATTACCATTCACTTCCAGACAGTTCCTTGAATTGGATTCACATTGAGCTAAGGCTATCTGAATTAGAGGCAGCTGTATAATCCAAATGTTGTGCAGCATACAGAATCAGATTGAGTGCTTGAGTGTCTGCACCCTAGGAAATTGATTTGACGACTATGTCAATTACTTCTGGCACCAAGCTTTCTGTGGGTTGCATTACAACTGCTCTTTTGGTCAGCTGTGACTGCTTCCCCATCCACACCTATTGTTTTAGATTTATTTACTGCACCGGCAATCATAAATTATAGACTTTTTTCTATACCATCTGGAAACTCTGGTGTCATTGTTTGGGTCACTTTTGATTACTCGCTCTTATTCTCAGCTACTGCCAAGGCTGATATATCTTGAATTATGAAAGACTTCCGCCACAAGCTGACCTATTTGTGAGCAACCTTTCAGCATCTACATATATTTATTTTATCCAACACATAGCTGGATAAAATAAAAAGTGTTTTCTCTGACCCTTCAGGGAATTATTTCTTTGCCTGTGATACTGAATTTTTAAAGCTCACAATTTGCCTAACCATTTGCTTGTTAACCTACTGTTCGCTTCTATCATTCCCACAAGGTCTGATTTAACAAATTTATCATCCTTTTTTTATGGTGCTGAGAATGTAATTTTTCCAATATTTTCACCCAGTCTCAATTCTTATACCGAATATTTCATTATGAATCTAAAATTAGAGTGAAAGGTTTTTTTTCCTCTTTCTTGTTTTCCTTTCTTCAAATCATCCTTAAACAATGAAGCAAAGCTTTTTATTACTCTTTATTCTGGTGTTCAATATTCTAGCAACTGGGGCTAATTGCTATACTGTAAAACTTTCCTGACTCCAGAAAACATCTTAGCAGTGTTCTTTTTTCAACCAAATGACACTGATGCCTACCTGTATGGACAGTGTCAGCAGATTACTTTCATTTTACACAGATGGTTCACTGGCAGTCCAGATCAAATCTGAAATTGTGCTATCAAGCAGTTTTTATCCAGAGAAGCAATTTGAATATTGGAATTTTGTTGAATTTCCTAGGCCACAGCTGCTTGCATCTGACATCTGCTTCAATTTTTTGAGCAGCCAGTGACTTTTTTTCTGGCAACCTCAAGGATGAATTTTGTCAGGTTGTGTTCAAATCTATGTAATCCTCATCAAGTATCCCTCTTTAAGTAGTGTAATACTCCACATCACACTGTGTCCTAGAATCCTGGCTCTTCTCTACTCCTCTATTTATTAACATCAAATTTCACCTTAATTTTTATTAGGAGAATCTCCATTTTCTACAACTTTTCCCCCTACAAGAAACTTCACTATCATCGGTTGAAGTCATGATCAAATTGAAGGGAGGAAAATAAAGTAGTGTTGTTAGAATTTTCTTTAAAAAAATAAATCTCCCATGAGTCTTCAGTAGATATAAGTATTGCACTTTTACCATTCTTCAAGTATCCTGTCAGAGAGGCTGTATAGGTATAAGGGATAGATTGTTTTCTTCCAAGGCAAAGTCCCAATGAATGTGGCCTAATTAACTTTGCAGCTTGATATATTATCCAAACTATCATTTCACATCTTTGACAGTAGTGTCTACCAGCATAATGTCATGTCAATTCATATCAGATCACTTTGTTATGTTAGATATGCAATGCCCCAACAAGACATGATATTATCAAGGCAACATGGTAGATATTTGAAAAAATTGTATCCTGTTTGCTGCTTCACCATCAGCCTTTCACAATGCAGAATGACACAACCAATGTGTCAAGCAGTAAATCTGAGGTTTGAAGTAGTGGGATGCTTTAGCAATTGCTTGTTTTTCAATGATTTTTTTAATCTACCTATAAAGTCCAAAGATACATAAAATGTTAGTTGTTAACATATTGTCATATTTCCAGACCATCTAAGTAACAAGCCTTTCAAGAAAGCAAAGAATAATATTACAAGAGCCCCTGTGATTTGCTATCTAAAAGAAGTATAAAATGCACACCATTTTCTCTTTGTTGTTAAAAGGGTGAATATTAGTCTAGTTGTGCTTTTGTTTTTAAAGAAAAATATAATAAACGATGCTGTTGGCAAGGTGTGATATTACTTAAGACATGTGCTTGCTATGTTCTCATCTGCCTTTTTCTTCCTGCCTATTACACAGCCTATTTACACAGAAGGGTGATGAAAACTTTAACTGACTGATGTTTTTTCTCGTCAAAAACTTCCAGAAAAAGAAGATTCCTTGATCTTTTTCTATATGCACTTGCAGCTCTTTTCACTGGGCTTTTTGGAGCAAGATAATCAAGGCATCTGCATTTAAGAATTTCATGTATAATAGGTCTTTAAAATATATAAAGCTAAAAAGGGAAAATGTAATACAAGGTTAGTATTAAGTGGCTTTCAATAGTAAGATTATATTTTAGATTTTCACAATCAGAAAAATGTGGCAAGCCAAGGAGATGAGCTTGTAGTTGGAGACTTCTAAATATTAAAATGGACTGTTCAAAACAGACGATATGCAGTAATTTCTACTGTTTATAAGCAATGTTGATTGCTGTCAAAGAGAAACCAATACCAAGTAAAAGAGAAAATCATTTACTGAAATTGAGAAAACGCTGAAAGCAAAACTTTTTTCTTTGGCTTGTCTTATTTTGTTTTAAGCTCATCAAAATAAAAGACTGACAATATGGCAGAAACAAAACAAATAAAAACTTTGATTATTGGTGATTCACAAAGGAGCAACAGTGAATGAAAAAGTGAAGTCAGGGAGTCAGAGAGACATCAAAGAAACACACATTATAATGCTGTTTAACCTTTTATTAAGATTGCTATTCTATGGCAATACATAAAACAGTGGATATTGGGCTCATTACATCAATACTATCTTGGCACTTTCTGAGGTCACACCAGGCATCTTTTATTCATGTTGTCACTGGGAATGGAAGTTATGCTAATAGGGCTGGGTCAGGCACACCCAGGCATAAGGAGAGGTTAAACATAAATCCCAGGCAGCAGGCTCATCAACAATCACCTCAGTGGCAATGAGGCTGTACCAAACAAGGGCAGAAGGGCCCACTTTTAAATCTTTGTCCTCTGTCCCTCAGATGACCAAATGGCAGTCGAATCCCATGGGACCTATTCATTCACCCTCCCATTCATTCATTCATTCATTCATGTCCATTAACAAGACACAAATGGCATAGGGGAAATAAAATTTCTCATGTCAACCTTCTCAATAAGATATGTCTGTACCATCTATGGAGTTTTACAAACCATATTTGGACCAGATTTTGTGTTCAGAGGGTTGTGAAAAGCATAAAACATTTTCATATAGTTTTTAAAAAGACATTTACTCATCTTAAAGTTTACCATTATTTTGTTATCGCTCCAGTTCTTCTTTTCAGTTCAGCAATGTCTAGCATCTCAGCTAAATAAAGCTCGAATTTTTCTGTCTATGCCCCATTCTTCATTATGTTGTTTTGTGATAAATGACCAAGATAGCCTTCAAAAAGAGATATTTCAATGGGTTTTACAAGGATATTATTATTTTCTTTCAGAGTGCTAAGCTATTCTTAAAGGCACATAGTGTCTATGATAAATCAATATTTTTAAATGATTTATTTTTTATAAATCATTTACATATTTTTAAATATATTTTTACAAGAAAACAAATAATTCTCCTACAAAGTAAAAGGCTACCAGAAATGACCAATTTTAAAATATAGACAAACCATAATTATATATGTCTCACTAATCACAGACAACATTAAATCACCATGTGAATTTGTTACATGTGACTATATTTGCTGATGGTGTAAAACATGTGTCCTTTCCATTAAAAGATTCTTACACATTAAAAAGAAGTCAAACTTCTATTTTTAATTTTCAAAGTACAAATTTGATAATTGAACACTAGAAGATATTTTAAGCAGAATAAGTGGCCCTTTAAAATATTCTGCAGACCGTTATATATAAATAATATGTGACATGAATTTATGTTAGAGTTGATGATAATCTTCAGTGTACATTGCTCTTATCATTTACAATGAATCTAAATAAAATGTCAACAGGTATGGAATGTTCAGGGAAGCAAATATTGATAATGACAAAACCAAGCTTGTCAACAACAGTGTTAAAACCAATGTGCTTAATTAAAAAAGTGAAGTCAATTAAAATCAAAATAACAGTGCAGCATGTACAAATGCTGGAATGATCATTAGGCCTTGCTGAATAATGGAACAGTATAGAATTTTTTTAATGGAACAGCAGGGGTGATACATTACACAAAGCAACAATCTACAACAATATGACAATTGAATTACTTCAGCCCCATTAGGCAGGTGCAGAGGAATAATTAACATGAATTTTTCCTATGAAAAGGAAAAAAAAAAAACTTTTTTCTCTAATAACACTAAGGTTTATATCCACAATCCAATTTGTCCTAAAAATGCCAATCTATGACAGCACAAACCTATGATTTTTTTTTAAGTAATGGTTTAATAGACAAGGGAGATTCTTGTTTATTTCCTATATAAATTTATAAATATAGAGAAAGATATAGATTAAACCTTTGTGGTATAATGCTAACCTTTTAAATGTACTTTGCCTATACGCATTGCTTTTGATTTTGGGGGCTTAAAAACAAAATAATAAAGAATTTGCAATAGTTTCTGACTGTCTATTCTAATTCAGATATAAAAGGCATCCCATAAAGCCTTAGGCAATATTTGTTATCTCATTTCCAGCTCAAATTCAAGACAAATCGTCATCTCCAGTTTAAAGTGGAGAGAGTTTGCTCACTAAAATGCCAGTAGAAATAAAAGCAACTTTATATTTCTTCACGAAGGCTAGGGATTTAAGACTTCTTTGCTACTTTTCCTGACAAAAATATCATCTTGTTTTAAAACAGTTGAGATTTTTAAAATCTTCCTCTTTCATTTATTTCCTATGGGAACCGTTTAAATTATATTGAGATAAATGGCTACGTATTTAAAGGACTGAAACTTTTTGTTTCTTTCCTTAGCATCAAGGAAGTAAAAAACGAAAACTCTTCATCCTGAGATGGCCCCATCAAATTAGATACATCTGAATCAGTTGATATGTGGAGGCTTTCATAGGATGGGTGGTTTAGTTTGGAAAAGGTAATTGTTTACCCTCATAAGAGGTCTTTCATCTTTAGGCTTGAAGCGCTTTACTAGTGAGGTCTCAGTAATTCCTACTTGGCTTCTAAGGAAGTTCTACTTTCCTTATTTTGAAAAAAGAGGCACTAAACTGTTCAAGACTCAATAGGTAGACAGGTTCTCCTGAAGGTCATCTGTAGAATCAGTGGAAGGAAAGAACAAATTCACCGGTCCTTCCACTGTAAAATGTTGTCAGTTAAAAGGTCGACATGACTGTATGTCAATGGGAGGGTGGCCAGGGCTGACAATGTGAAATGAAAATCATTGCTCTGTGGTAGTCATCACTTTGCATTTCAAAATAGTCTTCCTGTATGTTCTCCCACAGACCACTATAAGCAGTAAAATTGTTGAAGTACAAAGGATAAAACTTTTTAAAATTTTAGTTTGTCCATTCTTTAGTAGGAGAAACAAAGAATCTAACAGGAAATTTTCAATTCCCTGTTACTATCAATTCCCAATTATCTGAAATCTAAGGCTTGAATTGATACAATATCATGATATTTTATGCATAAGAAAGTTGTAGCTTTAATGTGAGAAATGTAATCAAGTATTTTCCCATGAGGTTTGCAATGCAGAGTATAAAATTTCTAGCTGGGCTTTTTGTGAAAATATTTCTTTCTTTATCCCCTAGGATGCAACTCATCAAAATGTTAGAATAAAGATTTTTAGGCAACTAGAAAGCGTAGTTAACTTTCTCAATTTATGGGAGAGCCATTACATAAGAGAAATAGAATATTTTTAAGAAAGATTTTCTTTACAGATAATAGACTAACAAAAATGCAGTAGATTTAACATGTAGACAAATAGCATATTTTAAGATTCAAAATATTAACATTCAGAATTAATTATATCTTTTAAAATATAAATGTAAGAGCAGATAAAAGAATAGATGAGTGTTTATAAGAACTCAAGCTGAGGTTTCAGAGTACATCAGGTCTTAGTAGACCTATGCCTTCTGGTGGCTTGTGGTTTGACCTGGTGGAGTCAGAAAAGACACAGAGTTCAAATGCATTGGGTCATAAAATTGAATGTGTGAGGTCTGTAATGGAGGACATATTAATAGGAAATCACCACACTGTGGCCTTGGCTGCGGATACATTGATGGACTGAAGGAGTAGAATTCTAATGTATGTGAGTATCCTAAACAAACTTGGAAGTTTCTCTCTTAGCAGTTCCTAATGGCCTTCAAGAAGATAATGCTGATTATAGTACATTATGTTTGAAAGTATCAAATGGATGGAAATAGGGATGCTACCGTGACCAACAAACCTTACCGCTTTATAGAGTAAACTTGATTCAGAAACAAATAGACACCTTTGTAGAGATTTAACTATTGCCCACATTTTGTTCAACCACAGTTTTCTATTAAAAATCTCAATGATCAGTGAAAACTGAAATTACCCTACTTATTGCCAAAAATGAATTTATATTTTTATTTGCTCAATTTATCTTATAAATATAAAAATCTCTGATTAATATTGATTTGTTTTCATATCCTGTAATATCTTGAAACATTTCACTATCTATATGTAAAAGAAGTGTTTACTTGACAAGAAAAAAGTTTGAAAGAAAAGGGAGTCAGAAAATATTAGGAATATTTATAAAAACTAAACCAAACTCCAAAGGGCATTTATTTGTTGAAACTGGCATACTTTTTATTTCTTCCCCTGGAGGGGAATATAAATATGATAGTAGTAGGTCCCCATCTCTAATTTCAGCAGCAGCTCTCCTGGATACTTCCAGAAAAACTTGGCATCAAAATGTCTGTGTCCCATACCGAGCAGGTGGTATGTGTTTTTGTTTATTTGTTTTTTGGTTTGTCTTTGTTGTTGTTTTCTTTTTTCTTTTCCTTTTTTTCTTTTGCCCTGGCATCTTCTCCAAACTAAGGCATTTAAGTCTCATAACAGATGTATAGAGGAGGAAGTAACACCATACCCATTTTGCAGGTAAGAAATAAAAGGCTACATAACTTGCTAAAGGTTTATAGAACAAGTAAATGATAGAGCCGGAATTTTAACTCAGCAAATGATAGAGCTGGGATTTCAATCCTGCACTAGGTTGTCTGACAATAGAATCTCTCCTCTTAAATCAGTATATAAAATGTTTCCTTCAGATAGATAAACCATCTTATTCTTCCAATAGCCCCCTGCTTAAACAAAACACTTTTAGATTTTGGTATTTGTTATGAAGAGGACTCATGATAACTTATCTCCCATAAGCACCTCATTACACCTTGGTGGATTTATGATCCACACAGTAATCACTGATGTTGTATTAGTATTGAGAATTATTCACATACACACAGTGTTTTCAATGGAAAATGATAAGATTCACAATAATACATTTCTGCTGTGAAGCAGTTTTGTGATTGATTGGCAATGATACATAGAGAAGATTCACAAACTGTCCTTCATTAGAACTGCCTCAAAATACATAATGAATCAGAGCTTTTAGCATTCATCAACACATATATGCATGTCTGGAGAAATGATGAAGTGATTGTGCCAATGAATTAATTGAAGGGAAACTTGGAGAAAAAACTTGTTTTAATAGAACACATAATGGAGAGCACACAACCATTGCTCAATATAATTACAGTGCTCCAGTTGTCAGAGTGGACATTGTCTTTGCTATTAAGATTTGTCTTCTGGACTAGAGTGTAAGAATTCATACCCAAGTCCTAGAGAATGAAATTCTGCAAATGAAAATACTAAAAGGAATCACACACTTTATTAGTCCCTTTTCATGCTGCCGATAAAGACATTCTCAAGACTGGGCAACTTACAAAAGAAAGAGGTTTATTTGACTTACAATTCCACATGGCTGGGGAGGCTTCACAATCATGGTAGAAGGTGAAAAGCATGTCTCACATTGTGGCAGACAAGGGAAGAGACCTTGCACAGGGAAACACCCTTTCTTAAAACCATCAGATCTTGTGAGACTTACTCACAATCATGAGAACAGCATGGGAAAGACATACCCCATGATTCAATTATCTACCACCAGGTCCCTCATACAACATGTGGGAATTCAACATGAGATTTGGGTGGGGACACAACCAAACCATATTATTCTGCCCCTGGCTCCTCCCAAATCCCATATCCTCACATTTCAAAATCAATCATGCCTTTCCAACAGTCCCCCAAAGTCTTAACTCATTTAAGCATTAACTCAAAAGTTCACAGTCCAAAGTCTCATCCAAGGCAAGACAAGTCCCTTCCGCCTATGAGCCTGTAAAATCAAAACCAAGTTAGTTACTTCCTAAATACAGTGGGGGTACAGGGATTGGGTAAATACACCCCTTCCAAATGGGAGAAATTGGCCAAAACAAACGGGCTATGGGCCCCGTGCAAGTCCAAAATCCAGTGGGGCAGTCAAATCTTAGAGCTCCAAAATGATCTCCTTTGACTCCATGTCTCATATCCAGGTCACACTGATGCATAAGGTGAGCTTCCATGGCCTTGGGTAGCTCCATCCCTGTGGCTTTGCCAGGTACAGCCCACCTCCCAGCTGCTTTCACAGGTGGGCATGAGTGTCTATGGCTTTTCCAGTCACAAAATTTAAACTGTCAGTGGATCTACCATTCTGGGGTCTGGAGGACTGTGGCCCTCTTCTCACAGCTCCACTAGGCAGTGCCCCAGTAGGGATTCTGTGTGGGGGCTGTGATCCAAAATTTCCCTTTTGCACTGCCCTAGTAGAGGTTCTCCATGAGGGCCCCACCCCTGCAGCAAACTTCTGCCAGGGCATCCAGGCATTTACATATATCTTCTGACATCTAGCTGGAGGTGCCCAAACCCCAATTCTGGACTTCTGTGCACTCATAGGCTCAATACCACATGGAAGCTGCCAAGGATTGGGGCTTGCACCCTCCAAAGCCATGGCCCAAGCTCTACGTTGGCCCCTTTCAGCCACAGCTAGAGCAGCTGGGATGCAGGGCAAGTCCCTGGGCTGCACACAGCGTGGGGACCCTGGAGCAGACCCACGAAACAATTATTATTATTATTTTTTCTAAACCTCCAGGCCTATGGTGGAAGGGGTTGCTGCAAAGGTCTCTGACATGCCCTGGAGACATTTTTCCCATTGTCCTGGTGATTAACATTTAGCTCCTCATTACTTATGCAAGTTTCTGCAGCAGGCTTGAACTTTTCCTCATAAAATGGGATTTTCTTTTCTATTGCATTGTCAGGCTGCACATTTTCCAAACTTTTATATTCTATTTCCCTTATAAAACTGACTGCCTTTAACATCACCCAAATTACTTCTTGAATGCTTTCCTACTTAGAAATTTCTTCTGTCAGATACCCTAAATAACCTCTCTCAAGTTCAAAGTTCCACAAATCTCTAGGGCAGGGGCAAAATGCTGCCAGTCTCTTTGCTAAAACATAACAAGAGTCACCTTTGCTCCAGCTCCCATCAAGTTCCTCATTTCCATCTGAAAGTACCTCAGCCTGGATTTCATTGTCCATATCATTATCAGCATTTTGGTCAAAGTCATTCAAGTCTCTAGGAAGTTTCAAATGTTCCCACATTATCCTGTCTTCTTCTGAGCCCTCCAGACTGTTCCAACCTTTGCCTGTTACCCAGTTGCACAGCTGCTTCCAGGTATATTTTCAGATTTTCAGAAAATCTTTTCAGAAAAGATTCTCATGTATCTTTTCAGCAGTGCCCTATTCTACTGGTACCAGTTTACTGTAGTAATCCATTTGCACGCTACTAATAAAGACATACTCGAGACTGGGCAATTTACAAAAGAAGGGTTTATTGGACTTATGGTTCTACATGGCTGGGGAGGCCTCACAATCATGGCAGAAGTTGAAAGGCACATCTCACATGGCAGCAGACAAGAGAAGAGAGATTGTGCAGGGAAACTCCCCTTTTTAAAACCATCAAATCTCGTGAGACTGACTAACAATCATGAGAACAACATGGGAAAAACCTGCCCCCATGATTCAATTACCTCCCCCCAGGTCCCTCCCACAACACGCAGGAATTCAAGATGAAATTTGGGTGAGGACACAGCCAAACCATATCACACACACACACACACACACACACATTAAGCATTAGTATTCAGAGAACTATTCTGGGACCAATGTCCTAGGTTACAATCCAAGGCTAGGGAAGGAGATCCTCTACTCTCTGAAAGGGCATAGTAAGGCACAGAACCAATGACTGCTGCAGAGCCTGCCATATGGCTGAACTTCAGGGCTCTCTGCAGTGACAACCAAGCTTCACGGACACTTGCAGCAACCCTCTCTGTACACTCTGGAAGCTTAATAGCTCTGTGCCTTTAGTGGTTTCCCAGGGTATTCTCTGCTATATAAAACAATTATTACAGTTTTGACACAACTGGAGAGCAAGCTCTTGATGGAAAACACCAGTAGTAAAGGCAGTGGTGGAGAGATTTCCCAGAGATTCTCAAGCACATATTGCTCAATACGGTCCATTAGTGGAGAGCTGGATAAGTAGACAACGGAAACCACAGATGCTGCCTAAAATTTGAACCCAAATGTCACACCACGGCCATGAATTAGTTCTTTATAAAGTTCTTACTTGCCTCCTGAAAATGTGAAAAATGCCAAGAGAGCAAGTTTTTCATAAAGCAAAGTCTATACATTTCAAGATATTTTTAGTTTGACATTGAGATAGTCTTTCCTTTTTGGGAGGGAGCAGATATTAATTGAAATATTTTCAACTCATAAAATTTTAACAATTATAGCTGGTACGTTGTTTTAATTTTTAAATACTCTTAACGAGAAAATTTTCAAAGTTTTTAACCACATTATAACAACACTTTTCAAAAAAGGTATGAAATATGATTCAGGTTGCTTAATAAACACTATATATAATTATTTTAATAAATACTAAATGTTAATAATTGATGCTTTTATAACATTACATTTTTACTTTAAATATTTTCACACTTTTTCATATACATATTCAGCTGTTTATATTAAAAATGCATTCAGTTAATTAAAATTCTAACTGAAATATTATAGAATCCAATATTCAGCAATGTCACTTATAGAGATGTAACTTAGTAACTTTTTTAAAAAATATAAAAACAAATATTTGCAATGTTCTTAATAAAAATTATATAAATTAATATAGTCATGTGCTCCATAATGATGATTCAGTCAATGATGGACTGCATATACAATGGTGGTCCCATAAGATTATAATACTATATTTTTACCGTACCTTTTCTATATTTAGATATACTAATACTTACTATTTTGGCACAAATGCCTACAGTATTCAATACAGTGACATGCTGTACAGATTTCTAGCCTAGGAGATATAGGATATGCCATATAGACTAAATATCATCTAGTTTTGCATAAGTGCACTCTATGATGTTTGCACAATGATGGAATTGTCTAATGGCACATTTCTCCACTGTCAACCAACGCATGACTGTAGTGTTACTTTGGAAAAATATCAACTTATATTTTCCTGAGTAAATGCATATTTTCAAGAATAAATTGTAAGAATAGACACCAAGAATAGAAAAAAAATACGTTCTTCTAGCATTATTATTATTATTATTAGTTTTGAGATGGAATCTCGAGCTGGTGCCCAGGCTGGAGTGCAGTGGCGCGATCTCAGCTCACTGCAAGCTCCGCCTCCTGGGTTCATGCCATTCTCCTGCCTCAGCCTCCTGAGTAGCTGGGACTACAGGCGCCCGCCACCATGCCCGGCTAATGTTTTTTTTTTTTTTTTTGCATTTTTAGTAGAGACGGGGTTTCACCGTATTAGCCAGGATGGCGTGGATCTCCTGACCTCGTGATCCACCCGCCTCTGCCATCCCAAAGTGCTGGGATTACAGGCGTGAGCCAACGCGCCCGGCTTTAGCATTATTTTTTTCTGAAGATTAGCACATTAAGTAGAAATAAATTTTTACCTTCAAAAACTTGTATATATTGAGATGTATTCAAAATAAATTTTCTATATAATTTTAAAGATATGTTTCCCAAGAGAGATTCTTTGAAAGTGTATTAAGTGATGCGACTATTTTGTCCCTGCATTAACAGTAAGTTATTTTTTCTCACAATCTGTTTACATTTCACTTTACTGACATTTAAAATCTTCTCCTTTGTTGGTATTACCTTTTAAAATTATTTATTTTAAAAACTGACAAATAAAAAGTATCTATATATATATTTATAATGCATAACATGATTTAATTGAAATTTTGTAACCATCTCCCCAGTCTGCCCACCCACCCCAACTCCAGCCCTTGGTAACCACTGTTCTAATCTCTACTTCTATGAGTTCGACTTACTTAGATTCTATATATAAGTGAGATCGTGCAATATTTGTCCTTCCATGTCTGGTATTAGCATTTAAACTTTTTGTTTTCTTGAATGTGTTTCATACTTTGTCCAGGAATTGTCTTTCTCTACAGCTTTTATGTTACATCAGGAAATTAAGCATGCTTATTGTTCTCATTATTGCCTGTCAGTTTACTATAAGTGGCAGAACTGCATAAATTGGAAATAAGAGATTTAGATATCTTTATCGATTTTTGTTTCTTACATATTTTCTCTATGAACCCACACATTCTTCAATAGAGATTATGACATTTTCTGTATCATAACAAAGCAGTCTTAAAATAATAAGAGACAGAAATTCAGACACTTCAAGTTCATTTTTAATCCTTTATTTTTGTTTTTTCTTCCACTGTTACAGGATGTGGAAAGAAAAGCAGTCTTTGTAGTGACAAAGCTGACCAATGTACCCGTAGGGAAAAGACTCGTTTTCTTCAAGACTGAAAAAGGCAGATTTTGAAATTTTAACTGTAGGTGTAAAATTTATAATTAACCTCTAGAAATAAGCTTTAATCTCTGATCAGTGACAGTGAAATACACTGTGCAATACTGACTATGGCATAGCTTTATATACCAATACATTTATTCTTTTTTAATTTGATATTTAAATCAAGAGGGATTTAAGCAATATGCAAGGGCTAATTACTTGGGGCTGCAAATGTGTAAGAGTCAATAATGACAGAAAATAGTTTTCACTTTTAGCTTAAATCTGCAAATCCATTCTTTTCACCCATTCAGGCACTAAAATGAAAATCCCTTTGTACAATTCTTCAAAAAAGCATTTGGAAGTTACAAAATTCAGAAGAAGATATCATAAATGAACCAGAGATTCCAAATATCATGGAAAAATTATGTTCATTCAGATCAGATTAATTTCAGTTCAAATTAATATTTGTAATTCTTATCTGCACTGAAAAATTCCAATAAATATAGAGTTCCATGTTTGATAAAAATCTTCCTATAATATAGCCAACACTGAACTACCAGGCTCAGTGGATTTCAGATGGAAATCCAAAAAGTGAAGTCATATATATGTTTGAATATATATAATATATATATTCCTTCCAAACAACCAATCCAATGATGCATCAAAAAATTAACGTATCGTGATCAAATGGAAGTTTAAGTGTGGTTCATTGCATTTTTGTATTTAGCCTATTTATATCTGTAGTGTATTTTCCTACAGTGTTTTCTGTCTCTTTCTAACAACATGATATGTATTAGTTGAGTAGGAGTGTTTAGACAAATTAGATAAATATTTATTATATATAAACAGGTTATTCACAAAAGAAACAAATTAGAGAAAGATAACCCTCTCTAGTAATAAAAACACAAAAATAATGCAACAATGAGAAATCACTTTTTACTCATTAGGTTAGGAAAAATTAAAAAGCAAAATGATATCAATTACTCATGTGGATGCATAGAAGCAATCTCATCATGCACTGCTGACGAGAATGTAAATTGCTACACCTTTCCCAAGAATTTAGACAATGCACATTAAAATGTAAAATCACAAATCCAACCAAATACAAAATTTAAAAAATTTTAAACAACAGTTCACAACAGAAGAAACCTGAATAGCAAAAAACTTGTGAAAAAGTACTGGGAGTATAAATTGTGAAAATCAGTTTAGAGAGCAATCTGAAGTTATCTAGTGACATTGGGTATGCACCTACAATTCTATCTTTATGTATACACTAGAAAAAGGAACAAATTCAACAAACGGTGAATACAAGAAACTTTGTAGTGATACTGTTTGTAACAGTGAAAAACATGAAAGCAGCCTAAATACGTATTAACAGGAGAGTAGATAAATAAATTGTAGATAAAAACCTACAATGAAATACTTTATACCTCTGAAATGAAACCACTAAATTGTAAAATTGTAACAGTGAAACAAAGTTGTCGAAGGCATCGTACTATGGCATGTATATAAATTTTGTATAAACTTTTAGAAGAATTAATTAGGGTAATATATTGTTTATGGACAATACATATAGTGTAAAAGTAGACAAACATACAGAAATTAAGCACACAGCATTCAGGATAGGAGTGAACTCTGAAAAAGAAATGGAGAAAGATGGAATCAGAGAATATCTATGTTTGCAATATAGTCTTATCTTAAGCTGTGTGGTCAGTGTATGAGTGTTTGCTGTTTGAATATACCATTTGTTAATGTCTAGAATATTTACTGTAACCAAGAAGATGGGATTTTAATTTCTGGCAACAGGCCAAACTAGACATTCAGAGCAATGTCTTTAGGTGTAGCACATGTAAAATCAATGAAGAAATAATATTGTGCGTTAAATATTAAGTTTATAGCTGAGCTGGTATAGAAGAAAGAAATTTCCTGGAGGTCAGAAACATAGAACATGAGAACCCAGAAGGGCAAGGGAGCACTGGAGTCATTGTTTGTCCAGGTTTTGCCTGCAGATCCCTGCATTTAGAAAGCCTCCGACAGAGGCAGGAGACAGAACCTGCAGCCTGAGCAGGATGAGAGGGTGAATTGCCCATCACAGCATAAAATGAAAACTCCTGAAGGGTTAGACTCAAGGGGTAATCTAGAGAAAACTAACACAAAAAGAGTGGAAGTGTGCATCACTGCCTCTTCCAGGCTTGGCCAAGTAGAGCAGAAGAAAAGCAAAACATTCTCTGAGGTTTTCTAACCACAAATCTGTACTCATAAAGGTTTATGGTTGGGAATATAACTAACTGTGTATTCCAGTTACCATAATACAATTTTTAATGCTGCTTTCAGATTGTTAGTGCAACCAGGTAACTGGTAGAAGTAAAAGAAATTCCTCTCTAGAGAAAAGCATTTTAAGTAAAGACCTCAAACAAATTCCTACAAAGAAAACTCCAAGTATCATGAGTTCATATTAAAAAATCACTAAGACAGATGTGGAAATAAAAACACCATGAGCAATGTTATTCTGCCCTTAGCCAAGGGCTAAGTAAGGGTTTCTGGGGCCCTCAGCTTCTATTCAGTGGGAGTAAACTGCACCTCCAGCAGCCGCACTCTCAAATAACAAATACCTGGCTTTCCCAGACCACATTAACACGTGACAATAAGGAGGGTCCCAAACGCGCCAGTCATCCCTGTGGTAATCAGAGGCATACCACCACAGCATGACTTGATGGCGTCAGAACTAATCTTATTCTTCCATTAGCCTTCCCCTGTCATTCATCTCAAGGATCCCTAGACTCTCAAGTTCCCTGTCTCCACTGTAAACTCTATAATTCTCTGTATATCTCTTGCCAGGCCTCCCTCTCCCATCCTGCCTCAATTCTGTGCTTTTTTGGAAGGCATAATCTGCCTTTAACAAAATCTACTCCATCATTAACTTTCCTTGATCTTTCTCTTCAAAATTTCGCTCCAACAGGAGCCTTGAGGATACTCCTTCCCCACTGTCATCTCTTGAGGTGGTTGTTGCTGTTGTTTTCCTTGAAAACCTTTGTACCTTAAGATTGTAAGGATGTTCTCCTTGCTCCTCACTGCTGCTTCCAAATCATGTTTCCCTTCCTCTTGAAATCCTCTCAGCTCTAAATTCCCTGCTATCAGACTTTATAAATTTTTTTTAATGTCACCACCAAAAGAGAACTTCTCCAGATGCCCACAATCACAGTTTCACCTATAGGCCCATCTTTTGCTTTAAGTGAACTAATCCTGCTCCAACCTAAAGCTGATCGATCATTCCTGTTGCAGTAAAGTGCTAAGTCTCTTCCCTTACTGCCTTTACAGGGAGCTCCAGTAAACTTCCTTCTCTCTGTCCTACTCCTACATCTTTCTTTTTTCTCTCTTTCTATTTAGCCAAACAAACATGCTCTCATTTATTTCATCTCAAACACAAGACAAAATACAAATCTTTTTATTCCATTTTTTTTTTTTTTGCTGGATACTGCCCTATTTCTCTGTCCATTTAGAGTCAAAACTCCTCTAACAAGTTGTCAATTCTCGTCTTTTCTCCCAATATCTCTTTCTCTCTCACACACACAGAGAGAAGCATACATACATCCAATTCTGTTTTATCCCTGCTTCTGCATTATAAAATACAATAAAGAATGAATTTCATTCTTAACAATGACATTTGACACAATTTCTCACTCCTTCTCTTTTGAAAAGCTCTCTGTACTTGCCCTTGAGGACAACACATTCTCCTGCAGTCCTTCCTGCCTCAGTGACTTCTCCTTCCTAGGCTGCTCTGTCAGTTCTTTCTCTGCCCTTCAGTTTCTTCATGTTGCACAAATGAGCCTTCTTGCCCTTCTCTTTTTGATTCCCATCCACTTCCTTGGTAATCTCATTCAGGCTTATGACTTTAATGCCTTTTATATGTCAAGGACTTCCAAGTTTATATCCACAACCTATGTTTTTCTCCTGAACTCCAGAAACATCCAATTGGATCCAGATATCCAATCCTACTCAACGTTTCCACTTGTATGTCTAGCAGAAATTGCAATCATAACAGTCTCCAAATTGACATTTTTTTTTCCTTCCAGGAATTTTATTTTTAATTTTTTTTATTTCCCTAGGTTATTGAGGAACAGGTGGTGTTTGGTTACATGAGTAAGTTCTTTAGTGGTGATTTGTGAGATTTTGGTGCACCCATCATCCAAGCAGTATACACTGCACCAAATTTGTAGTCTTTCATCCCTCACCCCTTTCTCATCCTTTCCCCCTGTGTCCCCAAAGTCCATTGTGCATTACTTCTTAATAATCTACCTCCCTACACACTGTACATGCTCTACCCACAGTACTCGCTCCATCTTTGTTTACAGAACCTCCATACTTTCAGTTACTTAGGCCCCAAATCTTGGAATAATCTTTTATGCCTCTTGGTATGTCAGAGTTCACTTCTATTAGCCCAAAATACCAGGATCCAAATACTTCTTACCACTTCCAATACTAAGGTATCAATATTTGTTATTTGAATTATTATAAGGCTCCTAAAGTATCTAGTTCTATCACTGCCCCTTTTTGGGTGACTATCTGAATATCAGCTATAAAGACTTTTTAAAACATGAATCAGATCATGTCTTCCAATGTTCAAAATCTTCCAGTGGCTTCCTATTTGACTCACAATGAAAAACAAAATTTTACCTGAATCCTGGTCCTTTTCTGACTTTATCTCATACAACTCTCCCTGCTTGCTTCCTATACTTTAGTCATGCTGGTCTTCTGTTCCTCAAACGTGGCTTAGGATTTTTTCACTATCTATTCCTTTATCTTGAACTCTCTTCTTCCAGATATCAATTGTGAGATCCCCTAATGTCCTTCCGGTAAGACTTCTTCTCTCAGAACCTTATCTAAAATTGCAGCCCAGCTCAAACCCTACCAGCACTCTCAGTCCTGCTTTCTCTGCTATTTGCTTTCTGTTACAGAACTTATTGTCTGCTAATATAAAATTATGTATTGTTTTCCTCCCTTTACTGGCTTGTTAGCTCCATGAAGGCATGAACTTTCATATTTTATTCTTTGCTAATGTTTTCCAAGTGCCTAGACAAGAGCCTGGTACAAGGAAGGTGCTTGGATTTATTAAATTATTATTTAATAATTTACTGAATGAAAATTATTAAAAGGATACAATTATAGAATATGAAAATAATCAGTTTAAAATAAGAAATAGAAGATGGCATTAAAATATGACAAAGAAAAACTCGATTGACAAAATTGACAAGACATTTGAAAATGAAACCTAAGAGACACTCAGAAAAAAATCCCAAATATTGTAGTAAAAACTAATTGGATATACTAATCTAGAATTTAGAAAGAGATGAAAAGAGAAAATTGGGCAGGAAGCAGAGGTGAGAAAATTACTTAAGTGGCATCAAAAATGACAAGGAAGGAGGAACTATGTGAGAGAGCTCAGGTGATGCAGAAGCTGGAGGAATACGTCTGGGATAGGCCTCATGGAAATTCCAGAAGAAGATACAGCATAAAGAAGGAGAGCAGAGATACATGATGAGAATTTTCAGCACTGATGTAGATATTAGCCCTAATATATAGAAAGCTCAGTGGATTCTAAGCTGAATAAATAAAAAGGGATTCAAACCTAGCCACATCAGAGTGACACTTAAGAATGACAAGAATAAAAAATTTAAATAGATACAGAAGAAAAATGTAGATTTGCTTAAAGGTAATGATAACTAGACTAAGAGGAGACTAATCAATATTTAATATGAATAAAATAGCAGTGAATAGAATTCTATACCCAGTAAAACTATCTTTTGAGAATAAGGGCATAATAAAGGAACTTTCAGACATGTAATAATTGAGATAGTTGACTACTGTATTATTTTCCTGGGGCTGCTGTAATGAAGTACCACAGACCAGGTGGCTTAAAACAACAAAAACTCATTGTCTCAGGGTTTTGGAGGATAGAATTCAAAATTCAAGGTGTTCACAGGGCTATGCTCTATCTGAAACCTGGAGGGGAGAACCTAGGGAGAACCTTGCCTCTTCCTTGCTCCTGATGGTTTGCCAGCAGTCTTTCCCATTTCTTGGCTTGTAGCTGCATAATGTGCATCTGTATCTCCATCAACACATGGTATCTCCCCGTGTGTGTGTGTGTGTGTCTGTGTGTGTGTGTGTGTGTCGTGTCTCCTCTTCTTATGAGGAACCAGTCATATTGGATTAAGGACTTATCTGACTACATTATGGCCTTATATTAACTAATTACATCTGAGATAATACTGGTTACATCTTTCACATATCTTTTTGTGAGATACAATTCCAACCATAACAACTACTAAACTTCTTCTAAATGATATAAGAAAATAAGGATAGAATATCTAAGATGCAGGAAGAATTGAGGGGTAAGAAAGAAGCACTGAGTATATACAAAAGAACAACAATATGTAACCGAAATCATAGACATTATTGGCATATGAGTCAGGAGAGAAATAATCAGATTTTAAGTACTAGTATTGAAAATCCTAGTATCATTTGAAAGAAGAGAAACTATATTAATAACATTAGATATTGTTGAGGTAAATGTGCATGTAGAAAGTTTGAAGATGGCCATATAAAAATACAAACCAAATATGTAGCTTCCAATTTAGTAGAGAGGAAGGAAATAGCATTAGAAGAAAAATAAATGAACAAACCAACAAACTCAATCCAAATAATTAAGAAAGAAGAGAATAAATATAAAGAAAATGAGAAAAAGTAATTAAAAAGAAATGCTAATTAGAAGACAGAAATGTGTCCAGGCCAGGCACAGTGGCTCGCACTTGTAATCCCAGCACTTTGAGAATCCCGTGGCAGGTGGATTTCTTGAGCCCAGGAGGTCAAGACCAGCCTGGGCAATATAGTGAAACCCTGTCTCTACGAAGAAAAAAAAAAAAAGGCTTGTCTGTCCTATAGTCCCAGCTACTCAGGAGGCTGAGGTGAAAGGATCACCTGAGTCCAGAAGGTTGAGGCTACAGTGAGCCAGGATAATGCCACTGCACTCTAACCTGGGTGATGGAGTGAGAAGCTATCCGCCCCCCCAAAAAAAGAAAGAAAAAGAAAAAAAAAGAAATGTGTCCAAATGTGTCAATAATGATGTGTGATGGTTAAAACTGAGTGCCAAATTGATTGGATTGCAGGATGCAAAGTATTGATCCTGGGTGTGTCTGTGAGGGTGTTGCCAAAGGAGATTAACATTTGAATCAGTGGGCTGGGAAAGGCTGACCCACCCTTAATCTGGGTGGGCACCATCTGATCAGCTGCCAGCATGGATAGAATATAAAGCAGGCAGAAAAATGTGAAAAGACCAGACTGGCCTAGCCTCCCAGCCTATATCTCTCTCATGCTGGATGCTTCCTCCCCTTAACATCGGACTGCAAGTTCTTCAGTTTGGGGACTTAGACTGCCTCTCCATGCTCCTCAGTTTCCAGATGGCCTATTCTGGGACCTTGTATTATGTAAGTTAATACTTAATAAACTCATATATATATATATATATATATATATATATATATATATATATATATTTTCTCTTTTCTCTTTTCATCTCTTTCTAAATTCCAGATTAGTATATCCAATTAGTTTTTACTACAATATTTGGGATTTTTTTCTGAGTGTCTCTTAGGTTTCATTTTCAAATGTCTTGTCAATTTTGTCAATCGAGTTTTTCTTTGTCATATTTTAATGCCATCTTTATTTCTTAAATATTTTAAACTGATTATTTTCATATTCTATAATTGTATCCATATATATATATATGAGTTCTGTCCCTCTAGAGAACCCTAACCAATACTGATTTTCATACCAGGACTGGCTCTAGAGGAACAGAATATTAAGAATGGTGTTCTTTCATTGGCTTGGGGGTTTCTGGAGTTGGCTGCTTAATATGATTAAACCCAAAAATGCTAAGGACTCTACTTCTAATAATATAGAGAACACTGATAGTCCTTGGCATGAACTGTTCAGAGAGTTATGAAAAATAAATGCATTTGACGATCCTGATACGCCACTTGTGAGAGGCAAGAAAGTTTAGTGACTCTATACATAATACATTTGACCATATGCGGAGAACCAAGAAACACAATGAAGCTGGTTGGTTGCTCCTAAGTTCAGCGGACAAATTGATGAAAGAAAATTATGAACTCAGGGATTCTATTTTTCAGCTTCAGAAGCAAATACTGAGCCTCAAATCTGCTAGGACTGCCCTGAGTAAGAGTCCTATCTCCTGTAGAGAAAGAGCTGAAGTTGTGGAAAGACAGGCACAAGCTCCTATTATGTGAGTGGCTGACCTGGAACACAAAGTGCATGCACGGCCTTGTCAGGTGTCTACTGTTAAAATGAGGCCATTGATTGGAAAAGAATGAAAACCTGGATTTTGGAATAGGGACATATGGGAGGACCCTGATGAGGCTGGGGACACTGAGTTTGTAAATGCTGATCAAACTTTTTTTGCCAGAAGAAACAGCTGCCCCATCCCCAGTAGTGGCTACATCCCCTCCCCAACACATGCTGCCATCAGCATTTCCACCTTTGTCTGAGGAGATAAACTCTGTGCTACCTGAAGCAACAGTGATGACCTCCCCTGAGGCATTTGCCAGGCAAGATAATGTTGATTCTCTGCAAGAACAACCCCCAACACCCCTATTTGCTTCTAAACTTATAACTAAAGTCCCAGCAGGAACCTAGAGGTGAGGTTGAGTGTGACCCATGAGGACATGTGCTACACTTGAAAAGTACTGCTTGAGTTTTGTAATTTATATATACAGAAATATGGAGAACAGGTATGGGAATGGATTTTAAGGGTGTGGGATAATGGTGGAAGAAACATAGTGTTGGATCAGGCTGAATTTATTGATTTGAGCCCACTAAGTAGGGACTCTGCATTTAATGCTGCAGCTTGGGGAGTTAAAAAAAAGTTTCTAACAGTTTATTTGCTTGGTTGGCTGAAATATGGATTGAAAGATGGCCCGCTGTGAGTAAGCTAGAAATGCCTGGTCTTTCTCAGTTTAATGGAGAGGAAGGGATCCAAAGGCTTAGGGAGATTGAGATGCTGTAGTGGATTAGTCACTTTAGACTTACTCATTCCCACAGGAAGGGTTCAGAAGATATACCCTTGACCAATGCCTTGTGAAATAGATTTGTGAGGGCAGGACCTGCATCTTTGAAGAGCCTTGTAATCACTCTTCTCTGTATGACAGATCGAACAGTGGGAATTACAGTCACTCAACTACAAAATTTAAATATAATGGGAATATATAGATCCCAAGGTGGCAGGGGCCAAGTGGAGGTACTCAACGGTCAAAGGCAAGATGGGTATAGCAACTTTAATGGACAGCAGAGACAAAGCAGCAATCAGAATAGTCTGACTCATGTAGAGCTCTGGCATTGGCTAATTAATCATGGTGTTCCTAGAAGTGAAATTGATAGGGAGACTACTGCATTCCTACTTAATTTATATAAGCAGAAAACTTCTAGGTTGAATGGACAAAAGACTAATTCAAATTATAAAAACAGAGAATCACAGCCCTTCAATTAATTTCCAGAGTTGAGCCATTTTACAGACCCAGAACCCCTTGAATGAAGGGCAGGCCAGTCCCATTGAGGAAGGACCCCACTACACTACCGACCATTTATGCTATTAATCTTTCTCCCACCCTTCCCCAAGCAGACCTCTGGCCTTTTACCAGGGTAACTGTGCACTAGGGAAATGGAAATTATCAGTCATTTCAGGGACTACTGGACACCGGCTCTGAGTTGATGTTAATTCTAGGGGACCCAAAATGTCATCGTGGTTTTCCTGTTAAAATAGAGGCTTATGGGGAGTTTTAGCTCAGGTCTGACATACACGTATTCCAGTGGCTCCCAGACTCATCCTGTAGTCATTTCCCCAGTGCCAGAATGCATAATTGGCATAGACATACTTAACAGCTGGCACAGCCCCCATGCTGGCTCCCTGACTGGTAGGCTGAGGACTATGATGGTGGGAAAGGCTGAACAGAAGGCAGTAGAGCTGTCTCTACCTAGGAAAATAGTAAATCAAAACCAATATCACATCCCTGGAGGGATTGTGGAGATTAGTGATACCATCAAGGACTTGAAAGACACAGGGGTGGTGATTGCCACCACATCCCCTTTCAACTCTCCCATTTGGCCTGTGCAAAAGACAGATGGATCTTGGAGAATGACAGTGGATTATTAGAAGCTTAACCAAGTGGTGACTCCAATTGCAGCTGCTGTACCAGATGTGGTTTCATTGCTTGAGCAAATTAACACATCTCCTGGCACCTAGTATGCAGCCATGGACTTGGCAAATGCCTTTTTCTCCCTTCCTGTCCATAAGGCCCACGAGAAGCAATTTGCCTTCAGCAGGCAAGGCCAGCAATATGCCTTTACTGTCCTACCTCAGGGGTATATCAACTCTCTAGCTTTATGTCATAATCTTATTTGGAGAGACCTGGATGGCTTTTCACTTTTGCAAGATATCACACTTGTCCATTACATTGATGACATTTTGCTGATTGGATTCAGTGAGCAGGAAGTAGCAAACACACTGGACTTACTGGTGAGACATTTGAGTGCCAGAGGATGGGAAATAAATCCAACTAAAATTCAAGGACCTTCTACCTCAGTAAAATTTCTAGGGGTCCAATGGTGTGGTGCCTGTTGAAACATTCCTTCTAACGTGAAGGATAAGTTGTTGCATTTGGCCCCTCCTACAACCAAGAAAGAGCCATGACGTCTAGTGGGCCTATTTACATTTTGGATGCAACACATTTCCCATTTGGGTGTGTTACTCCAGTCCACTTATCAAGTGACTCAAAAGACTGCCAGTTTTGAGTGGGGTCCAGAACAGGAGAAGGCTCTGCAACAGGTCCAGGCTGCCGTGCAAGCTGGTCTGCCACTTGGGCCACATAAACTAGCAGATCCAATGGTACTTGAGGTGTCAGTGGCAGACAGGAATGCTGACTGGAGCCTTTGGTAGGCCCCCATAGGTGAATCACGGTGGAGGTCTCTAGGATATTGGAGCAAGGTCATGCCATCTTCTGAAGATAACTACTCTCTTTTTGAGAGATAGCTCTTGGCCTGTCACTGGGCTTTGGTGGAAACTGAATTTTGACTATGAGTCATCAAGTCACCATGTGACCTGAACTGCCTATCATGAAGTGGGTGCTTTCTGACCCATCTAGCCATAAAGTGGGTCATGCATAGCAGCATTCCATCATCAAATGGAAGTGGTATATTTGTGATTGGGCTTGAGCAGGTCCTGAAGGCACAAGTTACATGAGGAAGTGGCTCAAATGCCCATGGTTGCTACTCTTGCTGCCCTGCCTTCTCTCCCCCAGCCTGCACCAATGGCCTTATGGAATGTTCCCTATGATCAGTTGACAAAGGAAGAGAAGACTCTGGCCTGGTTCACAGATGGTTCTGCATGATATGCAGGCACCACCTGAAAGTGGACAGCTGCAGCACCACAGCCCCTTTCTAGGACATCCCTTAAGGACAGTGGTGAAAGGAAATCTTCCCAGTGGACAGAACTTTAAGCTGTCCACCTGGTTGTGCACTTTGCATGGAAGGAGAAATGACCATATGTGTGACTATATACTGATTCATGGGCTGTAGCCAGTGGTTTGGCTGGATGGTCAGGGACTTGGAAGAAGCATGATTGGAAAATTGGTGACAAAGAAATTTGGGGAAGAGGTATGTGGATGGACCTCTCTGAGTGGTCCAAAACTGTGAAGGTACTTGTATCCCATGTGAGTGCTTGCCAGTGGGTAACCTCAGCAGAGGAGGATTTTAATAATCAAGTGGATAGGATGACCTGTTCTGTGGACACCACTCAGCCTCTTTCCCCAGTCTCCCTTGTCATTGCCCAATGTACCCATGAACAAAGTGGCCGTAGTGGCAAGGATGGTGGTTACACATGGTCTCAGCAACATGGAATTCCACTCACCAAGGCTGATCTGGGTATGGCCACGGCTGAGTGCCCAATTTGCCAGCAGCAAAGACCAACACTGAGCCCTCGATATGGCACCATTCCTTGGGGTGATCAGCCAGCTCTCTGGTGGCAGATTGATTATATTGGACCTCTTCTGTAATGGAAAGGGTAGAGGTTTGTCCTCACTGGAATAGACACTAACTCTGGATATGGATTTGCCTGTTCTGCATGCAATACTTCTGCCAAGACTACCATCCGTGGACTCACTGAATGCATTATCCATCATCATTGTATTCCACACAGCATTGCCTCTGACCAAGGCACTCACTTTACTGCTAAAGAAGTGTGGCAGTGGGCTCATGCTCATGGAATTTACTGGTCTTACCATGTTCCCCATCATTCTGAAGTAGTTAGATTGATAGAATGGTGGACAGGCCAGTTGAAATCACAATTGCAATGCCAACTAGGCAACAATACTGTGGAGGGCTGGGGCAAAGTTCTTCAGAAGGCCATGTATGCTCTGGATCAGCATCCAATATATGGTACTGTTTCTCCCATAGCTAGGATTCACGGGTCCAGGAATCAAGGGGTGGAAGTGGAAGTGGCACCACTCACCATCACTTCTCGTGATCCACAAGAAAAATTTTTGCTTCCTGTTCCTGCGACATTACGTTCTGCTGTCCTAGGGGTCTTAGTTGCAGAGGGAGGAACACTGCCACCAGGAGACACAACAACAATCCCTTTAAACTGGAAGTTAAGATTGCCACCTGGACACTTTTGGCTCCTTCTACCTTTAAATCAGCAGGCTGAGAAGGGAGTTACAATGTTGGCTGGGGTGACTGACTCGGACTATCAAGATGAAATCCATCTACTACTCCACAACGGAGGTAAGAAAAAGCATGCATGGAATATGGAAGATCCATTAGGGTATCTCTTAGTCTCTTAGTATTACCATGCCCTATTATTAAGGTCAATGGCAAACTACAACAGCCCAATCCTGAAGGGTCTGGTTCATTGGTAGTCCTGTCTGAGTGACCCACTTAATTATTATATCTATAGACACTTCTACATAATCTGTGAATATAAACACATTAAAACACAAATAACGGAATGATAAATTATTGCGTATCAGAATTTGAGACATAGCTGAAACAGTACTTAGAGAAAAAGTTGTAAACTTAAATATTTATATTGGAAATGAAACACAACTGAAATTAAATGACAATAGTATTTATCTGAAGTAGATGGAGAGAGAACAGAATAAGCCTAAGGAAACTAGAGGGAAAGAAACATTAATTAAATCATGGCAGAAGTTAATACAATGGAAAAGAAAGATATAATCAAGGGGATAAAGCTAAAAGTTTGTTGTTTGAAACAAAACCTCTATAAAGATTAATCAAGAAAAAATGCAAAAGGCAACAATAAACAGCAAATAATATTAAGGATAAAAAGGGAGTATAGAAACAGATTGAAAAGAGATTAAAAAGAATAAGAGGATATCTGAAATAACATATTCCCATTGATTTAGAAATTGGGATAAAATGAGAAATTTCCTAGAAAGATAAAAATAAATTAAACCTTCTCAGGAAGAAATTGAAATCCAAATGATACATTCAATCAGTAATTAGAAGTCTTTACACAAAGAAAATATCAATTCCAGATGGGTTTACATGTGACTTTTACCATATATTTAAAGAACATAAATTAAACAATTAAAAGCCTCAATAAAATATTTTAAGTGCAAAGGCAAATAAATAAAACTGCCCAACTCTTTATTAAGACTAGTATAAAGTTCTCACCCAAAGCTAAGAAGAACAAAACATAAGAAAGGAGTCTCATGAGCCAATTTCACTAGCAAACAATGATGTAAAATCCTAGTAATATTAACAATGTATGAAAGAATTAACAATGTATACATGACATGACACATCATGGCCAAGATATATTTATTCTAGGAATGCAAGATTGTTTCAATATCAGAAAATCTCTTTTAAAGATTCATTTACTAATAAAATTTATTGCATTGCAGATTTAAAAAAGGAAAATCATATGATCTTCTCAATATAAGATCTACTATGTAGAAAAAATTTGATAAATTTTACATAATTTATAATAAAAAGAGAACTCAGCATGTAATGGAAGTTCCTTATTGTAAAAAAAAGGGGTATCTATAAAAAATGAACAAAACAGAAAAGTGATAGTATATATCAGACTCAACACTGAAATAATAGAAGGTTTTAGTTCCAATGAATACAAGGAGACATGCTCACTCTCCCCATTACTATTCCACATTGCTCTCAGCATTAATAATAACAAGAGTATAACAATAATCACAAATACAAATGGATATAAGATTCAAGGTTTGTACAGGAAGATACAAAACTTTAACATTTAACATGCAAAATATTCTCCATAGAAAACCTTAAAGAATTCATAAGAGAAGTTAATACTTTATTTAGGAAATTAAATAATTTTTTGAAGATATTACCTAAATAATTGGAGAAACATACAGTGTTCATATAGGGAGAGAATAAATAGCATAATGATTTCAGTTCTATTTATTTTATAGTCTCAGTACAATGACAAAGAATCAGAACAAGATGTTTTCACAGAACTTGTCAAGCTGATTCTAAAATTTATGTGGGTGAGCAAACTGAAAATTAACAGTGAAGATACTTGTAAATAATAATAATAATAATGATATAGTAACAAATAAGTATGTGGTACTTACTGTCAGGAACCATTCTAAGTGTTATACAGTTATTAATTTATTCAATCAGAGAAAGCATACACAATAAGTTCTATTATTTTCTCATCCTGTCTTGCAGATACCAAACTGGAACCCAGAGAAGGTAGGTAACTTGCTGAAGTGACACTGTGACAGAGGGAAACCCTAATACATAGCACTGGAGCACACCTCCACAACACATTTCTAGAATAAGAGGATATAGGGAGAACCATCTCTGCCAGAATTGAGACTTATTACAAAGTTATAGCAATTGCGACCTTGTGATGTTGGTACAGGATAGATCAAAAGATCAGCATGATAGAAAAGAGAACCCAGCAACAGACCAGTATTTCAAACAAAAGACTAAACATGGAAGTTTATGCCGTATGTCAATGGGGGAAACAATGGATGAGTCAACAAAATTGCAATTAGAAAATTGGTTACATAAATGGTATTTTTTAAAAAACTGAAATAATTTCCTCCCTCATACCAGTCACAAACTTAATTTCAGAAAGAATAAGGACTTCCACTGTAGAAGGCAAATCTTTGAAACATATGTATAGGAGGAGATAGGATAATTTATTTATGTCTTTTTCCTCATCTATATATAAAAAATGTTATATATAATATATAATGTTATAATTAAACACATATATAATGTTACATATTATATATAATGCTATAATCAAACATATATGTTTAATTATATAAACATGTAACATTATAATTAAACATATAAATGTTTAATTATATAAATATATAATGCTAATGTAACAATATAATATTAAATGTCATAATTAAACATACATATGTTTATAACATTAATTTTAAATATTCTGTCTAGAAAGGATATTAATAATTACTATATATAATTATTATATATTACATATAAGTATTAATACAATAATTATGTTAATTTATTAATATTCTAATTTATGTCCTATAGAGAGAGAGAGAGAGAGGGGAGAGGAGGATCTAGGATAATTTATTTATATAATAAAATATATATTATATAAGTAATATATATTAGATATTATATATAATATATATTATATAAAATATATAATATATGAATATATATATATAATCCTACATCCCCTATATATGTAAGTATATGTTATGTATATATATGAGATATATACTTACGTATATATAGGAGATGTAGGAAAATTTCTTTATGGTCTCTGGGTAAGAATGATTTCTTAGTATACAGAAGTTCAGTATATAAAAGAAAAGATTGATATATTTTGATTACATTAAAAATTAAAATGTATACATTTTTTGTTCATCAAAGACACCATAAAGAGAGAGAAAGGAAAAGCCACAAACTGGGAGAAAACTGCAACACATATAACTGTTGAAGAACTTCATTTTATACTGTCGTGACAATAAAAGTGAAATCATGTTGAGAAAAGTCCTTAATTTCTACCTTCATCGTTTATTTCTGAAGCACATCTTTATAGTTTATATAAGCTCATAGAAAATTAATATTCCACAAAATAATAAAAATTCTAATTTCATTTTTACAAATCTAGGATTAAAGGTAACTGTGTTAGTACATTTAAAGCTTTGATTTTAAAGCGGCAATTTAGGGGTGCCTTCCAGGAAATAATTTCATTCTAGTATAGTTACATTAAGGACATTATATGGGGCCCTATGTTATAATGCTAAGAACACAAAAGAAATCCTGAAGATCAGCTTGCCAGTGCCATTTCACCTCATTTCTCCCTTTATTATGTTGCCAGTATAATTTACAAAGCCTGATTCAGACTAAATTTGGTATAAGACAAAGGAAAAAAGTAAAGGTCAGGTCAAACTGCATTGATGAAACTAGATCAAATATATGAACATTTCCAATACCCTCTCATTCTTGAAAACTATTCCATTAGTGTGGTTGTGACTAGCATTTTTAAGGTTCTCCTAGAGGTCCTCATGGTGATCAACAAAAGAACTTGTCATATAAGAACTATATCTCTTATTTATATGAACTGTTATATGAATTCCCCATGCTCTCTCTCTCAAGGTGGTGGGAAGATTAGAAGGGGAAGACAGAGTAAAAATCAGTGACACTCAGTCACTGTTGAAAATGCTACCTAGTGGCCTGTCATAGAGGGGATTTGCCTGCCTACTTGGTGTATGTAATTTGGTTCTGGCTCTATAGGACTTTTGGACTTTGTCTGCAGTATCCACCTTAGGCCTAGGCATTGGGTTCCCCCATCACTGAGAGTTACCTTCTTCTGAAATTTCTACCTCCTCCTCCAGTGACCAGGATAGCCTGGCCAGCAATGTGAATGGAGCCTGGACCTCGTCCTATGTGGATCCTGGTCTCCATAAGTGCCTACCTTGAAATTTTCCAAGTCCCCCTTCTGTGGGTGGTTCTCAGCAAAGCTAGTGGTGCCCCATTTTGCTGTTGTGCTCCACACCCTGCCTGAGACCCACCTAGGGCATGGCCACATTTCTTCCTTTCCTGCATGCTGTGACCCCTCTACCTGGCATGTAAGGTCAAACTGATGGCGCAAGGGTCCCCCGGACCCATGCCCATAGGATCATCTTTTTGCGAGTCTTGCTTTATTTTCCTGGCATTTACTTAACCCTCAAAACCGGTGCTGACACGGTGGCATTGAGTGACTCATACCCACGTGGTACATGGACCAGAGCAGTTCAGGGCTCTAGCCTACTGAGGGTCCATAGCCAACCCTTGGATTTGAGTTGAGCAGAGGTGAGTTACTGTGGCTCATGCAGGGTCTCTCATATGCCCATGTTGTGGCCAGATGCTGGCTCCTAGACACAGCACCCAAGAGTTGCTGGGGTGAGCCTTACCCCATACCCATGCTGCTGGCATCCAGGGCAGATATCCACAACTCCATGGGCTCTGCACCACATATCAAGCGATCCTAATTAGTATCCTCTCAAAGCCACTTATGTGTTGCCATTGTGCTCTCCCTCTAGCTGGACAGGAATGGGCATTCCTCGAGAAAAGACCTCCCTTCTTGCTTGACCACGGGCAAGTGATCAAGCCTAGTCTCCTCACTGGTGGTAAGTAAGAAAGGGTTCCTGGACACTGAAAGAGATCGCTTTTCAGAATTTGGTGATTACAGCCTAAAAAGTTCAAGGGAATGCATGGTTGGAAGATGAAGTTTTCTAACTTTTTATGATAAAATTCTGATGGGTAAATTTAAATTGACCATAAAATAAATTGCCATTCATGTTTTTCTGCATGTGGTCATTGTCAAGTCAGGGTAGTAACAACTTTAGGGTCATTGGAAGCCCCCATTGGAGCAAAGCATCGTTACATATGTTATTAGGGAACTGTAGAGGCAAGGAGGTCTATACAGATTCAATGAAAACATGCTCTGAATAATGTGATTTTTTAAACAACAATGTTTTTACCTTTGTCTCCAAGTGGGAAATATAACATTAGCAAGGAATAGTGTCTATGACAGTAGAGAACATGGAACAGTGAGGCCTGGATACCTCAAGGAATCTTCACATGCCCTATTTGGACTATAAAATACCTCAATCTCTCCTCTCGTCTTGTTATTATCCTCCCATTACGTCTCATGGGTCCAATAATTTTGTATTTTTTAATCCAAATTGTTTGTAGAGGTAAGAACTCAGATCCTACACTTTCCGGGGCAGAATAGTCTATATTAACTTGTTTCTTTAAAATTCTATCAAAGGCGTTCCTAGTTCTTCAAGTTACTATTTACCTAGACACATCATTCAGCTGGAGCAGGAGAATTATTACTATTTTCATATTTGAAATGTAGAGATGGAAGGAGAATTTTTAGTGACTAGTCCAAAATCATAGTAGCTCATCTGGAAATGGAACATATTTTTGTCAATGTTCTAATATATTTCTTCTATTTTAAGATAGTGAAATGGCATTAAAGCAACACTTGATCTCAGGTACTAGTAACAGAAAAGAGCAAAGCATATTTTAGCGAAGCAGTATAAGCTCTTAGTGATGTATTCATGATTCATTGCCTGGCAATTTCAATCTGTATCTAGGAGCATATAATACTGACTATAAATGCAATTGGAAGGCAGAAGCTAATGGTGTTAGAGGAACGAGGGGACAGTCCCAGATACAGTGGAATGCTTGAAGTGGAGTTGTGCCACTTTTTCTCCTTCCATGCATTGTGTATGACGAAGAAGCCCCTCTGTATCTCAAGACCTCCCTCTTCAAGGCTTGAAAAAAATTTCTTGGAAATATATCAGTGTTTAATAGCTTTCTTCATGTGAGTCTCTTATACCCTTTAAGATAATCCACTAGCATTGAGGTATATCCACCAGAACTTAGGTAAAACAGGTGGCAATGTGGTGCAATCAAAGACCATGGGTATTGGAGTAAGATAAATCTGAGTTTGAGTCCTAGTTTCAGCCACTCTCCAAGTACTCACCTGCAAATGTGACATAACAATGCTTACTTCACAACACAGATAATGGAGGCAAAGCACCCACCATACACATATGTTCAATACAAAGTAGTTATTACTACTGGCTCACTGTGTAAGTCCTTAGCTGATCCTAGTCACCATAATTAATAAGTATTATTTTTTGTGTGTCATAAATCTAGGCAGAATGGAACCATGGATGTTTGGAAGAGACTTTGGTAAACACTTCATCATTCACATAATCTATGCTACCATTATGGCCTGAAAAATTCACATGCTTGCAAAGAGGCTAAATTAACTGAGTGGACAGAGGAAAGCAAATGATAAAAAGAAATAGATGCTTAAAAATTCAACCATTTCTGCATAATATAAAAATTATACTCAGATGCTTACAGTCAAATTGTGGTGAGAAAAAGTCATAAAAACCGGTGTGAGATTCAATTAGGTGGTTAATTTTTAAAATTAATAAATTCATCAGAATCCTTTGAGTGAGCAGGCAGTCATAAATACATATGTGGAAAACCTTCTTACACTATTCTCTTTTTTCCCCACTAACATCCATTCTCTTCTACATGTCAGACTTTTTTATTTATCTGTATTATTTTCCATTCACAAGTCATAATTGTATACATTTATGGAGTACATTGTGATGTTTTGTTTTATATATATATAATGGGAAATAATTAAACCAAGCTAATTAACATATCCATCACCTCATTACCTATCATTTTTATGGTGAGACATCTGAAATTAGTTATCTAAAATCTCTTAGTTATTTTGAAATATACAATACTTACTATTGATTATAGTCACCTGGCTGTACAAGATATGGCAAAACTTACTCTTCCTGCCTATCTGAATCTTTGTACCCTTTGCCCAGCAATTCCCCATTCCCTTCCCCTTCTTCCCCTTCCCCCCTCCAGCCCCTGTGACCACCACTCTAGGCTCTCTGCTTCTGTGACTTCAACTCTTAGATTATAAAGATAAGTGAGATCATGTGGCATTTGTCTTTCTGTGTCTGCTTATTTCACTTAGCCCAATGTCCTTCAGGTTCACCCATGTTGTCAAAAATGACAGAATTTTCTTCTTTTTAAAGGCTGAATAGTATTTCACTGTGTGTGTACGTATATACCACTTTTTCTTTATCCATTCATCCACTGATGAACATTTAGTTTAATTCCATATCTTGGCTACTGTGAGTAATACTGCAATGAACACGAGAATGTAGATATCTGTTTGACATACTGATTTCAATTCCTTTAAATATACATGCAGAAGTGAGATTGCTGGATCAAATGTCAGTTTTATTTTTAGTTTCTTGAGGAAACTATGTACAATTTTACGTAATGGTTGTACTAATTTATATTCCCACCACAATGTACAAGAGTTACTTTTTCTCCAAATCCTTGCCAACACTTCTCTTTCATCTTTTTTATAAAAGCTATTCTAACAGATGTGAAGTGATTTCTCATTGTAGTTTTAATTTACCTTTTCCTGATGATTGGTGATGTTGAACATTTTTCATGTACCTACTGGCCATTTGCATGTCTTCTGTTGAAAAATTACTGTTCAAGTTCTTTGCCCATTTTTCAATTATTTGTGTTCTTGCTATTGAGTTGTTTGAGACCTTATTTATTTGTATATTAACTACTTATCAGATTTATAGTTTGCAACTGTTTTCTCCCATTTTATTTTTTTAACCAGAAGCAACAATCTTGCCTCAAATCTTATGCTAACCACAGGATGCCTTCTTACATCATGTGAAGGAAAGCTAATAACCAATGCCAGCCCTAATATTTTTTTTATCATAATGTTGACTATGGAAAAGTTTATGTGAAAATTAATACTATTTGAAGAATAAGTAAATTGCTCTCTGGTACTATTGCACATGCTAGAATTCACACAGCTTTATTTCTTTTAACATAAAGGCTCAATATAGTTTTAAATATAAATGTCTTATCTTTTAATATTTTAAATAATTTACTGGAAACATCCTGAAGTCTCCAGATTATTTGTATCAAATAAAACTGCTGATTTTCATTTAGAAATGCAAAAATTGGGGAAAATCAACTGATTTTGAGTATCTATTGCTTTTCCTAGCATATATTTTATGTATTTTGTTTATGATCTCACTTGCCTGAGTGGCCAAAAATCATAACAGGATTTCTACTTGTGGCTACGATGGAGTTAATAAAACTAGACCTCACTTCCCACTGTGAACATGTAAAAAACTGGGAAAACATACAAAGGAAAAGTTTTCAGATGTGATCCTGAAGAGGATTACAAAGGTCAGAATATGAGCCTTCTACCTAGGAACTTTAATGACTACGGCATAGGGAGCGCAAACTCAACTCAAGCAGAGCCAAGTTGAAAAGACAAAGGCTGAAGCTCAAGGGGCCAGCAATGGCTGGACATTGTTAAGCAGCCTACTGAGAAAATGGAGTAACACAGAGAAAGGGCTCCAGACATCTGCATTGGGGCCCTCTCGCATCTTCAGCTGAATAATAAGCTACCTATTCATAAAATGATACTCCAAGATGCCAAGAAAAGAAACATTACTGGGAAAAATAATTTAAAAACTAAAATTACAGGACTTTACATTTTAAAAATAGGATAAAATCTTCTTACCTCAGGGTTGGCCCAATTTCTTTATTATTATTATTATTTATACTTAAAGTTCTGGATACAGGTGCAGAACTTGCAGGTTTGTTACATAGGTATACACGTGCCATGGTGGTTTGCTGCACCTATCAACCCGTCACCTACATTAGGTATTTATCCTAATGCTATCCCTCCCCTAGCCCCCTAGCCCCCAACAGGCCCCACTGTGTGATGATCCCCTCCCTGTGTCCATGTGTTCTCATTGTTCAACTCCCACTTATGAGTGAGAACATGTGGTGTTTGGTCTTCTGTTCCTGTGTTAGTTTGCTGAGAATGCTGGTTTCCAGCTTCATCCATGTCCCTGCAAAGGACATGAACTCATCCTTTTTTATGGCTGCGTAATAATCTATGATGTTTATGTGCCACATTTTCTTTATCCAGTCTATCATTGATAGGCATTTAGGTTGGTTCCAAGTCTTTGCTATTGTGAACAGTGCGCAGTAAACATACATGTGCATTTGTCTTCATAGTAGAAAGATTTATAATCCTTTGGGTATATACCCACTAATGGGATTGCTGGGTCAAATGGTATTTCTGGTTCTAGACCCTTGAGGAATTTCCACACTGTCTTCCACAATGGTTGAACTAATTTACACTCCCACCAAGAGTGTAAAAGTGTTCCTATTTGTCCACTTCCTCTCCAGCATCTGTTGCTTGCTTACTTTTTAATTATTGCCATTCTAACTGGCATGAGATGGTATCTCATTGTTATTTTGATTTGCATTTCTCTAATGACCAGTGATGATGAGCTTTTTTTCATATGTTTGTTGGCTGCATAAATGTCTTCTTTTGAGAAATGTCTGTTCACATCCTTTGCCAACTTTTTGATGGGGTTATTTGCTTTTTTTGTTGTAAATTTGTTTAAGTTCTTTGTAGATTCTGGATATTAGCCCTTTGTCAGATAAAACATAGAAAATACTAACTATAAAAGAAAAGAGATTGATATGTCAGGCTTCTTAAGATTAAAAATTCATCACAAAAAAGACACCATTAAGAAAATAAAATAGCATGTATGGAAAGAGAGAAACTGTTCACAACACATACCTGACAAAAGACATGTATCCAAAGTATCTATGAATGTCTTATGACTCCATGATAAGAATATACACAACCCAATTTTTAAAATGTGGTAAATATTTGAACAGACACTTCACAAGTAAAGGATATATAAATGACCAATAAGCACATAAAAAGATGCTCAATATCATTAGCCGTCTGTAGTCCTTAGAGAAATGTACATTAAAACCTTAATGACTTACCGCTAAACACACTAGAAAGGCTAAAATTAAACACTGACAATAGCGAATATAGGCAAGGAAGAGGAACCACTGGAATATTCATATGTTATTGGTGGGAGTATAAAATGACACACCCACTTTGGAAACAGATTGGCAGTTTCTTAGAAAATTGCTGTATGATCTGGTGATATTACTCCTAGGTATTTACAAAAATTAAAAACACATATCCCCAGAAAATTTATATACAGATGTCCACTGCAATTTTATTTATAATTTCCAAAATTTAGAAGAACTCAAATGTTCATCAACAAGGCAATACTTCTCAGCAATAAAAAGTGGTAAACTATCAACATATGCAGCAACATAGGTAAATCTCAAAAGCATTATGTTGAACAAAGGAGTCAGAAATGGAAAGAGTACCTTCTCTATTATTCCATTTGTTTGAAACTCTAGGTCAGACAAACAAAAATACAGTGGCAGAAAGCAGAATAGTAGTTGCTTGGGGTGGGCGAGAATGTTGTGTCTGTCAATCATCATAATATAAGCTTGGAGGGTAAAAAATGTTCTATATCCCAATTGTGGTGGTGTTAGCAGAGGTGTATATATTTGAATTATATTTCATTAAAGTTGATTTAAAAAGTAACAATATGTAATTTTAAACATATTCAAACAACTTAGCATATCAAAATTTCACATTCTCTCTCTCGATATATATATATATATATTTTATTTAATGAAATTTGAGTTTTTTAGCACTTTAATATTATATGGGATAAATTTATTTCCTTGCTTGTGTTAAAACCCATTATCCTGAACATGCACCCCTTCTCTGTAGGGAAAACAATGTAGTTATCAATTCTACGGACTAATCACTGAATTAAACATTTTCTTTTGATAACACAATTGAAATAATCTTGAATATTACGCAGATTATTGGTAAAAGTAATTAAGGACTAGAGTAAAGGTAATTATAATTTCTGATGGATGAACTGATAGGAATAAAGTAAGAATTGACCTGAACCCTCATCTAAAAGTAGAACAAAATTAAGGGAAATCTTAAAACTTTAGTTGTGTTTTTAATTGATTTTCACACACCAGTGCACTCCTAAGTACTCTATTTTCACCGAGGACTATAAGCAGAACTTTCCTCAAGGAAAGATTTTTGGTACTTGTGACAAGGCAGGAATCATATAAAACTATCTTCCAAAATACATATAAAATGATATCTTTTCTCAGACCTATATATTCTTAAAGAAATTGATTTTCTTTCTAGTATACTAGTTAAAATAATAATAAAGGATCGGTTTCCAAATAAGATTTATTCAAATTAGTACAGGCAGTCTGATTTGCCTGCCACTATGTTAATGGGAACACATGTATACCAGACCTGTGTACTCTCATTTGCACAGATCCATAGTAACTGAAGTGCAGAGCAGACTTGGTTCAGATATGCACAATTTTTGTGAACGCAGTACTGTAACTTTTATATTTCCCTATCAACATGTATTCTATGAATTAACATAGGTTCCATTAATTAATTTATAATTAATTAGAAATTCCATTTCTAATCAATGGAACCTATGTCCATTGGTTCTTACATTAATTTGGGGGCTCTTACCTTAATATTTTTGTTTTATTTTTATTTACTTTATTTTATTTTTAAAAACGTTTATTTTAGGTTCAAAGGTGCATATGCAGGTTTGTTGTATAGGTAAAGTCATGTCACTGGGATTTGTTTTACAGAGGTTTGTTTTACAGATTACTTTGTCACCCAGGTACTGTGTTTTGTTTTGGTGAGAGAGATACATGTATCTATTTTTAAACATCATAAAATACTTTGTTTTACAATGCAAAACAGCAGTCCTTTCTCCCACTTGTTCCTACTCTCAAACCCTAGAGGCAATCATTCACAATCCTTTTAGCTGTGCCTTCTGGTATTTACCTCTATAATTTTAAATGATATGACATTATTTGTAAATAACATAATTATTTATAATAATATAAATTGATTGATCAATTGTGACCCCATCCCTGCTGGAGCTCTTTGTCCTCTTTTTTATTTTGGGGTTAGCTGCTTTTTCTTCACAACTTGCATTCCAGAATTCCCCTTCCATTCTCTCTTGTGTGGGAATTCTTCTTTCCCGGACCTGCTACCTCTCTTTTTCTTTGTTTGCTTTCATGTTTTAGCTAATGCTCTCATAGTTCCCTGAGGGATTGTGGGAAATAGTTTTTGGGGTATTATCTGTCTAAAATGGCTAATCTCTGCTCACATTTAGTAGTTTGATTGGGTCCAAAATTATATCAAACACAAATTTCCTTTAGAATTGTGATGACTTCACTCCACTGTCTTCTAACTTCCAGTGTTGCAGTTATGAAATGCATTCTCATTTTGTTTCTTCATTCCTTATAAGACCAAATCCCTTCACTCCTCAAGCTCAAAAGATCTTATTTTTTTTATTTTAATTGTACCAAAAGCGTATGGTGCTATGTCTTGGTGTGTGTGTGTATATATGTATACGTACTTCATTTATTGTTTTGAACATTTGGTGTACCTTTTCAATAAGAAGTCATATTCTAGAGTTCTGGGAACAATTCTTTTGTTACTTCTGATATTTTTCAGCCTTACATTTGCTCTGTTCATGCTTTTCTGTCAGATGGTACATCCCCCTGAAGTGATACTTTAATTACCTTTGACATCTAGTTGTACTTCCTGGAATATTCTTGCATCTAACAATCCTTCTATTGATTGTTCATCTCAGTCCTCACATTTCCAAAAGCTCTTTCTTGTTTTTCTTGTTTTCTGAGTGTTCTTTTGTTTTTTTCACACTCATGATTTTCTGAATATAGCTTCACTTTCTTTTTGAAAATTGGAACAGTGAAAGTGTAGAAGTTCTGTTTTTCTCCCAGTATCATCCCTATTTCCATTACATTCCTTTATTTGTTTATTTCTTGAAGTCTTTGTTTTTCTATTGGAGACTTTCTTCAGGTCACTGGGGTTTCTTGGATACATATTCATATTTAACAGTGAGACACTAAAATTTGTGTGTATGTGTGTGGCTTATCAGATGATTAGTTTTACTTTAGAGTAATCAGGTAGGGAGTCAGTGGTGTGCTGAAAGGTGGTTAGCAGGGAAGTTAAAGAGGGGACAAAACTGGATTTATGTATTTTCATAACTCTTATTAAGCAGAAGTGATGTTTACATATTTTGTATACATTGTTAAGTTGTCAATATAGTCATACATGACCCATACAACTTCAAAACAATAACATTTAAAAATTATTTGTGAATTTTCTCTTATCATTGCTTTCAATCACATGAGTAGATTATATTAATTTTTTAAACAAAGTGGCAGAAATCTTTTAGAAGATGACAATTTTGATTCTCTCCAATTTTTACTATTATATTTTTATGATTGTATTTGTATAAGTAATTTCATGGAAATACGTTTTTATTTCTCTTGGATGGAATGCTGAGTCTTACTGTAAGTATATGTCTAACAATTTAAGAAATAGTAAAACTATTTTTCAAGTAGACTGTACAATTTTAAATTCTTGCTGGCAATAAAAGGGTTTCAGTTTCCACACATTCTTCCCAATATTTTTTATTGTCTCTTTTCTTTATTATAGCCTTTCCAGTAGGTGTGTAATGGTATCTCATTATGGTTTCAATGTACATTTCCCTAATGACTAACAATATTGGCACCTTTTCATGTGCTTATTGGACATTTGGATATCATCTTTAGTAAAATGTGTATTCATATCTTTGGCCCATATTTTAAAAGGATTGTTAGTTTTCCTGTTATTGAGTTTTTATAGTTATTGGTAAATTCTTAGTAGTTCTTTACTAGATGTACGACTTTAAATATACTTTCTCCTAGTTTGTGTTGTCTTTTCATTTTCTTAATGATGTCTTTTTAAGCATAAAAGTTTTAAATTTTGATTAAGTTCATTTTATCAAACTCCTTTTAAATAGATCATGCTTTTGGTGTTTTACCTAAAAACTGCTTAACCCAAGGTCACAAAATGTTCTTTTATGTGTTCTCTAGAAATATCATAGTTTAAGCATGTACATTTATATACTCAGTTTGTTTTGAGTTAATTTTTGTGTACTGCATGAAGTAAAGGTCTAAATTAATTTTTGCATATGCATATTCAATTGTCTCTGTAGTAATTTTTGACTATCCCTTTCTCAATGAATTTTCTAGGCATCTTTATTAAAATCAAATGACCATTAATTTAAACCTCATGGAGTATATAAATAATAAAATATATGATTGTAATTATTATTTCCTTTTTGAACTATGAGTTTTTAGAAAGAACAAATCAAAATTTGAAATTGTTGAGTGGCTTGTTTCTTCCCAACTTGTTAAAAATTTTTTTTGGCTTTGTTAAGTTGTCATTGTAAATATGGTTTATCTTATGTCTATATTTTGAGTTTATTGAGGTATTTTTGGGCATAATATAGGATGAAGTTTTAAAGCAATTAGATAAAAGGAATATTTTTATTTAGCTCTCTTAGCCTAGTGTTTTCTCTATGGAAATGTTTTAAGCAAAAAAAAAAAAAAACTTGAGTTCTTTAATAGATATAGGGCTATTTGAATTATCTATTACTTTTTTAGTGAACTATGGTAGTTTTTGTTTCTAAAGAGATTGGTCCATTTTATCTAAGTTATTGAATTTATAGTATTAAGCTCATTTTAGTCTTCTAATAACTGTAGAATCTCAATTGATGTCTTGCCTCTCATTCTTGATATTGGTAATTTGTACTTTCTTCTCTCTCTTTCTTTCTGCTCTCCTGATTGGTCTGGTTAAAAAATTATCAATGTTATTGAACTTCTCAAAGAACTACTTTTGGCTTCATTTATTTTCTCTAGTGTTTCTCTGTTTTCTAATTCATCATTTTCTACTCTGACCTTAAAGCTTTTTTAACTCTTTATTTTAGAGTTAATATGTTTGTTTTCTAGTTTTTAAAGGTCAGACTGTTGGTGATTAATTTCATCATCCTTTTTTTCATAATATAGGCATTTAGTGGTATAAATTTTTCCCAAATTACTACTTTAGTGGAATTTCCAAAACTCAAACATGTTGTGTTTTCCCTTTCAAAAAAGTTTCTCGTTACCATTTTGATTTCTTCTCATGACATGTGTTATTTAAGAGGATGGTATTTAATTTGTAAATAATTATAAATGTCCCAACTTTTCTTCAGCTATTCATTTCCAGTTTCATTTTATTGTGGTTGAAGGACATAATTTTTATTATTTCAGTCCTTCTAAATTTACTGAGACTTGTTTTATGACTTAAAAATGGCTTATCTTACAAATATTCTATGTACTCTTGAAAAGAATATGTTTTCTCCTATTTCATGAATTATTCTATAACTGCACATTGGTTAATAGTGTCATTCAAATCTTCTGTATTCTAACTGATTTTCTGTTACTTGTTCTATGCATTATTGAGAGGAAAATATTGAAATCTCTGACAATAATTGTGAGTTTGTCTGTTTCTATTTCTAATTCTCTGTTTTTACTTCACATATTTTGAGGCTATGTTATTAGTAGCATGCACATTTAGGATTTTTATGTACTTTTGATTATTTGACCCATTTGTCATTATCTTGTGACCTTCTTTCTGCCAGAAAATGTCTTTTGCACTGAAGTCTATTTTCTGAGATATTAATATAGTCACTACAGCCTTCTTTTGAATACCATTAGCATAGCATATAGTTTTATATACTTACACTTTTCACTTATAAATTTCTTTATATTTAAAGTTTGTTTCTTTTAGGCAGCAGTACATATGTTGGCCTTGTTTCTTTACCCAAGCTATCTCTGACTTATTTGTAATGTTTAGACCATTTACATTTAATGTGATTATTCATGTGGCTAGATCAATTATATCATCTTCATATTTGGTTTTTTATTTGTTTTGTCTATTCTTAATTCCCTTTTCTTCCTTTCATGTCTTCTTAATTGCACATTTCTTCTTATTATATTTTATTAACTTTGACTGCTTATCAACCAAAACTCTGTTTTGTTATTATAGTGGTTGCTTTGGAGTTACACAATATATCATTAACTTAGCAGAGTCTACTTTCAAGTGATGTTTTATATCACTTCATATATAAATATTATACTTCTATTTTTCCTATTGGTTTTTATGTTATTGTTGTCATATATTGACTTCTACATATGTCATTAACCTCACAATACAGTGTTGTTACTATTATTTATACAGTCAATTAATTTTACAAAACTTAAATTATCAGAAAGAAACTCTTGTGTGTTTATACATGCAAGGACAATTTCTGGTCCTTACATGCAATGGAGATTTCTTTTTGTAGATCCATGTTTCCATCTAATGTCATTTTCCTTCTGCCTGAAGGACTTTAATATTGTTAGAAGGCTGGTCTACTGGTAATGAATTTTTACAACTTTTCTGTGTCTGAAAATATCTTCATGTTGTCTTTGCTTTCAAAGGCTGTTTTCACTGGGTAGAGAATTTTAAGTACAAGCAACAAAAAAAGAATAGATAAATTTGACTTCATAAAAATAAAAACTTTTGTGCTTCAAAGTACTATCAGATAAGTAAGCAGACAACTCACAGAATGAAATAACATATTTATAAATCACATATCTGAGAAAGGTCTAGTGGCCAAAATATGTAAAGAACACTTACAACTATGCAATGAAAAGGCAAACAACCCAACTTAGAAATGGATGAAATACATGAATAAACATTTCTCCAAAGAATGTATACAAATGGACAATAAGCCCATGAAAAGATGCCAAACATTATTAGTCATTAGAGAAACACAAATCAAAACTACAATGAGATACCAATTCTTACACATTAAGTTGGCCATTATCAACAAAATGGAAAATAGCAAGTGTTTGCAAGGATATATGGAAAAATTGGAACCCTCATACATTGTTGATAAAGTTGTAAATGGTGAAGCTGCTGTGGAAAATAGTTGGGCAGGTAAACATAAATAAAAGTTAGCCTATTATCTAGCAGTTCCATTCTTAGGTATACGTCCTAAAGAATTTATGTCCAAGAGAATTGAAAGCATTTGTCACACAAAAACCTTGTACACACATATTCATAGCAATATTATTCATGATAGTCAAAATATGAAATCCATGCAAATGTCCATCAGCTGATAAATGCACAAACAAAATGTGGTATACCCATACAATGGAATATCATTCAGCCTTAAAAAAGAATGGACTACTGATTCATGCTACAACATAGATGAACCTTGAAAACATTATGCTAAGTGAATGAAGTCAGACAAAAAAAAAGAAACATGCACTTCATGACTCCATTTATATAAAATGTTCGCAAATCTATAGGAACAGGAAGTAGATTTGTTGTTTCTCGGGGAAGAGGGAGAGGGAAATTGAGAAATATGGGGCTTCTTTTTGTGTGACTGAAAAGTTTTAGAATTAGACAGTGGTTATAATTGCATATATTGTGAATATACTAAAATCTAAATTGTGTACTTTAAAATGGTTAAAATATTAATATTTGTTATGCAGATTTTATCTAAATAAAAATCATATACACATATACACACATATATGTATACATAAGTAGTTTTATTCTTTCACTACTTTAAAGAGTTTTCTCCAGTATCTTCCCATTTGTATTAATTTCAAAGAGAAATTTACTATTATCCTTATCTTTGTTTATCTTCATGTAACATTTAATTTGCCTCAGGCTGCTTTTCAGATTTTTTGTTTATCATTAGTTCTGAGCAACTTGATTATTATGTGTCTTGATGTAGTTTCCTTTATGCTTCTTGTGTTTTAGGGTCATTGAAAATTTGGGGTTCATAGTTTTCTTCAAATTTGGAGGAAACGTTTTCAGCTATTTTTCCTTCAAGTATTTTTTCTGTCCTCCTTCCTTCTTCAAGAACCCCAACGACATCTATGTTAGTCTCCTTGAAGTTGTCTCACAGGTCACTGATGTTCTTTCTTTTTTTAAAAAAAATATTTTTTATCAGTCTGCTTCATTTGGATAGTTACTCATTGCTATGTATTCAAGTTTACTAATCATTTCTTTAGCAATGTCTAATCTGCCATTAAATCCTTCCAGTGTCATTTTTGTCTCAGACATTGTATTTTACATTTCTGGAAAATATATTTTTATATTTCTTATGTATCTTTCTACATAACTTTGGCCATATAGAATACAGTTGTAATATATAATAACTGGAAGACAGTTTTAATGCAGTTGTCTGTGAATTTGAACATCTGTGTTAGTTGTGGGGCAGCTTCAATTCATTAATAATTCTCCTTATTATTAGCTATGTTTTACTTTTCTGCATGTCTGATCATCTTTAGTTGGATACCAGACATTATGAATTTTACTTTGTTGGGTGTCAGAATTTTTAGAATATCTATACATTTTCTTGAGTTTTGTTCTAGGATGCAGTTATTTAGAAATAGTTTTACTCTTGCAGGTCTTGCTTTTATGTGGGTCTTGCTTTTATGACTCAGTAGGCAAATCTAGAACAGTGTTCATTCTATGGCAAATTATTCCCCACTATTAAGGAAAGCTCATTCTGAGTATTCTGTCCAATTCCTTGTGAATTATGAGTTTTTCCAGTCTCACTGGTCTGAATGGGCACTATTACTGGCCCTATGTGAGCTCTGAGTACTGTTCCTTCTGATGCTTTCAGGTAGTTCTTTCCCTGGCCCTGAATAATAGTTTTTTTCTTCTTCTCATACTTAGAACACTGTAGTTTGCTTTTCCTTCTTTTAGACTTTATGTAATTGAAGTTATATTGCATCTTTGTTTTTGCCTTGCTTCTTTCATTCAATATTATGTTCTTGAGATTCAGCCATATTGTTGCACATGGCTGCAGCTCATTCATTTTATTACCTCATCTTATTCCACAGTACAAATATACTGTAATTTATTTGATCTATTCTACTGTTGAGGTTGCTTCTATTACCAACTATACTGCTATGTATAATATATTTCTGTACATGTCTCTTGGTAAATATTCTCATACATTTCTGTTGTCATATATAACAAAGGCTAGAGTTGCCAAGTTCTAATGTACGCATATGTTAAACTTTAATAGATAATTTCAAAAGGTCTCCCAAAGGTATAGTATCAATTGATGTTCCCACTACCACTGTATAATAGTAACAGTCACTCCACATCTTCACCAACTTTTTCTAGTGACATCTTTCCAATTTTAGGTATTTTGGTAGGTGTGCAGTGACATTTTATTGTGATTTTAATTTGTATTTTTCTGATGAGGAATTTAGTTGAAAACTTTTCATATGCTAATAGATCATTTGGATATCTTTTTTATGAAATGCCAGTTTAAATCTTCAGCCTACTATTCTATTGTGTGACCTTTTTATTAACAATCTGAAAGAGATTCTTTACATATATTGGATATAAGCCTCTTATTAGTTATATGTGTGTGAAAATTGCTAATTTGTGATTTACTTTTCACTTTCAGAGAACATAAATTTTTTATTCTAATATACTTCAACTTACCAAGTTTGTCTTTTATGAATAATATTCTAATTCTAGAAAAGAAATATTTCTATACTATAGATTATAATGATACATGTTTTATTTAAGAAGATTTTAGTTTTGACTTTCACGTACAAATCTACAGTCCAACTGAAATTAACTTTTGTATATGGTGTGAGATTGGGATCAGAATTCATGCTTGATCCATATGGATATCTAATTAGCCCAGAATCATTGAAATGATCCTCCTATTCCCACTATATTGTAATGCTACCTTTGACATAAACTTTCATTTATTTTTGTCTCTTATTTTCATCTTTTCTTTTTTTGATATGGAGTCTCACTCTGTCGCCCAGGCTGGAGTACAGTGGTGTGATCTAGGCTCACTGCAACCTCCGCCTCCTGGATTTAAGCAATTCTCCTGCCTTAGCCTCCCGAGTAGCTGGGACTACAGGCATACGCCACCACGCCCAGCTAATTTTTTGTATTTTAGTAGAGATGGGGTTTCATCATGTTGCCCAGGCTGGTCATGAACTCCTGAGCTTAGACAATCCACCTGCCTCAGCCTCCCAAAGTGCTGGGAATACAGGCATGAGCTACCATGCCCGGTCTCTTAGTTTCATCTTTGCAGTATCTCTCAATGCTGTATATGGTACCTTTGCACAATCCAATAATTTAATAACTGTACTCTTGAGTAACTCTTGATATATGGCTTATTAGTCTGTTTTTACACTGCTGATAAAGACATATCCAAGACTGGGAAGAAAAAGAGGTTTAATTGGACTTACAGTTCCACATGGTTAGGGAGGCCTCAGAATCATGGCAGGAGGAGAAAGGCACTTTTTTTTTTTTTTTTTTTCTCAGAATCTCACTCTTTTGCCCAAGCTGGAGTACAATGGCTCAACCTCAGCTCACTGCAACCTCTGCCTCCTGGGTTCAAGCAATTCTCCTGCATCAGCCTCCCGAGTAGCTGGGATTACAGATGCCTGCCACCATGCCCAGCTAATTTTTTTGTATTTTTAGTTGAGACGGGGTTTCACTATGTTGGTCAGGCTGGTCCCAAACTCCTGACCTCAGGTGATCCACCCACCTCGACCTCCCAAAGTACTGGGATTACAGACGTGAGCCACTGTGCCCAGCTTGTGAAAGGCACTTCTTACATGGCAGCAGCAAGAGAAAATGAGGAGGGTGCAAAAATGGAAACCCCTGATAAAACCACCTGTCTTGTGAGACTTATTCACTACTATGAGAACAGTATGGGGGCAACTGCCCCCATGATTCAAATTATCTCCAACCGTTTCCCTCCCACAACATGTGGGAATTATGGGAGTACAATTCAAGATGCGATTTAGGTGGGGATACAGAGTCAAACCATATCAATGGTAAAGCAAGTTATCCCACTTTGTTCATCTTCATCACAAATAAGTCAGCTGGGCTTGGCCTTTGATATTCTCTATTAATTTTAGAATTAGTCAGATTCCAGAAAAATACATTTTTGGTTGAGAATGCATTCAATCTATGAATCAATTTGGGAGAAATGTTCATCTTTACAATATTATTTCCTTCAATTTATGTGTGTAATACATAGTATACTCCTCTGCTAATTTAGGTGTTCCTTAATGTTTTGAGTTTTCTATGTGGCAATCTTTTAGTACATTTATTCCTATTCCTATGTATTTAAAATATTGATAATACTTTACATAACATTGTTTTTTAAATTTTACTTCTTTTTTCTAGCTGTATTTAGAAGTGCAATTTATTTTTTAGTCTGGATAATATGTAGAAGTTGCTAATTATAACAAGTGTGTCAGTTCCAGGGAGATTTATATTGAGCATTTATTTTCTGCATTATGGGTTATGTTTTCTCCTTTCTTTGTATGTCTGGTAATCTTTGGTTGATGGTCAAACATTGTAAATTTTATGTAGTTATATACTGAATGTTAAGTATTTCAATTTTCTTTGTACCTATGTCCAAACTACCACTGAGTCTCTTCAGTTCTTTCTTTATATTTTCTACTAAATCCTGCTTTTCCATCCTGTTTCCAAATAATCATCTCACTTCCTTAGCACTACTTGTTTAGGTTTCTACAATTTCTATTTGTTTTCTGCCCATATCTTTGTCTTCCAAACCACCTTATAGATAGTTGCTGGAACACATGCATGTGTATTATATATCATGTGCTTATACATAGTATTGCTGTGAGGAATTAATTATAATCATAATTGGCAACCATGTTTTTGGCACATATTATATGCTAGGTGCAAAAAATGCAGTATTTCTAATCTCCACAAAATCTCTTTGAATTGGATAATTCTATCTTTATAGGGAAAAAGACTGAGTCTCAAAATTGTCTCATTTGTGTAAGGCCTCATGCCCCATATGAGGAAAGGACAAGATTCTAAAGCATATATTCTAAGGTCCCACAACTCACTTTTACTGGATGTATTTTATGTTATGAGGGTTGCCAGTTTTTAAAGTTTTTGAGGTCTTTGAGATCTTTTATATACTCCACACACAAATTGCCTCAGCAAAAAATAAATATTGATCAACTGGTTGAATTTTGTGTCACAATTCCTCAAGATACGAATAGGCAGGTAACAGAGGTGTGCTCAATGTGAATAGGCAGCAAGGCTTTTCTGCTCCAAAATTATACTCACTGGACAATGGTCCCTTGATGAGAGAAAATAGCTCTAGAAAAATGAGCTAGTAACAATGAGATCATTTTCTCCTTGAAAATATCCTCAGTTCAATAATACATGGACATTACATTTTCCTGATATCCTCTGCAGAATCAGAAATCAGAAAATAGTAGTCCATCTCTAAGGTTGTTTCAAAACTAATTCAGTGAGCTTTCAGTCTTCACTTTAGTTAAGTCTGCAGTCACAAAATAGAAGCATTCATCAAATTAATAGACAATTCAAACAAAAAGAATCTTCCTCTAACCCTATACACCCTATTGCCCCCTCCGAAGAAAATGAATTTTGATTAAAGGAAAAGATTTGTGATCTAGCTAATCCTGTCTCTTCCATATGCTTCACATATATTCACTATGTAACTGTTCCAACCCTTCCTTACTGTAGTTATGGAGACCTAGCTATGTTCATTAGGGAGTTTAGGTTTTTCTTCTCTGGTTATGACTGGATTAAAGAGTTTAGATAATACACAAATAAAATGGAAAGAAATCTAGAAAAGGAATAGCTGTCCTAAAGAAACCTATGTACTTCCTTAATTTTTGTAATGGGCATGGTGATTTACAGATAATTACTCTAGAGCCAAAGTGACTGTGGGGATTATACCTTACGGAAATGTAGCCACCTAAAATACATAACAATGATTTTTAAATATAGGCAGATGATTTAGTCAAGATGGTTTACTGAAGGTAAATCTTGTTAAACAATCTCTTTTCTGAACATTCATCCTATAAATAAAGTGGAATTGAATTTGATATTTTAAGCTTTAGCTACTGCGACTAGTTGCATTTAATTGTGTGCAATATATTCAAATAAGCAAATTCCAAATGGAACTGAATGATCTCTTATAACTGGTTTTTATTGACTCATTTCCCTGTATGTTCCTTAAATGTTTTATCATTTTATTTCCCTATTGCTTTTTATACCTATTTTTAAACAGTAGTTGTCTTGCCCCACAATCTTTTAAATTAGATCATCATGTTACTGTTCTTATCAGTATTATAAGTAAACACTATTATTCCGGTTAATATAAATTGATCAGCATTTCATTTCTGGTATAAAATTCTATTACCGTTCACTGAAGTTCCTGAAAAGGAAGACTAAATCTATGTGATATCTTCTTTTACATGTAGCTAGAAAATGCCTTCAAATTCTCTTGACACTTTAGTGTTGTGCTCAGAATCTGTGTGTGATTAAGAAAAAATACTAAATGGATGAAATTTGTCATATTAACTGACAGGGATTTAGAAAGCATCCATAAAATGGTATATAATGAAATTCTCAAATAAAGGACAGCTTTGTGAAAAAACAAGACTAATATTAATATTTTAATTATTATAAACATTGTATATAAACCAGCAACTTACCTATTTTCTGCCATTTTAAGCTAAAATCTGAAGATTTATTTTTAAAAACTATGAGAGCATTTTTCTCGCATGTATGTAATCTACAAGTCAATTATTTAAAAGACCCTGTTATCTAGACTGATTCTGACCCCCCCATAACAGTGATCCCTTACTTCTATTATTAAGTTGATTTTATTTTCTCAGATATACAAATCATTGGCTTGTCTTCGCTGTGTGGCTTTGTTCTTGTAGGGAACATCGAATTAAGAGACACTCTGGATAAACCCAGGTGTGATAGAGACTGATTTCAGTATCGGAATGACTTATTGGATCTGTTTCCATGTTTGTTTTCTGGATTCAGTGGCTAATTTGGTTTCTAATCATGCTTTTGACCCCATTTTCAGACTGTTTGTGGTAACGGGAGAAGAAAGGCCCTGCAGTAGGTAATTAAGTCTGCAAAAGCAGGGCTGCTTACTTTTCATTGCAGCAGATAATCAGAGTGCTTTTGCTCAAGTGTAAAATGCAGAAATTAATGATCCTATATAATACAGATTAAGGCTTTCATTTTAAAAACTATCAGTGCAGAAGAACAAAGGTAGGAAAAACAGCATGATATTTGGAATTCCAGGATATAGTAAAGCTTGCAAAATTTGAAAGAGGTTTCTGAGCATGGGACTAATCAAAATTCGCCTTGTGTTCTAAGGTGATTGATTGGTTCAGAACTCACATATATTACTGCCCCACTGCATCTTGAAAAGGCACAATTAGACACATTTGTCCATATCTTTTTACTTACAAACATTTCCTATTGTTCATTCAGATCAATCAGATAAGTTAAAGCATGTAGCACACTGAGTGTCACATAGTAGGTACTCAATAAATATTACAGTGTTTGATTTCAAATAATTTTCCATAAAGGGGTTATAAGGAAGTATCTGGTAGCCAAAAGTTCATACGTATTTTAAAAACTATAAAATCTTAAAAAAATTTCATATACAGTATTATTTTACCTGGATGCTTTTTCTATTAGAGCTCAATAGATTGAAAAACAACCCTTGCTGTATAAGGACATCAGTTTACAGCGTACCCTTCATAGAACAAAAGTAGGCTTTCAACAAAATGCCAGTGCTTGAGGATATAAAACTTACTGCCAAAAAAATGCATACATCTCACGCCATGGCTCAATGATTCAGTCTTCAGTGTGCATGAACATGCTAATATATTTCAACAACGTGATCAGTTTAATCAACAGTCACATCAATAGGTTTTCAGTATGCTTTTGTAAGCCATTTAGGGCATTTTGATTATATATTCCCCATGTTTGTTTACTGTTGGTCATTTTTTTCAAGATTATCTTTATACAATTATTCCTCATTTATCACCAGTAATAAACTAGCTAATCTGTTAAACACTTCATTGAGCTTATGAATAGCATTATATTCTTCACATTACACATGGAAAAGCTTAGACAAAAGTAAAAATGTCAATAAAGTTTTGGTCAGTCCACATCAATGAAAAATTATCATTTTATTTTCTAATTTATATAAGTTTTCACCAGCTCATGATCAATGGCTCTTGGATTGGAAAATATAATCACAGGGCCCCTGAAATATTACTTTAAAAGGTAAAGTTAGGCCTAGAACTCCACACTAAGTGATCCAGAATGGAACAGCATTATTCCTGTCAGCAGTTGGGAAAGCATTTGGTGTGTTGATCTGGCACAGTTCTAAGCCCGTATTAGAAAAAATTGTGAACACATGAAGAGCAGCATTTGTTGCATATTGGTAATCATTTTAATCTATTTATAAAATATGCTTTGCAGCATTGTTTTCTAAACAGAGAAGAGTGGAGCTTTGGCATGTATCCTCTATCAGAGCACTTGTACTTTCACTGAAAAGAACATGATCAGAAGTAGACTCAGAAGTTATAATAATGAACTCTGTAGCCAAACCTGTGCTTTGCAGATCAATTTTCCCACTGGCCAGAACTCACCAAAAGTTTAGTGTTCATTCATTGTGACCAATATAGTAGATTTCAATAAAATTTTGCCTTCCAAGTTATATTCAGTAACAACAATGCCATCATCATCAACAAGACTAACCAGCACTGCACATACAGTGTCTCATCACACTAACATTGTGGTGTCATGCAGCTGTTCACAGCCCCGTTGATCTATTCCTTCCCCTGTAAATTATGTAGGCAGGTTTTTCTTCTTATAGCTTTGTGGAAAGCAAGATTAAAATTACTCTTTGGTTATTTTAAAATAAAATGATGCTGTTAAAAGTAAGATGCTATAACCATTAGACTAGCTAGGTTCTCAAGAGTGTGCCTCTTCTTGCCATGCTGAGGGGAAGTGGGTAGCCTGGCCTCTGACTCATAGAAAAAAACCAAGAGAGGGAACTCAAAAGTGGATTCCCTGAGGATGGAGTGACTAGGAGCTAGGATTTCTGACTCAGGCAACTTCAATTGTTTCTTAGGCTCAGTTTTACTGTTTTGGCATTCCTGAAAGATCTTTAACCAAAAAGGCTCCAAGTCAATTATTCATTAGCAAATCCAAGCATGTGTAACATTTCTTGTTAGCCCTTGCAAGAGGGCTTGGAAGAGTATTCCAAGTGCTAGCAAGCAATGAGGAGCTACCAAGGACTAGCAGCAGAATGGGCCTGAACTTGGCCACTGCTACCTGCAATGTAGATTGGCAATAACAATGGGCATAGGAGAGAACAGGAAATTACAACCTCAGGAATAAAGGATTTAGAGAGAAAAAGCATTCCTATTTATCCACTTTCCACTAATCGTGTTATTCATATAATTTGATTTGAGATCCAGGCTCATTTATCTGTATAGTTACAAAAAATAAATAATAAAAGTGAAAAGGTGAACTACCATGTTGGAAGTTGGTTGTTTTCCTTTTAATAACCACAGGCCAGGTTTTGTGTTTTTATACCTAAGGTTCCCTACAGGCAGACTTTACTACCCCTATTTTGCAAATGAGAACAGAGTTACAGAGGTTAAGTGACTGAGAAATCAATTAAGCTAATAAGTGGCAAAGCTGGGATGATTATATTCAATTGGAAAAATGAACAAGTATAAGTAAAAATAAACTTAAAAAAAGGCAACATGGTCGAAAGTCAATGTCAGGTCTTGTTGGCATTTTTAACTACTTTCCATTCTCCTATTTTTAAGAGCTACAAAAAGCAGCCTATGCTATTCTCTTTGCTCTTGTAATTCATCCTGGATAAATCTCTAATTCTTAGCCTCATGGCTTCTCTCTCTTTCTTACCTATGTTCCTCCTTTCCTCCATCTAACCATATGGGTTGATGAAAAAGTTGAATAGCCTATCTTTTTTTCTTTTCTTTTCCTTTCTTTTCTAGTCTCTGCTTTTCCTTTCTTCTTGAATTATGAGGCTTTTTGAATTCTTGAAAATGAGGCTTCTTGAATTAATCATTCTTTATTCCATTCCATTCAGCTAAAAGACAACCTAGATTAGACCTAGAATCCAGGCCTTTGTCTTTGTGAGTGGATTTGAATGGAATTGGTACCATTAAATAATCAAACAAATTATAAAGCTACCATAATTAAAATATTTTCACCCTGAGGTATGAATAGACATTTTAACAGCTCAGAATAATTAATGTCACAGGTGTCACTATGTTTTTTAAGAATTGGGTATCTAATGAAATTAACATATTAATATGGAAGAAATAATATTCAATAAAGTGTTTTAAAAGTACTTAGAATACTGGGGGATGATATCTAAGATCCTGAATTCATCGGTATACCAAAATATATACCATATGTATTAAATAGTTACATTAAAAAAATCGTGTCACAGAAATAATTAAAGGATGCACTAGGATACTCATAAAACTGCTGCAGGCTGGCACGATGGCTCACGCCTGTAATCCCAACACTTTGGGAGGCCGAAGTGGGTGGATCACCTGAGGTCAGGAGTTTGAGACCAGCCTGGCCAACATAGCAAAACCCCATCTCTAATAAAAATACAAAAAATTAGCCAGGCGTGGAGGCCGGCGCTTGTAATCCCAGCTACTGTGGAGGCTGAGGCAGGAGAATCGCTTGAACTCGGGAGGGAGAGGTTGCAGTGAGCCGAGATTGAGCCACTGCACTCCAGCCTGGGCAACAAGAGCAAAACTCTGTCCCAAAAAACAAACAAACAAAAACAAAGAAACAAAAAAAATGCTGCAAAGTTTAGTCACAACTAAAACTCAAAAAATTAGGAAGTTAAAAAAATTGACAAAGATTGACATGTATTGATGTTTACTGTGTGGCAGGTTTAGTTCTATGAACTTCCATGTCTTAATGAAATGGAGTAGTTCCCTTGACCCCTTCGAGGGACTTGTAAAGTGGTGGCTTGCTTACTCATCTCACAGCTCTCAACCCCTTGTGGAAGCGGGAGCATGAAGGAGAGCAGGTGAAGAGATCAGGATGAGCACTTCTGGGCAACTGGCAGAAGCAGAATTTTGTGCGGGCCTGTGGTGGCAGCGTCTAGGGTTGCCCACGACACCCTGGAGCCCCAGAAGGTGTGTGTTACAGTGAGGTCTTTTAGCTTTGCTATCTCTGGACAGCGTAAAGTGCTAAACAACTCAGTGGAGGGTCAGTATAACAGCCTTTTGTGCCCACACCTGGGTCCTTGCCCAGCGTCCAGGAAGAATGAGGTCACACAAGCAAATTGGAGGGTGTTGAACGCGGAGGATTTTATTGCTGATAAAAGTGGCTTCCAGTGGGAGGGGGGACTGGGAAGGGGATGGAGCGAGAAGGTGGTATTTCCCTGGAGTTCGGCTGTCTGACCAAACTTCTCTCCAACTATCTCTGGTTGAACTCCTCTCCGACTGTAGTCTCCAATGTCCAGCTGCTGCTTCTCCTCTCAACGTTCAGATGCTTCTCTTCTCTCCTCTGCTGCTCCGTTGCCAATGGAGTCTGGGGTTTTTATGGGTACAGGATGGGGGGTGTGGCCGGCCAAGGTGGTTTTGGAAAAGGCAACATTGGGGCAAGAAATTAGGAATGCATGCTCTTACTTTGGGCCTTGGGTCTAGGCTTCAGGGTGGGGCTTCACCAGGGACCGTGCCCTTTTCTGCCTCTGCCTCCTGTCCATAACATTACCTCATTTAATATCCACATCCCTCATGATGAAAATAATATTATTATTTCTATTTTACAAACAAGATAAAAATATTAAGAAAGGTTAAGTGATTAGTCCAAGGTTACCTAATTGATTTGAGTTCATATTCATCCCTGCTGATTCCAAACTGTACTCAACCACTACATTGTACAGAAAAATTCATATATAAATATGAACAACTTCCACTACAGCAAAGGTTATGAAACAGACTTAAAAAAAAAACACATACAGCAAGAGGGATGGGAAAAAGTTGATATTTTTATTTTGTAAAAGGTTATTTAAATTGATAAAAAATACACAAAAGCTTTAGCTCAAAGGACATGACTAGTCAATGCACCAAAAAATAAAGATAACTGGAAACATGAAGAAAATTCCACAAAAAGTAAAATAATTTGATCTATTAAATTAATATAATTAAATCTATTCATTATTTCTTGGTAGGCATTGTGAAACAGATACTTCATAAATTACCTTAGGAAAGCTACTTGGTTATATACAAAACTCCTTACTGTGTTTACAACAGATTTCAACAGATACGTGTTAAAAATGGACACTTACCTCAGTCTCTTCCTTCTTCTTACTAGAATATGGGCAACAAACAAAACCAAAAAAAGGGCAAATAGAGACCAAAACTACTGAAAGTCAACTGCTGGACAAAATCAGAGATTTTTATTAACCATGAGTTATATATCTATGTAATTTTTGAATAGAAGTTGATACTCATTTAAAATATTCTATCCACCCACCCCAAATAAACCTGCCAGCTTAAAGGAAGATAATAAAATCTCCTGTCTATCTTTTTCTGACGTGCCCTTACTCCCCACATCTCCACACCCACTTTTGTAGTAATGAAACCTGAGCAACCATCCCTCTACTGCTTTTTGAGGAGATCATTGTATTGGTGGTTCTCTTTCCCTTTTAGCAATTTTCTTGCCACATCAATTTGGAGACTGTAATTCCTACAGAATAATAGGGCAGAGAGCGTTGGGCAGAAGAAGGTTGCATGTTGAGAGGCCTCATCCCAGATCAGTTAGTCACTGGCTGTGGAGTGGCAACAGGAGGAGTCCAGGTGCTAGGGCATTCTAGGAATGGTGGTTTTTCATAAATTCCATTGTATCAGAGTAAGAGATCCAGGCAATAAGAATAGGAGAATATTATACCTTGGCGCTATAGAAGCCACAGGTCACATGCTTACTGATGCTGGAAATTGGTCTAGGAGCAGAATATATCAACCTACCCTCCAGCTAGCATTATGAAAAGGAGATTTAGTAAGCACTCAAATGAACAGACAATGGGCACAGGATAAGCACGACATTGGGATGGATAGCTTCCCACTTAAAAAAGAATGAGCATCAAACAACAAACAAAAATAATAGAAACTCTTAAAACAAAATCTTCAAAACAAGGGAAAGGGCAGGTTATTTTAAAAGCCTCTGGACTAACAGACCTCTAGTAGGAGACAGCAATCCAGGTGACGGAAAGGACCAAAGGCAAACAGTGGAGCATATCTCTCTTCCCATCTTCTGAAATTCAGACTGGCTGTAGCAGAATTTGCATTTAAGAACTACATTTTAAAATAAACGGAAAAGCCTGCCTAGGAAGAGCTAAACTGAATGTGAGTTTTGATATTTTAAAATAAAGCCCACATTTGCATGGTCAAGAGACATTCTGCTTGTGCTGGACACAAACACACGAAACCTGCAAGTGGACATGCCCCAGGAGAGTACACAAGACCTCAAACTCAGCTTCGCCATTCTGTGTGGCTCTGCGAGTCATTCAGGGTTAAAAGAGCCTGTTATTTTTCAAGAGGAGTCAGAAATACATGTTTTAATGGGAAATTGTCTGTTTAAATGTTTGCAATTAAATACAATTTTAAAATCTGTTCAGCCCCCCAAATCTTTAGATTGGATCCAGCATTCTGGTCTAATTTTATCACTGCTGGAGTATTAAAAAAGATGAAATCTGGAAAATATAGTAGAAATGTAAGATAAACTATGAATCTGGAGTGGCGATATGTAATAAGAGAAATTTCAGAAAGAATCTATAGGTTACAATTATATAAAAGGCTATGCATTTGCTATGCAGTCTATATACTATGCTGGGCTTAAATGTAAGTCACTGTTCTAAGTATTGTATATATTTTCCCTTATTTAATCATCATAAAAACCCTATGACTTAAGTGCTATGACATACCCATTTTACAAATTTTACCCATTTCTTATTTTACAAATAAGAAAAACTATTCTAAAGAAATGTTAAGTCACCTGCCTAAATTCTTATATCATAAAAGTAATGGATATGGGATTTGAACTTAATCTGTATCTACAATGTGTACTTCTACCTTCTCCACTAAGAAATAATAGGGAAAAATAATAGGGAAAAATACTACATGGACAATATTTCACAGAGCCAAAGAAAGACTTGAACTTTAATATCAAATGATCTATCAGTTATTAAATAAGATGACTTTAAAAAGAGATGAATCTAGACATGCCCTTGTGAAATGTCAGAACACCAAAGACAGAAGATTTTGAGTTTTTGGAAAGCAAAAGTAAAGTAGTAATCATTGGGTTAGTATCACACTCTCGTTAAAATATACAAGAAAATAGAAACCAGTGCATGCTGGAAGACCATGAAGCAATGTCTTCAAAGTTGAAAAATAAAATGATTGTGAATATAAAATTTTAGTTTATATCATCTACCAACCATCCAAAGTCTTTCATCTACTCATTCTGAAAAAGCAAAGAAAAAACAAAAAACTTCTTGATGATGTACTCCAGCAAAACAAGTTAGAGTGCAAAGAAAAAATACAAATAAATCCAAAAAAGAGAAAGACTCAGGAGGCTGAGGCAGGAGGATTACTTGAGCCTAGGAGTTTGAGGCCAGCCTGGGCAGCATAGTGAAACCTCATGTATAAAAAAATAAAAATAAAATACATAAATAAAAATTATTAAAAAGCCAAAAATGAGGTCTTCATGAAAAAAGGGAACTATTTTAGTATGAAAACAATTTCCAGATTATCAGTCTATAAAACAGAATCGAAAATCAATTGATCTGAATTAGAGTAGGAAGTCAAAGTCTTCATACAAATAGTATTTTCAAACAAAAAATTAATTTCATTTATAATATTGCATGAAGAAAAAACTGGAAGATCTCCATAAGATGTTGAAGAAGGTACAAATATACTTTGTTGACTAAAAAGAAAAAAAGGAATTTAGAAATGCAAGGGGGAAAAAAGTTGTTCAATAAAATCATAATCAAAATAAGAAGTGTGTGAACATGTGGAGGAATAATGAGCAATTGGTGGCCAGTAAGAAAATGCTTACACTTGAATTTAATGCTTGAAACACATTATTTTCCAAGCAACAAAGATAAAACATGGAATTAAATTTCTTCTGTATAGGTCCAGCAGCTGCTTTGTTCTATGAAGAGTAATATTTATATAATAACTTTGGCTTCAGAAATAGAAAGATTTAAATATATTATTTAGCATCATAAATAAAATGATTTAGAAAAAAACTAGATAACTAATGAATTGTGAGGATGGTTTCAGTGTATTGAAAGAGTAGATATGCTTTAAAATGGAAAAAGTAAGACACAGAGTTGAAATAATATTATTTAGAATGTTGCTGGTGGTCACCAGAGGAACTAAATACACTAAAATGACAGAGTGAGGATGGGCACTATAGCAGGAACTTTGGAGGTGTAGGAATTGGAGCTTTACTTTCCACTTATACCCTGTGGATTTTCATTGTTTTATGGTATACATGCTTTATTTTTATGTAAAAAAATAATTTCTTATTAAAAGATAAATTGGCCACTCAGAGACTTTTAAATGGGACATATAGTTTACACATTTCCAGAGAGATAAAGTAAACAAGGTATTTTCAGGATTGACTTCCCCTGTTATGTATTAATATCCTCAAAACCATGAAATGGTGTCAGAAAATATAGTAAGTAGTTAAATCAATAGGATTAAAGATCATTATACAATATGGACCCAATTTTGTCACAAATATTTAGAAAACATATGTAACATTAGTTGTGCCTCTTTTTGACCACGTGTCACTATTGTACCAGGGTGACGTAACTCAAATACAAAGAAAATTGTGCTAGCTTTGATTCTTCCCATGATTTTTTAAGACCTCTTTTTTATGCTCCTGATGATATATAGCCTATCTCTCTCATGCCAGGAGCTTCTGTGAGAAGGAGCTGTTTGCAATGTCTTGCACATCCCATGTGCCCAGTTTCCTTGTCTCTGCTTTCCTTTTGCCTGAAATTTCAACTTCTCTTGCTTCCCCCAGCATTTCAACCTCAACAACTTGTAGCCATCCTTCAAAATAATTTTTTCTTAATGAAGCATTTTAGGACCCTTTCCCTAAAAGGGGATTGACCATTTCCTTTTTTGGCTTCCAAACTACTCCCTACATAAATCTACCACGCACCTGCTATGGACCAAAGGTTTGGGTGCCCTGCAAAGACCTATGTTAAAATCCTAGCCCCGATGTGATGGTACTAGAATGTGGGGCCTCTAGAAGGTAATTGGATCATAAAAGTAGAGCCCTCATTAATGGATTTAGAGTCCTTATTATAGGTACCCAAGAGACATAGGTAACTTTCTTTCCACCATGTGAGCACACAACAAGAAGATAGCAGTCCTCATCCCTGAAGAGGGCCTTCACCAGAATTGGATCATGCTGGCACCATGATTTTGGACTTTCAGCCTCTTGGACTGGGAAAAATAATTTTCTGTTGTTTATAAGCCACACAGTCTATGACATTTTTGTTTTAGCAGGCCAGACCAGGACAGTATCTATAAAATTCTATTGTACTTTCTTGGTATATGCCTCTTTTCTTCCCCCAAAAAGCGATGAAGTATTTGAGGTCAAGAACCATGTTTTATTAATTTTCACATTCTTAGTATAGTACCATGTTTTTGTCACTCAATTTTTAAAAAGGAATAAATGAATAAATAAACTATATTATACAAAGGTTAAAATATATTTTTTAGCATGAAATAGTTAAAGTGTATAAAAAGTATTAATAGGGCAGGACACAAAATTGTATGTATAGCATGCCTATAACTTTGTAAAACATATGTATTTAGAATAAAGCCTACAAGAAAATATATACAAATTGCTAAGATTTGTTCATTGGGATGTTAAAATTAGAAGTGACTCATTCTTCTTTTCTCTCTCCTTTCCTTTCCAAATGTTATGTCAAATGTTCAAATTTATTTTATAATCATATATGTATATATTTATTTTTGAATATATATGCACATATATATTTATGTATATGAGATATAAATATATTTAAAAGAGATAGCTTTTATTTTAGGAGACAGATTTTTACATATGATTCTCAATGGTGTATCTCTGTTTTTGTTTGTTTCTTTCTTTCACAATCACTTGGGTATGTGATCCTAAGAGATGCTTTCTCATAAAGAAAATGTGAGAAATGGTCAAGGACTCTAGTAAAACTACACTAAGTGAATTATACCAATTTCCAGAATCAGATTATTGATAACTCTTCTCTCTGTATTCTGTTCTACCCCCTAACCCTCCGAGGCACTACCCAAAGCTAATTGTGTGTATTTGTCTTTTTTAATTTTAACTTTCTTTCCATGAGTTTTTCCCTAAGATTTTCTTCAGAGAAGTTCCTTATTCTACAATAATGCACCCTCACAGCTCATATGTGGTTCATCTATAGAGCAAAAAGTCTGGAACATATTTGAAAGTCATGGTCAAAATGAGATCTGAAACTGTATGTTCATATTAATTGGGTATTCACTCTATCAGAAAAAAAACACAAAAGCCCATGGACAAAATTCCTTTTCTATCTATGAAGGCAGAGTGTTGACTGGGAAACTGAATAGTTCTGAATAGTGCTGCACAATCCCCAGTCTACATGCAATTGAAAGGCCAGAGCATATAAGACATCTCTACATCTTGGGTGCCTTGCACATGGGAATCACACAATGAATCCATGTTGAGTGGTACAAGTAATCAGCACAGAGCCATAGCATAGATTTGTGTGATACAGCAGAGGGACAGCCACTAACATCAATATATGATCAGTTATTAGAAAAAGAAAATTATTTTTCTCTGTTTTGGTATTAAGTTTCTGTGGAAAGGGAATGGAAGTTCTGGAGAAGCTAATCGGAATCTAATTTATGCTCAGGATTTTGGATTTTTATAAGTATTTCTTATTTACATATTAGATTAGTGATTAAAAGCAAAAACATTGGTGCCAAAATCCCTGAATTTGAGTCCTGGCTCTACAACTGTATACCTGTGTGACTTTAGACAAGCTACAGGATCTCTCTCTTCCTTTCTTCAGTTTCATCACGCGTAATCTGTGAGTGATATTAATAGATTCCTACTTCATAGAGTGGTTGTGAGTATTGATATATAAAAGCCTTAGCCCAGAGACCGCAACATAAATGTGATTTTTAAAAATCGTCATTAGTTAACTGTTATCCCTTTGAGGTGATTATTACTCTCACCATTTATATCTGAGAAAATCTGAAACTAAATACATAAACTTGTCATGTATTACATAGTAAAACTAAGATCCAAGCTCAAGCCGCAGAGCTTTTGCTCATATATCACAAATGATGCTTTCAAAGAACACTCTTTCTGAAAGGAAAGGAAAAAAGCCTTGGTAACCTAACAGAATAAGCTTTTCCATACAGCTGAATTTTCTGGATAGCTGAATTTTAACCCCTATAAGTGCAGCATTCTTTTGGTTTCAACTATTTGTTAGTCATTAACATATACTTTACATAATTTATTTTGCTCTTTGTGATTCAGGCTTATTGTTATTTCTATCGATTGTTGTACACAACCATCATGGTTCATGTTATCATGCCCCGAAGAGCTAGTGAATTCTACAGAGATGTTTACTCGTTCACTCTTTAGTTCTAGTGTGCGTTCATTCAAGTTCTTGTGTCTGTACTTCTGTAGTTTTATAGTCTTTTCCTCTGTTCTGTGTGACAGCCTTCAAGAATCTGTCAGGAGTGTGTCTGCCAATAGCAGCCACTTTCTCCTGATAACTTTTACTCTAATCGTTCTGGGGAGTTGACAGAAATATATCAATATAGACAGACTAATTATAATAATGTACGTCATCAAAATAAGCAGAATCTGAGCAAAGGCCTGGAGGGCAAAATATGAGTAAAATCCATACGCTTTATGTGTAAATGTTATAACATCTATTTTGGTTCCCCAGAGATCACTTGTTCACTAACTCGTACTACTCTGAGTGTTAGTGTATGCATTAGTATATATTTAAGCCATTCAACTATACAACCAACTTGACTTGCAATATTTAAATCCCAAGATTCAGATTTATATAAAATAATTATTTTAAAACAAGAGGACTATTACGAATTACAGCATTGTGCCTGAGCTGTCTGCACTGTGGTGTTCTGCAAAGTCAAGTACTAACAAGATATTGAATAAGAAGTTTTGTTATTTAGATACATTTTCAAATTTACTTGTATTTTTTCCATCTGCAATAGGCTTATTAAGAAGCTGAAACAAATGTTTCAATCAATCACTTGTCTGAGAATAATGTCTTCAAAGGTGCTCATCCCAATACGTAAAATGTAACACACCCAATAAAATGTTATGTTTTTCTGAACAATCCAATCTAATCCTTAATTAGAGGAGAAAATGGTGAATGAATTCCTCTAAACTCTATTCCTAAATATTTTAATGCTAATCATCAACTTACTTAGTGATTGGCTAGATTCTAAAATCTATAAAGTTGTAGAGTATTTGGAGCCATAAGATTTCCCCTCTTTTAATTTCTTTGAAAATACTTTGTGGGTTCTTATTTTTAAATATATTCCAGATAGGCAGAAGAAAAAGCAATGTGATGTCTTAGATTACTATTAATCATAGTAATCAATATGTACTTATGTTTAACGATCTCCCTATATTTATTTTCAGCCTTGACATTTTATTTTGGAGTAATTTTCCTCAAACTGTGTTTTCATGATGTCATGATTCTGTTCTAAACATTTATGAAGCTTAAATTGTTCATATTTTCATACAAGTTTTCTCTCAATAATCATGGGTAAGCTTTTTTATGAATCACTTTTTGCCTATATAACATTTTAACTTCCTCATTCTAATATCTTAATTTGTATGTGAAATTTTTACTATAATATTGTCAATTTGCTTACTATTCAGTTAATATTATGTATTTTTCTTTAATTCTTGCCATTGCACCTTAATTATTCCTCCACTATAATATCTTCTTTTTTTTACTCTGCTAACTTAAATTTTCCCCTCTTTTACATCTTCTAGAAGTCTTCCTGGTTTAACTGCATGTGATTTTTGTATGCTTTTTAATATGGCTACAGATTATTTATAGCATTTGTGCTGTTGAATATGTTTTCCCTCTAACTTTTCTTTTGCTTTTTTCGTTAAGTATATGCTCCATTTTTCAAAAGAGAGAAAGAAAGTCGAACCATCTTTTTTTTTATTTTATATTTGTCTCCTTACTCCAAGACACATTCTCTAAATATTACATTCTTAGTTTATGTTATTGCTCAAGTAATCATAGTGGAGCTTGGGATAAAATAAAAATAGTAAAATTTCATTGTAAATGTTTTAAACTTTCTCATTTGACTGTTTCTTAGGTATTTGACTATAATTTATGAATGTTAGAGTTGGAACATGTGTTAGAGGTCATCAAGTCTTATCTTCTTATTTCACAAATAAGTACACCTAGGCCTAGAGAAATTAAGAAACTTACCTGGGGTCAACTAGTTAATAACACTCTGAGGACTAAAATCTGATCATGTGTCTTTCAGTACACAGTACATGGCTTTGGGCTCTATAATAGGTTGCCATCCCTATATTAAAGTGTGATATCCTCCAAGTCCTTTGGTAGTACTATTTTAGAAATCCATATATCATACCTGAGACTTGAGTTAACTAAAGGACAGTGGCCCTAATTCACAGATATGCTAGAACAAAGAGATATTATGTGGTTGACCAAGACAGCAAAACAAATCTGCAAATGACTCAAAATAGAACAAGGCTCTACTGTGTCTACTTCTCAATGTTATCCACGAAACTACTCTGCTTTTGTGAAAACAAATTCTATCTTCCCCAGAGGCTAAATAACTCCCTAATGGTAAGTTAGTTACTTAGGAGGCACATTAACTCTTCCAGGCCACTGGGATGTCATTACTTTGAAATAATTTGTTTCTAGGCCATTGGCCGCAATGATAGAACACTATTCTAAATGATACCCTAGTGGCCAAAAGAGCTAATGCACCTTCCATGACGCTAAACTTACTGTAAAGCTTAGAGATGCTCCTATCACCCCTTTTACCTCATAGAACATTTAAACATTTTTAAAGGTTTCCTGGCCCAGAATAGCACCATATTAAATTGTCTTTGAATTTATTTTGGCTTCAGAGATTTCATCTCTGCCTTCAGGGATTCCCCCTCCATCCCTTGGTCATTGTCTTAGTATCTAATTCATCAGAGCCCCAGAGTCCTCATACTGCCTTCAGGTATGCCCTTTGATGTGCCCTCAAGACTTGTTCTCTCTTGTTAGAATTTTGCTTTCTTTGGCCCCAAAGCCCTCCTTCTTCCATGATAAAATGTATAAATATTCAGACCCAGGCTCATAGGGATTTATACTAGCCAGTTTTTATTAAGGGGCAAAATAACTCGTATTACGCCATTAATAGCTAATAGTGAATGTATGTGTTACTTCTATGGCATGCTTTAACAATAAGCATTTTATTTTATTAGACTAAGGAATACATTGTCATAAGACATTGAGAAGTACAAAAAATGATACAGTGAGATATAAGTCTCCATCTCTGATCTGATCCTGAATGTCCAGTTCCCCTACCCTGGGGCAACCTCTCTTACCAATTATCTGTATTTTTCCAGGGATACTCTTCAAATATATTCACATATTGATGCAGATGTGTGTTTATATATATTTATATAGAGATAGATTTTATATTTTTATACAAATGTTAGCTTATTAGATACATTTTTCTACACCTTCCTTTTTCACATAGAAAAATAAATTGAGGATGATTTTATTTCAATGCATACAAAACAGCAATGTTGTTTTTGACAAATGTATCATTTTCCATTGTATGGATGTACCATGACTTATATAACCAGCCCCTCCTGAAGGTCATTTAGGGTTTCTTTCCTTTAATATTTGTTATTACAAACAATGCTACCGTATTTTTTTAAAACCAGCCTTTATATGTATATGTGAGTATATTTGTATAAAAATCCTTAAAAATGGAATTGCTGAAACACAAGATATATGCATTTTAATATTGGTAGATATGATTAAATAGCCAACCATAGAGTCTATAATAACTAATATTCCCTCCACATTTTTATACATGATTACATTTCATGTTGCTGATTCCATAGGTGAAAATAATTCAGAATGAGGTCAATACAGCTGATTCATGGCTCCAGGACTCACAATTATGGCTATATAACCACTGAGCCAATGCTCTTTTTCTCCTCTTAGCCTAGTTATGGAAACAAATTTGGGCCAAGTGTTTCCATGCAACCAAGAAAATGACAACTCATTTTTAGACACCTACCTCATCAGGACTGAGAACTCAGGAGTGAAGGGAAGAGGGCATTAAGTATTGGTAAGGATAAGTGTAAAAGAATAACGAAAATGGAAAGAGAACAGGAAGAGAGAGGAAATAAAGGGAGTAGCTGAAATCCACTGAGAAACTGATCTAAGACTCTAACTGCAATAGAGAGTGGTAGGAGACACAATATCAGTCACCCCAAGAAGGAACTCCAGTGTGACTCTACTACCAATACCGGTTCTCTTGCATCAGTCCTTTATACACTAGGGTTATTCTCACAATTACTTATTTACAGGTCTTCCTTTAGAAACGTTTGTAACAGACATTTTACGTTACATATTCATCGGAAATGAGTGAGGACCACAGCTGTTATGTTTTTTCCTTTTCATTTATATTCCTTCTCTCTTTCCTTCTCCCTCCTTCCTTCCTTCCCTTTCTTCCTTCCTTCCTCCCTCCCTCCCTTTCTTTCTTTCTTTCTTTCTTTCTTTCTTTCTTTCTTTCTTTCTTTCTTTCTTTCTTTCTTTTCTTTCTTTCTTTCTTTTCTCTTTCTTTCTTTCATTCTTTCTCTTTCCTTCTTTTTCTTTCCTTCTTTCTTCTTTCTTCCCTCTCTGTCACTCTTTTACACTTTTGAATTTTTTCTTTGAATCAATGGGAATACTAGTAAGTGAAAAATGTCCTGAGGACTCTCCTTTCATAAAAAAAGGATAAGCCTATCTTTTGCAATAAGAAGAGAAAGAAAATACCCAACCCAACATAAAAGTCTTTATAGCCTCATAAACCACAGTACCACCCAAGATGTTAACAAGCTGGCATGTTTTGAGCATCAAAGATAGAGAGGAAACTGTGTTTACATGTTTGGCACAAAAACTAATGAGGAAAGTCAATTGGCCCTTTGTCTTGAGGGTCTGAAGCGCTGAGCTCTAATGTTTGGTTTCTTCATTGGCACTTGTTCAAGTAATCACTCGTGGCCTGACAAAGCCTCACTTGTGTTTTATTAGTGGCCATGCTGAACTCTCGCGCTTGGGCTGTGTTGTCTCTCAATAGAGTGCTGCAGCAGAGGGCATACTTATTTGAAAACACTAAATCAGAGCATGATGATCGTTGCTCAACCAGACCAACCCAGAGAAGAACAAAAAATGTTTAGAGTACTGTTTCTTTTGTTTGGAGAGGGAGGGCACTGAGAACAGGGGGAAGGTAGACCTAGTGCCTGTGCCTGAGTAATGCAGAAATGGCAGCAACAAAACCTAGTTTATAAAAGCAATGTTTTCCCCTTCTAATCACAGATGCTACATTAACATCTGAGCCTGCCGTAATGCATCACATGGCACAAGCCAGGAGGGCCTGGACTCAGCCTGCAGTGGAAGGAAATGTCAAGGTGACCCCAGAGATCTTTTCTTTCTGGATTGCTAAGGTGTCATGAGAGAATAATCATGTTACTCTGAGAGGAAGCTGACTTTGTCTTTGCAAATATAATTTGGTAGAAAGGAAAAGTTTCCAAAGTAGGTCAAAACACAGTGTTTATAACTTTTCCCATTAGGTTGCTTTCCCCCGCTCCTTCCTGCCTTTCTCCCTCCCTCCCATCCTCTCTCTTATTAATTTTTATTTTCATTTTTTTTTGCTTCCATTTAGAAATAGGAATGGTTTGGCCCAACCTGGATTTTTTTTTAATCTGCACAACTGAACAAGTATCCAAACATTTGGCTGCTAATTTCAAAGTTCTGAACCAGAAATGAGGACTCCAAAATCTGGTTGCAAACAACATTTTTAAGTGACAGTTTTGGCAGTCTTACCTACAGATCCAGTAAAAATAAAACCTAGAACAGTTTGTTCTTAAACTATTTCTAGTACCAGTTCTGTGAAGAAAGTACTGAACTACACATAATTAAATTTATTTTTTTAAGTGACTGAAATTTTACATGTTCAAAATGAGAATTTGGGATAGGTTAAGATATATCCTTGCCTTTGCCAAATCCTTGAAGTTCTCTCTGGCTGTGTGCCTTGCATCAGATCTTTTTATGAAGGGTGTAAGTGTACATTCCATGTATTCACTGCCACTGAATAAGTCTGAGTGATGCCTACACTGAGAAAATGAGAAAATGCTAAGTGAGACTTATTACTCAGGAAATCACATGATAAAAAAGTTAGAAGTTTAGAATATACAGAATTTATTTAACTAACATGCCCAATTTATTTGACTAACATGTCCAATATGCAGTCTTTTCTTTGCCAATTACTACTTAAATGCTTAGTTTTTAAAATAAAGAGGATGCCGGTCAGAGTAACGCTTTAGTTTTCTAATTCTGTAGCACATTTTATATAAGCCTCTCAAACTCGCATTGTTCCTGCAGAAAGGAAAGCTTTCATTTTAAATGTGGGTAAAGTAATTCCAAATTCCAATTCTTGTTGCTAATAATATTTACTTTTGTGAACTGACCACAGTAGTCCAGAAGCAAGAAAGATCTGTTGGTGGTGTAGAATAAGTAAATGTGTGGAAGCTTTCTAGAAAGAGCAATTTTATAAAGGAAAAAGAAAAAGAGGTAAGTGGCTTTTTTCTCCCTGCTAAAGGTTCCCGGCCTACGAAACCCTCCTAAGGTGAGGAGGAATGAAGTCCGATGATACAAGTCCACAGCTCTACCTGGTCTAGGAAGGCAATATGTTCAAATAGAATTTGCTTTTTTTAACAGGTGGTCCTATTCTCGGCCTTGAGATCCAGGGAGATGGAGTGGGAAGAGATAAGCCTCATCTGCCCCCTGCCACTCAGCTCTCTCCCATCTGCCCATGCCCTCCCACCCTGCACATGCACCCAATGTTGTTTCTTCCCACAGACTCCTGCTGCAGAATGTCAGACATCTCAGCCCACATTCAGAGCTCAGATTGCTATGAATGGAGCAAGGCAATGGGGGTTAGGGGTGGGAAAGAGGAACTATGCGGTCATCAGCTATTCCTCCACAGAGGAGCTGTCCACAGTCTGGGATCAGGATGGATGTGCTTCTGCTGCAGAGAAGCCGCTTCCCTTCAACCGCACCACGTCCCTGCAAAGGGAAGACAAGACAGCTGCCTCACACAGAGCAGTGAGGCCTGCAGGGCATCCTGACCCCCGTCTCCCTTCCCACCTTCTGGGGATGATTCACTCAGAATCTATCAAAGTGAAAGTTAAAAGCTAGCCACCATTATGGTCTCTTAAGAAAAGATTTTTTTCCCCGTTGTTAAATGTATACTCTGCCCATAAACCGTCTGCAGTTTTAATTCACAGAAGACATTTTTTCAAATGATATGACCTAATATGTTTATTTGCCACCTAGAATGGTATAAATGTATCCATGCATATATATATTAATACCTCCTAAATATATCATATATATTTACTGTATTTTATAAGTCATATATATAACATATAGTCATATATAACATATATATTTATATATTGTAATATATATTTTTATATACCCTATTACAACCAGTTCTTTGTGTAAACATGCTGGGCTTCAGAATTAGCTTAGTCACTAAGCAAACCTTGCATATTAAATGCTTTTAAGTAATGGGTGAAGGTGCTTGCCTCACTAAATGTGGAAAACGAATCAAGGCCGAGTAAATAAAATAATAACAAAAGTATAACAATCAATGTGAATTTCACAGTGCTGATCATACCTCACAGAATAAAGACAACGATTTTGTGCTTTAGAGTTTCTCTGTTGGCATAACCACTGTATTATCAGCCTAAGGATTCCCCAGGGATGAGAAAATGTAAGACGGATATATTAGAATAGTTAGATAAGAGCAACACATTTAAACAATGAGCCAGGTGCTAATGTATTCACCTATGCAGAAAACTGGGGAGGCAGAGTCATGGATAGGCAATGGAGGAGGTGAAGAGAGAGAATTTTGGGTAGTTTCCTTCTAGAGGTGAAACATTTCAGAAAATTGTTCAGGTTATAAAATTAAAGCTGTTTAGAACCAAGCATCGAATTTGAGTAGCACTATGAAAATTGACCTCGAATGATAGAGAAAACATTTTTTTTATCTCTAGAACACATTTTTCACAGTGACATAATGAATTATCTTATTTAAATGATTTTTGGTATTGGATGTTTATCATAGTCATAACAGAATGAAACCAGAAACCACTGATATATGCTATCAACAAACATCAGATTGTGAACATCAAAGAAATCCAGAAACTTAATACAGTTTCAGTCTATTTTCTTTGAGGACCATTGCTGTCTTGCCTCTCCATCACAAGACACCAAAGGTAAACAATAACTCAACATACTAAGTGCTGTTTAAATAGAGACTGCTGATATTGATAGCATCATTTTTTTTTTGCAAATGAGATTTGTACATTAATTTGTAAAATATTATTTCATAAGCATTCAGTGATAGCCAATGAATTACATTCAACACTTGTCAGAATACTAACCAATGCTATCTATCGTTTAGTTTCCAAAAATTGCTTAAAAATAGAACTGTCATTGCTCTAGCTATGAAGGACTAGAATAGCACAATTAAATAATTGGGCCACTTGGTCTATTGATACTGGTATTCTGTAAAAGACTATTGGCAATTTCATACTAAAAAACATTCTATGTAAAAAAATTAACAAAGACCAACTTTTCATATCAACCTTTCAGTTGTTGTAAAATAGTTGCAAAGATATGTTACCCTTCTTGTAAAAGTTAGAAATTACCATGTGTCCCCAATAACTAAATTAGACATATTTATGAACTCTGAGCTTTCTCAAAAGAAGTTCAGAAACAATTACCAGTGTTTTTCATTAAAATTTAAAATATATAAATAACAAATAATGACATATTTTACTTTTTAAAATAGAAAGATAATAAAAAGTATTTATCATTTCCTTTTGATGAATTCTGCCTAAAGCCATAAATATTATTTTATTCTGATACTCAAAGTATAGCATTAAATTTCTCTCCACTGAATCTGTTCTGTCATACTGCTTCCAACTATATTTTGAACCACCACATTTCTCAAGTTAAAATTTGTATTATTATATTTTTAGAAGATGAGGCTATTTCATAATTATACTCTTACCACTTACAGATTAATTTTTAACTTAAGGAATGTACTCTACTAGGTGTCATCATTTCTTTATATATGTTATTTTTCTCTATCAGAGCTGTTTGATTGCTAGACTGAATACAGAACATTTGCTTGGCCAATGGTTTAGTACTTTTGCTACTTTGGTATTATAAATACAAACAAATACAATCATTCCATCCACCTAAAAAATATGAAAGCAAAAATATTTCTAAAACTACACAGAGGAATTATCCACAACCCTGTTTATACCTTTCAGAAAGTAAAAATATGTCTTTAAAGTTATTAAGTCCCTCCCTTAATTTAAAAACTAACGTTTTAATATAGATCTTGATCTGACTCCATTCTCTCTACATGGCACAAGTTTTTGACCTTCTGAATTATTCATAAGCCTCAAATGAAGTCCTATGTTTTAAGTATGTCTTTGAAGTCTTCGACTAGATTCAATGTTTACAAGGATTCTCTCTGCATGAATTGGGTTATGTTGCTACCATAAAATGTCCTCAAACTAAAGCACAATAAAATTATATATCAACACGTATATGATTCATCCTAGCTCTTTAGGATCAAAGAATAATTGAATTCAGCATTTTGGGAACTGGTAAATACAGTAATAATTTAATTTAATTTTTCTGGGTTGAATTTTCACAAGTATTTAATATAATGTTTCTTTGGAAACTGTTAAGGCCCTCACTAAAAATCCAAGAGGTCATTTGGTTATTTCAACTATGTAAATAGAAGATAGATTTTCCTGTCTCTAATTTTCAACATTTCTACTGAGTGGCGAGATAATGCAAATGGACCAAAGCGCCAAGCCAGGCTTCTGCAGAGAAAATCTGAGTCCTGCAAGTTCGATTAAGCTAGCTAATTTTCAGTCAAACAAGCTAATTTCCAGACAGATTCTTCTGATGTTTTCCCTCTGTTTGTAATTTGCATCATTAAATAGCTCGGTGTTTCAAAGCAGCCACAGCACTAAGGTCATGGGGCTTTGTGTTAAATAGCAACCACCTCGACTTTTTTTAAGGAAGGAACAGAGAGCAGCTGATCCTCCTGTAGCATGATTTTCTTTTTTTCTTAGTGGGAAGAGGCTGAAGTGTCTTGTGGATCACAGAAATTTGCTTTGGTTCGGAGAACAGCTTTCCTCAGTGCCTTTGTGCTCCAGAAAGCCGCCCAGGATCACAGGTGGCCTTGATTATCAAGATTTTTTTTAATGGTGTCCCCTCCCTCTCCTAGAACAGCAGGACATCCTCCTGACATGAATATCTCATTTTAAGTGGCACAAAATCCAAAAATCTTAAAGAGATATCCAAAACCTAAATTAAAAAAGAAGCTAACATTGAAATTTAAATGATAAAATTGGTTCATAAACATTTCTGGTGTTACAAAAGGGTTATACAGGCCGATATGTAGAGTTACGGCCTCTCATAACCAATTTTTTTCTAGAAGGTTTTCAAAGGGCTGCTTCTAATATTGCATGCTTAATACAGAGAGAGCAGAAAAACACCTCTTTTACCTACACTTCTCCAGAATAAAATAATTTCTCTTTGTCTCTCTGGTCACAGAAATAAGTACTTTGGTTCATTGGCCCCCTGGAGCACTGATACTACCCTACAAGCTGACGTTGGTGCAAGTATTAAAAAATCTTCAATCATATAACTCCAAGCCATTCATATTAATGTGCCTGCGTCAAATTACCCTTTCTATTCTTCAGGAAGAAGAAACACCATAAAATGTTCTCCGAATCCATAAAGACAACACCATTGGCACAGATAGGAATTTTGCTCTGAAGTGACAGCACTCCTCTTCTGAAACATGACCTAATGACTATAAAGGGTTTCTTTGGAAACACCATATTTTGTCATTAAACTGTCTTTACCACATCACATGTTCCCAAACCATTCTATACCAATGTTCCCTGAGAGTTAAAGATGGCTCTGAAGAAAAACTGTCATCTTTAATAAAGAAACGCAATAGACGTTTGTCATGGGGAAAGGCCCAATTTACTGTGTGGTATCTCTGAGTTTCTATTTTGTCTTGAGTGTTTTCAGCACATTCTCTCCACATTCCCAAAAGTTAGAAAGTGTATTTTAAGAAATGCCACCATTTTTTACATTTACTAAGAACGACATACTCAGAGACTTATTTCTGTGGAAATGTAGACCACAGAATTTAGAAACACACAATGTAAAAGAATTCACCATGCTTTAGGATACCACTAAGCTTTTGCCAAGCAATAATGGTATCTTAATGTGTGCAGTACACACATGAAACTGTCTATGTCTTTTCATTGAAATTAGTTCTTATTGTAGCAAGGTAAACTTGAGGATTACACACATTCCAATATTGGGAAAAGCGCCTTTTTTAAAAACTCGAGTTCGCTAATACCAATCCTCTTTCAAGAAGGAAAACTGCTCTTTCTTCTCGAGTCTCTCAGCAATTGGTTTCTGGCTTGAATATAAGGCCTGCTCTTCTGCATCCTACTCTCTCTCTCTCTCGATAGAGTGTGAAGAGCTGTGGGCAGAGACTGATTCATAGATAGCATTTTGCACAGTATTTGGCCCATTTGTTGAACCAATAGTTCATGGAATTAAAATGCATTTTGTTTTTCTTTGCAGAACCGTCATGGCATCACGTTACAATGTTTCAGCTATTTTGAAAAGCCTTGATTTGTTGGGGGTGGGGGAGAGGCAGAAAACTGTTACAGTTCTCTCCAACGAAGACAAAATGCCAATAAGATCCATTAGGATAGTGAGTTTGAAGAAATGACAGAAACCGAATATTCTTCTGTGGGCTGTGTATACAAACACTTGGGTGCAAAGAGCCCCATGCTATTTAAATGGATGAATTCTCACATACATTTGCTATTCATCCTACTCTGAGGATGTTAGAAAAATGGGAGCAGATTTAGTTATTCATCTTTACTTGCCTAGTTAGCTCCCACGGAAGAATATAAAAATACTTCAATAAAATAAGAGATACAAGAAAGGTTCTTCTGAGTGCATTCTGTGTGCAAACATGACATATTTAATTAGTATTATATTCCATCTTTAAAAAGACACCCAGGATTTGAGATATGAAATTACCTCTTAATAACGGACAGCTGCTAAACTTCTCAAGCAACCATAACTGCTACTAGTTAGTGCAGACCAGAAGTGACTATCTCTCAGAACGGAGCAAAATGCGTATACATGTAGGTCACAGAATAACAAAAGTAGAACTAGAAACTTACTGTTTTTATACTTCTCCATGGAACAAGAGTGGTGTACCTATGATGTAAGTTCATGTGACTAAAAGCAACACAAACAAGCAAAAAAGCTGCATTAAATAGATTATGAAATTACTTGTGGTAGGTAACAGATGTGTTACTGAGGACGTTTTGTTTATCCATTGCAGTTAGGTTGAAGAGAATCATCAGGCTTATAATTTTGCTTAAGAAAACTAGTTCATCTTCAAAAAGCAATTCTTTTTGGCCCCCACTCTATCAGGCTGCACAGAATTTTCAAAGCAGCACCATGTTGTAAAAAATGCCCTTTTAATCAGATTACCCTTGGCGAACGTCCCAAACTCAGGCTGAAGTGCAGTGCTTGTGGTTTCTCAACAGCTTACACTAAGCCTGCACCATGGAAATAATCTACTTTTAAAACCCAGGAAACAAATCGACTGCACTAAGGACATAAGTCGCTGTCATTAGGGAGTGATTAGGCTAAACATTTTTATACACTCTACTAGCCCACTTTCAAATTATATATCTCTGGCAGATAGGAAGAAAGGTACTTCAGGTGAGTGTTCGGAACAGCCATGCGGAAAAGTTAATAAATCCAAATGAACAGAACAGTAAGAGGAAGAATTAAAAGAGCTCTTGTTTTATTTTTAACTTGCTAATACCTGAATCAGGATTTCAGGAATCAAAAATGGAGCGTTTGGTCATATAATACACATACCCAAAATATTTTTCTTTTCAGCATATTTTTCTTTTTAGCATAACTTTTTTTTTAAGGTTTAGTACATCACATGTCCCTATTACTTATTTTAGGCTAACATGCTTCCTGTGTCACATACTTTAAGTAGGAAATTCCATGGAGATTAAGGAAAAGAAAATATCATTTTTATAATCGATCATTAGAGGCCATCCCATTCATCTTTCTTTAACAGTTAGTTTTGGGGATTTAGTGGCTCATCTTTGCGTTACATTGTGGAATATAGTAGGAAGTTACAGCATGATTCCAAATGTAGCCGCCTCCTCTTGTCCCACATCCACCCGCCCCCGGAACTCCTCCCCTCACATACCCTGATAGAGTGCCCTGGTAATAGAAGGCTTACAATCCCAGACTATATATTTATTTTACTTTTTAAAATGTGTATATGCATTAATGAAGTTGAACATTCAGTTGCTTGTTTTATAACTATTTCTGATTTTTTTCTTATTTCTTTTGCTTTTGTTTTGTCTTTGAGAAATATAAGTGAAAAATATCAACATGCTTTGTACATGTAGAAAACATTGACTTCTTTAATGAAAGAAGCTAAATATATGCTCTCAGCCAGTGGATATGGGAAGTTTATTTTTTCCCCATGGGCTGAAAAAAGATTGGATTTAAGAATGGGCTATTCCACCGGCCCAAAGCTCTGGCTTGAGCAATCTTTGATTCCTACTTTGGACAATCTGCTGATAGTTTCATTTCTAATTTATGAAACATTTCATTAATCCTCAATCTGTCAGCTCTTTTTTGACAACAATAGAGGCTGACAAAGATTAATATTTATTAAATATGCTTTACAATTTTTTGAAATACTCAGTTCATTTTAGTCCCCATTTCACCTAATTCTAAACAAACTGTAACCTTCCTAATTTCCTGAGCAATCAAATAGAGAAGACAGCAAAACAATTCTTTAAATACCAAATTGTATAATAACAGATCTAAACACAACATTCAGAAAAAAAATCAAAATACAGCTATCCTTGAGCAGAACTGCTAACATTCATATCAAAAGCATCTCCTATCCCAAGTATTTTCAGCATACATTTTTTGTGTGCTCTTCTTCCTCATCCTCTCTGCACCCCCCCTCCACTTTTCCAATCTCATAAATAATGCATGAACTGATAAATATGCAATTTCAAAAAGTGCAGACAAGGCAGCACTGCATTAAATAAAAAAAAGAAAAGAAAAGAGCTTGTGCTTTTTACACACAAGTCCTATGCTGCACTTTACGGATGACAAATTTTCTAGTATTCAAACCCTGTGTTGTGTATATGATAGGAGTGTGACTGCATTTCTGCTCATATACCTTGCTAGACATGTTATGAATTGTTTGAAGAAGACTGTAATACACAAAATAATATACATTTAAGGAAATGAAGTTAGCAATGTTTTAAAGCTAGGCACTTTATATTTGGAATTTTTGACTAAATAGTTTAAATGTTCACTCTATCGAGTTAGAAGATTAGAGATGTGCAAGTTTTGCATATAGGATAATGCTCTAGTGACAACACCACAAAGGTCTCAAACTCCTAAGGTTTTTCCTAAGCAAGAGTCATTTATTTGACATCATAAGAACAGTCTTAAGGGGCCAATTTCACAAGATCAGCAGTAAACTGTTCTGCCTGAGCTTTCAAACAGGTAAAACCACCCATCTAAGAGCCAGTATATAGAGCAGAGCCAGGACCTCCATTTTGTGGGCTAATTGCTTGATTACCAGCCTGAAACAAAATGGAGGTGAGACCTTTTTAAAGCAGCCCAGGGCTGATATATCAGAGGGAAATAGGAAATGTTTTAAGGGGATAAAAACATTCCTTAAAGAACCATAGGCATCTAATCAGATAAATATTAAAGGTTATGTAATAAATATGGATTATTTGGATTTATGTACTGAGAATAGAGATAATAGATAGGAATAAAGTATGGATTGAAAAGAGAGCTACTCTAGTTTAGCAACAGTTAAGTTTTAAAAAAGGAAACCTGATTTCAGTCAGAAATGTAACCTTTCAAATGAACACTTAAATTGGAAAACACCATGGGTAAGAAATAGACCACAGCATTTAATTTGGACCAGCTAGTTGGAAGCCTATATTTACTGTACTATAATTTCAAATTTAATTAAGTCACACTGCTGACGCCAGTAGCATCAACACAGTAAAGATGATTAATTGCAAGCGTAAATGAAATATAAACAGCCCTAAAAGTAACATTAATGCAGAACCTTGCACACAGAAATGGTAAGATCGATTTAAGTGTAAGCGCCTACCTGCGTCTTTGAGACACATGCCAGAATTGGGATGATGGTCCTGCATTTGAATGTAATCACTGTACCAAAAATATAACCTTTTACGGGTCATTATTTTTCTTAAGACATGTGTCCAACCTCCCCTTCTCCTCTCCTCCCCATACCTCAACCCCCAACATGATTTGTTATCTTATAGAAGACTTTTCACACAATTTGCATTGTCATCTTATGGATTGGCTACCGGTACACAAACATGAGCTGACACACTGCAATGGTGGGACTGGGCTGTCACAACAAGGCAGCTGGACTGTTATATATTCACTTTGCTTCCATTGTGCTTCCATTCACAGCAGCAGTAGGACAAAGGGCCCGCCAGAGCTAACCACGGATTGTCACCTTGATTTGTCCAGTCTAGCAGATATGCAGAAATGAATTATATTCTCCTGCTTATGAACACAACACAGAAGCAAATAAGCTTGCAAACAGCATTTTCCAAACCATATTATCTAAGAAATATCAAGCTTCATCCTAGATACTACATGCTGCCTTGCTCAGTAGGTGAGGAAAAGCAGAAAACCGGTGAAGACACAAAAAGGCTCTTCTCCAGTAATATATTCTTGACATTAGAAACTAAACTCTCTCTGATTGAGAGATATGTAATTTGCATTCTGCTTAGCTTTTATTTTTGATGAAGGCTATCAGAATGCTTCAAAATGTAAACATATCACATTTTTGAAAAGAATATGTAATGTGAAACCTAGTAAATAAAGCTGTTGTTCTTTTAAGAAAAACTATACTAAACTGAAATATTTTTCCTTAAAAATGATAAAATGAATGATTTCATGCAATGTCTATTTATAAGATACTTCTCAATAAACTCAAATCTTGTCTTATATAAGTTTTACCAAATGTTAAAGCTCTAAGAGTGAAAGCACCCAAAATAGTTTGCTGCTAATGAGAAAATTCACTGGAAGACTTTTTTAAAATGCCAATTGTTTAATTTACTACTTTATTGACAAAGAGTTTGTATGCCTTTGAGATCCAGGCAGTTTTAATATCAACACATGGATAAATGAAGCAAAAAGGGTTTAGAGATTTCTTTATGAAAACATGTCATCAAAACCAGAGAACAGAGGGAAATTGTTGTCTACCAGCTTTCTGAGTGAAGGTTAAAAAAAAAATTCCTTCATGCAGCAAAGAAAAAAAAATTGTTACCTTGAAAAAAAGCCTCAAACCTTATAAAGATCATTTCTCTCTCTCTTTCTCTCTCTCTCTCTCACACACACACACATACCTTACAAATTATTTCCATTTTTATAGACAATTCTGCATTTTTGCTGATCCTTCAAAAACACATTTTTTTTTATAAAACCATCGCTTCATATTTAAGAGTTCTTGGAGCAACAGAATTTAACCTACAGTTTGTCTTATTATTATTTGTTAATGTTACCTCCACAGTATGTGCAGAGTGCTTGCCTCTGAAGAAAAACCTAGAAAAGCATTCCACTTTTTTTTTTAAGTAAGATAAGGCTAATCTGAAGATGCTGCATTTAAAAACCAAAATATTCCATTGTGTGTCTGAGCATATGATATTTAAAATAGCCGTCTTAAAAATATGTACCATTCAAAAGACCTATTAATTTTGCATTTTAAACTGTACTATTCTATTGTCTTCTGCTTAATACACATGGATTCTGTTCACAAAGCAACACTTGGTACCTAGTGTTTTAAATGGTGAGTAGCACAAACCAACATGATACACGTAGTTATAGACAGCATGTATGAAAAGAACATAAAACCCTACCCCATACAGAAATGCAAATGTTACTTGATCAAAGGGCTGCAGTTTCACAGTGAAGGAGTCGGTCAAAATAAAACCTTTAGGAGGATGCGTAAGAAAATCTTGCATAATTTTCTTCAAATATATTTAAGAAAAATCGAAATATACCAAAATTATTATTTATTATTGTCCAAGGAAAAATTGTACAGATGCGTCTTTCCTTGGAATTCTATGCAGCCAACCATAAGAGCTCTGTGACCATTCACCTGACTGCAGCAGAATCAGGGCTTGATGGTTACAGAGGGTGACAGAAAGGGACCATTGGAAGTGCTGTTATGCAGTTTGCAGGGGAAGATTTCAGCACATTTCAGCTTTATCTAGTTATACTAGGTAGTTTTTTTTTTCATTTACTAGTTGTGCATAGCTCTCAATACTGGAATTCAACTTGTACTCAGTGACCACCATTTATAGCATTCTTTGCTTTAAGATTCAGCATTATGAGAGAGATTTTCAAGTTGCCTTGGCATTTCAATCTGCTTTATAGTTGTAAATAAAATTTGCACATTAGTGCCTTCATGCACATGGTCCTCTTTGAAAAAGATATGATTCCACTTTATCCCTTTATTTAATCATAAGTTCTGAGAACATAATACAGAGTACTAAGGTTTTCTTCAAATTCTTTGTAGAAATACATGCTCGGTTTAGGGCTTTGGTGAAAAATGTGATCTCCAGGGCTAAAATGGTTTCCTCAAAGCCTGTCTTTTGTGCATTTAAATTACAGCATGTACATTTCTCTTTAAAATTGAGCATGTTGTATGAAACATGATTCTGGAATTTGGAGTTATTTGGAATTATTTTATAATAAGTACAAGTTAGAGCTCTGCATTAAACGTAGAAGGGCATTCTATAGTCATTAAAGAGGGAATATTGAGAATTTAAAGGTTCAAAATAAGTACATACAACCATTTGTTAAAAAATCAGTAACTATGCTCAAGAAAAAAATAATGTTTTCAAGCATTTAATGGAGGACAAAAATAAAATATTTGTGAACATAAGATTTTGTTCCAGAAAATAATCATAATCATTCACCTCCTCTCCCCAATATATTCCCTCTCCCCTCACCCAGAATGTTCTCTTGAGACAGGTTAAAAAGGGAGGGGGGCATCAAATCACTGTTTAGCATTGTCCTAAACTTTCATTACATTTAAGAGCAAGACAAGCCACACAGTTCTGCTCCCTGATATATTGTTGAGTGGGCCTTCTAAGGTTCTATTTTCCACGTAGGGTCAAGACTGCTGACATGGGATTAATCAGCTACTCCTCCTAAACCATGAATCAGAACAATTGCTGTCAGTTTCATATGGTACAACTGCCTGGAAATAGAAGAGTTGGAAAGTGAGAGAACATATCAGGAATGTAGAAAAGAAAATGTTAGTGGACAGTTGTAACTCCAATTTGGCTACTTGTGATTTGGTGTAGTCACCAAATTAAAATGATGAAATATATGTTTAACCAAGTGCTTTCGGAACATCCATCCCCCATCTTTTTTCCCTTCTTTGAGATCTTGCACATTTATCAATTGTGACATTTTATAAAAACTTCACACTCCTTTACTTTCTTTTGGTAGGCACCATTTGTATTCCAGTTCACATTAAAACATGTCTATTGACCCAGGGTTAAAATCAACGAAGGCAAGGCAAAATGCGTGCAGCTTTTCTGCATACATATTGCAGAGCCAACATTGTATTTAACCTCTCCCTCAGTGTTTGCATTACAGAATTGGAAAATACTAGGTGCAAATGTCTGCATAAAGGGAAACGGAAATCCTTCACTATTAAGGAGGAGTGTGACAAGCTTCTTTTTATATGATGATACACTTAACATCAAAATGGCCTGCTCCTAAATGAGATCACTCTATTACTAATGATGATATGAAAATGGACACACTGATCACATGTTTGGAAAAACAACTATCTTTAGCTTTGTAAATGATATTCAAACAAAACCAAGAGTTATTTTTCTTGGGGATAAAGTACCACATGCAAATTAGCTTTTTCTGTTTGTTAGCTTTAGAATTAGATACTTTCAGGAAAGTTAGTGTTAATACTATATGATATAATACGTGATCAGGACATATGGACAAAGGTGATTAATAATTGTGCCGTGCCAATGAAATAATAGTGTATTAGAGAATCTAAAACTAAGGGAATTTTCAAAATGAAAGTTTATTTTCATTACCATAATATTATTCAGTAGCACTATTCTGTTTAATTCTAAGATAGAATGTTTTAGAAAACAGTCCTTCCATAATTAAAAATTAAATAGCTGTTTTAATATCGATATATTTTTAAAAGTTAAAAGATTTGTTACTCAAAATGGTATGAACAAAAATTATATATGTGATAATATAATAATGCACAAATAGCCATTTATAAATGGAACCATTTCCTATGTACCTGAGATCTGCTTTTACATAACTGATTGAAAGTAATAAATTTACTTTAATGTTTCATGATGCTACTACAAATGAATTCATAGCATATGAGAAAATAGAAAAATATTGAGATTGTCCATAAATAGTGCAACAATTATGTACATATATATATAATCCATTTTACATATACATAAATTATATTTTATCTTAACCATATACACAGTATAAACATATGGGCAATTAGAGGTTTATCATTACTAAAATACACTACAGAATTGGTATGTTAAATGAAATGGAATTATTTTACAAAAATGGTATGTAATAGAAAAAATACATGTTCATTTTAGTATGCAATAATAAATACTCATTTTATAACACAAAAATTCTATGGTCATAATTTTACATGCAATATTTGGTGTATCTACACAAAAGTTCTCAAGAAGATTGAATCACAAAAGAAAGAAATGGAAGTATCTGTTATCATTTGTCACAAGAATTTATTCTTCTCCAAAAAATTTACCTTATAACTTCAAAACATTACTTGGAAACAAATATATAGCTATCATCACCGTCTTTAAGTTTAGAACAATATTTTTAATGTTTTTGTAGACGTATTGATTTGATTAAATAGGATGGGGATTGAAGTTATAACTATATTATTGCTCCATTGAAAAATACTTTGACAGAAAAAAGTGCAGAATTATGTGAACAAAAATTGGCCATAAGTATTCATAAGAAACACTGCTTTTGGAAATAGGTGACTTATTTTTATCCAAAAGCAATTAAAGATGAATGTATTTTATAATTGAGGAAATATTTGATTATAAAAATAATTGGTTGTAGTGTAATTTAAAAATGACTGCTTAACAGTTCTCTGACGTTGATATATAAGACATTTGATAAAATTACTGCCAAGTTTTCAAATTGTACAAAGCAGTGTAAATAATTTGTAAAAGGCTATTTAGAATGATTTTAATCTTCTTTCCTGTTTTATTAATAATTTGTATACAAGTAAAAACACAATAAAAATATTTCTACAGAATTTCATAAATGTACCCGGATTCTATATGTATTTGTTTAGCATTGCCAGGGTTAATTCTAATTTGAAGCATTTAATGCTATTCTTATTATTTCCAAGGAAATCCATAGGATCAATGTTATTGCCCTAATGCTTGAATAAAAGCTTTGTATGAAGTGATTTATAGAACATGATATTCAAATCTGTTTTTGAGAAAGAATATTCTGCTTATCCAAAATAAAATAACAGGTGCTACATATTTTAAAATGATTTGATAAAGATGTTCGGGAATGAAAACATATGCCACGTATCTCGGAGTAAAATCAGGGTAACCAAGTATACATAAAGAAGAGCAGGTTTAAAGCTTAGTGTTACACCTGAATACAATTTCTGTAGAACGAATTCAAAGTGCTACACACATGCAGAGGTGCTCACAAAGAGTGGGGCAGGGAGCAGGCCGGGGAAGAGGAAAGAGGAAGCCTTAATAACCTTTAGTAAGACAACCAATTCATCGATGTGACTCCTACCATTCTCCCCAGAATGATTTGCACCAAGAAAGGCTGGACACCTAGATCAAAGCCACACTCAGCCTTGGGAATCTGGCTAACTTGTCCTCAATTATAGATGACATTTAGGCAAAGAAAGAAAATATTTTCTCACCAGCAAATGGAAAAAAATTTATATTTTAAAATTGCTGAGTAGACATGCACAACTGGACTCCCAACCATTTTTACTTGCCTTTGCTCCACCAATATTTTACCTACTTTCTGCATAGAATATGGGAAGAAGGTTTAAAATTACTGTATATACCTAGAAACAGCACAATCAATACTTAATAAGCTTTTAAAATTCCATGTGAGTCTATGGAAAAGAATCAGAAAACAAGTATGACAACGATTTATGAAACAGAATTTTTTCCTGTCAAAAATTAAATCAGTGTGAAATCTGGCTTCCTGCTAATGAAAATAATATCAAAGGGTTGCTAATTATATCAATGTTTTGTAGCTACAGAAATATTGTTATCTCTGCTTGAAAAAACAAATCTCTGAAATTGTTTACCAAATAGTTGGATGATACCTCAGAATTATGACTGTAGAATATACTTTGAAGAAGAGAGAATTCTGCTGGCAAACTAAAGACTTCGATTTAAAATATCTAAAAAGGACTTTGGTATTTTAAAATTACCTTTTAGAGTAGCTATTTATTTTTAACATAAATAATTTTTTTGGTTAAATGCTACTCTAAAAATCCAAATGAAGAAAACAAAACTATGATAGGACAATAATAGTGTTGTGTAGCAAGAATTATTCTTAAATATCAACATATTTACCTCTAGGTAGTATTTGGTTAATAAAGTTTCCCTTATAAGTTAAAGTTTAAGAGACTAAATCACACAAATTATTAAACCTCTATTCAAACCATTGTCTGAATCTGTTAAGAATAAATGTTCTTAAAGGTTTATGTGTATCTATTTTTAAAAAGTATTCATGCCTGCCCTGCTTTATACCAGATAAATACACTTTAAAAGTTTCCACTGAATTTTTTAAAATAAAAACATCTTTATAATTATATTTTTCTTTTTTAATCCATTGTGTAAAATAACCAAAAAGTAGGAAAAAAAAGTGTGATAAGAAAATAAATTATCTACAATCCCCACAATCACAGGCAAAAACACTTTAGAATATTTCCTTCCAGTCTTTTTTTCTTAGGATTTTATATTTTATAAAAATTGATAAAATAAATTATACATAATTTGGTATTCTGCACTTTTGTTACAAAGTGTGTTAGAATTTCACTGCATGCTCTTTACAAACAAAACTATAAATATTATATGATCTTCCATCTTATGAAAATATTAGCTACATCACTTTTCAGGAAACAAAACAGGATATTTGTTATTTGAAAGATACTATGATGAATACTTCTTTTTAAGACAATAATTGCCACTGAATTATTTTTCCTTCTTTCCTTTAATACTTTAGAATTTTGTGGGTTATTTAGAACAAAAGATAAAGATGAACTCTGAGTTTAGTGAAAATGGTTATCAGATAAATAGCTTAGCTTTCACAACATGTCTTGCCAAAAGCTTGCAAATCGTTCCTCACTTGGGGGCATGTGAGAAAGGGCTGTAATAAGAATAGCTGAGATTTGCTGGAGCAAAATCTTACGGAAAGAAGAATCTGCAGGTTTAAAAAGGTAATGCTGTAATCTTACATTTATTCCGGAGCAAACCATAGATGTGCAGTGTGACCATTTGCAAATATCATTTAAAAAGAACACATACATATGAATTCATATTCATTGCAGATAACCTTGTTGTTTTGTATGTAGAGATGATGTTTGTGTGTGTGATATATGTACACTCACCTTAAAATGTATCGAGAACCAAAGTCACATGAACTGCTGAATGAAATAATGAGGAAAATGTGCAAGAAGGCATGTAAATAGGGTAGATACTTAACAATGTTGCAGGTGACATAAAGATTTCCTTTCTTTGCCGAATTTCTCACTATCAAAAATTTTCCCTGAAGAAGCAATGGTCCTATTTATATCAATAGGGTTTTGCAGGTCTTTAGAGACATTTTACTGAAAAAAAAAGACAAAATTCCCCATTTTAATTAGATAGATATTTCTGACACGTGACCAAAAATTTTTTTCTGCTCTTTTACTGATCATTCTAATTGACAGAAATAACCTGGTGCTAAAAATAGGATGGAATATCTTGAGATAAATGTAATAATAGGTTTTGCATTTTGACTAATTTTTAAATTTAATTGAACAGTTATTTTTGCTAAATTGATCACCTTACTTAGGTTGGGGGATATATTTTAGAGTGTGTGTGTGTGTGTGCGTGTGTGTTGAGGGAGGAGAATTATGGGTAGGAAAGTTTTATGCCTAAGGAGACATAGAAATGATTACAACCACAGGAAGTATTTAAAATTACACACACAGTCATCGCTGATGCTCTGATTACAAGTGTCAAATGTTTTTCACATGTTTCAACTATAAAATAATCCAGGTACCATTACTTTAGAAAGACAAAATATAATGATATTTGCATGTTAAAGATCTAAATGTAGTATTAATTGTACTGTTTTTTAGTGGAATTTATTTTTAAATAAAGTGCATAGTACATATTTAGAAATATAGTACTCTACACCCCGGCTTGCAAAACAGAGTAGGGTTGATTTAAATGACACTTTTGAAAGGAACACGTCCTAAGATGTGCTCTCTCAGTTGTCTTGCTGCTTTATTTTAATATGAAAAAGATAATCTAATCTCTACTTGCTAAAAAGATTATGCATGTATTTATTTATTTAAAATTAGGATATACTTGATATCATATTAGTTCCAGACACACAAAGCTAAGAAAGAATGGCGAGCCCAAAAAGTCTAAGCTTGAGTATCTGTTTTATTGCAACTCTCATTTTGTAAAGTAACAAGAATGTTCATTCTTCATTTAATAAAAAAAGTAATTGTTTCCACTTTCCCTGTGAATCATCGGATTGAAGAATGAGCACTACTAGATTTGAAGGAAAGTGAAAACTAAAGATGTTCTTTCATGTTTTCCTTGGGGGTGTAAAGGGAGATTGTTCTTTTCCAACGTATTTCATACCAGGAAGTTAAATTTTATTTTGTGGATAATTTAATTACCTTTCATACATCGTAGATTCAGAACATTGTAAGGCACACTTCCATTTTCCCTTTTTCCCTCATATCTCACATAACCACTACTCACAGAATGATAGAAATCTTTGAAATGCTCATGTTGTCACATGAGACTGATTCTTTGAAAAAATTACAATCTTTGTGTTTTTAAGGGAACTTACATATGAATTTAAAATTCATATCTTAATCTATTAAAATATACTCAATCCCCTTAAAACACTCCCTTTTAGTATACTCAATCCCTTTAAAACACCCCCTTTTAACTTAGCCACTTCCTTCTAAGACACTACAAGCAATTTGACTGGCAGATCTCATTCATGCACCATATAATTGTTTCCTGATTTGGGGTTTAAGAATTATATAAAGCATAAGCGGTTTGAGTATAAAGTAATGAGATCTCTAACAAACAGACTTAAATTTACATTTTCAAACAAGTCATTTTCATCCAAAGGCATCTCCTTGAGAGTCTGTAGTCGTTCCATTTATGTGACCATTCTTCTCTTTAAAGTGACCTTCTTCATGGGCATCCTGTTCACAAACCTCCCATGAGGTTACGTTATGATGTACTGACATCATTCAGTGTCAATATATTGAAAAAGTAGGTGATATGGCTTGGTAGGGGTATGGAAAAGAAGGAAAAGAAGAAAAGAAAGATTATGAGAAGTTGGATAAAATAATGTGACTAGTCTTCCTGTGTGATTCATGAACAGATTCAGAAGATGGTTCTAAAACAACAGTTTCAAACAAAGTTTTGAACAAAGACAGTAGTATTGATGAACTCTATGTGTGGGCTCTAAGCTTATTTGAAGGATGGTGCTCATTTGCATATATGCATACTAATTTGCTAATTTTAAATACAGTATTCTTCCCTTATCCAAGACCCCCACAGATGCCTGAAACTGTGGATGATACCAAACCCTATATACTATGGATTTTTTTTCTTTACATACATACTTATAATACATTTTAATTTATAAATTAGGCATAGTAAGGGATTAAAAATAATAATAAAATAGAACAATTATAACAATATGCTGTAATAAGAGTTATTTGAGTGTGGTCTTTCTCTGTCTCAAAGTATTGTACTGTGCCTCAGGTAACTGAAAACAGAAAAAGCAAAACGATGGATAGTAGGGACTACTATTGTGTGTGTGTGTACTCATATTCTATGGGAATACTTTATATGCCTTTTACCATATTTATATCTTGAAAGAGGAAGGAAAAAAAGATGAGCTGCGCAGTAAGAAACTGGAGCAACAGAACATTGTGTAGCTGACGCCTAGTCAGCTGCCTATTTGCTCCCATATTTTGCCATTCGTTAGATAAGGAGCTTTCACACTTAGTTCCAATTCATTGAATTTTGCCTATAAAGTGCTTTATTGGTTGTTTCTTGTATTAGTCATGCAAGAAAGTCAGTTTTATTACCTTAGCATCACAATTTTAGACCCCCAAAATTGCATTATCCAGTTTGGATTACTCAATTTATATATTAGACTTGGTTGTGAATGCATTCCCATTATTTCTAAAACCAAAATAATCCTCAAAAGAAAATGTCTTCAACCTTTGATGGTAGTCTGTAGTTTGAAGAATATGTCACATATTGTGAAAATAATTCCAAAAAGTTTCTTACAGTAATATTTCATCAATGCTCACTCATTGGCTTAACATGACCATTTGAAGGGGACAGCACTCTGAGTGTCCAATTTTTGATGTGTGTACCTAGAAAGTTTTAATGGAGTTTTATTTTTACATATCTACTTTCGTAGAACATATGATTATAAAATTGTAAATGTAATGACTATAAGCCAACTTGATCACTTTCCTTTTATGAATGGCCTCAGGGGTTAACATCAAATCAGAATAAATATTGAAGGGTAAAGTTAAACTAATTTTAATTGTTACATAAAATCTTTCTAAGATATAGTATTTCATTTCCATCTACCTTCAATTATAGGAAAATGGGTTGTTAAAAAATTATGCCTTGTTGAGATAAATTGTTTTTTTTTGAAACTATTTGAAGCATGAAGGAACTAGTATATCTCAACACATTGCAGGAGAAGAGTTTTTTAAAAACTTAGACATAACAGTTTTATCAATACATAATTGTGAGCATTTTATCTACTGATTTACTTAAATTAGTTAGATGTCTGTAGATTATGTAAGTCACTGACTGGCTAGGGAACCATCATATTCACTAATATATTCACCTGGACCAATTTCTTATGTGCAGATTTGGGTATTTTGAAAGATAAATACATGGAGCATTTTAACACCTATTTTTAATTCCCTCTGGCTTTATTTTACTTAAATGGAGGAGTCTACAAATATCACTTGGAGATAAGCTTTATAAAGTTTCTGTAAAAATTCATACCTTGCCAGATGTTGTTTCATCTCCTACCCCTAAAGGCTTCAAAGTGAACATCAAGAAAATGTCTTCAACCACTTCTACTACATCTGGGGCTCGGGAATTTTCTGAACATTTCAGTCAAAGCTTGACACCTTTAGATTTTCTATACACCAAACATTATCAGGTTATGTGATTTACCAATACGTTATTTTCAGAACAAGAAGGAATTTGGCAATAATTTAGTTTAACCCTATATATTGTATATGAGAAAACCAAGACGTGAAAGTGTGAAGTTCCTTGTTCAGGTCATAGCCTTTGATACTAGTAGAATGTGAAGAATTATTCAGACCAGTATGTCTTAGGACACACCACCCTGCTCCATGGACAGTTGGAACTAGACAGATTAGATAGATAGATAGATAGATAGATAGATAGATAGATAGATAGATAGATAGACAGACAGACAGACAGACAGACAGACAGATAGATAGATAGATAGATAGATAGATAGATGGATAGATAGATAGATACAGATATAATTGCTTTTTCTTGATCTATTTGTAGTTAGCTAATCCAATGCCGGTCTGAACAGATTTGTAACTCATTTACGCTTTTTATTTTTATTTTTCTGATCACGTAAAGATATATTTTTCTCAAGAGAATAAAAAAGAAATCAAGACTAAAATAGGTCAAGCTTTGAAACCTTCTAGCTAGAGTTGATTCAAAACTTTTTTGAGGCCGTGTTTCCTCTTGATCATAGAGGTGGTAGTCAGAGCAGGCTTGTCTCCAGCCCTCTCAAGACAGTGGCACTGCCGAGGAGGGACAGGGGGTGGTCATGGGGGTGGCAGGTGGCCACAGGGGCGAGCTGAGCAGCAAATTCTTTAAGGGAACCAGAGGTCATTTAAGGATGTTCATTGTGTTCTTCTTTATTTGGAATTCTGTTTATGCTGTTAACATTAACACAGATTTTCCTTAATGAATGTTTTCCAGCTGAAAGATATATTGTGTGAATCTTTTGAACATTACTTCACTAAATTAAAATAGCTCTGTCTTGCAATGAGGCCTTTGCCTTTTGATGTTATACTTAGGTTTCAGATAATGTCCATGACAATACACATGTACTCTGCAAAGATGATCTTTTTTTATTTTATATATATTTTTTGAGACAGAGTTTCACACCTGTCACCCAGGCTGGAGTGCAGTGGTGCCATCTTGGCTCACTGCAGCCTCCACCTCCCTGCTCAAGCAATTCTCCTGCCTCAGACTCTCAAGTAGCTGGGTCTACAGGTACATGCCACCACGCTGAGCTAATTTTTGTATTTTTTGAGGGCACGGGGTTTCTTATTAGTATGATGCCTAGGCTGGTCTCCAACTCCTGAGCTTGTCTTGGCCTCCCAAAGTGCTGGGATTACAGGTGTGAGTCACTGCACCTGGGAGATCTTTTTAATCAATGTCATTTAGGGTTCACAGTATATTTTAATAATTTGAAAGGTTTTCTGTCTGGTGATACCAAAATTAATGTAAATATTTAGGTTTTATTATTTCACAATTTGAATCCATGCATTTATTTAAAACCATATTTTTCCCTGCAAGCTTGGTGACCTTACTGCCAAAACTGTATACATTTTGCTTCTTATCCCATTAAAAAAGTACAAGTGTTATAATATTTTTCCTATTTTATTTTAAATGATTGGGAGGATGGAGACGCTGTTTCAAATCTCCCTATGCAAAAGCCAAAGAGAAACCATCACCACATTCGTGGTGATTGTATTTACTAAATCACTTCCAAATTAGACACTTCAGAAACAACATGCTACACAAATAGCAAATATTCAATTCATGCATTGCCTGAAGGCTTTGGACTGCATTACCCTACATATCCATCACAGGAACAATAGAATAAAATGATTCTGCAAGGTTGGAGAAATCAAACCCACTCAGCCACTTTTCATAAGGAATATTTGGATAACCAAGGCTTGATGCAAATATTTGTTACTAGCCATTATGACAAGCTGGGGACATTCCATGATCTTATTAGTACCCAGTCATTCACAGTTTGCTTTTTCTGTATCAAAACATGCACACAGATAATAGGAATAAATTGTTTATTTCCCATGTTACTAGGCAATTATAAATATTTCAGCAAGAGGGTTATACTGTGCCAAGGTTAGAATCTAATAGAATAATTCAAGATGCAAATGCCATTGTTTAGTAAGCTAATGCTGATGTTCGCAAATAGTCTTCATCTGATTGGCTTCTAAGTAAAAAGACTTAAAACAGAATATGGTATGCACTACCTTTTAAAAAGCTGTTAGCTTATTGCTTATCACTTCTGTAAGGTCTCCTTTATTTTTTCATCTCTGGACAGTATTCTAGGAAATAATGCTATATACTGTACATACCTATTAGCAACTGAGAACTCCCTAATTCAATTCTACAATATTTTAAATACAAAAATTACAAGAGTTACAAAGCTACTGGTTTATCTTACTACTTTTATTATACAATGTTTTTAGAGGACTCTGCTTCATTCAGTATTGCAGGCAACTTTTTCCACTATTGTTCTTCATGATGTTTTGTAACTGCTGATACGTAAAATTGAGATTTATTAATAAGTTATAGCTTCTCTGAAAAATAAAAATATAGTTACAGAATCATGGAACTAGAACTGGTTTGAGGAATTTTTGAACCATCTTACTGTACAGGTCAAAGAAGATATGCCAGTGAAATAAAACAATCTGACCTGAATTTAAGTTAATCTTTTGCAGAACAGCCAAGACCAAAGCTGAGGCCACATAATACATTGTCTGGTGTAGCGCTGTTTACACTACCTCATATTTTTGCCTCTTCTTTCCAAAACTTTGTTATTGTTGTGGGAGAAAGGTGGGAGAAGGCTATCTAGGAGGTCTACCTACCCCTTTTGCATTCTACGGGTTCACTCAGAACTCTCTATCCCTACAGAAATGCTCATCTATTCTATTTTCCATAGTCATTTCTTTCATTTTCTATTATTTTCATAAGTTTTTTTCTTATTCTTTCCATTTTAGAGAAGATAGAAAGATTGTTAAAATTTGTAGTTCTTTTATGATGTTCTGGAAAAACATGAGAAGGGAGCAAGATATTTTAAAACAGGAGCATTTCTTCAAGTTTTAAGAGATGGAATGGAGAGAGAGGACATCCTTCTCAGCAGTCACTGGGATATACCTATGGGTAGGAGATCAGGAGTAGAGCGATTTCCAGAAGGGCTGGGCTGCTTTCTGATTACGCTTCAATGGGCTAACTCTTTATCTGATGAGTTAATGGGTGCAGCACACCAATATGGCACATGTATACATATGTAACAAACCTGCACGCTGTGCACATGTACCCTAGAACTTAAAGTAAATTAAAAAAAATAGTTTTTTCCCCTTTTTGGTGGAAACTAGTCATAGGACATGTAGATTAAAACAAACCCTCCTCCATCTTAAAAGTAAGAAGGAGGGTGAGATGGGAGGATTGCCTGAGCCCGGGAAGTCAAGGCTGCAGTGAACCATGTTCATGCCACTGCACTCCAGCCTGGGTGACAGAGTGAGACCTTATCTCAGAAACTATAGGAAAAAAAAACACCACAAAAACACAAAATGATATGGTTTGGCTGTGTTGACACCCAAATCTCATCTTGAACTGTAACTCCCACCATTCCCACTTCCATGACATGTGGGAACATGTCATGGGAGGAACCCAGTGGGAGGTGATTGAATTATGGGGGCAGGTCTTTCCTGTGCTGTTCTCATGATAGTGAATGAGTTCACAAGATCTGACGGTTTTAAAAATGGGAGTTTCCCTGCACAAGCTCTCTTTTTGCCTGCTGCCATCCACATAAAATGTGGCTTGTTCCTCCTTGCCTTCTGCCATGATTGTGAGGCCTCCCCAGCCATGTAGAACTGTAAGTCCATTAAACCTCTTTTTTTGTAAATTGCCCAGTCTTGAGTATGTCTTTATCAGCAGCATGAAAATGGACTAATACACAAGACAAACAAAAAAGTAAGAAGGACAGACAGAAACAAAAACTATGTTTTTATCAATTTAGTATTCAATGTGGCATTGATTAGTATCTAACACACACACATTTGTTAGTTTATTTGTTTTCTTCATGTAGTGAATATCTCACATTTGTATATGGTTGAATGTACAAAAGTTCAGATGTCTTCCAAGAGAGCTAGGATGCTTTTTATTTATTTCCAAAATATTATTCTAGTTAGGTGCAGTGAATCATGCCTGTAAGCCTAGCACTTTGGGAGGCCAAGGCAGAAAGATCACTTGAGCCCAGGAGTTCGACACTGGGCAACAAAGCAAGACCTGCCTCCACAAAACAACTGAAAAGTTAGCCAGGCATAGTGGCACATGCGTGTAGTCTCTGTTACTCAGGTAGCTGTGGTAGGAGAATCACTTGAGCCCAGGAGGTTGAGGCTGCAGTGAGCTGTGATCGCACTACTGCATTTCAGCCTGGGCGACACAGAAAGACTCTGTCTCAAAAAAAAAAAAAAAAAAAAAAACAACAAAATATATATATATATATATATATATATATATATATATATATATATATATATATATATATATATACATAATTCTGAAACAAGAAGGAGGTAAATTTCATTCATTGTGTAATCATCAAAATAAAGAAAAATCTAGAAGAAGTTTTTCAGCTCACCACTTGTAGATCCCAGATGAGAATACAACCTTCTGGAACATATCCCCTATGGACTGATGTCCCCAAATTTAAAATATTCCAGCCTTTGGGATTCACATTTTATGAATTTTTATATGATTCATTTGTTTATTGGCATACTAATCTTTCTAGGTACATCAGAATGTATATATAAACATGGTTAGTAATTGATGTAATAAGATTCAAAAGACAAAACTTAATAGAACTCTATTTTTCTAAAAACCGGACATTCTGGGCTAAAAGCACAAATAGTAAAATATAGGCCACTAAGAAGCACTTACACACTGAGCATGAGGCACACAGAGTTTAACGTTTCCCTTTGGGGTGGCAGAAATTTTTAGTAGGGTTTTTTTCTTCATTTCCAAAGGCATGCAAGGGTTGGGACATCCAATCTTTAATGTGCAATAAAATGAAATGGCAATTTTCCAAGAGCCGTGAGACTGCAGCTAATTAGCACATTAATTTATATAAATAAAATTCTCTTTGCTGTTCCCCAGTGTTCTGCCTGAGAAATGCAACAAGATGAATGAACATGACAAATCAAAGTGAAATTTACAGGCTTAAAATAAAGGATACAGAAATAATCCCTTGACCTTATTCCAACTTTTCTGTCCCTGCTTCATCAGTGCAGCTCTGCCAAGAGCTCCTAAATGTATGCTCCTTGTTCCACCACACTTCAATTCTAAGGAAAATTTCCCAGGAAGAGTACAACCAGTTCTTTCCTCCAGGACTTGAACTCCTAAATAAAATAGCTCAGTTTACAACTCAAGAGAACGACTCTCTTTTATTTTTACATTTACTTTTAAGATTTTCTCACGTACATTTCTTAACAAAAACATAAACATTGTTTCCATTTTTTAATATTTTCCTTGCATACAAAATATTGTGTTTAATTATTCTTAGTTTTAACTAATTTTTATGATTAACCTGAATTTTTAAAACTAAAAATTTCCTAAGGCCAAGTCAGTATTTCAAGTGAAATTGTTAGTTTAATAGAAAAGCAAACTCCTAATTACCAGGAACTTTATTTTATTCAATTTTTATTTTATTATTACTCTTAAAAATACATTTAATGTAGTAACTACTTTCAAATATGTATGCATACATTCTTACTGTTACATACATATCTAATACATATATCCAGATATATCCCCCTTGACAGAAGATGGCCTGTACAACCATAGGTAGTTGGCCCTGATTATAACACAAAATTAATAAAATTAATTTTATGAAAAATACAATAGAACAGAACATAAAAGGACATAATTTATATAGTAAATATAAGTACTGTTTTGAGACACCTCTATCAGTTATAAGTGCCTGAGTGTATACATTGTGATGAAACATGTATTTCTAGTCATGTTCATAAAAGTTCATAAGATCCTCTATAAAGTAGAATATAGAAAAAACTAGAGTCTGGACTATTATTTCTTAATTCATATATTCAATAAAAAATTATCATGAGGGTACAAGAGCGAACAAGACAGTGTGTGGTCTTATGGAATGTATGTTATAGTGAAAAATCAGAAAATAAACAAGTGAACAAAACATATATGTGATATGATCTCTAGTGATGGTGACATAAAAGAACGTAAAGGAAGATTAGAGGATTGGAGACAGACACTAAGGGTAGCATGGGGCTGCTGTAATACAACTGTTAAAGAGGGCTCACTGAAGAGGTACTATTTGTTCACCCTGAATAGTGTGAAAAGGAGCATTTCAGCCATGGGCACAACTAATGCAAAGTTCCTGAGGTAGGAACATGATTAGCATGTATAGAGGAGCTGCATGAAGGCCATTAGGAGTGGAGTGGGGTACCCGTTGGGGGAATGGGTACCATGACACCCAGGGAGAGGGTCAACTGCCAATGATATGGGACTTTGTCAGCCATGCCAAGGACTCTAGATTTTATCTAAAGTGGGATGGTGAAGCTGCAGGGAGAGCTTTGGCATTCCATCTCTTAAAGTGCTCTCTGGTTGCTGCATGGAGAACACACTATTGTGAGAATGTTAGAGTAATGAAAAAACCAGACTAGTTATAAAACCAAATGAAATACAGGAAAAATAAGATAATAATACCTTGGTGTAGGATGGCAATGGTGGACGAGTGAGAAGTGGTTACAGTCAGGATACAGTTTGACCAATAGGACTTGATGATTGAAGATGAATAAGTATGAAGGTAAGAAACATATCGATGATGACTTTTTGACTTTTGGTCCTAATAATCTTGTGAATGACAGTGGAGCCTCTTGCTGATATGTGGACAGTTTTGGGAGGAGAAAAGTGGGCTGGGTGATTGGTTAATTAGCCTTTTCCCCTTTTTTCTCTGATTAATATTTTACCATTATTATAGCATTCCAATGAACATTGATTAAGGAATTACTAAGAGCCAGACTCTGTGCAAAATCCTGGGACTATAAAGTCAAAATAAAAACAGTTTTACACAAACAAAAACAAAACTAGAAATTACGGCATGCTGTAATTTGTGCTATAATAAGTATACAAAGAGAATATACTGGAAGGCAGAGTAAAGAACCTTTATTAATTTAATGGGCAATCAAGTATTTCCAATCAAAGTGAAACGGAAGCTGTGTTTCAAAAGATAGGTTGAGATTAACAAGAATAACAGCTTGTGGAGGAAATGGAGAACACTCCAGGTGTAAAAAACAGAATGGGCAAGAGCATAAAGAAATAAAGCACGTGTGTTGGAAACCTAGTTCACTGTAATCAGGTCTATGTTGGATATTGGCAAATTATGTAGCTAAAATGGTAGGCAGGGACAAGATCATATAGAGCCTTGTTTATTGAGCTAAGGGGTTTGAGTTTTTACTAAAATCTATAAAGACGTTACAGGATTAAAATCAGGGGAAATGATATGATAAGATAAACTGGATGGGGACCAGGCCAAAGGCAGAAAATACAGTAAGGATGCTTTTGTAGGAATCAAAAATAGATATGTTGAGATCCTAAATTAAGGCATTGAGAGCAGGGATGAAAAAAGGAGATTATGTTTTCACTCTATTAAGGAAGTAAGCGTTGTAAGATGAGCACTGGACGAGAGAGGAAGATGATGTCAGTGAAAGTGCACTAAGAGTGTAAGCAGATGACCCTTTAGATCCACTTTATGCTTGGTCAGGAAATATTTAGAGATCTAATCATAACACCTAGTCAGATCCCTTGCATGACTCCAGTTCTCTAATTTAGGCTCTTCCTGAGTCCTGGACAATTTACACGCTGGGTCCTGATTTCTGTCATAATAAACTCCCTGACCTTCCTTTTTCCTTTGACCTGTAATCTTCCTATTGCTCCACTGCAAGTAGCACGTGGTTGAGTGAAGGACAATGGTATTGACCTTACACATAGTGCAGGATTACTCTCTAACCAGCGGTTTGACCTACAGCAAATTTCATTTTTCCTGAATGTAATCATAAGATTATGTGTCATGGTGAGAAATTAGAAAAAGTAAGAATGCCCAATAATATATAATTAGTTAAATGATTTTGAATATCATAAAATACAAGGAATTTCCAAAAAGTTCATAGAAAATGTGTATTTTGTAAAAAAGTATACCTAAATTTCAACATTTTTTGCACCAAAATAAACTTGCATTCACTGTTATGTCTGAACAGAATCTAGTTTGAGGCACTTAGAAGAATAAGACACCAGTTTGAAAAAAGCCCCTATCAGAGCATTATGAATTCTGCTAAAATTAAAGTAAGAATAAACATCAAATTTTTGATGAAGCTTGGGTTGAAAATGGTGAAATAATTGATGCTTTATAAAAAGTTTATAGGGACAATGCCCCAAAGTAATCAGTAGTTTACAAATAGATAACTCATTTTAAGAAAAGACAAGATGATGTTTAGATGAAGCCTGCAGCAGCAGACCATCCGCATCAATATGTCAGGAGAAAAAAATTAATCTTGTTTGTGCCCTAACTGAAGAGGGCCAGCAGTAAACAGCAGAACCAATAGCCAATACCATAGACATTTCAATTGGGTCAGCTTACACAATTCTTACTGAAAAATTAAAGTTGAGCAAACTTTCCACTCGATGGGTGCCAAAACCATTGCACACAGATCAGCTGCAGACAAGAGCATGGCTTTCAATGGAAATTTTTAAGAAGTGGAATCAAGATCCTGGAGCATTACTTCGATGAATTATCACAGTATGTGAAACATATCTTTACCAACATGAACCTGAAGACAAAGCAATATCAAAGCAATAGCAACCAAGAGGTGGCAGTGGTCCAGTGAAAGCCAAAGTGGACCAGTCAAGAGCAAAGGCCATGGCAACATTTTGTGTTTTGTTTTGTTTTGTTTTGTTTTGTTTTGTTTTGTTTTGATGCTCAAGACATTTCTGGAGGGCCAAAGAACAATAACATCTTATTATGAGAGTGTTTTGAGAAAGTTACCAAAGCTTTAGCAGACAAAGCCCCAGGAAAGCTCTACTAGAGGGTCCTTCTTCACCACATCAGTGCTCCTGCTCAATCCTCTCATCAAACAAGGGCAATTTTGTGAGAGCTTTGATGGGAAATTCTTAGACCTCCAACTTAAAGTCCTGATTTGGCTTCTTGTGGCTTCTTTTTGTTTCCTTGTCTTAAAAAGTCTTTAAAGGGCACCCAATTTTCTTCAGTTAATAATGTAAAAAAGACTACATTGACATGGTTTAATTTCCGGAATGCTCAGTTATTTAAGTGTGGACTAAATGGCTGGTATTATCACTTACAAAAGTGTCTTGACCTTGATGGAGCTTATATTGAGAAATAAAGTGTGTATTTTATATACATATATAAATATGTTTATATTTTATATACATATATAAATATGTTTATATTTTATATACATATATAAATATGTTTATATTTTATATACATATATAAATATGTTTATATTTTATATACATATATAAATATGTTTATATTTTATATACATATATAAATATGTTTATATTTTATATACATATATAAATATGTTTATATTTTATATACATATATAAATATGTTTATATTTTATATACATATATAAATATGTTTATATTTTATATACATATATAAATATGTTTATATTTTATATACATATATAAATATGTTTATATTTTATATACATATATAAATATGTTTATATTTTATATACATATATAAATATGTTTATATTTTATATACATATATAAATATGTTTATATTTTATATACATATATAAATATGTTTATATTTTATATACATATATAAATATGTTTATATTTTATATACATATATAAATATGTTTATATTTTATATACATATATAAATATGTTTATATTTTATATACATATATAAATATGTTTATATTTTATATACATATTAAAATATATATATATTTGAGACAGGGGATCATTCTGCCACCTAGGCTGAAGAGCAGTGGTGCAATCACAGCTCACGGCAGCCCTGACCCTCCCAGGCTCAAGTGACCCTCCTGCCTCAGCTTCCCAAACAGCTGGGACCACAGGTGCACACCATCATGCCCAGCTAACTTTGTGATTTTTTTTCACAGATGAGGTATCACTATGTTGCCCAGGATGGTATTTTTATCTTTTAATTTCATTTTTCCACTAACTTTTTGAAGTCTCCTTCTAATATACAGCATTAAATTTCATGCTTTTGGAATATTTAATAACAGAAAATGTGCATGATATCTTACATAAATAGAAAGCAGTTTATAAAGCTGCATATTTTAACTATACAAATAGATATATACTATAGAAAAATTTGAAAAGATATATTAAAAATGATATTGTTTGTTTATCTTCATGAAAAGTGATTATGGGTAATTGTTATTTTCCTCCTGGCGACTTTTTTGTATTTATTATATTTTCTACAACAAAATATAGGTACATTATATATCAGCAAAAAATATATAATCTGTGGTTTGCTCATCCCCAACAAGAATTTCAAATACAGTATATATCAGATTAGGATATATTCAGCTGCAAGTACCAGAAACCTCCATTAAAAATGTATTAAAGAGACTTCTGCTTCCACTTAGGATAAAGACAGTGTCAGGATAGTGTTGCTTCCATCTTGACATTGAGAATAAGCCAGATAACCTATTTAAGCATAGCTGTGGTGGTGTTGTTTTAAACCATCACAGAGCTGAGGAAGCAAAGAAACGTAAATAACAAGAATGTAGAAAAATGACAAGCTCTTCCTAGGAGAGTATAAATGAATACAAAAATTCACAATCACTTTCATTTTTTGGATGAACAATGAGAAGTGAAGGACAGGAGTAAAATAAGATCACTGGAATTTTTAGAAATTGGTAAGGCCACTATGGAGAGACATGACAGGATCCAGTGGACAGTAGCCACATACAGAAATTGCACCCACCTTCCAACTCTGTCCTATAGGCATTCATTAAGTGCCATTAGAAAACTGAATAGGGCTGGGGGCCTGGTGAGGGCTGAGGGCAGGGTAGGCAATTCCATCCCCCACAAAATAGGAAGCAGCGGCTGTCAAGGCTGCTGGAGGGGCAAGAGATCTGGGAGAAATCACCTCCTGATGCCCAAGCATGCAGGGCCTACCAAACCTGGAGGCAGGGCCACAGAAATGAGAGAAACCCTTCACGAACTCTCCAGGCCTTCACCAAGTCTACCACTTCAGCCCTGCTGAGCTGGGCATGTAGCAGCAGGTGGAAGTAAGTCCCCAAGGCACAGGAAGCTAAGGGCAGTACTGGCAAGCAGGAAATACCCAGCCTATCTACCAGGCAGGAGCCCCCTAGAAGCATGATTAGATCTCCCATGGATTGAAAGCTGGTAGTGGACTGTAAAGCACAAAAGGATATCTACAGTCTCTGAGTGCTCAGATCTCCAGCCTGGCAGAAAAGAAGGTCCTAATTTTGACCTCACATCACGTGAAGGCATTGGTGAATTGAATCAAACTAAAGAGACAGCAGACTTAACTCATTTCTAGATTACATTGGCTCAGCCTTCCACCCTAATGGCCTGAGAGACAAATGAGCCCACCCTCTTCTGAGTTTTACTATTGTTTACCCCAGTCTCTGCTGTTCTTCTAGACATAATATCTTGAATGCAATAAAAATATTATGATGCATATAAAAAAGAAAGAAAACATGACTTATCATCAATAGAAGCAGACCTAGAAATAAAATAAAGATTGAAATTATCAGGCAGAGACTTAAAAAATATCATAATGAAAGTGTTAAAGGAAAGTAAAAAAAATGGACAACAAAAGTAAACAGAGAGGTAATTTCATCAACATCATGAAAATAATAGTAATAAAAAAAAGCCAAATGAAAAAGTAGAATAGAAAGTAACAATATCAAAACATGAATGATTCATTTGATGGATTTATCAGTACACCAGACACAGAAATAAAAAAATCAGTGAACTTGAAGACAAGTCAATAGACATTATCTAAACTAAAACTCAAAGAGAAATAGAAATAGAACAGATTATCTGAGATCTTTGAGACAATAGTAAACAGTGTAACATAAATAATTGGAGTTACAGAAGGAGAGAAGATAGAAAGTGTGCTAAAAAGAATACTTGAAGAGACAATAGCCAAGAATTTGCCAAAGTTGATGAAATACATCAAGCATAACCAAGATATCAACAACAAATATATCCGCCTGTGAACACCACGTAGGTTAAATATCAAGAAAACTGCATCAACCAAGGCATATCATAACAAAACTTCTGAAAGTCAACAATAACAAAATATTAAGTAATATATACAGAAAATAACAGTTATTATCTCATATCATAACAGGTCTGGAGATGGAACAATTCCAGAATTAACTAGTTCAGCACCTCATCCATGACAAGAGCTCAGATTCTTTTCTTCTCCCTTCTTTGCCATACTTAGCAAACAGCCTGCTCCCTTTGTGGTCAAAGATGCTTATAGTAGCACCAGGTGTAAGGTACATGGATGTGCTTTGGTCAAGGATAGGCCGAGGCAGACATCAGGCCTGTGTGACTCAGGCAGCACACCTCTACTTGTTATAGAACTTGTTTGTGTAAGTTCTTGCTTGGCTCTGAGACACTGTTGTCTGTAAAATGTATAATTGCCCTGCTGACACCGTGCACAGGGCTCGGCTTGACATGACTTGACATTGTATAGGTGCTCTTGTGCAGGCACTGGCACCCAGAGAGAGAGAGTAAAGCTACTGGCCCCTCTAAGGAAGAATGACCATCTATCAGAGGGACAGCAGGGAGCCAGGAACCAGCTTGTGCCCAAAGAGAGAAAGAGTTAAGGTGCCGACCCTGAAGGTAAAAGAGAACAGGCCGTGTATCTGTGCATGGGAGCCACCAGCTCAAGCAGCCGAGACAAGGCGGACTAGTGTGAGTTGTTGATAAGAGAGCTGCTGAATAAAGCTATATTTCACCTACCTACGCACCCCCGAGTGTTTTTTCAGCTGTCCACTCACTCCCTTCGGACCTCAGCTGGGGCTGGACCCTAACGTGGACTTGAACCTGACACCAAGAAATACATCATTGCACACATCCAAAGACCAGAAGAGAGAGAGGTTCTCCTTTTTGTACCTCTTTTTTTTTATACTTTAAGTTTTAGGGTACATGTGCACAACGTGCAGGTTAGTTACATATGTATACATGTGCCATGTTGGTGTGCTGCACCCACTAACTCGTCATTTAACATTAGGTATATCTCCTAATGCTATCCCTCCCCCCTCCCCCCACCCCACATGAGAAACCCTTCCCACAACCTGAAAGACTGGTCCTTCCTGCTAGAATTGCACCACATCTCATTCACAAACTAATCACCAGCAAAGAAAAAATAATTGTCGTTAGCTTATTCTAACTAATACTGACGTTTGAGGCCTCCTCTGAAGTGATCCTTCATATCTTTGCCAAAACAAGAGTTATTTTACCAAAGAAGAATAGGCAGTTGGAAAAAAACAAAAAACAAAAAACAAAAAACAAACAGGGAGTACACGTATTTGGCATTTATTACAATGAAAATTTACAGGTGCAGTAGGAAACGATTTCATGTTTCAACATAGAAAGGATGAATGTAATGTCAAATCTTACAATTGCATTACTAATAATATTGCTACATCTCTGCGTAGCTCATATCACTATTTGATTATTCTTATATTTCTTCCAACAACCTGCACTGGGTCCCAAGGATAATAAAGAGGCATTGTTTCTGTTCTCAGAGTTTCCTTTGTAAAGGGTGAAAATAGACCTAAAACAAATGAGTGCCATTGGAAGACTCAATAGCAGAGTATAATCTGAATTTAGCTCCTTCTCTTACTAGCTCAATTACCTTGAACATGGTACCTGATCTCTCTAAGCCTTGAGGATATGCAATGGGTAAAGGAGCCAATAGGTATCATTCTTATATGATTACAGTGACTCCAAAATAGATATTCCATAACGTGTTAAGTAAAAGTATTCGATAAACATTTGACATCTTTATTATTATTGATTAATATGTTTATAGATTTTAGTAGGTGTGCATACAGAGCAATGGTTGAGAAAGTTAATATATAAATAGTAGAGCTTGAATAGATGTTCATCTGTTATAGGAAGGACTGAGAAACTAGTAAAAGGATTTTCTGGGAGAATGACCAGCACACACAAAAAAGATACAGAGGCATGAAAAATGAAGGTGGAGGGATCCAGGAAAAGCGTACAAACCTGAGTGCAGGCTTTATGAGTGGAATCTAGGGCTAGGAGGAGAAGATGTGCAAGGACATTAAGTTGAGGCATAAAGAATCACATATAATGTGTTAAATTAAGTTAAAATTTGGCCCAAAGATGCCTTTGTACTTTGAATCCCTATGTAGCGAGCTGCAACCCAACTTAGTATGTAAACAGACTGCACCCTACTAAAGAGTATATTGTCGTAATAAATAGCTGAGTCTCAGCCAATCACAGCAGCTGAGATTCATTCAATCACAGGTTGCCCACTGATCAGACCACATCCCTACAAGGTAAACACCCAGCTGTAACCAGTCGAGCTGTTTTTCTAGGGTACTTTCTTTTTCTGTCTATAAATACTGCCTGCCCACATTGCTGGGTGGAGCTCTCTGAACCTCTCCTGGTTCTGAGTGCCATTTAGTTCATGAATAGTTCTTCACCCAAATGAATTTTATTAAATTTAATTGGTCTAAAGTTTTTCTTTTAACAGATGTAATTAGGGTATCAGACTCTATTCTATAGGCAATAGGGCATCATTAAAGGATTTTAAACAATAAGGTAGCAATACCAGATGCCATTTCCAAAGACCATTATAGCAACAATGGGTGCTGATGGACATTCAGATAGAGAGAGAGCATTTCTCTTTGCCTTAGAAATATAATGACATAGAAGAGTTGCAATACTCCAGGTGGCAAATCATGAAGGCCTAGAATCAGGCCACAAAGAAAGGCTGGAAGAAAAGGGAGCAGTTATGAGACATGTTATGGGAAAACTTAGTTCATGGGAGAAAAACAAGTTTGAATACTATAACATTTGAAATTTATCATTAAAAAATTAAAAAGCTATTGAATGACTTTCAATTATAAACAGTAACAAAAATATTAGTAAATACAATGTTGTAAAGAAGGCATTCTGCAAATGCGCATAGATTATTAGGAAAATCATTTGGAAGATATTATTTGTAGCCAGTAGGTACTATTAAGCTACTTAAAACCAGCCTGAATGTTTAAGCAAGATAAATATTTCCTTCTAGAGTAACAGAGCAATTTTGTATACTTTATTAATCTAATTCAGAAGTCTTTTTTTAAAAGACAAGTTTATATTAAAGCTCACTCCGTTAATGGTTGAACTATTACAAATTATAAATTAGCAGATTGTGAAGTAATGAGTTTTTAAAATATTTAGACTTAATCTCTAATGCTGAAATTTAAATTTCTCTATTATTTGTTTCTCTGGAGATAAAATAAAACTGCTTTACCCTGATAATTTAGGATGTGGTTCGAATGGAGAACACATGTAAGTACCTTATGGATTCACCACTTAATTTATAAATGAATTAACATTTCCTCCTGGACAAAAATCTCTTTCTCTATTAATCCTGGTGTATTGACAATACCCTGTATTCCTCTTTCATGTCTTTCTCAATCAGTTTAGAGCAGTCTGTCAGGGTTATTCATTAATCCTCACTTCATGTGAAGCAAAGCAGTTATAGGCTTTATCCCCATTTCACAGATAATTTCTTTAGGCAAAATTCTCTAACACATAATGCATTCAAAAGTAATTTTTATACAAAATTTATTACTTGTATTATTTGCTGTCAGTTATAAAAATGGAAAACTTTTCTGCTTTCTTTGCTTCTCTGCAATCCAGTTAATGACACTTAAGGCTACAACCTGAAATTTAGTATGTTACTGGTGATTTAGCAAGAAGATTTGTGAAGCATTGAGCAATCTCGTATTATAATTTTCATAATTTTGTATTAGTCCAATCTGCTTAATTGAAGGATTATATTCCGGTGACCATTTTGGCTTTAGGAGTCTAAAGAGCATAAAATGGAGACAAGTTAGAAAGATGTTTAAACCAGTAGCAGGTCTCTGGTCCCAGTTCTGTCAGTAGTTGTCCTTCTTTGGATAGTTCATTCGAGAGCTTTCTGGATTCACTTGCATATCTCTAAATTGGGGATCACACCCCTGGATCTACTTAATGTAATGGACGCTATGTCAATGAATGTAAAAATTTGTCTAAAAAGATGAATTCAATAAAAATACTTTCTATTTTATAATCATGACGCAAAGGGCTTCCTTTAGCTCCTTTACAGGTTTTTAATAATAAAATATAAAAATAATTTTATTTTTTAATATAAAAATAATTTCTGAATCTCTACTTTTTAAAAGTTAATATTATGTTTAATGGACAAATCATAATTGTATACTTTTATGGGATATAATGTGATGTCCTGATATGTGTAAACAATGTGAAATAATTAATTCAAAATGATTAACATATTTATCACCTTGCTTACCTATCAATTTTTGTGGTAAGACATTTGAAATTTAGTTATTTTGAAATATGCATTATTTATTATTCACTATGGCTACTCTGTTATGCAATAGATCTCAAAATGTAATTTTCCCCATCTATTTGAAACTTTATAACCTTTGACCAACGATTCCTCCATTTTCTCTCCCACCCCTCAGCCTCTAGCAACCATCATTCTACTCTCTACTTCTATGAGTTTGATTTTTTAGATTTCACATATAAGTGAAATTATGCAACATTTGTCTTTCTGTGCTTGGTTTACTTCACTTACCTTAATGTCCTCCAGGTTCATCCACATTGCCCCAAATGACAGAACTTCCTTCTTTATTAAGGGTGAATAATAGCACAATATTTCACAAATGTACTTCCTTAGACCAACTGGTTTCTGATTCCTGAAATGTTTTAGGTAGCAACTATGTTCCCCTTGCTTTTCCCCCCCAGTACATAGAAAAAGCTAATATTATCCATTAGAAGTGAAGTAATGAAATGTGTCTTTCAGATACTCCGATCAAAAAAACAAATAAACTCCAAGTTACTTCCCTCTGCCAAATGCAGTGTTTTAGAAGGCCTCCTCAACTTTCCACCAGAAAAGCCACTCTACTATTGAAAACCACCCATACAAAACATCGAAATGAATTATTTGGAAGTGGGATTATCTCCACTAATTTAAGCACCATTAGAACAACCAAGTCAAAATACACACAAATTATAAAATGAGTCTCTCTCTCTACACACACAGACACACACACACAAATACGTAGTTTACAGACACTGAATTAATGTTGGAACCTTGGTGGGGGAGCTCTTAGATATTTCAAAATTGTGGTCTTTCCATTTTAATCTGAGATTCCAATCAGCCCATACCCTTAGTATCTTAGTGCTACGGCCATGGCTGCAATGTGAGCCCAGTGTCTGTATGCTAGAAATTGTATTAGAAGCTTGAAACTCTGGCTATTACCCAGGCTACAAATCCATGCATATCTTTATTTGAAGGGCACTCAGAGCTTATTAACTTACAGCCAGCTTTTCTTTCTCCATGAACAGTGCATCTTCCCTCATTCATGCTGGACCCCAGGAGCCTGGCACGTTGTTTATACAAGAGTGTAAATTCCCATTTGGCCAATGCGGAGCTGCCCTTGGAATCTATGTCTCTAGCCACAGTTGTGTTTATCCTTAGTATCTGGTTTCAGTTATCTTTTTTGTGCCATTTTGGACTGTGATCTGTTTGTTTCATTTACTAAGTTTTCCATTACAGAATGATGAACAGGGCCACTAAGAGGTGGCAGAATGGGGCAAGGCTCGGCCTCATTCCTAGCCCTGTGGCACTTAATTACTACACTTTGCTTGCCAATGGTTTCTTGGCATCTAATTTAATTTGGGGACCTGCCTAAGCATTTAATTGAACTTGGAGAACTCCCTTCAAATATTTATACCATTTTCCCTTTCTCCTCCTGCCACATCATCAATGATTCTGCTCCACATTTTAGATCAGATTCACTTGCCTGTTTTCCAAAACACTTGCCCTTTTTCTTTTTCTACTAAATATATTGCCTCACATGCCCAATCCTAATAAGACTGTATTTTAAAAAAAAATTTCCCTCCTTTCTTTTTAATTTTTCCTCCCTCATTATAGTAGAATTTTATACTTTCTCTGTCCATAAAGTTTTCCATTACCTCATTTTATCCAACTTGTATCTCACCCCTTTGATAATTTTCTTGTATAAAAATAGGCAGCACAGATAAAAGAACATTGGATTTATTATACTCATCACAGTCACATAAGCTTCAATATCCTCATCTCTGACCACAACTCTACCTACTCAGTTCTTTTACTCTGTAAGATACATTTAATGTCCTCTTAAATTTCATCACCGTCCACATTTTCTTGACACCCTTAATTCATTTCTTGATCTATCAGTATTCTCCTGGCTTTAAGGCCTTCTGCAACCAGCCTCAACCTCATAGGTCATCATTCTAACTAGCCTCTTCCTGGTGCCATCAAGCCCAGACCCGTTTGTACTTTTGTAACTTCTTGATTTAAATCCAAGTGCTGGAACAATCCAACACAATACTGAATGAAGAAGTAGAAATCAACACACACACCCACACACGGCTTCCAACCCCCTTTGAGATTACAATGCCATTCATCTGTATGTGTTTTTCTTCATCCTTCATCTTTTCCCCTCTCTTATTTCTCCCACCTACCTTTTCCAGACATTCCTATCTCCTATCATACTTTTAGCTGGGGATTTTATTTGTCAAACTTCAAATCCCTGTGTTAGCGATTGATGAGTAATGATTTTTATTCACAATACCTGCAAACATTGCCAATCAAATTAATATAATAGACAATCTAAAAATAAACTAAATAATAAATAAAAGCACTCCAGTTAGTGGGAAAATAGGTTATCTGATCCCTATATCAGAAAAATTGGCTAGCCATTCAGGAAAAACAATTTATACCTGATTAGTTGCACTTAACAACAATAACAACAAGAGCATAATAGTAGTAATTCCTTTTGAATAAGTGAAATCATGAACTTACTCATAGGTAACAATGCCTACAATATTTATAAACTGAGTCTAGGGGAAGCTTTTCTAACCATGTCATAAAAACTGGAAACAAAAAAGTGGATAAATTTGAATGCATCCAAATTCTGAATGACAAAATCAGAAAACAATAAACAATCAAAATGAAAAAAGACACAATAACGTTATTACAGCATTGTTCATAAAAATGAAAATTTAAAAACAGTTTACATGTTCATCTATATGTCACTAATTAATTAAATTACAGTATATGGTATTATAAAATACTATATTGAAATTCAAACAAAATCTATAATATTTAATGGCATGGGAAGATAGCCATACATACCATTGTCATTGCAACAAAAGGAGGGTGCAATGCAGTATTATAATATTCAACCAGTGTATGAGTGTGTGTATATGTATGTATGTATAGAGAGTATATACAGTGTATGTGAGTTTCTGTAATAGGAGTGTTAAAAGAAACTAGATTGTTGTTTTGAGTTAATATAATATCTCATCCTCCACTTTAACATATTTTATGTGACAGGCACTATTCTGGGCAATTAAAAATGCCTTTCCCTCCCATTTTCTAGGCCAAAAACAGTTTCAGAAAGTGCGAGCAACATGCTTTACATGAAGTAAATTGGGCAGTGATTAAGCCAGAACCCAGGAGCCTCACTCTTAGCCCAGTTTGTGCTGCCACGCTACAGCTGATCCTAAGCAGATCACCATTTCAATCCAACCAGTTATTTTCTATCTCTACTAAGGCAAAGAAGGAAAATAATTAAGATTAATTTACTAGTATAGATCTTATAAAGTATCTTTCCTTCTCTTTTTTTCCTTCTTACAATAAAGAAAAAACTGTTAGTGAGATACTATGATAGGTACTAAAGGAAGTACACTTTCCACTGATTTACCTGCAGCCTTGCCAAAGAACTACCACCATGTCATGGTTCCCAAGGATGACATCTGTTAGTTTAACGTGGGTGCATAAGATGGACTGAGCACAGCCTCGGACATTGGAAACCAGGTAATACCTACCTCAGCTCTTTGAGAACAGCTATTAAGAAAGATCTTTTCTTCCCCACAACCTGTGATTCAATTTCATGAATCTTTTCTTAGCCCCCTTCCCCCAGAGATAAGTGTGATTCATACAAAGGATCTGGATAGAGCAAGGAGAGACATGGTGGGGAGACTGGGGGCGCTGCTGCTCACTTCCAAAGTGGAGGGGAAAAGCAAGATCACTCATTTGTCTTTACTCAGGTGACTCCTCTTATTCAGGAAACAGAAAGTCCACTGAGGAGCTTCAGTTCACAGTCAGAAGCTTCATTCAAATAAGTGGAGAATTCACACCAAATGTAGAACAGTTGAATTAAATCCAAATATTACAGGCTTTGCAATTACAAGAGTCAAAATAAATCTGCAATGGTGAAGGGGAAAAGGGCTTAACATTTATTTAAACTCACTGTGTTTTAAGCAACTGGGTGCTTTACAAACGTTTTCTGGCATTTTAATCCTCACAACAGTCTACCTGACCCAAAACCTTTGCAGGTAAGAAGCCAGCTTGAAATATCAGATAACAAAAAATTATAAAACACAAAATTACCGCACTGTTATTTCATGACTTACTTCTTAAGTGAGTTACATAGAAATCCCCTAGCAAAAGCAAGATATCTAGGTCAACCTTCTTATCCCCATGATATTTCATTCTGTTAAGTAATGACACTGATTCTCCTATATCTGATCAAAGCTTTTATTTGTGTTTTCTACGCTTCTTCAAATAAAGTAGTGTATAATTTCAAACTAATGTTGATAAATGGGGCTTTTATAGTGTAATTTGGCTAAACAATGAATATAAGAAAAAGGTAAATGCAGCAGTTCTATTGCATATGAATTCTGCAAGCATATGAAATCTGCTGTGTTATTTTATAAACTGTGTTTTGGTTTCAGTGCAGCACACTAGGGCTGCTATGCAGAAGTCATTTCTTTCCACAGTGCATTTTATACTGGAGTAGGCCATTAAAATAACATGCTTACTTTTTAGAGGATGTTATTTGGAATAAAAGCAGCTAGCTAATAGGTGAAGTATAAAATATATATAGCCAAGGGTCAAGGTTGAAGTCACCATTGCATCACCTATTTTAATAAATTATCAGTTGTTAAAAATGTATGCAAGGATCTCCAAAGCCTGTTTTTTCTTCAGATTTGACAATTGGTTTGTGCATATTAAAAAACAACTGTGCTGGATAAGTTATCAATACTTGAATTAATATTAGTACTTAAATCATATACCTGTAAATATCAGATGAGTACTGTTATATTAAATATTCAAACAATGTTTCAAACATCTAGGATGTTTTCCTTAAAAAACAGAATGTGAAAGACATTCATAATAATAAATTCTGAAAAATGCTATAATATACACACACATACACATATATATCTAATTGTTTTTGCTGAACTGTCAGATTAAATGTCCCTATGTTCCTTATTTCTATCTTTTTTCTTTTATTTATTGTGGGATCATCGATAGCTCACCCTATCTCTATATAATGAAATATGAATAGATTTCTTGCTGCACTGTTAACTTGGGTCATTTCTTTTAAGAAATTGAGGGACAACATATGCTTGTCTAAGCATGTTATGCAAATTATTGGCATAAAAGGATTTTTACCATGTAGATAGTGTAAAACATGTCACAGTGACAATTCTTACATTCAGTATTCATTTATCCCAGCAATCAGCATGGTTATACAGCTTTCTACATGTAGCCATTTCATATGCATGTTGAAAAGTAAAGCATGTGTATGTGCCTGCAAGATATTGAAATCATAGTCTGAACATTTTATCTCTGAGTTGTGGCATGGACTCTGAAATTCTTCCCTGTTTATAAAATCGCATACATGAGATACCCCAGCAAGGTGAGTTTGTTTGAAGCAGAAAAAAATGTTAACATGGAAGAAATTTTCCCCTTGCTCATTTTAGACCCAGTCATGTGGTCAGAGGCTGGAATTTATACCAGACATTTTCAGAAACCTTCTGGCAGCCATATTATTGCTTTTTCAAAAGAGAATCACAATTACCTATGCTCTAGCTATTTTTGAAAAACCGTACTGCTCATGACCCACTATCCCCATTTTAAAAATGTACTTTACTAAACAAGTTTTATATTATAAAGGAGAAAAATATGATTATCATCTATGCAATCTCCTATCGTGCATTGTCAGATAAGTCTTTAAAAGAAAAGCCCTATAGCAACCAATCATGTGACTCAGTGAGGTCTCTTTTTTTAAAGAGAATACCATATTTCATCTATGAGGAAGGCAATATAAAAATAGTACTAAAATGTCAGTATGACTTTGTGGTCATTTTCAAATGCACAGAGTCCCACATTTGCTGGAATAAGGTCTTGCAGAATCCAGCTTGTCAATTTGAACAATTTTGTGGGGATGGGACAGATGGACAGCTGTTTCATTTTTTTAAATTCTAGATTTTATTTCTTTACATTAAATGAGTTATTTTTTAATTTGTGAAAAAATAACAGGCTTATTTTTAAAAGAAAAATCAGTTGTAGACATTGAACTATTTATGAAAGAAAAGTAGTACTAATTACTTGGATTAAAACTTTCTAGCTTATTTTAACTGAAAATAATATAATTTAATGGCTGTATTCTCTTGATACTGATCATTATTTGTATCATAACTGATAGTGCAACTGTCTTTTCAGTTTTATGGAAACAGACAAAAGTACAGATTAGGGCATATTTGAATAATCAACTGGGCATCATTATTTCTGTTAATGCATATAGATTCCTCACTTTTTGATCCCAAACATAAACTCCTTTATCAGCTGTACACTACAATACAAATTAATCCAAACTAAAATTATTTTTAAAACTATTTTGTTTAGATAAAAAACACGACAAAAAAGAATACCTCTAGTTTAAAATAAACATTTCTTTCTTCTATCATAATTACTTTCCCATATTATGAAAGAATTAAGATTTATAATGCCCTAACTAAATTGTCCAAAGATTATAAATGACTTTTCACTCTGCACAAATATTCTGTAATTAGAAAGGGAGGCAAATAGTTAGTAATGAACAAACTGTACTTAATATATAAGAACCAAATATTGAATATAGATGCTTAAGTGAAAAAAAAACCCCTACATTTATATCATTTTCTGGGTGGGAATCCCACAGTGTGGCTACAGATAAATAAGCTAAAAGACTCAGGAAAAGTACCACACACACACATACAGACAGAGTTTTTATTAGTTAAAACCAAAATGCCTTTATTTATTTACTTATTTATTTTCATTTTTAATTTTTTGAGACGGAGTCTCACTGTGCTGCCCAGGCTGGAGTGCAGTGGCTCACTTCAACCTCCACCTCGCAGGTTCCAGTGATTCTCCTTCCTCAGCTCCCAGGTAGCTGGGATTACAGGCACCTGCCACCACGCCTGGCTAATTTTTGTATTTTTAGTAGAGACAGGGTTTCACCATGTTGTTCAGGCTAGTCTCAAACTCTTGACCTCAGGTGATCCACCTGTCTCGGCCTCCCAAAGTGCTGGGATTACAGGTGTGAGCCACTGCGCCTGGCCCAAAATGCCTTTAATAGAATGATCTTTAAATGGAAAAATGGGCATTAACATATTATGTTATTTGAGATCATTCCAGATAATATAGCTGACCAAAAACTATTTCTATATCCTACTCAGAAATCTGAATTTTTTCTCTTCAATTAAGTAAAAATCATTTCACTGGTCTGTTTCATACTATGCAGCAATGCTGACATATGACAATTTTATACAGGAAGTACAGTTCTATTTAATGCTTTTAATAGTTTGAATCTGTTAGTACACCAATGGTTGATTAAAAAGCCTATTTTAATATCTTAATTTTAAACAGGCTACAATGCTTTATAACTCTAAATTTTTAGATTTCATTTTTAATTTCTTCAAAACTGATAAGCTTCCCTGCCCTTCCCTAAGTTAAAAGTTAATTAAATCTATAATACAACCACACTGAAGGGAAAAGGCCAGTTTTATTTACATAACAGAGCAATAGCAATAACAATGAATGAATAGCACCAAACCAACATCAGTCTTAACACAAAATATTACTCTTGACCTCTTCAATGAGCAGCCTTTTTTCTAGTAGCCAGAAATAGTATTCAATTTTATATAAAAATTACTAATGAAATGGATCTCACAAATGAATTAATATATTTTTGGAGGTAAATCAGGGCATTTAATATCACCATCATCAATATTAAATTTTATTTTTCATAAACTAAGGAATCCTCCCTGTTAACCCACAATATGAGCAGTACTCAAATTTTATGTATTTTAAATGTCATAAAAATTGCCCACATATTAAGCTCTTAGTATAGGCCAGGAGGAAATTAAGGTACAAGTTATAAAACCTGGGGCATCAAGAGGTTAAGGGGACAAGATCAGAGAAAGACAAGTGGCAAAACGGAGGTTTTTCAAGCAGTTCCTCTTCCCCCTGTTATGTTCAGACTGGAGGCCTGCCTCGGGCACAGTCGGAGGCCGGGTTTGCCTGAAGCGGCTCGCCTAAAAGGAGAGCATCACCACTTTATTAATGAAGCTTCCACTGTAGTTGCCTGAGACTAACATCTACTCATAGTCTGAGAAATTTTGGAGTGTTTAGATTAGGTGTGCACTGGCTGTAAAATCATGCTACACTTGCAGAGTCAAGCATATGTGTTGGATATTTGGAGGCAGAGTTAAGGAATTTCTAAGAGAGGCCTTCAGAAAAGTTGAAAGGCAATTCACAAATATTAGTTTCATATTAGTTATATAAAACCTAACCTATGTTCTTCCCATAGTGAATTTTGAAACAATTTCTTAAGAGCGCTGGTCATTTGTTCACTGTGTCCACTCTCTTCTCATCATTCCCTTTAAATCACATGCACACAAGACATCTGCTTGCAGAGTCAAACTTGTCCTCTTTCTATCTTCTTTCTTTCTTTCTTTCCTCTTTTCCCTCCGTCCCTCCCTCCCTCCCTCCCCCCCTCCCTCCCTCCCTCCCTCCCTCCCTCTCTCTCTCTCTCTCTCTCTCTCTCTCTCTCTCTCTCTTTTTTGAGACGGAGTCTCGCTCTGTCGCCCAGGCTGGAGTGCACTGGAGCCATCTCGGCGCACTGCAAGCTCCGCCTCCCGGCTTCACGCCATTCTCCTGCCTCAGTCTCCCGAGGCGCCCGCCACCACGCCCGGCTAATTTTTTGTATTTTTAGTAGAGACGGGGTTTCACCGTGTTAGCCAGGATGGTCTCGATCTTCTGACCTCGCGATCCACCCGCCTCGGCCTCCCAAAAGGCCGGGATTACAGGCGTGAGCCACCGCGCCTAGCCGTGCTCATTCTTTATACTTCACTTTTTAAAAAGCTTTTTATTTATCTTTTAAATATGTTTGAATTTCCAAATCTTGAGAAGTCTTCCACTTTGAAATTACTACTCCATTATAATCCTGCTCCTATCATTTGACATTATTTTACAGCTATGCTCCTCAAACAAGCTACCAACTTCTAGACTCCATTGCTCCCATCACCCATCCCTTACTTTCGTAAACCCCTATAATCTAATTTATGGACCCATCAATGCTCTGAAACTTTTCAATTGAATCATTTCCCTAATGGAATTGAGTTTCTTTATTCTGACCCCCATCAAATTCTCTGCTCCACTTAACATAGCTTGTCTACTCATTTTTAGTCTCTAAAATATTGTCTGTCAATTTTTATCTGTATCTCTCACTAACTGGGTTGCTTTTTCTCTCTACCCACCAACTTAGTGGTTCTCTTTATTGTTTACACTTATTCCTCTACACTTATCCTCTTGTGAAATGTATACCTTTACATGTTTTAATTATCTTCTCTATACTGATGACTCAAAAACTCTCATTTCCTGAAATTTTACCTCTTACTTTGTCTCTTGTTTCACTCCCCCAAATTTATTCCAGAGTCCATGAATCATTCATTCAAAAAAAAAAAAAAAAAAAAAAAGAACTGGCCAAGCTCCTAGCCATATACCAGGCAATCTTATAAGCACTGAAGACAGAGTAGTGATCAAAAAGCCAAAAATTCCTCTCCCTGTAGAGTATGAATGCTATCAAAGGAGAAAGACAATAAACATGATTTAAAAAGTAAAATATTTAATATGATGGAAAATGAGCGCTAAAGAAAAAACAAAGCAAAGAAGATGTATGTCAAAATTTGGAGGTGGTCTTAAAATTTTAAATAGATTATTGAGTACAGACTACAGGGGGCAAGTGTAGAAGTTATGAGACCAATTAAAGTAGTATTGTAATAATCCAGGAGAAAGATGATGGTAGCCAGGAGAATCATAGCAGCTTCAGTGAAGACACATAGGATTGAATTTTGGATCTATTAAGGTAGACTAGACAAAATTTGTTGATGGACCAGAATGAGAAAAAGAAATCAAGATTGACACCAAAGTTTTTTACCTAAGTAACTGGAAGAATGTGGTCAAACTTAAGAAATATATGTAAGTGAGCAGGAGAAGCGCACATCAATAGCTGAGTTTGAAACGTTTTAAAGTTAGAGTTAAGACACACTAACCCTTTACACAGGAGATAGGCAAATGCACATTGAATAGACAGTTGGATACATGACAGTTAGATATATTACACTTTGAAGATAAGAGGAAGATCCTAGTTACAGAATATAAAGTTTGATGTCATAAACATAGAAATGATATTTAAAACCATGACAGGGGAATGGTATCACCTTGGGAGTAAAACTTGTCCTTCTTTATTTGGGATGGGACCTTTCTTCCCATTGCAAGTAAAAAGGAAAAAGATGTAAAAATTAGAGTTCAGATGAATGAGGAGGAACTGATAAAGTGACTGAGAAGAAGTAGCCAGAAACATCAGAGAAATAATAGACATCAAGAGGAAAATTTGATTCTAGAAGGGGTAAGGGATTGACTATTTTCAATGTTACAGATACAGCCAATAATATGAGAAATGGCCATTGAAATTAGTGATATGGATGTCTTTGGGATCTAGAGAAAAGTAATTCCAGTGGAATGTGGGGGAAAAACCTGATTGCAGTAAGAGAGAATGGTAAGATAAATTAGTGACAATGGTCACAAAACTTCTTCAAAAAGAAATTATGAAAAGAACCAAGAGAGTGAAAGAGAAAACAGATTAAGAAGATATAGTATAACTGTATTAATAGACCTACTTGAAGCTATTGATAATAAATTTAAAGTGAGACCAATTTCCATGGCTGTGTGTTTTTCTTAGTTTCCCCAAATATCCTGAACTGTACAGGTGCAGTCATATAGCAGAAATATTTACTTATCTAAAGTTATAGTTTCATTAGAAAAAGATGGTAAAGCAAGAGAGAAGCATGGGAGCTGATGATATATGCAAGGGAAAGCTTATATTTATAATAATTAAATATGGAATTCATGGTAAATAAAAAGGAAATAAAAGGTATAAGGAGATGAGGGACTGTATGAAGCTGGCAAGGTTGATGCTAATTATGTCTAGGTGGGGTTGAGGAATGTTCAAGTTAGAATAATAAAGGTTGTGACCCAGAAGGTAGGAGGCCAGAGTGAGAAAGATGCTTCTTTGAAGATGAGATTATGATAGTGTTGTTATTGAAAACTAAAAGGTCAAGGGACTAAGTATAGAAGAGGGGTGAGGTAGGGAAGGGAACAATATCATTGAAGAGAAGAGGTCAAGAAATTGAGGAGTCAAAGTGTTGGAAAGTGTATCTGTATGGATATTGGAGTCACTAAGAATTATTTAAAAAGTAATGTTAGAGAGAGTGACAGTGATCCAGGATCTAAAATCTTAAAGGATTAAATAATAAAGATGTTGTGGTAAAAAGACGACCACTATAAAAAGTGATATTGTATAATCTAATGATATAAAATACAAAATACTGATGGTGAGAGAAGACGAGAAAATGATTTAGGAGCAGCAATGATTAACGGGAAAGGCACCTACTGTATTCCAAATTTGTTCAGTTGCTCAATAACATTTTAAAGTATTTGCAGTATGAAAGGTACTAGACTAAAGGTTTAAATGCATAATCTTATTTTTGATTCATAAAATACATTATAATATAGAAATTATTATCTGCATTTTACACTTGGTCAAACTGAGGTTAAATAATCTGTCCAAGGTTATTCAGGTATTTTTAATCTCTCTTATATTATACTTCTTCAATTAAAAATATGCCAATTCAAGTTTTGTAACACTGAGCAATGACTGTTTCTGGAATTTTGTTGAAAAAAGCTCTGCAGCCCCATTCTCTAGTGAAACAATAATAATTGGTAAAAATTATACACAAAACATTTTAATATCTAGAAGTTTTCCTGGGACATGCTACAAATTAAGAAATGTTTAATCATAAAAATCTTCTAAGAAGAGTAGATTTGTAGATTGGTAAAACACAGTGAGTCTGTGGCACTTAAGCCCTGATCTGACCCTTTTTGTCTCCTTCTGCATATCAGGCTCCCGATGACAGAAGCTTTACTCTGAGAAGATATGGCCAAGGAGGGAGCACTTCCATGCTCCTAGTCAAGGGCTATGGTATCTCCCTAGGAGGAACAAGACACTGGCATTTCTCATTCTCCCCATCTCCATGTTGCAGAGGTTAAATTTTAGATGACTGCATCTGAGAGGTCAATGAATCTTTATGTAGCCCCCACTGGTGGGGCAGAAGATCTATCCCAAATATAGCAGGCTGACCATAGGGGAGTCCTTATTACATTCACTCCAGTTTGCTTGTAGGGAGAAGAGTCCACATGGGGAGAAGCAAATGGGAAAGACAAGAGGCTACTTTCCTTGATCAGTGCCCCACTAATAAAGCAAAGATGTCATTCTGAGAGAACAGACCGCTGCCTCCACCCTCAGTTCTGGAGTAGTCACTCAGAGATTTTTCCCAGGAAGAGAGGTAGGCCATAATACAGAGAGCTCCAAAGATTTCCCATAAGGGAATTAAAGTTCAAGTCAAAGTCACCTTAAAAATAATGGAGATTTTGGTGGTAAGCGATTAAAGGGGGCTAGTAGCCCGATGAAAGCAACAAGCTAAAAGTCATCTAGTTTACCAGAGAGAACTACAAAAAAAAGAAAGCTATGAGGAGCTCTTCTAAGGTCAGAATAAACCTCAAAGATTGGCTTCAAAAGTATTCCTGCAAAGGCACTCAAATTAAATTGAATTGTGGGGGTGCTTATTCTCCAGGTCATTGTCAAAAATAATAGCGCAATTAGCTGGCAATTAGTGCAACCTAGTATCTGGAGGTGAACAAGGAATGGGAAGTTTAGGAGAGCCCTGGTAAAACAACTGTCATTTTAGGGTTACTTTGCACATGCCCACCACTGCACTCCCTGAAGTGTGACATCAGTGGCTTCCCACTGTGGGGAAAATAGACTTACTAAAATAGTCCAGGATAGTAAACAAACAAATAAACAAGAAAAAACAATAAAAAGCCCTGGAAATGTGGGAGTAACAGTACATAGAGTTGTTATGGTATAGTACCAAAAATTATAAGACAGCCAAAGAAATAGAAAAGTGTGACTCGTACACAGACACAAAAGACCACAAAAATTGCCTGGGAGAGGGTCCAGATGAGACTTCACAAAGTCTTCAAATAAGTTATTATCAATATGTTCAAAGAACTAAAAGAAAACATGCTTAAAGAAGTAAAGTATGATGACAGTGTCTCAGGAAATAAGGAATACCAATAAAGAGGAAGAAATATAGAAAGAACCAAAAAGACATTATGGAGTTGATAAGTAACATGACTAAAATTTAAAAATTCCTTAGAGGGATTCACCAGTAGATTTAAACTGGCAAAAAAAAAAAAATCAACTAACTTGAAGATAAAGTTGTACAAATTCTGCAATTTGAAAAAAAGAGAAAAAAGGATTTAAAAAATGAACACCAACGTATGAGTCATGGGAATGTAATATGGGGAGGAGAGAGACAGAAAGGAGCACAAAGATATTTTCAAAAGTAATTTTTGAAAGCCCCAAATAGGAAGAAAAATTTTATCTACATTCAATAATCTCAATGAACTTAGAATTAGAATAAACATAAAGATATCTACACCCAGAAATATCATAGTAAAAGCATTAAAAGACAAAAAGAAACATTTGAAAGCAACAAAAGAAAAAGTATCACATACAAAGGAACCCTGTACAATGAACAGAAACAATGAAATCCAGAAGGCAGCAGTGGGATGACATATTCAAAGTGCTGGAAGGATCAACCAATAATCTATTTTCTAAAATGAAGTTGAAATAAAGACTTGCCCACATAAACAAAAACTGAGATCATTCATTGCTAGTCTACTCATTACAAGAAATGTTAAAGGAAATGCTTCAGACTAAAAGCAAGTAATACCAGGTAGTAACTCAAATCCATACCAAAACAAACCAAGAGCAATGAGAAAGCTAATTATTTAATGATTAAAGATATATAAATGAATATTTCTTCTTCCTTCTTCCCCTAGTTGATTCTAAAAGCAATTTCATGAAATAATATGTAAGTAATTGCATCACTGGTCCTATAACATATAGTAATGTAGTATATTTGGCCATATAACACAGAGGAGGTAAATGGAAGAAAAGCTGCACTGAAATAAGAAAATGATACCAGAAAATAATTTTAATCCATAGGAACAAATGGAGGTAACAGAAACATTAAATAAGAAGGCCAATATGACAAACTTCTCTCTATAGATAGATGGAGAGATAAATAGATATGTGTTTACATATACTCTTTCTTCATTATTCAGCACCTTCATAAAATTATTTAAAATAATTATTATAAAAATGTTTTGCTGGATTTATAACAAATATGCATGTTTTATATATATAACAATAAAAGCAAAAAGTGAGAAGAGTGAACAGAGCCATGTAGAAGTAACATCTTCATAGCTCACTGAAATTAAGTTAGTACAAATCTGAAGTAAATTTTATATGTTACGATGTACATGGTAAGTCCTAGAGCAACCATTAAGACAATAACCCCTCCCAAAAAATGTTTAAAAAGTCATTATCATAATTGAAATATTGCACTAAAAATATTAAACCAAAAGAAAGCAGTAAGGAAGAAATAGAAAAATAAAAATGAAACAACATATAGGGTACAAAAGGAAACCAGAAAAGAAGACATAAAACTGAATATATTAATAGTAACATTAAAAGTGAATGGATTAAACAATACAATCAAAAGCAGAAGTTGTTAGACTGCATAAACCAAAAAAGAACATCCAACTATATGCTATCTACAGGAGACATATTTTAGATTCTAAGGTAAAAATAGGTTGAATAAAAAAAGGCAAAACATGTATTATGCAAACAGCAACTATAAGAAAGCTGAAGTGGCTATGCTAATATGCGACAAAATAGACTTTAAAACAAAAATATTACTGAGAAGCATGGTATTTTATAAAGTATCAATCCAAGAAGATATAACAATTATAAATATATGTGTACCTAATAACTGCGCCCCAAACACATGAAACAAAAGCTAACATAACTGAAAGGAGAAATAGACACTTTACCAATAATAGCTGAGGGCATCAATACCCTACTTTTAATTATGAATAGAAAAACTAGGCAGAATACACATTCCTCTCAATAGCACAAGAAGAATTTCCAAAACAAAACATACACTAGTCATGAAACAAGCCTAAGTAAATTCAAAATAATTGAAATCAAGCAAAATATGTGTTCTGACCACAAGGAAATACAATCATAAATCAATATCAAAAATAAATTTAAAAAATAAAGTTGTAGAAATTAAGTAATAATCTATTCAGCAACCAATTAGTCAAAGAATAAATCACAAACGAAATTTTTAAAATAATTTGATATTAATTAAAGTAAAGACACAATATACCAAAACTTATGGGATTCAGTGAAAGCAGTGCTGAGGGAAAATATTTATAGCTAAGTTCCCATATTAAAAAGAAGAAAGATCTCGAATTGATAACATAACTTTTCACCTTAAAACACTGAAAAAGCAAGCTGAAAACAAGCAGAAGAGAAGACATTATGAAGATTAGAGTGTAAATTAATAAACTACAGAATAGAAAAACAATAAAGAAAATAAGTGAAACCATAAGTTGATTCTTTGAAAAAAAAATCAACAAAATTGACAAATCTTATTTGGAATTACCAAGAAAAAAATATAAAAGACTCAGATTACTAAAAACAGGTATGAGAGAGGGGACATCATTACTGACATTACAGAAATACAAGAATTAGAAGGGAATACTATTAATAGTTACATGCCAACAAATTGGTTAATTTTGATTAAATGAACAAGTTCCTGGAAAGACACAAGTACTGAAACTGACTCAAGAAGAAATAAGAAATCTAAATAAATCTTTAATAAGTAAAAAGATTAATGTGTTGGGAATCCCCGAGACCACGCTGAGGATGGGTAATTTGCTAGGAGGATTCACAATACTCAGCATGTAATTATATTCATGGCTATGACTTTTACAGTGAAAGAATAGTAAGCACAGTCAACAAAGAAAAAGGTGCATGGGGCTAAGTCCAAGGAAAAAAAGTACAAACTTCTAAGGATCATTTCTCACTGAAGTCACACAGGACATGCTTATTTCCCCAGCAATAAGTTGTGACAGTATGTGTGAAATGTTGCCAGCTATGAAGGCTCATGAAAGACTCAGCATCTAGGCGTTAGTCATGTAGGCAGCCTCTGCCGAGCATGTACCAAAATTCCAGACTACTAGAAGAAAAACAGGTGTTCGGCATAAATCACATTGTTTGTACAAACGTTAAAGCACAGTGAGCCACTCCTATCAATTCTGAAATGGTGGGAATCCTTCCAAAATCCTAGTTCTCAGACACCAGCCAACTGTGAGCCAGGTTTCCTAAGAATCTTAGTCAGGCCAGCTATATTAACTTTTTTCTGCACAATTATAAATTTTAAAACTTTCAACAGAGCAATGCCAAGGCCCAGGATTTTTTTTTTTTTTCTGAAGTCTAGCAAACATTTACAAAAGCGTTGCTGTCGAATTTTTCCAAACTCTTCCAAAAAAATAAAGAAGAGGAAACAAGTCACAACTCATTATATGAGGCTAGTATTACCCTGATTCCAAACATCACAAGAACTGAAAACTACCAACTAATTATCAAATAAATATACATGAAAAAATCAACTTATTCTTGTTATTCACAGAAGTTATGCTTTATAAAGTCTCTGAGTACATTGAATTAGTGAGTACCGAACCATTGCCCCTAGAGGAAATACAGGAGTCAATTCCCATGAGCTCTGGATTACAACATTTATATCAACTGATCAATACATAGCCTTTGTTTTATATGTGTTTCTGTTTAAGGGCACCTAATTCAAATATATTATTGATGCATTAACATTGAACTCATGGCTCACAGCACCAAAACACATTCTTGAACAAAGTTTATTAACTTGGTATTTTCTACATAAGGCACATCACAGCCTAGAGAGCCCTTCAGAAGTAATCTTGGGGGGTCATTTTTAATAGCAAAATCACCAAACAAGGCACAAAACACACAAAAAAATGAGGCAGTAAATAGAACTCAAAAAGAAATTTGTTTGCAGTATGAGTGCTGAAACAAGAAGGCAGAGCAGTGCATTTTCAGATTTCAGCTGGGAATGTGCACATTGGGCAACTCAAATTTCTTACCGTGTGTGGCCACGAATGACCACAAGAGTGGTCCAAGTATTGATTTGGGGATTATAAGCATATTTTGGCAAGTAGGTGAATTTACAAATACAAAAACTGAATAATGAAAATTGGCTGTGCTAGCAAGCAGATTTTCACAACATATAGAAAAGATTATACAATATTACCAAGTGGGATTTATCTCAAAAACTCGATTTGGTTTCACATCCAAAAATCAATTAAATAATACACCATATCAACATAAAAATGAAAAAAACAGATAATCTTAATAGTTCAGAAAAAAATCTGACAAAATCCAATATCCATTCATAATAAAGACATTCAACACTGTAGAAATAGAAGGAAACTTTCTCAACTAATCAAAGGCATTTAGGAAAAACTAACATGATAGCTAATGGTGAATGTTTGAATCATTTCACCTAAGGTCAGCAATAGGTGAAGTGTGTCTTCTCTCACCACATTCATTCAACATTGTACTGGAATTTCCAATTCAGGACAATTAAGCAAGAAAATAAAATAAATGGCATCCAAATTGAACAGGAAGAAGTAAGATTAACTATTTTTACAGATGACACAATCTTATATATAGAAAGTTCTATGAAATCAACTAAAAATACTTTAATGAATAAATGAGTTCAGCATATTTTAAGAGTTCAAATCAATATATAAAAGTCAATTGTATTTCTATACACTGGCAATGAACAATCTAAAAATGAAAATTAAGATAAACAGTTCTACTTCTAATAGCATCACAAGGAATAAAACATTTAGAAATAGAATTAACAAAGTTGGATAGAAAAATAAGTTGTAATGTTCAGTAGCAGAGTAGGGTGACTATAGTTAATAACAATTTATTGTGTATTTCAGAATAGCTAGAAGAGTTGAAATGTTCCCAACACATACAAATGATAAAAACTTAAGGTGATGGTTACCCCAAGTACTCTGACTTGACCATTACAAAGTCTACGTATGTAATAAAATATCACATGGACCCATAAGAATGCACAGGTATTTGTACCAATGAAAAATAAAAACAAATAAATAAGGACAAAACTTGTACTCTGAAAACTACAAACATGTTGAAAAAATTAAAAAAGACTGAAATAAATTCAGTGACATCCTTAGTTGATGGATTGAAAGACTTAATATTGGTAAAATGGCAATACACTTTAAATTGATCTAAAGATTGATTCAATACAAGCACCTAAAAATCTAAGCAATATTTTTTCCATAAATTGGCAAGCTGATTTTATAACTTATATAAACATTCAAGGTACCCAAAATAGGTAAAAAAAAATGTTGAAATGGATTAAAAATTATTGAAATACTCATACGACCCAATTTCAACACTTACTAGAAAGTTGTAGTTATCATAACAGTGTAGTACTGGAATGAGGATAGACATAAGGATCGATGAAATAAAATTGTGAGTCTAAAAATAATCTCTCACATTAACAATTTTGGACAAAAGTATGAAAGCAATTCAATTGTGAAAGAGTAGTCTTTTTGGAAAATGCTATTGGGACAATTGGATATCAATATGCATAATAATGAAGTTAGACCACTTTTTCACATTATATACAACTTTTAACTCAAAATGGGTCATAAGCCTCAATGTAAGAGATGAAACTATACAATTATAGGAAGAAAATATGAGTAATCTTTGTTAATCAGGGTTAGACAAAACTCTCTTAGATATGACACCAAAAGCAAAAGCAAGAAAAGAAAAAGTAGATAACTTGGTTTCATCAAAATTAAACACACTTGTGTTTCAAAGGATATTATCAGAAAAATAAAAAGATAGCCCATTGAATGGGAAAAATATTTGCACACATATATATGATAAGGAATTTGTATCCATATATATGTATACATATATATATCTTTTAAAACTCAATATTAAAGCAATAAATAACACAATTTTAAAATAGGCCAAATATTTGAATTGATATTTTTCAAAAGAAGACATACAAATGGCCAATAAGCATATTAAAAGATGTCCAATAACAGTCATTAAGGAAATACAGATCAAAACCACAATGAGATACCAATTCAGACACACGAAAGTGGCTAAAACCAAATAGATTATAACAAAGGTCAGCAAGGGTTTGGAAAAATTAGAACCCTCACACACTGCTGACTGGAATGTATAAAGATACATCCAACTTTGGAAAACAGGCTGGCAGTCATTTAAAATTTTAAATATACAGTTATGGTATCAAGGAACAATTAAACTCCAAGGTGTATACCAAGGGAAATGAAAACCTATATTCATACAAAAACTATACACAAATATTTATAGCAGCATTATTGATGATACCCAAAAAATGAAAATGATCCAAACGTCTATCAACTGATGAGTGGGTAAATAACATATGGTATATCCATACAATGGAATATTACTTAAAAATAAAAAAAAGAATGTATTGACTGGGCCACAAGATATATGAACATTGAAAACATTATGCAAGTAAAGGAAGTGAGTCACAGAAGACCTCCATGTTATATAATTTCATTTCTGTTAAATGTCCAGGGTATACAAATCTATACAGACAGAGAGATCTGTGATTGCCTAGGGCTAGAGTGTTAAGAGAGAAGTGAGGAGTTACTGCTAACAGGTACAAGGGTTTATTTTAGGGGTTATGAAAATTTTCTAAAACTAATTTTGGTGATAACTGCAAAACTCTGCAAATACACTAAAAACCAATGAATTGTACACATTAAATGAGTTAAGTACATGAAGTGTAAAGTATGTCTCAAGAAAACTGCTTTTTGTTGTTGTTGTTTGTTTTTTGAGACAGAGTCTCACTCTGTCACCCAAGCTGGAGTACAGTGGCATGATCTCAGCTCACTGCAACCTCCACCTCCAGGTTCAAGTGATTCTCCTGTCTCAATCTCCCGAGTAGCTGGGATTACAGGTGCCCATCACCACGCCCGGCTAATTTTTGTATTTTTAGTAGAGATGGGGTTTCACCATGTTGGCCAGGCTGGTCTCAAACTCCTGACCTCAGGAGATCCGCCCGCCTCGGCCACCCAAAGTGCTAGGATTACAGGCGTGAGCCACCATGCCCAGCCAAAACACTATTTTTATATATTATAAAAATCACATTTTCTTATTTATTTATGTCAAAGTGTGACGATATCTAGTACTAGCATGTATTTTAATGCTGTCTTCTAGTTCATGCCCTTGATACCTCCTATATAGATTACTACAAGTAATCTACCACAGAAACTGTTTCCAGTTTCAAAGATCCATCTGGTGCAATATTAATTTTATTAAAATGCCATTTTTATTAAATCACTCCATTGCCTAGAATCAATGTCTCTAATCTCTTCAGTTGACCATTTAAAACCTGTAATCAACCGGCCCATTTCACCCATTGTGTTAGGCAGAATAACAGCTTTTCAAGGATGCTCACATGGTAATTCTCCAGCCCTTCAAATATATTACTTTACATGGCAGAAGAGACTGCAGATGTGAATAAATTAAATTCCTCAGATGGAGAGATTATCCTGGATTATCCAGCTGGGCCTAATATAATCACAGGGGTTCTGCTAAGAGAAAGAGGGATGCAGGAGGGTTGGAGTCAGAGAAGGGAGGTGAGGGAAGAAGCCAAGATCAAAGTGATATGGAGCCATGATCTAAGGAATGTGGGCAGCCTGTACAAGCTGGAAGAGGCAAAGAAACAGGTTCTCCCCCATAAGTTTCAGAAGAAATGTAGCCCTGGTGATCCAATTTTGACTTCTGACACCCAGAACTATAAAATAATAAATGTATGGTTTTAAGCTACTAAGTTTGTGGCAGTTTGTTATAGCTATGATGGGAAACATGCATCCATGCATCCTTCTTACTAAGATTCCTCTGCTCCAGTCAATTTTGTCTCCTTCCACATCCCTGTCTTGAAAAATCCTTCTCCACTCACTTGAAAATGGCATGCCTCCCCTCACTGCCAACACAAGATCTACCTAAATAGTTACATCCTCAAGAAGTGTTCTCCCAGTAATCACACGTTTGTGAGGTTTTATTTCTGACCAAATATTTCTTCAGAATGTACTTATGTCATCTACAAATTGCCAGCATATGCCTGACCTAAGGATGATCATCTGGTTATAAATACACCTGGGCATTCTACACTCCTGTTCCACTCCCACTTCCTACCCCCACTGCATTAGTATTCTATTGCTTTATAACCATACTTTCATCCAGATTTTCTCCCCTTTCTTCATCTTTTTCTTCTTGGAGTGTTACACCAGCATTGACCCATTTGCCCAACCCAGAAACATAGAAGTCATCTTACATTCCTCCTTTCCCTTATTCCTCTATGCAACCTGTCATGAAATTACAACAACTCTACTTTTATTATATCTCCCCACTCTGTCCTGCTTTCATACCCTCTTGGCCACTACTCAACTTCTTGACCCTCCTCTGCGCTGGTCTCATTTTTTTCTGTATATTCTCCCTGGGTTATTTTCCTGCAGGTAATCTCTTACACATCTTAAAACCCTTTAATATTTCTTCTTAGGGTTGATAAAGACCACATGCCTTTAGGCAGAAAGCTACTTGTAATAGGCTCATGTAATATTCTGGGAATTGCTGAAATTATCTATGAAGATAGATCATAAATATTAAAAATACCTTTTCTTTAATTTAATAAAGAATCAACAAATTTTCAATAATGTGTTATTTATGCCCAATGTCTGCCAGAATTTTTTCAACCTCATCTCAAGCTGCCTTAGATATAAATTGAAAAAAGTTAGTCTACAAAAGTCTACTTTAACAAATCTCAGATACTACCAGGAATTTTTCCAACATCTTATAACCAAATTAAAAGGCCACCCTAGGCTATTTTACAGTATTCAAACTTCTGAAATAGTAAGGACACAGGAATGGTACACGCTTCCTTAGAAAATGGATAGAAATACAGTAAAAGTTGAGCAGAGTCAATAAAAATTTTGCTGCCTCACAATGTCCAAGTTATCTGTCTGCACATGTTTAAAATCCACAAGATTTTTGTCTGTTAAGTATCGTTAGATATGTTTTGTCTGCTTCATACATTTAATATATTAGAATGAAAGGCTTTCATAAAATTCCAAACTTTAGGATGGAATTATTATTGCCATTATCATTATTTTAGAGAAAAGTAGATTGTGATGAGAAAGGAAAGGTTGAGATAACATATAAAAAATAAAATATAGCAAGAAAGAAATAATTCTTCTAAATTACATAAACTATGTGTAAATATACTGGGAATAGGCTAACTGCATTTCAAGGGTCAGCACTGAACCTGTTTTACTACATGAAGGGCTGTTTATGACAATCAATATTGCCACTCATTTTTAATGATCTTTTATGTCCTCTGTGCCTCACATTAAATGCATCAACATGTTTGATTTTTAATTTAGCCTTGTTAAAGTAATTTAGTTCAACCTTCACTGAGGAAACGGTGTTATTTGCAATGACAGTGGATGCTATTCAGCTTCTTAGGGCAAATGGACTGTCAGCCTTATTGTCAAGTATCAAATTGACATAGTCATGAAGCTAGTGAAGAGGGGAATGTTGGTCCCCAACTTTTAACAGTATTGGGTAAGAGGGACTTACTGCTTTTTAGTTTATTTTTTATTTTCAATTCATCACCTATTTTCAATCCTGTGAAAGTTTTCATTGTTCTCCTCATCACTTACGGGAGAAATCTAAGTCAATTTTCATCCTTCTCTCTCCCACATCACCTATCCCAAATTGTGTCCATCCACGTTTCATATCTAACCCAATGCCCTTATCCTAATTCAAACTTTTGCCATTTTACAACTGCGTAGTTTCAGTAGTACTGTAATTGATTTCCTCACCTTTATTACTATGTAAGCAAAGCCGCCAAATAGACTACTACTGTGTTAAACTTTAGAAAGCCTAATTTCTAATCATGTATCCTGAAAACTTTTAGTGTCTTACATGACCTAAACCTAATGTCTAGAATTCTTTGCCTAGTAGTTATGCTTTTTTCATTAACTTCCTAAGTGTGTTGGTTTCCCTTACAGTTATTGACATTCCTTTTACCCAGGCTAGTCTCTCCCATTCTCTTCATGTCATTCCTTTAACCAGAATGTTCCCTGCCTTCATTGTAACTGTCAACTCTCAGCCATCACAGGGCAAATTTCCAAGACCGCTCCTCACTCTGTCTTCCACTGGCCATGTCAGTTCATTTGAAACCCAATGGCAGTCCTGTTTCTGTACCCCCAATTTGGTCCTTGTATATATTTCCTTGGGTTATTAATTACATTTGAACTATTTCATGGCAAGGTCTTTACTTTTTCCTAAGCTATGTACATTAGGCACTTGGGAATTCCTGATTATATTTGTCATTTAATTCCCATTGGCTATTGATAATAGGATACACAGAAGAAAATGGGATATACAGAAGAAAATAATTCCCTATTCTGGAAGAATAAATTCTCAATGCTGGAAAAATCAATCCATATTTCCATATGCTGGAAAAATCAATCCATATTTCCATATGCTGGAAAAATCAATCCATATTTCCATATGGTGGAAAAATCAATCCATAGGGAAAATAATTCCTTGTGCTGGAAGAATCAGTCCATATTTTCTAGTAACTAAAAGGACAAAGTGCTTTGTGTGTATGTGTGTGTACATCATTCTATAAAGCATATTTATTTTAATTCTATATTATTAGTTAATTACTAGAATTAATTTTATATTAATATTAATTAAAAATTATTTTAATTTTATAAAGTCAATTTAAAACTTTAATTTCAAACACTTCTAAATATTGCTAAACTTTATAAAAATTGGAGATTATTTGTTTATTGTCTATCACTCCTCTTCCAAATAAAATAGAAGTATTCACAAGAGTAGAGAAATTGATTCTCTCCTTTACCACTATAACCTTAGCTTCTAAAATAGAATCCAGCATCTAGTAAATATTAAATAAATACCTGTTTAATGAATGAATGTATTCCAAGTACTTAGCAAAAGTGCATGGTGTTTAGTGCAAAATCAATAAATATTGGTTAAATGAGTAAAATAATAAATTTCAAACTTTTAGCAACAGCATAGTAGGGCCAATATTAGAAATATGTAGGAATATTTTGAATATCATTTTAGAAACCTCTTAGCACTATTACTGTAAAATTTGGCATTTACCATTTGACTCAAAACACTGCTTCTTAGGAAACAAACACGCAAGCATCATAAAGGCATGTGAAGACACAAGTCTGGGACTCACTCCAGAAATCCCAGGATAATGTGGCTGGCCATTATGTTTATCAGGCCAACTCCATCTGGATGGGGTTCAAAGTAATCAGCTGAGTTGAAAGAGAGGAAAACAAGAGAAAGTGAGAACAGTCTTAGGTAGTCAATGCAGGAGATTCAGAGAACAAGGGAGCAGGAAGGACCTAATATATCATTTGGGGGGCTGAGTAACAAATAAAAACAGAGGACTCCTTGTTCAAAAAGCAGGATTAAAGTGCCATTAAAGGTACTAAAATATAAAACATTCCTTTTTGTGCAGTCTTTCACTTGATCTATCGTGGTGCATTTTACTCGCTGTTTAACGTGGCACTCTCTTGACATGGCAATACTTGCCAAAATAGTGCAGATGTTCACAGGCACCTGAGGACTCCACCTGCAACTCGGCACACAAGTGGCCAACCACTGCTAGGAACCCTTCCTGGCTGCCACCTGACAGATGCACTGGACCTGACTGAAGCTGGGAAGGGAATCTCCCTTTGCCATGCTCACCACCCAACACAGAGTGGGCAGGTGTCCCTCTCAAAGATGGAAACCTCCATGCCTGGACACAGTAAGTTCCTGGCCCGTGGGGGTGTTCTCGGACCCAGGGAAATGGCAGCAGCAATGCCCAGGCTGATCCTTGCCCTGGGACACAGCTGAGCAAACACTACTGACCCAACCAACCCAGTGGGTGTCCTAGCCTGGCCCCTGGAGGAAGTCAAATGGGGAATGGAGAAATAAGAATCTCAACCCCATGGCCACCCCACACAGAGGGCATCATCAGTCTTGGGGCAGGGGCAAAAGTGGGGATGCTGGCTGGGGCTTGGGGTACCAGGGAGCAGAAAGCAGGGAACTGGGGGCTGGCCAGGGAAGCCATCCCAAAGATGCATGTGAGCCAGGTTCGAAGCCCTTAACCCATGCTCCATTGTCAATGACATTGACATCAAATGTCACAAAGTATAAATTCAAAGACAAAATCCTGAAGAATTTCAAGATTGGAGGGCAGAGCACTAAACTCCAAGAGTGGGACCCTTTTTTGTGTCACTGTACTGGTCTGAGGCCCATGAAACCAGCCCAAAAGAACACATCTAAAAGAAAATCAAGCTGGGGCCCAGTCCTGTGGCTCCTGACAGGACAACAAGGAATGGGGGCAGGAGTTTGTTCTAGTGATGGAGTTGGACCACATCACTAAATGCATCCAACTGGTGCTGTCTAATCTCTGTGTAGAACTATAACAATGTGACTTTTTTTTATTGCAGATGAATTTACTGTAGTTTCTATAAGCCAGTGGTTATAAAAGAAAAGCAAAAGTAGTTGGAAAGATAATAAAGCATTTAATTCAGAGATTTAAAATAACAATAAGAAAATGAAAGAAGAGAGAAGAGCAAAGACAGAGTCTTCATTGAGAAAGGTAATACAGTACTTATTAGTATCATAGTTTTCTGATTTCCAAAAGCAATCCTATGGTATTCAGGTCATTATAACTAACACAAGTAGATAAATGTCATATAAAGCTACATATAGCATAGGAAACCTCTAAAATAGGGAGATCTTAACATTTGCTGAGTTCAATCTGTGTCCTGGGAACTTTACAAATATTACATTTTGTTTTCACACACATGATTTCAGGCAGTTTCATCTTCATTCCTTGGATAAAGAAACTGACTTGAGCTGTTCTTCTAGCAGGTCAAGGCAAGTAGCTAATAAGAAGAATGGTAGAAGAAGATGAAGGGTGAACAAATGCATTTTGTATGTAACAGATTTTCTACAATGAGCACATAAAACTTGCATAGTCAGAACAACATATAAAGAAAGGGAAAATGAATAATAATCATTGATTTCTACTGGAAAAGTTAGGTTTATGAAAAATCAAAGAAATAATATTCAGTCTCATTCATTAGACTTTCATTATTCTTTATTCTTTGTTTTCCTCACAGATCTCTAAAAGGAATATTTTGAGAAGAAAATAAATCTCTTTTAGACTAATATACTTTTACCTTATACAACTTTATATGCAGAATGATAGCCTTGCCTATAACAGGAAGTAAAGGCATAGCTGATTATGATATTTTCTTTGCAAGTGTGTTCCACACATATATTTTCACATGGATTCTGAAAATAAACAATTCCAAAAATGTTTTATTTTATAATTTACCTATATTTGTATTTTCCCCAAGGAATTTGTCTCATTTAAAAATGTTTGATTAGCACTTTTTTGACCTCTGAATTTTTCTACCTAAAGTTATTTAAAGATCTGTAGAATGTGCATGTGTGTATAATGCAGGAATATTTATTTTAATAGTGATTTTCAAATTGACAATATTAATATTTTAATTCCATTTTTTTAAAAAAAGTTTATTTTGAAAAGTTTCTCCTTAACTACAATTCTGGAGAGATAGCATATTGGTTCAATTAAAGCAAAATTGGTTAAAGATGGTCTTATATATTTGTCTGAGCTACAATCCTAAGTCATAAAAATCTATTGAAGGGGCTCAATTTAGTCTCAAAATACTTACAAATCTATTGTTTGCTTAAAACTCTAATTGAAGCTTCTAAAGGACAGCCCATTTCCACAAACAAAGTGTTTGTGAGTTTTTTTCAAAATTCTAAAAAGAAAATCGTAAAGTATTTCAAGGGAGGAAATGATTGAAACGTTTTATCTCACAGAAGACATATTAACACATTTAAAATCCTAATTCTAAAGTCAAATCTCTTAGTGAATGTCAAATTTTAGTTACTGTGTTTTTTATTATGTACCATAGGATATTTAATTGTCTTCATATTAGTGATAAAAATGAGTCATAATCAATAAGCTAGTATTTCCTTGTAAATACTTGATTAGGTCTGGGGCTGTTTTCCATTATTTTATTGTCATTTTGTTAGAATATTTCTAGGAATGGTGCTACTTCAGTCCAACATAAATTCTAAAAGCATTAATTTGATTCATTTCTTAAGCATAATGATAAAAAAGACATGTAAGATACTGGAGATGTGTTCATTTAACAGTTGTTAAATGAATAACAGCCTCTATAATTTAACATCTGAGTAGTATTGAATGATAGTTCTAAGCCAACTGTCTGTTGTCTTTTACTCAAATCATATTGTCAGGGCTTCTGAATAAATAGCCACCATGGAAAGAGAATCTCTGTGGCAGAAATTAAGAAATAATATACAGGAAGGATTAACCTCCATCCTCCTATGCTTTTATCTCTAGCATGCCTCAAAACCAAAGAGAGACTGCCCAACCATTAAAAAAGATTAAAGGTGTTAATTAGACTAAGAGATAGAAACCTATCACCCTTATGTCAGGCCGACCAGACTAAATCTTCTAATGGATTAAAACACACACACACACACACACACACACACACACACACGAGAGAGAGAGAGAGAGAGAGAGAGAGTAAATCATGTATCTAATGAAATCTCATTGATGATTGTCCATATTTATATCTCTGAACAAACAATTTTTGTTGAAACTGATCAAAACATTTGGACAATAGTTTTATAGATGTAGTCATTACCACTATTTTGATCAAAATTGTTACAAAATTCAACACTAAAATATAATCATAAGGGGCTTAGAAGAGTAACATCTTCATAACAATAAAATTCAGAATTGCCAATTATCCCTTCTCTTCAATGGAGTCCATTATGACATTAATATCAGTTTATGTAGATATTCCTTTATCCTTCTTTCAGGAGGAACAGATAATATGTTAGTCTCATACATAAACTATGTGCCATCTCAAGATGGATTTGAGGTATTTTAATGTTAGATGTCATTAAAAAGAAAAAATTATTGTCCAAATTAATAATTACCTGTCAGTCATTTTATTTCTCTTTACATTTTATTATTTTAAAATTTTTACACTTCCATTGTTAAAATATAAGGGAATACCCACACATGAATTTTATAATAGCATATATGTGTATAATGTGTATGTGTACACATGTATACATACATACATATATGTGTAGGTATGTAAGTGCATGTGTTCACATTCGCATACGTATTTACATCCAGTGCACATATGTTTAATTATGTGTGTATATGCACACACTTATATACACACAGCCATGTGCCACATAACAATATTTCAGTCAATGACAGACTGCATACAGGACAGTGGTCTCATAAGATTATAATAGAGCTGAAAAATTCCTGTCACCTGGTGACATCATAGCCATCATAACATATTACTCAGAGCCATGGATAGCCAGTACAACACGTTACTCAATGTTTGTGGTGATGCTGGTGTAAACATACCTACTGCCATTCCAGATGTATAAAAAAGTTCAGCACATACAATCATGTACAATGCATAATACTTGATAATGATAAGTGACTATGTTACTGATTTTTATACTTACTATACAATACTTTTCATCATTATTTTAGAATATTCCCCTTTTATTTATGAAACAACAAAAGATAACTGAAAAACAGCCTCAGGCAGGTCCTTCAGGAGGTATCCAGAAGAAGGCATTGTTATCCTAGGAGATGGCAGCTCCATGCTTGTTATCCTACCTGAAGACCTGCCAGTGGGACAAGATGTAATACGGAGGGTGAAGAAAGTGATATTGATAATCCTGGCTCTGTGTAGGCCTAGCTGATATGTGTGTTTGGGTCTTAGTTTTGAGCAAAACAGTTTAGAAAGTTAAAAAATATTAATTTAGAAATTAAAAAGCTTTTAGAGTAAGGATATAAAGAAGGAAATATTTTTGTACAGTTGTGTTTGTTTTTAGCTAAGCATAATTTATTATTATAAAAGACTCAAAAAGTTTTAACAAAGTGAAAAGTATAAAAGTTAAAAAGTTAGAGTAAGTGAAGGTTAGTTTATTATAGAAGAAAGTTTTTTAATAAATTTAATGTAAGCTAAGTGTACAGTTTTTATAAAAGCTAGAGTAGTGTACAGTAATGTCCTAGACTTCACATTTGCTCACCACTCATTCTCTAATTTACCCAGAGCAATTTCCAGTCCTGCAAGCTCTATTCATGGTAAGTTCCCTATGCAGGTGTATCTTTTTTTATCTTTTACACTATATTTTTACTGTACTTTTTCTATGTTTAGATACACAACTACTTACCTTTGTGTTACCACTGCCTACAGTATTTAGTACAGTAACATGCTATCCAGGTTGGTAACCTAGAAACAACAGGCTATATCATACATCCCAGGTGTATGGTAAGCTATATCATCTAGGTTTGTGTAAATACATTCTGTTGTGTTCACACTGTGACAAAATCACTTAAGAACACATTTCTAATAATATATCCCCATTGTTAAGCAACATATGACTGTATACACACACACACATGTATTTCACTTCATATTTTAAAGGTGATATTAAATATAATGAGGCTAAAAATCAAAATCAAATCATCAAAATTTCATATGACATAACAATATTTAAACACTTTAAAGGCAACTGCTATAGGAACCATTGAAAATGGTATTTTATAAGAACACTTTGAGTATATAATAATCAATAAAAGTCCCAAGTAACTATTTTATATACAGATGTTACATCTAGGGCTTCTCTGTCCCCTGTGCCCTAGGGTCTAAGTCCCAGCTGTGACTATGCTGCCACTGAGGCCATCTACCTTACCCCCTGAGGCTGAGTTATGGTTACAACCCATCATCACCAGGACCACACTGCCACTGAGCCTGTCCCCCAGTAACCAGGTCTCTCTGCTCAGTCTGTCATCCCCAGGCCCATGCCACCGCTGTATGCTATCCCCTCATGGCCTCAGACCCTACCTTTGTAGGTGATCTCCATATGCACACCAGATCTGATGCCACAAAGAATCCCCTTGGCTAGAACTTCCCCGCATAGGGTGAAAAGAGAAAAGGATCCCAGTAGCCCTCACCACTGAGGACCCCAACATCCCTACCCATTAATGCCATTGCAGGCACCTACAGCCTTTCCTGCCAAGGATCCCTGCAGTCTTCACAGACATTGACCTCAGCTGATGGAGCTGCATGGAGATCACGTTGCTGCACCTTACCTCAAGGCAGAGATGCTGCACCCCACCAGCTGATAATCTCATAGCCACCCACTGGGGAAATATTTTGACAACTGAATCTAGTTCAAAAAGGCTGCAAGAGGTGATTGTTCTCTCAAACGCATGGAAATAAATGAAAGGCAATTAGTGACAAACAAAAAAAAGGAAGGAAACATTATGCTACCCAAAAAAATAATTTTCCAGTAAGTGTCCTTGAAGTAATAATGGAAATTTATGAGTTACCTGAGAAAGAATTCAAAATAATTATTATAAGAAGTCTTAGCAAGATGCAAAAGAACACAGATAGATGGCTAAATGAAATCAATAAGGCAAAATAGCAACAGACTGAGAAGCTCAACAGAGATAGAAATCATAAAAATGAATCAAACAGAAATTCTGAAACTGAGTAACACAATGACTGAAACAAAAAAAAATGCAATAAAGAGCATCTATAGTTAAGCAGAAGAAAGAAATTGCGACCTCAAAGACAGATCTTTTGAAATTATTCAGAGGAGAAAATAATATAAGAATAAAAAAGAGTAAAGAAAGCCTACAGGACTTACATGATATCATCAAGTAAACCAGCATGTGCCTTAGAAGTAACCAAGAAAGAGAAAAGAGTGAGAGTCAGAAAATGTATTTAAAGAAATAATTGCTAAAAATTTCCTAAATCTTGGTAATGACATGAATATTCAGATCCATGAAGCTCAAGTGTTCTCAAACAGATTTAATCCAAAGGGAACTTCAATGAGGCACTTAATCAAATTGTCAAAAGTCAAAGACAGAGAATTTTGAAAGCAGCAAATAAAAAACAACATGCCACATACAAGGAAACATCCGTAAATTTATCAGTAGATTTCTCCAAAGAAACCTTGAATCCTAGGAGAGAGTGAGATGATATATTCCAAGATCTGAAAGCAAAAAAACAAACAAACAACAAGCAAACAAACGAAACTTTCAATCAAGAATACTTTATCCGCAAAGTTGTCCTTCAGCAATGAAGGAGAGATAAAAGACCTTCCCAGGAAAACAAAAGTTGAAGGAGTTTGACATCACAGAACCTGTTTTACAAGAAATAGTAAAGGGAGTTCTTCAAGCTGAAATTAAAGGATACTATTTAGTAATATGAAAACATATGAAACTATAAAATGTGCTGGTGGAGGTAAATATATAGTCAAATTCAGAATACTCTAATACTGAAATGGTAGAATATAAATCACTTTTAAGGACAATAGAAAGACAAAAGCACTGAAAACTATAGCACCCCTGAATATAAAATTTTTAAAAAATAATAACTACAGCTACACTATTTGGTTGATTTTTATACCATATTAAGTATATGTAAATTGTGACACTAATAATATAAATAGGGGTTGGGAGAGAGACAGGTAAAAATGTAGAGAATTTGTATGCTATAGCTTCATTCCATATTATTAACAAAAAAAAAATGCAAGCCATGAAAATACAGATATCTCTGTAATCCCAGCACTTTGGGAGGCTTAGCTAGGAGGATTGCTTGAGCCTAGAAATTCAAAAGCACCCTGGGCAACATGGCAAAACCCCATCTCTAAAAAAAAAAAAAAAAGAATTAGACAGGTGTGATGGCATGTGCCTATAGTTCTAACTCCTCAGGAGGCTGAGGTGTGAGGATCACCTGAGCTCAAAAGGTTAAAGCTGCAGTGAGCCATGATGGTGCCACTGTACTCCAGCCTGGGTGACAGAGTGAAACCCTGTCACAAAAAATAATAATGATAAATAAAATAAAATAGAGCTATCAAAGGCCATTATAATAATGTATGTTAAATGATTTAACTAATGAAAATCAAAAGAAAACATAATTTAGATGCTAATTTGATTAATTTTACTGAAAATAGTGTTTAAAACCTGTTAGATCACTTCCCTTATTTTAACTCAAATGATCAAAGAATGTTTGACTAATTATATTAATTAGCTTTTTGCTGTAGGATCAGGGTATGGCACACTCAACAAGGTGACCAATGAATTAAAATTTCTAAAAGGTGAGAAATAATACCTTGACAAATCTTTTAGCTCATCAGCTTACACAATTACAAACACAGGTCAACACTGGGTGCAGAATTCAGCCCATGATTTTACTAACAAAGATTAAAACATTGATTATCAGAATCTTTGTGCTTTGTAGTTGCAGCACGGCACTGACAGCAAGACTTTGCTGACCTTTAGAATGGAGAGCCACCTTAACCAATCATGGTGCTGCTTACTGGAACTCAACAAACTGGGAGATTTTGTCCTATCTGAACTCACTTTATTATTCTGAGCCTTTCGCTGGTTTGAAGGCTAATGCTCAATTGATCAGGCTTTCAAGCCAGTTTGAAATAATAAATAAAAGAGAACAGGCACTCTCATTTCTTTATATGCTTTATTTCATTATTTGGGGAGAACCTCAGCTGATTCAAAAAAATATGTGCTTTTGTTTCTCTTCTTTTTATCTACTTCTGATTCTTGTATCCAAACTTGATATTATACATGAAAATAAGAGCCAAATAGTATGCACAATGACTGTAGACTTCCTGGTTTTCATAACAAGGGTGGGAAAACAAAATATGGGAAACCTAACAAGTCTCAGAGCTATATTAAATGGTTTAAGTTCGGTAATAACACACAATTGGTAGCATTTTGCTTTGTGTATATGAAAAAGTTCAGCTCTTTTGAGCAACAGTTAGAAGATATCTTTTTTTAAACGAACACTTTCCTCTGGTGATTGTCCTCTACTTAGCAACCAGCCTGCTTGAGAGAGTAGTTTCCATTCACTGCCTTCAATTCCTCACTTTCCATTCCTCAACCTATGATATTTTGGCTTCCACTTTCATTAGAGGCCTTTATCTATCAGGGATATTTATAATTTTTTTTCAATTAATCTGATGATTCCTGTTCATTCTTACCTGAACTGGAATATGACATCTCTGTAGGATATAACTGCTGTGGTCAAAATATACACCGTTCCCCAACATCTCCACAGCCAAAATGTATATGTTGTAATCCTAGCCCTCAGGTGATGGTATTAGGAGGGCCTTTTAAGAGGTGATTAGGTCATGAGGGAAGACTCTTCATAAATGGGATTAATGCACTTATAAAAGAGGCTCCAGAGAGTTGCCTTGCTTTTTCTACCATTGAGGGCACTGTGAAAAGGCACCACTCTATGAATCAGAAAGTGGATCCACACCAAACAGTGTATCTGCTGGTGCCTTCAACTTGGACTTCCCGGCCTCCAAATCTGTGAGAAATCAATTTCTGTTGTTATAAGCTACCTGTTTATGGTATTTTGTTATAGCAGTCTGAACAGACTAAGACAATTAACACTGTTACTCTTAACTTCCTAAAACCTTAATTTTTCTTAGCATCAGGGCAACCGAGTAGGCTCTTTCTTACCTTTCTGGTTGTTTCTCCCAAACCTTCTCTTTTGAACTTATTTTCTTTTACTTATTTTTTAAAAGGCTGATACTTGCAGATTTATGCCCTTGAATCTGATCTTATCTACATCTTCCCTTCTCCTCCTTGTCCTCTGTCTCCCTTCTCCTTCCTCCGTTCTCTGTCCATCTTTCCCTCCACTGTTTCTGGTGGATCTCATCCCTTTCTATCACTTCAGTTATCTATGTATATGTATACATACACACACACACACACACAAACATATATATATATATATATATATATATATATATATATATATATATATATATATATGAGAGAGAGAGAGAGAGACAGAGTCCCACTCTGTCACCCAGGCTAGAGTGCAGTGGTGCGATCTCGGCTCACTGCAACCTCTGCTTCCTGGGTTCAAGCGATTCTCTTGCCTCAGCCTCCTAAGTGGCTGGGATTCCAGGTGTGTGCCACTATGCCTGGCTAATTTTTTTGTATTTTTAATAGAGATGGGTTTTTTCCATGTTGGCCAGGCTGGTCTTGAATTCCTGACCTCAGGTGATCTGCCCGCCTCAGCTTCCCAAAGTGCTGGGATTACAGGCATGAACCACCATGCCCAGCCTATCTATGTATATATTAATAATAACACTATACCTATATAGAGAGAGTACAGGCCTTACCCACAACAGCAAACTCACATATTTCATGATTAACTAGGCATCTCTGTGTGCACTTTCCACGTTCAACTCCAAATCAACATATTTCAATATAATCTCATCTTTCCATAAAACATCTCTTCTTTGATGTCTCTCATTGTAAATTGTTGCACCATTTATCAAGTCACATAAAACAGAAATCAGAGAATCATGTTTTACTCTTTGATCTCCATCCAAAACCATTCAGCTACTAACTTTGATTCCACTCTTGCCCATTAGCTACCCTTTACTCAGGACATCAGTATTTTTCACCTGCAATTCTGTAATGGCATCTGACTTTCTATTTTCTATGGCAGCCAGAATGAGGTTGCTAAACTTCAGAATAGTTCACATCATTCTTCTGTCTAAAACTCTGTAGTAGTTTCATATTTTTTCTTGAAATCAAAATGCTTAGCTTTCTGGACTCCATATCTGTTATATGTTTCTCTTAAAGTCCAGACCAGCTTTTCCAATCCCATTCTCATTTCCCCAAATACCTTTGCCTTTTTCATCCTATGTCCTGTTCATCCTTTTATCTATATTTAGATATGACCATGTCATTAAATCTTCCCTAAAACCTGAGCCTAGGTGAGGGACTAGATTTGGTCTCATATTGCCCCGATATTACATTATCACATTAAATCTTACTTGTCATTCCAGTAGAAAACAGCCATTTAAGACAAAGATTATACACCATACCTTAATGCCTAGGACATAGTAAGTAATCAATATTTATTGACTGATTAACTGGCCATCCAATGATAACTGGGGTGGGGCAATAGTTTACTTCATATGTGAATGTCAGGTAAGACTGTATTTATTCAAAAAGATGTCCTTTTCTGTAGAGTTCTTTTTGTTGAATATTTGAATTTAAATGTTGGAGCAACCTGCCAAATGACAGAAACTTGGCAATGATGTAAGCTGCCTCAATTGAGACATATTATTTTGTACGAGCACTAACATTTAGAAAATTGAAATCTCTTTCAGAAATCTTTTAATTAGGTAGTCTTTTTTTGTTTACATATGATATTGTTCATCCTGTCACTAATAGAAATTAACTTGAATTTCATTTGGAATGTACGTTGATAATTATTCTTACTTCTCAGATAAATGCAGCAAAGGGTAGCAATAAAGAAGTTTTGCATTAAAATCAAAGTTGGTGTAACCCCAAAAACTCTGAACATTCATTACAGACCCATAAGTGACATAATTTCTAAAGACTACAGCCAGGATTGAGTGCCTTGTTGGCTATTTTTTACTTCCAAAGCACAAAGAAAGCCTCCTTTAGTCATGGTAAACTGGCACCTAACCTACAGTCTTCTATTGTATTCACAGATAAACTTTGAGGATTTAACAAAGCCCATTGAATTGTTTCCAAAATTGTGTCTGTATGTGAGCATCTGGGGCAGGAACTGAACCATTGATTGGGCTTCTAAATGAATTCATAACTCCAAAGAAATGAACAGCCACTGGTAATAATTTTATAGGTAAAAGAAAAGGTAATGATTTTATAGGTAAAATAAAAGATTATAATCCACTTAAATATTTCCATCTGAGAAAAGATTATCCTAGGAAGAGAGAAGACGTTAGGCATTTGCTGAACCAGTTAAAATTGTTAAAATCTAATAAAATAGTTGTATTTTAATGTACTTTCCAGCATATCAAATTATAATCTATAAATAATGGAAATAAGATAAGTGCCTTTGGGATTTTAATTTTTATGTACAAGTTAAGGCCACAGAAGTGACTCTTCCATATAGATTCTTGTTTGGTTTATTAGAACAAAAGTTCTTCTAGAATACTGTAAGAATGCTCCCACTCAACCCTTAAGCGTAGTTTTCTTGCACCTTCTCCAGATAATGCCTTAAATTCACTTTTCACCTTATCTGCTAAGTGAATCCCTTGTATATTTTTAATCAATTTTCCATTCTCCTCTACCTTTGCAGACCTAACAGTCCCTTTGTCTATATGGCCTCAGGTTCTTTGATTGAGGTAGAGTCTATTTAGAGTCTAGAGTCAAAAGAGTAAGAAAATTATTAAGGATGAAAAAGAAAAACTCTCTGAAATACTTATTTGAAAACATGGATTAGCATCTGCTATAAAAAATCATGCCTTAAATTTTGGAAAATTTCCTACACTCAAGAGAAAATGACATAGATCTGCTAAAAAGTCCAGAATACCCAAATCTTCTCAACAGAGAAATATCAATTTAAAATGAAATTTTAAACAATTTTATTAGAATATTTCTTTTTTATTCCAAACAACGCACATAAATGACCTTGAAATAAAACTATGTTCTAGACATGATTGTATTTAGGAGCTTTTTAGTTAGTAAGAGTCTAACACATTACTTTGGTTGGTTTTCAAACAACAGCTTGGCTACACCTCAGAAAAAGGGAGTTTTAAGATAAAGATGACAGTAAGTACACACACTCTTCAGTTGGAGACAATTTCATTTTTCTAATCCCATTCTGAATGACTATCTCAGAACCCCAGTGCCATACCATGAAAGAGTCCTGGAAAGCTGCCTTCAAACTACCTCATGGTTTTCACTAACTTTTACATAGACAGCTTTGATCTTGTCCTGGAACTGCAATTAGATATTTTGCACTGCTCTTCTGAGTGCTATGGTATAACTCTGATTCTGAATCTAAGGAAAAAAAAACAAAAACAAAACAAAATGCCGAAAATATGGTAGGTTTTGAGGAAAAAAAAAAAAAAACAGGAGGGAAAAACAAACACAAAAATAAAGACCTGAAAAAAGAGTACCATGATCTAGGACTGATCTTGAATTTAATAAACCTAAGTTGGATCTCAGAACATCTCTCCTTAAAGAAGACTCATTTTGTATGATATCCTTCTACTTAACTTGGCAAGGAGTTCAAATCATGATAGCTTTGGGATGATCCTCTATTAACACTGATTATCTTTCTCTGCTGGATTTATTGTGTTGCTTTTGTGATGACTCAGTGAGAAATTATATATTACTGTGCACATAAAAACAGGATTAGACCGAGTACATAATAGAAACCAAGAGTTTGGGATGGTTAAACAAGATTATTGATTGATATAGCTGCTATTTAAATTCCGGGAACTTCATGGAAATGCGAAAAAAGAAAGTGGCATGCACTCTCTTAAAGGAAGATTTTAAAGAAACATCAAACCTTATTCACAATATTCCAATAAACCACATTAAACTGCAACCCAGAATTAAATGACTTGTTTTGAATGTAAAAATTATTTGGTCCATAAAATAAAGAACAAGGCCCTAAAATTAATGCATTTGCTTTAAGCAACAATCAGGCTACACGTGGATGACAGAGGAGGGAGCTAGGGATTGATTACGCATGGCATTTCAGAGACAGGCTTGGGTAGTCAGATTATAACACCCCTAAAAGTGTCCCTTTAAAATACACAAGTCAATGAGTACTGCACACATACTCACACATTCACACAAATATACAAATATGCAGGGTAGATCGAATGATCCGGAGTCTGTTGACCTTCATACTGTGCCTGGGTCCTTCAAATATTGATTCAGTTTAATCTTTCTTTACTGAAATGAAATATATACTCTGTGTTACACTGAGGTCTGGTCTGTGGATGCACTTCTGTAAATTGAAATAATAAATTAAATAAATTTTCTTTTAGTTACTGTTGTATATAACAGTAGCTTCTCTCCAGTGGAAGAAGACATTAACTCTCTGTGTAGCTTTGCACTTCTTTCTGAAGCTGAAAATGGCTTTTGGATATTTGAAAAATACTGACTACATTCTTCAATTCTTAAGACTTTAAAGCATTTATCTAGAGTTTACTAATTCTCCTATATAAATGATGGCCTACCATTCCAGTTCATGCCCATTGAAAGACTGAAGAGAAAATGAGAATGCAGAAAAGTCCATTTTACCAAATTATTTGCATTGACACCTAAATAGAGCCTAATACAAAGAGAAGAAACATCCTGATGCATGCTCCAGAGCTTTAAGCAAGTGACAACTGTTTTTCTCTTTCAGTTCTAGGAGAATAATGTTTTGCTTAGCCATTAATAATGGACTAAAGACCCTACATTTCTCTTTCAGTTCTAGGAGAATAATGTTTTGCTTAGCCATTAATAAGGGACTAAAGACCCTACATTTCTCTTTCAGTTCTAGGAGAATAATGTTTTGCTTAGCCATTAATATGGGACTAAAGACAATTTCAAACTACAAATAACTTAAATATTTCTTAAATTTAAAACCACTAGTATCAGTTATCTTTTGCCCTTGTGTTGAATTCATGGAATTAAAGACTCAGAGAGAGAAGAAAGTAATGTAATTAGGGCAAACAGCTCCCAAATGTAGTCCCTAGATCAAATTGAAAAAAAATAAGGATGATGTCCTGAGATTTTCTTACAGTTAAATTTACTAATATGAAAGGAAACACCTTTAAAATGAGATTATGTCTATTTTATTGTCTTCTGTGAAGACATTGTTACATTAATAAATGATAATGGTAGATGGAATTTTATATTTATTTTTATTTAAAACACTGAGAGCACTAAAAAATAAAAACTTATTTCTTATGTACAGCCCAATGTGCTTCTATTTAACTATACCACTCTTAACTCTTTTCTCTAGGGTCATAAAAAATGTAATTTTGCTCCATAAAAAACTGACCAAGCCAGGCACAGTGGCTCACACCTATAATCCCAGCACTATGGGAGGTTAGGTGGGAAGAATGCTTGAGGCCAGGAGTTTGAGATCAGCCTGGGCAACATGGTGAAAACTTATGTCTACAAAAAAATATAAAAATTAACTGGATGTGGTGGCACATGCCTGTAGTCAAGAGGGTGGTATGGAAGGATTGCTTGAGCCCAGGAGTTTGAGGCTACAGTGAGCTGAGATTGTGCCACTACATTCCAGCCCGGGGGACAGAGCAAAACTTTGCCAAAAAAAAAAAAAAAAAAGGAAAAAGAAAAAGGAAAAGAAAGAAAGAAAGGGAAGGGAAGGGAAGGGGAAAGAGAAACAAAGAAAGAAGAAAGAAGGAAAGAAAGAGAGAGAAAGAAAAAGGGAGTGAGAGAGAGAAAGAAGAAAGAAAGAAAGAAAAAGAAAGAGAAAGAAAGTAAAGAAAGGGAGAGAAAGAGAGAAAGAAGAAAGAGAAAGAAAGGAAAAGGAAGAAAAGGAAAGAAAGAAAGAAAGAAAGAGAGGGAGGTAGGGAGGGAGGGAGGGAGGAAGGAAGGAAGGAAAGAAAAAGAAAGAAAGAAAGAAAAAAAGAAAGAAAGAAAGAAAGAAAGAAAGAAAGAAAGAAAGAAAGGAAAGAAAGAAAAACACTGACCAAAGAGAAATAAAGATACTGTTCCACAAAGCCTTCTCCAGGTTGAGCTTTTCGAGCTTCTTGGATTCTTTCTCCAGTTACACTGTACACTAACAATTTTCCAAAATGTATTGCTTAGAAATAGAGGTATTACTCCAAATGTGGCCTCAACAGTAGTTACATTATTATGTTTTCATGATACACATTTATTAATGCAGACCATGCTTACCTAATAGTTTAAGGAATGTCAATGCCTGCTCTCCTAAACGTCTACTTAAGTTTCATAATCTTCCTGTTGAGAATGACTTCTTAGTGATATTTCTTGAGCATAAGGACAACACTCAGTTCAATTCAATAGAACTTACTTAATTACCACACACTGCATTAGAAGTAGTCTTTGTCCTCTAGGAGAAAGATTTCTAAACACACAATTCCAATCAGTGTTATTAGTGTCGTGACAGAGATATACCCAAAGAGCTTCATAAGGAGAGTTGAGGAGGTAGGAGGGAATGGGTACTCAAAGAATATTCTGAAATATAATTTTCACCCCCTTTGTTCTCAAATAGCACAAAGAGTTTCTTATGATAATAAACTATATTGGAAGAAAAAGAATACATGATGTGAAGAAATGAGCAATCTATAATTGACCACCTAACTGGATGTTGTTAAGTAATATATAACTGATGGCCGTTTTAAACCAGGACAAAAATATTCTTAATTCATTCATCTCTCTCACGTTGACAATATCATACTATCTACATATCTTCCTCACTCTGTCTAGAAAGTTTATGAGTTTGTAAATGAAATTTAAAAGTAATCAGCACCAACATAATGCCCCTCAAGTTGTGTATTTATTTGGCATTTACAAAGCTCTCTCTCTCTTTAAATATATATATAATATATATTTAGAAAAATTGTATACATATATTATATATGGAAAAAATTATACATAATGTAATTTTGCTTCATAAAATATAGTGCATATATATATAGTGTGTATCTATATAGTGTATAGTGTGCATATATATAGTGTGTGTGTATGTGTATATATATATAATATATAAAATACATATACTTACTAATTTGTGCAGTGGTCCAAAATTGCTTTGGTGGCTTTTATTACAATCTCCTAAAAAAGTAGGTTCACATATACAGAATTCTACAAGAAAAAACTACACCAGGAGCTGCAGAACACAGGCAGTTTGGGACTTTTGTCTACAAAGTTGTCTTTGACCTTTACAAAATTCACTGAAGTTATTCTTACTTTGCTCATTTACCATAGCTCAATACAATTTCTTTCTTGGATCAACTATTTTGAACTACTGTTGGCTTTTGGCCTCCTGTCATAATATGAATTTTCTCAACTTTTTCTCCTAAAACTTAAGAAAAGAGTATCAAACCAAAGATTTTCTTAGATGCAGTATATTTAAGTCTTGGCAGTGACTGCCACTTGAATTCACATTGAGCTTTTCTTCTGAAAGCCTCAAAGTCTCTACAAATCTCACATGACCTCAGAACATGCTGTGGGTAGGAGGAGGCTGGGCATGCTTAGTGGACAGTGGCCATGGCCATCCCAAGCCCTGAGAGCTCACGTGCTTCACACAGGGCACAAGGACCAGGGCAAAAATAAAACATTAAAGGAAAAACCTAGGTTAATTATATTCACATGATGAAGGATAATCTTAATTTATTCAATCTGTTTCAGACAGAGGGAAATTAAAATGTGCTTAGCCTCTAAAATATCAATACTAAATTATGGCAACCTTTTTTTATCTTTCTTTGAGAGCAAATTTTAAAGAATAGAACCCAAATTTGCTCTGCAACCCTGTTACCTTTACACAAAATCATGTCAGTTGTATCCAACTGCCAAGATCTATGATAGATGATGTCCACTAGTTTTGTTTTAATTTTTATCTTAATATTTTTTCATCAATGCTTTTGCTTTCCTCTAGGGTATGTTGAAAAATAAATTTTGAGTGATGTATATACTGACTGTGATTCCATTTACAGCAAAACAATGAAAGCAGTTGGTGTTGTGATGGTGTTAATATATTCATGCAATACATTGTTAGACATATGGGGATCCAGGTTTTTTCTGTGCTTGTGGAATTTAAAAGGAAACTTCTAGACATGCATTCTACGTACATAAGATATAGTGTTCAAATAGGGACAATGTATGAGAACATCAGTACTTGTCAGCTACGTGCTGTCAGCAAAGACGAGATTTCAGTGCATGGTATTTTAGACTTCATTATATTGTCCCATGGAGCGTTCCAAAAAAAGTAGCAGGTAAAAAATCAGGAGCATTCAAATGAAATGATACTCAAGGGGGTGAGGAGTGTTTTTTCCCCCTGAAATTGTCTCTGTTGACAGAGTTGACTTCACTTTGCCATTGAACTATGACAAGGTGATTATTTTTAAAAACCAAAATACAGTGCATAATACATTTTAGCCTGAAGCTAAAAGTTAAGTGTGAATATTCATTCATTTTTACCCTTCCTTGGGGAAAAAAATGCTGCTGGAGTAGCAAATAAAGTGTTAAGGTATATCAATTACACAGAGTTAATGAATGATGTTTAAACGAAATAATTTTAACAAAGGGGATTTTTTAAAAAAATTGACATTCAGATTTTGTTAAGGCAGAGGAGAATTACCGTTTTTTATTCACAGCATCCTAAATACCAACATACCAGGAAAACTTAACAAATTTAAATACAGTGAAGTATGTTGTCTCCATAAACAGAAGACACACACACTCACACAAAATTGACAAATATAAGTGTACTCTGTCAGCAGGTACATGCCATAGGGCCAGAAATTTGTGCTAAGAAAGTTAAATCAATATTTCAGTAGTTTTAAGAGCTGGCTACGTAACATCCTCCTCCAAATAGAATGAATATAGTGTCTCTTTGTTTCAAGTCTGCCAAGTGGCCAGAGTTACAATCAGTGGCATGACTTGTTCAAGGTCAGGCAGTAAGTCACCCGCCTTTGCCTACATTGTCTTAAGTTAGGAGTAAGGCCTGGCTTCGAAGACTGCAAAGAGTTTCAAATGCAAGTGTTTTTTGTAAGAACAGTTAATTCAGAAGCTTGATCTGGTCAAATTTTTGTCAGCGAGGCCCACAAAGACCCACTGAACTTGTTTATTTAGAATTTGTATTTAATATAGTATCTTTTATTTTTATTTGATAAAAGACACTTTTTTATTTAATAACTTTTCTATACATGCCTATAGACAGGAGCCCACAAACTTTGGATAGTAAAAATTCTATTCATTTATCTTTTTCAATTTTATCCACCTGGGTAAATTGAGCAAAATTCCTCTGCTTTTAATTGTTGGCAAGGAAAAATAAAGTCAGATAGACAATAAAGAATTCTTTACTTCAATCCAGATAACAAAATCATAATATCAGGTATTGTCAAAACTCTTCCTTTAAGTGTCAAGATACTGTACATGTTTTCTCATGGACACTTCAAATATCAATTCTTGTCTCATATTCAGTCACAGGACAGTGACTCTGCTTCTATAGTCTATCTTCTTTCACTTCTGGTCATAAAAATGAGCTTCATGATATTGTTTTACTTTCACAAAGAATAAAAATTACAACAAAGTTCTTATCTTTATATAAATAGCCTGAAGTGAATAGTTAATCAATTCTTTCTGTTTGGGGGGTTAACATTACTTATTTTGATATAACATCTTAAATAAAATATCAGAAACAAATAAACAAAAAAATCTACTTTGATGCTGTAAGAAAATTCACAAATTTAAGTGATATTTGTTGACTCCTTCATGGAGTCTTTTCAAAATTTTACCTGACAGATATATCTTCTTATAATACCACCAAAAAGAAATTGGTTGGCTGCATGTAGTTAAATACAACCCAGAGGGAAAGAAAAAGTCAACATTTTGAATGCTAGTTATGATTGACAAATATGTTTTAAGATTATTTAATCCTCATTAAATTCAAGTTTACTTAAATACTACCAGAATTAGGTTAAAGTTTTTCTTTCTTTCCTTTTTGAAAACAATTTTTAAGGCTGAAATAAGGTTAGAGAAAAATCTTAAAGGATTTAAAAAGTAAAGCGGATTTCTAAGAAATTCTGTGGTATCAATTTACAAGCATCTAATCTTCCGATTATAAATAGCTGTAACATGACGTGGGATTGAGGCAAGACCAGTTTAAACTGTAAGGCATGCTGTGTCCAATGGAGAAAAGCCAGGACTTAAACATAAAGGAAAATATTGATAAAGTTAACCATGTAAAAATCAACAATCTGTGCATGGAAAAAAAAAAAAACAAAGCCAAATGACAACTTGAGAAAATATAAAATTCGTGTTATAAAAAATAACAAACTTTCCTAATATATAAATTGATCTTTCAAAGTAATAAGAAAAACCAACCAACTAACAGAAAAATGGGCAAATGGTTCAAGAGTAGAAAACATGTTGTTTTGCTCATAACGAGAGAAATGCAAAGTAAAACTATACTGAGATTATATTTTTTACTTTATCAATTTGACAAAGATTAAGAATTTGGTAACATACTGCATTGGTAAATGGACAGAAAACAAACAAATCTTCTTTTACTTAAATGATAGTAGTGAAAATTGTTGAAACCTAGATGAAATGCAATTTGGCAGTATGTATCAAAATGTAAAGCTCATCATCCTTTTGAACTAGCATTTCCTAGCTATTAGGATTTAACCTACAGATATAAATTTTATCACATTCAAATAACATACAAGTATATTTATGACAGAGAATATTTTCTAATAGCAAAGCGGAAGCAACCTAAGTACTCACCAACCTCAGTGATTGCTGAAATTATACCCAGAGAATGCAATACAATTCAGCTATCAACAAAAATGAGGAAGTTCTTTGCATATTAATATAGAAATAAATGAAAAATATATTATTAGAGGGAAAAAGTAAGACACAAAACTGTGTATAATATGCCACCTTTTGTGTTATAGAAATGCAAAAATATATAGATTTATATTTTATTATAAATACTTGTATATGCCCATGTGTCTCTAGGTGAATACAAAATAGAAGAATAGCAGGTGTCCTAAGGGAGAGCAACTGCATGACTAGGGAAGGGGCAGAACGGAGACTCCATGGGGATTCTGCTACGTTGTAAAATAGTATTTAGATGCACAATTTAAGGAATTTATAACAGGACAAAGAGTTTTTCTAAGTTTTAAATCCACCGACCTACTAGAAATCGTAGGACCTGTGCTTTCTAAAGTAAATAGGTCATGGCATTTCTCAAGAGACAAAGCTCTCACAACAGTTTTTTTTACTGCAGCCTTAAATAGAACATAGAACACAGAGGTGTCATCAGCTGGCCTGTAAATCACCTAGATGAGCTTCACATCATCATGTGCCTACAAAAAGGCACCACAGGAAGAGGCAGACAAGGCTGATGGTAAACTACATAAAATTAACACTTGAAGATGACATAACTGTTTCATCAACAGTAAAGCATAAGCACATTTGTTATTCGGAATAAAGTTTGTAAATTTCACTAATACATCCACATTTCCTTGTTAAGACATCCTTGTGTAAAAATGTAATACAACTTCAAAATGGCCACTGGAGTACAATTTGGGACAGTAAACAAAGCAAACCTAGCTAGTTTATATAGGGAAAAAACTAATTAGATCAATTTATTAGCACAAACTCTGACTGAGATAATTTAGCTCCAAATTATATAAGAAAATGGGGAGTCATGTTGACCATGCTGTAGGACAAAATACAAATTACTATTCTGAAAATTAAAGAATTTTGCTTGAAACATAAAACTCTTTAAAGAGGACTAAAATGCAAGGCAAGCTTTACTACTCAGTGTGCAAAAGAAAAAAACTTTATCTCTATCTCAATACAATGAAGATAAGTACTGCTTTGCACACTTTTCAAAAATAGTCTTTTCAAAGCATCCTGAGCAAGTAGAACAAAGCTGGAGCCATCGTATGACCTGACTTGAAAGTATATTACAAAATTAGAGTAACCAAAACAGCATGGTACTGGCATAAAGTCAGATGTATAAACTGATGGAACATAATACAGAACCCAGAAATAAATCCACAAATTTACAGGCAACTCATTTTTGACACAGGTGCCAATAACATACATTTGGGGAAAGGACAATCTGTTCAATAAATTGTACAGGAAAATTGAATATGCATGTGCAGAAGAATAAAACTGGACCCTGATCTCTCATTATATACAAAAATAAAATCAAAATGAATTGAAGACCTAAATGTAATACTTGAAACCATGAAACTGCTATAAGGAAGCATTAGGGAAATACTCCAGGACATTGGTCTGAGCAAAGATTTTCTGTGTAAGACCTCAAAAGCACAGTCAATCAAAACAAACATTTTGAAATGTAATTACATCAAGCTAAAAAGCTTCTGCACAGCAAAGAAAACAATCAACAAAATGAAGATACAGCCTACAGAATATTTGAAAACTACCCATCTGACAAGGGATTAGTAACCAGGATATACAAGGAACTCAAACAACTCAACAACAAACAAATAATCTGATTACACAGTGGGTAAAAAATCTGAATAAACATTTCTCAAAAGAAGACATACAAATGGCCAACAGGTACATGAAAAAATGCTCAACATCACTAATTATTAGGGAAATGCAAATCAAAACTACAGTGAAATATCATCTCATCCCAGTTAAAATGGCTATTATCAAAAAGACAGAAAATAACACATCCTAGCAAGGAAGCAGAAAAATGGCGAGTCTTATACATGGTTAGTGGAAATGTAAATTAGTGCAGCCACTATGGAAAACAGTATGAACTTTTCTCAAAACACTAAAAATAGAATACCATATGATCCAGCAATCCCACTGCTGGGTGTATATCCAAAAGAAGGGAAATCAGTAATCAAAAAGATATCTGCATTTTATCTCATGTTCATTGCAGCACTTTTCGTAATAGCCAAGGTATTGAATCAATCCAAGTTCCATTAATAGATCAATGGATATATATATGCGTGTGTGTGTGTACACACACATATATAACCACATGCAATGGAATATTATTCAGCCATAGAAACAGAATGAGTTCCTGTCATTTACAGCAACATGGAAGGAACTAGAGGGCATTATATTAAATAAAATAGGCCAGGCCCAGAAAGACAAATAGCACATGTTCTCACTCATTTGCTGAAGCTAAAAAAAAAAATGATCAGTGATCTCAGAGAGGTAGTGAATAGAATGAATAGAATGGTGGTTATTAGAGGCTGGGAAGTGTATTAGAGAAGGGAAGGATAAAATCTGGTTGGTTAATGGGTACAAAAATACATTAGATAGAAGGACTATATGCTACTGTTTGATATCACAATAGGGGTACTATAATTAGCAATAATTTATTGTATAATTAAAAACACCTAAATGAGATTTGGAATGGTCCCAAAAACCAGAAATGATAAATGTTTGAGGTGACGTATATCCCAATTACCCATATTTGATCATTACACATTATATTCTTATATCAAAGTAT